>NC_000015.10:96235346-96873773 GCF_000001405.40 Homo sapiens | reverse complement strand
CCGGCTCCTTCAGCTGTACTCACTCTTTGTTGAGTCTCCCACAATTACCGTTGTTCCTGGCCCAGACTTCAATCCGGCCTCCCACATTATTCCTGATACCACACCTGACCCCCATGACTGTATCTCTCTGATCCACCTGATATTCACCCCATTTCCCCACATTTCCTTCTTTCCTGTTCCTCACCCTGATCACACTTGATTTATTGATGGCAGTTCCACCAGGCCTAATCGCCACACACCAGCAAAGGCAGGCTATGCTATAGTACAAGCCACTAGCCCACCTCTCAGAACCTCCCATTTCCTTTCCATCGTGGAAATCTATCCTCAAGGAAATAACTTCTCAGTGTTCCATCTGCTATTCTACCACTCCTCAGGGATTATTCAGGCCCCCTCCCTTCCCTACACATCAAGCTCCAGGATTTGCCCCACCCAGGACTGGCAAATTAGCTTTACTCAACATGCCCTGAGTCAGAAAACTAAAATACCTCTTAGTCTAGGTAGACACTTTCACTGGATAGGTAGAGGCCTTTCCTACAGGGTCTGAGAAGGCCACCACAGTCATTTCTTCTGTTCTGTCAGACATAATTCCTCAGTTTAGCCTTCCCACCTCAATACAGTCTGATAACAGATGAGCCTTTATTAGTCAAATCAGCCAAGCAGTTTTTCAGGCTCTTAGTATTCAGTGAAACCTTTATATCCCTTACAGTCCTCCATTTTCAAGAAAGGTAGAATGGACTGAAGGTCTTTTAAAAACACATCTCACCAAGCTTTCAGGCCTGTCCTCGGAAAGCTACAAAGTACAGCCCATTTAAGCTCCTGTATAGATGCTCCTTTTTATTAGGCCCTAGTCTCATTCCAGACACCAGACCAACTTAGACTGTGCCCCAAAAAATACTTGTCATCCCTACTATCTTCTGTCTAGTCATACTCCTCTTCTCCGTTCTCAACTACTCATACATGCCCTGCTCTTGTTTACACTGCCGGTTTACACTGTTTATCCAAGCCATCACAGCTGATATCTCCTCGTGCTATCCCCAAACCGCCACTCTGAACTCTTGAAGTAAATAAATAATCTTTGCTGGCAGGACTATGCTGAATCTCCTTAGGCACTCTCTAATCAGATGTCTTAGGTCCTCCCAATTCTTAGACCTTTTATACCAGTTTTTCTCCTTCTTATTCCATTTAGTTTTTCAGTTCATACAAAACCGTATCCAGGCCATCACCAATCATTCTATACAACAAATGTTTCTTCTAACAACCCCACAGTATCACCCCTTACCACAAGATCTCCCTTCAGCTTAATCTCTCCCACTCTAGGTTCCCACACCGCCCCTAATCCCGCTTGAAGCAGCCCTGAGAAACATCGCCCATTCTCTCTCCATACCACCCCCCAAAAATTTTCGCCACCCCAACACTTCAACACTATTTTGTTTTATTTTTCTTATTAAGAAGGCAGGAATGTCAGGCCTCTGAGCCCAAGCCAAGCCATCACATCCCGTTACCTGCATGTATACGCCCAGATGGCCTGAAGTAACTAAAGAATCACAAAAGAAGTGAATATGCCCTGCCCCACCTTAACTGATGACATTCCACCCCAAAAGAAGTGTAAATGGCCGGTCCTTGCCTTAACTGATGACATTACCTTGTGAAAGTCCTTTTCCTGGCTCATCCTGGCTCAAAAAGCACCCCCACTGAGCACCTTGCCGCCCCCACTCCTGCCCACTGAGCACCTTGAGACCCCCACTCCTACCCACCAGAGAACAAACCCCCTTTGACTGTCATTTTCCTTTACCTACCCAAATCCTATAAAACGGCCCCACCCTTATCTCCCTTCCCTGACTCTTTTCGGACTCAGCCCGCCTGCACGCAGGTGAAATAAACAGCCATGTTGCTCACACAAAGCCTGTTTGGTGGTCTCTTCACACGGACGCGCATGAAAATGGACGCAGATTATTCAGACTCCTCCTGTATCAGGCCCATGGCTTTCAAAGTGCTGGCAGAACAAAAATGGAAGTCCGGTAACCCAGGATGTTTATTAATAAGAACTACCTTGAACTAATATATCCTGACAGATCAACCCCACTTGTGTACCATTGGACTTGATGACCCTTGACCAGATCATATTTTATTAATATGTCTCCCTCACCTGGCCAGCCCCGTTTCTCTAGTAGTTAAGAAGCAGCCTTGCTTACAAGACACATATTCTCTAAGAATATTTCATTTAATACTCAGATACCCCGCCAGGTGTGGTTCTTCATCAAATTGATTGTGTTGTTGTTAATTGTAGTAAAGAATGGGGGGAGAGGGCGGGGGCAGGCTTCCAAATAAGCCAAGTCATTTTAAAATCAATTTCCACAGCTGCAACTTTGAAACAATTCTCTAGTGAATAAACATGCAGTTTCATTGTGTTCAGGGCCAGCATGCTTTCCTTGTGGAATATCTTATTGTGAGTTTCTTTGGACTTCAAGGATAGAGCCTCTTAACTTTGAGAATTTGCACACACTTTAATTTTTTCAACCTAATGAGAAAAGCAGAAGGCGACTCCATTTTGATAGGTGCACTATTGTAGGTTGTGACTCACCCCCTCCCCCACCCCAACTCCCAGCACAGCAAACCAGTGTGTGAAGATCACTTTCTTGGATATCTCTGATATCTTTTTATTTGTATCTTATTTTGACAAAGAACACAAGGAAAATTGCATTTTCAAATAATACTAGAAGGTTTCCGTGCATACCTCCAACGGGAGCCAATCACGCCCTGTTAACAACAAGAAAACCAGTGATCTGGGGATATTTAATGCGGCATTGGCCCTGGAATAAGGAGGACTCTTTCATTTCGCATACTTTGTCTCCGCCATGGAGCTGGCTGACATAATGGACTTTTACAAGGAGCTCTGAAGCAATTGGCAATTAAGTGGTTTGAAGGGGTGCTTCTAGGCTGCTGTGAAAGGCTTCAGGTGTGAAACGCTTGTTTTCAAGAGCACTGAACAAAATGTATGGTTGCTTTCAGCTCCCCCCTTGTCCTTCCCGAGGAAGGGGGAGAGCTGGGGGAAGCAAGGACACTCAAGAGCAATTTGCTATTCAGCATCTGAATGCCGGGCGCTTTCTTCCCCCCCAGTCCTTGTGCGGCTGGTGAGGGGGGCAGATTGAGATGGCACAAACAGCTCTCTGCACAATGGTAGATCAAGAGAGAGGCAGGGAAAATGAGGCCCGGGAGAATGGAGTCCTGAATGCAGGGAAGACAGCTTGATTGTTAATTGTGGGTAAATGTGTTGCAAGAGTGAAAAGGGTTCATGGGCTACTTTAAAGCTATACCCAAGCAATAAGTATAGAGAGTGGGGAAATAAGGAGACGGTCCTGACCCTTTTAAGGGCTATAGTAGTACATCTGGCCCACTTGAAAAAGTAAATTGAGAACTGTTCAAAAAAGTAGCCAAATGCATATGTGTGTTCGAATCCCATTGCGTATAAGAAAAAAAAATCCGGCAATTCCAATTCACATGCAATGTGCACTTTAAACTCTGTGCTATTCTTTTTGAGTATTAGTCAATAGGACAAGGATAATATACAATAAGGACGCTGCCGAATAGATAAATATTTAAAATATGACTTTTCCTCAAGAATACAGCCTTCTATTCTAGGATAAAATATATTTGCACTGAAGCTAGCACAAGGGTAAAGGAAACTTCAAACAGTCTTCATGAAGGATATTGTTCCCTTAGTTCTGTTTCATGTCACTTTTCCTCGTCTGACCTTTACTTCCAACATATTGATTTTTTCCTAACCCAGCCTTGCTTTGCAGAAAAAAGGGGTATTGAGTCTTTGAGCTGCTTACATATCACTATTGTACATGCATCCTTAAAGGTGAAGGAGCCCCTTTCAGGAGATGACTATCTGACTGACAATGTGATTAGGATTGTCTGAGGACTTTTCATTTTAAATGTAGGAGGCCACATGTATCAATCTGGGAAAAGAGACAGAAGGGGACTCAAATCGAGTTGTCTTTTAAATGCTTCTCAAAGAGTTCCAGTTTTGCTCTAAGCAAGAGCTCCTCAGATAAAGTGTATACTACATAAAACTTTTGTCAATCAAGATGGGAATTTTATAATTTTCTGATGATTTCTTTTCTGAATATATACTTTTTTTCCAAAACATAACTAATACTAGAGTTCTGTGAGATATAGGCTCTTTTTTTTCAGCATTCTGATTTCCAGTAAGGACACTGGTAAAATATTATTTCATCAAATGCCATGCTATTGAGACTGAATTTCCAACACTAATGTAATCAATGATGCTAAAGTATAGTGAGCGGTTAAAAACTGGATCTCCCCTAAAGCAGGCTATTAAAATAATTTGACCTACTACAGAATTCTGGAAATTACTTGATGCCTGTTATTCAGTCCTTTTCATGGCCAGATGAAAACCAAGAGAGGAGGAAGGAAGTGACTCATCTTTCACTGGTCCCATTCCATTCCAGAATGGTGTTATGACCATGTCAGTACTAGGCTCACCTTATACAGTGGGCAGATTATAGATGATGCCCTTAGGGTTGTGGGGTAAACATTTTCATCTGTGCCCTTGTAGGAAACCCAAATCAAGGTTTCAACACAGCATCCCTTCATCCCATACACCATCCCTAACTTGTTGGATGAATTGTGTGTTTTATCTAAATTATCAAACACACCCTGCAGTTCACTTCTGCTACTGTTGTACAGCCTGGCCCTTTCACACCAATTCCAATCTTCATCACCTGAGATGGGTCATTGAAAATTCTGTTAGCTTCTACCCACTCCTTGGGTCCAATCTCTTTGAGACTGTGAGGGTCTTATTTATCCCAACCTCCACCCCCTCCACAACCTCATAGTTGAAACTGTCACAAACCTGACTTTAATGTTTCTTTCACAAGTAGAGAAGGGACCTTTGTTATTTTCTTTGAAATACTTAAGGCATCAATTTTCTAAAGGTTCTCAATCTATTACCAAGATATTTCCTTCCACTTATTGCTTCACTGATTTAGTGATTCTCTATATACTATGCAAAATCTCTGGGATCAGTATGTTTCCAGCCCCATTCATCCCTGTGACCATTTTTTTTCAAGCATGAGTTGGTCTCATAACAATTGAGCTAGCATCAGCTCTTACTCATGGAGATAAAGTGAAAGCTATACCAAGGTTCAAGTGGCACCCCACTGTATTGAACGATCTACAAAGTGACTGAGTTAAAAATCACAATCACACTCCTCAGAACTCCCTAATTTACCCCAAAGCCAGAGCCAGAAGACCTGGTTCAAATCGTGGCTCTCTCACAAACATGTTATATGGTCTTGGGCAAGTATTTCTGTGGGGCTGTGTAAAATGTAGACAATTGGACCTGCCCTACAAAAATAATAAAGATAATACGAAATAATCTACATGTAGAACAATACCTCACACAGACTAAGAGCTCAATAAGTATCACCTATTGAAGCTGGATATTTCCTTGACCCCTTCACAGGACTCACAGCAGGGGTGCCTGCAGTTCTCAACTCCTTGTGGGAGGGAGTATGCAAGTGAATGAAGCGGGAAAAGGAGTGCATGAGTGCTGGAACCAGCCAGCGGCTTTGGCGCTGGCAGGAGTGAACTCCACTCACTCAGACCCGCTGTGCTCCACCCCTAGCAGAGGGAACGTGCAGGTGAGCAGGTGCAGGAGCCAGGGCGAGTGCTTTTGGGTGCTGGCGGAAGCAAACTCCATGCAGGCCCTGTGGCAGCATCTAGTGGGGTGCCTGCAAACCCTGAAGCCCCAGAGTGAGTGTTACAGTGCTTTTAGCTCTGCTGTCTGTGGACTGCTTAAGTGTTAACAGCTCAGTGGGCCCTCTGCCTTTTCACGTAAGACGGTTGCCTCCTGCCAGTGAGGGCAAAGGGCCTTTTGCATCCACACTCATGGCTCCCAAGCTCTTGTCTGGCATCCAGGAAAAATGAGGTTGCATGAACGAATTGAAGGATGGTAAATGCAGGGGATTTATTGCCTACGAAAATGGCTCTCAGCAGGAAGGGGAGCTGAAAAGGGGATGGGATGGGAAGGTCATCTTCCCCTTAAGTCCAGCTGTCTCTGGCCAGATTCCTCTCCGAAGCTAGGCCATCAAGCTATCCCTCTTATGTCAAGCCACTTCTCTCCGATGTCCAACCACAGTCGCCAACATCCAGCAGCTTCTCCCCTCTACCAGTTGAATCTGGGGTCTGTATAAGCACAGGACAGGGGAGCAGGGCAGACCGTGGGTGGTTTAGGAAAAGGCAACATTCAAGTGGAAAAAAAGGGATATACGTTGTCACTTTGGGCCACAGTCTCAGGCTTTTCAGCTTGAGGGTGAGGCTTCACCAGGGACCCACCCTTTTCTGCCTAGAATTTCTCTGTCCCCTGTTCATAACACTATTGATATTACTATGATTATATCAAGCTATTAATATCCGTTTGGCAGCCTCTTCCTAATTGTCTGCAGGAATACAGGGCTGAAAGTCATCAACAGACTCCCCTACTTAGGCAGCTCAAGTCTCTTGATGCTTTGAGTGAATAGAACACCCAACATCAGGAATCCCAGTGTCCTCCCACTGGGACATGGAGCTCCAGGTCAAGTTCTAAAAGTAGTGCTGTTTTCAGTCTCTACCAAACTAATGGATCCGGATCTCCACTATCGATACACTAGAATTTCTTAATCAGTTTCCTCAGTGCTGCTGGTTCAGAGTGAGTAGGACTTTATGTCTCTTCTTGATCTTTTCAGCCACATGAAGTTCTTAAAAGATTGAGAAATCTCGGCCGGGTGCAGTGGCTCATGCCTGTAATCCCAGCACTTTGGGAGGCTGAGGTGGGCAGATCACGAGTTCAGGAGATCGAGACCATCCTGGCTAACACAGTGAAACCCCGTCTCTACTAAAAATACAAAAAAATTAGCCGGGCGTGGTGGTGGGCACCTGTAGTCCCAGCTACTCGGGAGGCTGAGGCAGGAGAATGGTGTGAACCCGGGAGGCAGAGCTTGCAGTGAGTGGAGATTGCGCCACTGCACCTCTAGCCTGGGTGACAGAACGAGAGTCCGTCTCAAAAAAAAAAAAAAAAAAAAAAAAAAAAAGATCGGGAAATCTCTTCACATTCCAAGATCATCAGCAGGGAAAACACCATTTCAGAACTACTTTGTGGTTTTGTCAGCAATATGCCCTACATCTAAGTGCTAGTCTGCTTTTTGTTTATACCCCTTGTAGAATGTAACTTTGTATTACTTCATCTTACCTTCAGTTACCTCTACTCTAGCTGGGAAGGGTTGCCCAGTTTCTCACACATACCATATACATTTGTTCAACCTGTTTCCCAGGCAGATGCTCTCTCAATTCATCATTTCTTTTGTTAGAAATTAATTCTTAACTTTTTTTATTCCCCAGGACATCTCATAATGTGTGTTTCTGAAAAGCATGTTCAGCAAGACTAGCTTTAATAGCTGATACAGTGGATACAAATTTATCCCATTGTCAAATAAATTTGGAAAATGGAAGTTAAACAGAATTAATAGTTTTTCCTCTCTTATACAACTTCTCAGAGTCCTTAGTGTGCTAATCTGAAATGTGTTCTACCAGTACGTATTTGTAATACTTCTCAAATTATTTCACCATGGAACCTTCTTTCCCTCACTGTCTCTAGGGTCTAATATTTCACTGAACACACTTTTGAAAATTCTGTTTTCATATCATCCAATACATGGCATCGGCCTTGTTCAAGCTTTTTCCTTCTTCTTCTGGGAAACACCCATTCCTTCTCCATCCCAAGCACACATCGTTGTATTACTCTTTAAATCCTTAATGCAGTTGTTCTTTTTGTGGACTGTATGGTAACATGACTTGTTAATACAAATGTATGTACATGTTCAGTCCAATATCTTTGACTCCAATGCTGTCTTTTAAAAAGACTATAAAATTTACATCAGTGATTTTTATCATTGATCAAAACATTGTAGAGATACATTCCTCTGTTAGAAAGTATTTCTAGTTACACTAAATCATTTTTACTATCACCAAGACAATCAGATTTTCGCCATTTGAGACCCAATTTCAGATCCAGAGGAAAAAAAACATAAAAATAATTTTAAATGCAAAAATGGCGAATATCCCAGGCAGTGCTAAACTTTAAAGACCCTCTAACCAGGTGGCCTATGAATAGCTTTAGAAACTCCATGAATTATTTGCAATTGTGTGCAAAGTTATGTGTGTGTGTATGTGTGTGTGTGTGTGTGATTCTTGTTCATTTTCCTAGGCGGTATGGGTCCATACCTTCCACAAGAGTCCTAAAGACATCCGTGACTCCAAAAGTTTTGTCACCAAATCAGTTTTTTTAAAATTTATTTGCAAATGAAGAATGTTAAGTCCAAAAATAACTTGCCTGAGGTCATAGCAAGAGAGTTTTAGAAGTGGAATTTGAGAATTTGGATCCATTTTTTTTTCCGTTGTTGCTTTATCTTGTAGGTCATTGAACTAATAAAACCAGGAAGAGCAAGAGTGCTGATGGCACAATGCACCCACCTGCCTCCAGGTAGGAAAGTCCAAACACCTGAACACTTCAACTCCAAATTTGACCAAGAGGTCATGAGACCGACTTTTCGTTTTTTCCCTTTTGATTTTTCTTCTATTTTTGCTCTGCCCAAAACTTTTTGCAGCAAGCTTCTAGTCAAGTCATAGTGGATAATAGAACTTGTAGAAGCTTCTTTAATGGGGCCTAGGTATCAGCAAGCTGTTGAGAGTGTATGTTTTATTGCTGTGATCTAAAGAATGGACTATAACATCTTAGAAAGCATTACAAGTGTTGTGAAAGGGATGGGGAAATTGCATTTACCTCAAGCAAATCCAAACCAACAAAGAAATAATTAAAACATATTTATTTATGAGACAAAAACAAGTCTGTTTTGGTCACTGGTGTGACTCCAGTGCTCAACGTGCGGTTTTGCCCATAAGTACGTGTTTTCTGAATAGTGGAAGATCAATGAATATACCTGTCTGTTGACAATTTCTGAATTGAACCTCCTCCCCACCTGTTCCTGTGAGGTCTCCATCACAGTGTCTTTCGCAAGAATAGGAAAGAGCTATCTGGGATAGTAGAATAGAAATCCTAAGTAGCACATGTTGGCTTTATGACTTGTGTATGAATACTAAGCACCAGGGAGAAGAATGCAAGCACAAAGACATTGGCCTCAATCAGCTTTCACTAACTCACTCCATTGGTCTGTGCACCCTCATTTTAGATTGTCAGTTTACAAGAAAATAAATAAAGTCTGAGAAACTGTCACAGCCAGGAGAAGTCTAAGGAAAGAGGATGGGTAAATTGTATCCTAAGCGGGATCCTGAAACAGAAAAAGGACTTTATAGATAACAGAAAAAACGGAGCAAAGTAGGGAATTAAGTTAAAGATAAATAAATAATAAATAAATAAGTGAAACTTCAGGCAGAAAGGAAAAAAAGACTTAAGGGAATTTTTAAACATGGTTTGAACACTGATTCGCCAGCCCTTGAAATCTGTAGCCGGAAAACTCTGAAGAAAAACCAGGAAGCTTACAGGGAATGCAAATAAAAAATAATTTTATTCAGAGTATTTTAGAAAAAGGCCATAAAGTAGTTTCTGGAAATCTGCATGATCCTGAGAAATGTGGACCTGTTAAAACAAACAAACAACAACAACAAAACAAAACAAAAAGCCTGCCTTCATGAACACCGACATGCCGCCCTATCCCCAGGTAGAACGAATGACTCCTTTCTTTACGGTTCCACTTTATTTATTCACATCTGTCTCCTTGTACTTCCCTCCTCACTGTCATTCAAACTCTAGTACTTTGCACAGGATTGGCATGTGATAAGGTCTTAATAAATGATGGCTGAAAGGATGAACCAGAAATGTTAGGACCCCAGTGAAACCTAGGTCCCTGCATTTTGTTGACCTTGCATCAACCCAAAATATAGGCACAAATTATCAGAATATATAGATGAAATCCAGCCAGTTTTTCATGGCTGTTCCATGATTCAGTCTTTTTTGAGTCAAACGTGGAAGAGAAAAAAAAAGAAGTCTTTTTTTTTTTTTTCTGTTTTCTTTATTTTTTATGTGCCTCCTTCCACTCTAGACCGTAATCCTTTCCAGCTCACCCCAGGGGAAACAAAAATTGTAAATCCATTCTAGCAATTCAATTTGTTTAGCAAAATTGTACAAAAACACTAGAGCCAAAATATTGCCCCAAGTAGAGGCAGAGTCTCTGCATAGAGAATTTGTCTAAGGATGTTAAGACACTTTCCAAATAGTTTCCTTATTTCAATGGCACACCTGCTTTTCTATCATAATATAGCTCATGTGTCTTTTGCTTGTCTTTGTTTAGGTAATTACCAGAGTTTACAAATACTCTGTAAAATATAATTACTGTAGATTTTCCAAGGAAGTTTCACAAGCTTTATGCAACACTTTTTGAATTGTGTTGTATACACAGAACTATGTTGGTTTTAAATCATTATTACTTACTCCCACTGGAGCTGTGTAACAAAAGTGGAGAATTGTTGGAAATTATGTAATTTTTTTTCTAAATTTACAATGACTTTTTTTCCACTTCCAACACTCAACCAATCTTCTTTTTAATGCCTTCTTACAGAAGAGCAAAAGCAACCATGGCCCATATTCGATACAGTAATGCAACTCAGACATTGCTACCCAGTTCATGGGTTTCAGGGTCTGTATCAAGTTACCATTTACCCATCCTGCCTGTGACATTTCGCTTCTGTTTTGTTATTATTTTTGGTAGTTTTATGTCTTTGCTTTGCTTTTTTTTTTTTTTTTTTTTGAGATGGAGTCTCGCTGTTGTTGCCCAGGCTAGAGTGCAATGGCGTGATCTCGGCTCACCACAACCTCCACCTCCTGGGTTCAAGTGATTCTCCTGCCTCAGCCTCCTGAGTAGCTGGGATTATAGGCACCCGCCACCATGCCTGGGTAATTTTGTATTTCTAGTAGAGACAGGGTTTCTCCATATTGGTCAGGCTGGTCTCAAACTCCCAACCTCAGGTGATCTGCCCACCTCAGCCTCCCAAAGTGCTGGGATTACAGGCGTGAGCCACCGGGCCCGGCCATGTCTTTGCTTCTTATCTACACTTACTTATCAAATCACAGTCGACTGCTGTCTACTACTGTGGCTAGCAAACACAGGGTAACTCCTAATTTATCCAAGCATCAATGTTCTTGTGCATTCAATAGGTATAAAAAGAGTATCTGCTACATCGGATGCCTTTGTGGGTTGCAGGAGGTAATTCATAGAAAGCGCTTAGTACAAAAGTAGGTGCTCGATACCTGTTAGCTGTTTATATTATCACAGCCTAGTCCTAGTGGACAATTTCAGCATTTCCTCAGCAGCCTTCAGGATTCAGCAAAAGCAAATTCTCCATGTTAATATTCATGTAAACAGTGTTTTCCAGTTATATTCTGAATATGAGACTATAAAATGGAAAATCCATTCAGAAGAGTGCATTACCAGAACCAACATTTTTAAACACCAACTCAACTATCAAAGCACTTTCACACTTGAGTTTCAGTCAAAAGGAGGAAGATGCCACCACTCCCACAGGCCTTTGAGCTCCAGCATCATGACTTTGAAGCCCAGTACAAAGGCTCCGCAGAGGGCAGCTGCATATACCTTCACATGTGCGGCCACACAGGAACAGAGACTTTACATATCACACTTCCTGCTGCATATTCCTATCCCTCAAGGCAGCTAAATGTATCAGGGAATTCTTTTTTACCTTCTTTTTCATTTAAATGCATAATCAGAATAGTTACCAGGGAAGAGCTAGAGAGTGAGAGAGAAAAAAAATAGTTCTAGAGAGTGGAGTCTTCTATTGATCTAAGAGCTGCTTTATAAGCTCTGAAAGTTTTATCCTCAGCACAAAAGTGCCTGGAGTCTATTATTTGTGAATTAATAAGCTGTATGAAGTAATACAGTGCTGAAAAATGTAGTCATGCAGTTTCAAATCTGGTATCAAATTTCAAGAATTTAATTCAAGCAACTTAAATGGTATAAAAGAACTTCCAAAACTTTCTTGACATTATGTCCTTGACCCACAACCTTTCTTCTAGCCTGTGTTGTCACCCTTGGCCACACTCTAGTGTCTCTAACCTGATGCTTCCCCTGACTGTCTATTCTTTCTATCTCAACCTCTCTCCCAATCTCAGATCCATATTTTCAACTGCCTTACCTGTGGAGGACCTTGAAACACATGAATCTCAACGTGGTACAGCACCTACAGCACCTGTGAGTATATTTCTCCTCTTACATGTTCCTCATGATCAAAATGTAGCCAATCTCCAATGCTAGAAAACTCATTTTTCTGGAGGTCTCTATTCTGCTTCTCCACGTATCATACACTGACCCAGCACTCACACTTCCTAGCAACCTTTCAAATAGGTGTAGTCATATGACATCATTTTTTTTATTCCTAGGAAAAATGCTTGCATTCCACCTACAGGCACCTCCTCTCTTGATTCTTCAACAAAAAGAAATTTTTTTTCGGAATTACATAAGTTTCCTAGCACAGCTTTCCTTCAGTTTCCCACTTCTCTTTCTACAGTGTTTTGCAAAGACCACTTCCTTCATACTTTTAATTTACTGTCCTATTATCTTCTCTTGCTTTAATAAACCCTTTCGGACAACTCCATAGAAAAATTACCACAGGATATTAACAGAAAATATCTAGAAAATAAGTAACTTGTGCATATGTATTTTTAAATGCTTAATCTCATTAATAATCAGGAAATGCAACTTGGAACTGTGAGCTCCCATTTCTTTTTGTCCACCAGATGGCCCAAAAATATTAAAGGTCCGTAATAGTCACTGTTTCTAGGGAGGCAGGGAAAAAGACACTTGCACACATTAAAAAGAATGCATCAGGAGCCTGTAATCAGGCATTGGCACTTTACAGCCCATCGTTCTTATGACAATATAACATGTTGGTCCTGGTTGTTGAAAATACCACGTGGACTTCTTCCTCTCTCTCTCACCCAACTTGTTTCCAACCACCAGAAGAGAACAGATAATCAGGACCGAATGGGTGGGTAGGGATTGGAAGGAAGGAGAATGAGAGCTACAGCAAAAGCTATAGCAGGCATATGAGATGCTGGCCATAGCTTTGGGGAAGTATCTTAGAGGGCCCTGCTCTATCAGGCATGTGTCCCTTGGTTTTAGATCATGGGGAGCACCGGTGGTCTTGGAGTTACCAGGGTGGTAGGGGCAACAGAAATCATTCATGGGGCTCAGTGAGTAGGTATATTGTACCAATAAACAAAATATAATACAAAATTATAACAACCAGTGCAGCTGTACTGGTGGCTAACAATTAACATAAATCCTGGTTTCCTCTCTTCTTAGGGTTCCTTTATTTGCCTGTCCTTCTTCAGAATATATTGAACCAATAAGTAAATAAAAGAATCCAGGCAGCTAGTCAAGGGATAATGAAGTCAAATAAGTAGGAAACAAGAAAAACAATAATATTGGTGCCAACTGTTCATCATTGCCACAATCCTCCCTGTCTTGTTAGAGAACATAGCCTGCAAACTCTCCCGTTTTCCCACAGAGCCCCTGTGCCCAACTGTCCCAAGAGGAGCCAATCCTGAGAAGAAGTTGAGCCAATCATATTTCTCAGTCAAGCATTAGAAGAGACACAGAGACACCTGAGTTGGATAAAAATGGGCACTTGCCACTGATAGGCAACCTTTGTAGAACACTTGCTACATGCCAGGTACCTTATAGAGATGATCTAATATAACTCTAGGAAGTAGGTACTGTTACTATCCCTCTCTTTCACATGTAAGCAAACTGAGGCTTATAGACGTTAACTACCTTTGCCTTAGGTCATATAACTGTTACGTGAAAGATACACGATTGGAATCCAGGCAAGTTGTGCTTGTAACCACTAAGCCAGGCTGGGCAGCAGAGGCACTTGTGTTGGGGAAGTAGAAACTCCATACAGATAACTGTAATGAGGAAAAGAAGAGCCAGTTTCTAAGGCAAGTGTGGGAATGGAGCAGACACTGGGAGATCCTGAACCCTCCTAGGAGAGAAGTCAGGGCCCCAGTGCTCCACTGCAGTCTCAATGAGGCAGAAATGGAATTAGATTCCATCCTTTTGATAGTACAGAGATAACATAAGGAAATGTTGCCATCAAATACCCTCTGCATGATTGGGTGTATTTTTGAAGATGATGTTAGCTCCAGGAGTGACCAACTTTTGAAAATGGGTTTGAACCCAGATCTGCAGAACTCTGCATCTAAAGGATTTCAACAGAAGCCCCAACATAGCTCTGTGTCTTCCTAAGAAATCCCAAGACTTCAGGTGCTTCTGGAATGCTATCAGAGTGCCATCTTCAGCAGATGGCTTGATACAACATGAAAGAAAAGAAGGAAGGGGAAGAGAGGGGAGGAGGAAGGGAGGGGAGAAATGGGGAAGGAAGAAAAGAAAGGAAGAAGGAAGGTAGGCAAGCACTAGAAGTACTTTGTTTCTCCTGAATACAGAATATGAAATGAAAACAAAAAGCCACACAACAGAAGCACATTTCCAGTTCTCAGAGCCTTCTGCTGCAAATTCCTAGGGAGTCCACGAGCTGCTGCTTGACAGTGGTGTCCATCTCTTAATTAGCATTTTTGGATCCACCACAAATCAGCTGGATGGCCATTTCCTCACAATTTATAGTCGCCTGGAAATGGCTTTCACAGCTGGGCCACAGATCCCTCACCCAGGGAGCCTGTAATCGAGCTGCTCGGCAGCCTTGTTCAGACGTAATTAATATTTCTGGAACCGCTGCTCAGAGGCTTCTGTAACTGTGCTGCACCAGGGGCGAGCCAGTTGGAAGTGGATTTACTGTTGGACGATGGGTGACACAGCTGTGCAGGCCCCAGGCCAAGGTGACAAGAGAGCTCGGAGGCAGTCACCCTTCACTGCCTGTAATGTGAGAGTGATGGAGAAGGGAATGAGCAAAAAGGAGAGTGAGACATGGTCGTGGCTTCAACTCCTGGCTCTGATGATCATGGTCTAAGGCTGCAGAGGGGACAAAGGTAAGATGACCACTGGCATTTTTGGCTGGCCTTCCCCTTTCCTCCCTGGCCATATGTACATGTCAACTACCAGCCTTTCTCCTTGCAAGCTAGAGCTTCCAAAGCTAGCAGGGAATAGTGTACAACTGGAAGGAATTTGCAACAGATTTTATTTAACACCCTTGACTTAAAGTGAGACCGAAGGAGGCCCACAGAAGTTAACTGGCTGGTGCTGAGGTCGGTGAGTGGCTGCTTAAACAGACTGGAAGGAAGAAGATCTCTCAAGTTTTAGTCTGTCCCTTCTTCTGCCACTACAAGCTTGAAGTGGGGGAGGATATGCATGTAACTGAGCTTTGCAGTAACATGGGCCTTAGTTGATATCCCTTCTGTATCACCTGGGGTTGTGAGACCTTTGGGGCTGTGGGGAAGCTAACTCATGAATCATCAGTTTCCTCAAGGAGAAAGACGCACACACACACACACACACACACACACTCCAATACATCCATGATATGTAAGTGGTAGCTCTCATAATCATTTGCTGTTATTCTTATGTGGTCATTACTGTTACCTCCAATTCTTGTGAGCTGTATGAGCTTGGTTGAATCACAGAAACTATTTGAACTTCAGTTCCACATCTACAAAATCAATACAAGAGAGGCCCCATCTTCCAAAAGCTATTGTGAAAAGTCTATAGCTTACTCTATGTGATGCACTTGTAGCAGTGCCTGGCTTGCAGTGAGATCTCACTAGATATCCGCTACTTTGCTATCTTCCTTAATATCATGTTCATGGCAAAGTTCCCTATAGCTCTGACCTTATTATTTGCATAATTAAAGGTATTTCAAAGCCCCCTGACCTTCAGACTCAAGTCTCAATTTCTTAACTGGACACTGTGGATCCTCAAGACCTGTCTCTCGCATCTCTGTGCAGCTAATAATTTGGCAACCCTTTGAGGGATCTCACTTTGTCACTCACGTCCTGCCCTCTGGTCAGTCTCTGCTTCACCTTTCTTCTCTCTGCTTCACCTTTGTGCCTTAAATACATAGCTTTCTCTTTCTGAAATTCCTTTCTTCTCCTTTCTTTTTCTTGTTCTTTTTTTTTTTTTTTTTTTTGGCAGGGGGAGAGATAGGATCTTGCTCTGTTGCCCAGGCTGGAATGTGGAATAATGCAGTGGTAAGATCATAGGTCCCTGCAGTCTGAAACTCCTGGTCTCAAGCCACTCTCTTGCCTTGGCGCCCTGAGTAGCTGGGAGTATAGGTGCACACCACCTCGTCTAGCTAATTTTTTATATATAACTTTTGGTAGAGATGGGATCTTGCTATGTTGCCCAGCATGGTCTTGAACTCCTGGCCTCAAGTGATCCTCCTGCCTTCTTTCTTCAAATAACAGTTACTTGCTTATCAAGGCTTGGTTTACTTGTCACAGACTTCAGACTTTTGTATGCTCCCACACCATTTCCAGGCTATGCCCCTAGGATATGGCTCTGTCATACCACTTACAAGTCAATGGAAACCCTGGCTTACCTGACTATCACATGCCTACAATGGGCCCTTTGAAGACATGAACTTGACATTTATCTTTGTTTCCCCAGTTCCTAACATATATTAGGGCCCAATGAATGTATGCAGTCTAAATAACTCAAATCTAAGAATAAGAAGAATATACTGTATGCATTTAGCATAAAGCCTCTCACATTTTTAAATACTTGACAAACATTTGTTAAATGAGTGAGTAAAGAAATGAGTGAATAATCTGAAGATTGTTATAGTCTCTATAACAATGCAATATTCTCATCTTTATAGGATTTCGAATAAAAAGAAAAGTACTTGACTGCAAAATTAGAGAATGTTCATCTTTTTAAAATGTTCAACTCTTAGCTCAGCATTGTCAAAAGGAAAAGTTTGGTGAATCCCTAAGCTACCAAATAATGTTTGAGATAGTTTAGGAAGGAAACCAAATTATTTGGTACCTTATAAGAAATATCAGGTGTACCATTTACTTATAGGAAGTAAATAATATGAAATTTTTACCTTTATAATTTCTTTTGGTTCTTTTGGTGGCAGTTACACTCCATTTGTTTTTTCTTTTCTTTTCTTTTCTTTTTTTTTTCAGATGGAGTCTCGCTCTGTCGCCCAGGCTGGAGTGCAGTGGGGCGATCTCAGCTCACTGCAAGCTCCGCCTCCTGGGTTCACTCCATTCTCCTGCCTCAGCCTCCCAAGCAGCTGGGACTACAGGCACCCACCACCACAACTGGCTAATTTTTTTTGTATTTTTAGTAGAGATGGGGTTTTACCGTGTTAGCCAGGATGGTCTTAATCTCCTGACCTCGTGATCCACCCACCTCAGCCTCCCAAAGTGCTGGGATTACAGGCGTGAGCCACCGCCCCCAGCCAGGTATACTCATTTTAAGATAAAGTAGAAACTGGATGGCAAAGGATTAATAGAAAGCTGGTTTCTTCTTCCTGGGCATACAACTTAAACTACTTTTCCCAGATTCCCTTGGGTTTAGGTTGGAACCATGTGATAGAGTTCTAGCCAATGACATTAGACTGAAAGTGATGTTCACTGCCTGATGTCAACCCACCTGGGATGCTCCATCGTGAATTTTCCTTTTCCACACAGGCCTTGACGGCCATTTGTTTGACGATGGCAGAATTACAAGATGGAAGCAGCTTAGAGTCTCTGAGTGACTACATGAGAAAATACCCTCTTCACTACTAATCATATTAGACAGTAATATGAGGAAGTAATCAGCATTTACTCTTTGAATTTACTGAATTTTCAGATTTTGAATACGGTAGTCCTGCTTATCAGTGGGGGATACATTTCAAGACCACCAGTGAATACCTGAAACCACAGATAGTAAGGAACATAGAAAAAATAACATAGAAATGTTATTTTTTTCTATAATGCATACCTATGATAAAGTTTAATTTATAAATTAGGGACAGTAAGAGATGAACAAATAAAATAAAATTGTTCTAATAAAATAAAATTGTTCTAATAAAAATAAGAAAAAATAAAATAAAATAAAAATAATTTTTTTCTTATAAAATACAACAGTTATAACAATATAGTGTAATAAAAGCTATGTGAAAGTGGTCTCTCTCTTGCTTTCAAAATAACTTGTTGTACTGCACTCACCCTTCTTCTTGAGATAACATGAGATGATAAAGGTCTATGTGAAGAGATGAAGTGAGGTAAATGACATAGGCATTGTGGATAGTGTTAGGCTACTATTGACCTTCTGCTGATAGATGAGAAAGAGGACCATCTGCTTTGGGTGATCTCAGATCATCAAGCCATGACAATGTTGATGGTAGGATGTCAGAATCAGACAATGTTGAAGACTAAGGGGCAGTAAGTATATATGGCCTGGATATGCTGGATGATTCATGTCCTAGGTGGGATGGAGTGGGATGACGTGAGAGTTCATGGAGTGCGGTGGCATGAGAGTTCATCACACTACTCAAAATGGCACGCAGTTTAAAACGTAAGAGTTGTGTATTTCTAGAATTTCCCGTTTAATAGTTTTGGACCACAGTTGACTGTGGGTAATCAAAATCTCAGAAAGCAAAACCATGGATAAGGGGGAACTACTATAGCCCTCCTTAGTATAGAATATGGCAGTTTGAACTTGAGAGCTGTCAAAACATTTCAATTTTATCACATTGGCTTAGGAGTAAGTTGGTAAAGAAAAAGATATGATTGGCTGGAAATCCATGTCAGGTAGTGGCAAAATATTCTGTAAAACCACTAGCTGCTATAACTTGGAAGGTAAACCACATGCTTACTGAGCTTGTTCCACTAGGGAAAGATGTTGGAAAGCAAAATGTGGTGCACATTGTTGGTTGTTACTGGCTGCATTTGGCAAGATAATTGATGAAAGAGCTGAACTCATTGATGACTTTATAAGCAGAAATGATTAGAATACAGTTCAAATATATGAAGACTTGCAGGAAAACACAACTATTTCTAGACCATGAAGAGTAAACTGTGGAATTATGACAGTCTTACTGGGACAAAGACCAGGTGATATTTCCCAGTTGAACAGTTGTCTCAGCCTTAAAAGACAGATCGGATGAAGGGTGTGGTCTTCCACTCAAGGAACCCATCAGTAAATTAAGAGAAACTTTTAAGAACTAGGGCAAAAAAAAAAATGGCACAAAATCCAGAAAGAGCTTTGGGTGTGGCTACCGATACACCTAACTAAATGAGAAATAAATATGTCAGAGTCCCACTGAGTTTCTAAATGAATTTTGTTGCCAAAGAAACCACAAAACTAGCCTAAAGAGATTGGAGTTGTTTGACAGAGCCCTAGAACCATCCTTGGGTTGAAAGTAGACTGCAAAAACAGGGCTACCCTCAAATAAGCAAACTTCCTCAACACCCTAATGTGGCCTAGGAGGAGAATAGGAAGTTCCCATAGGGTGGAGTAGGACCCATGAGATCAATTCCTGAGGCCAAGGAGCTACTCCCAGACAGCAGAACCGAGCCTAAACAAATAAGTCCTTTGCCCAAGCTTAAGGAATCCTCACATTGTTTGTCCAATGTGTGGGATTTCAGGGATGTTATGGACTCATGATTGCTGTGCTCTGCTTTTCCTGTTCTGTGTTTTAGGATGAGCATATAGGGGAGGGGATCAGGTTACTTTTCTTTTTAATTCATATATCACTAGTCCATGGAAGCTATTTCCAGACCTGATGGAGAAGAATGTGCATCTTGGACATATTGGATGCAGGATGCAAAACTGGATAAGACTATGGGTTGTGTCTCTTGGTATGAGACTGAGTGTGATCTTTGTAGGGAAGGAGAATAAAACTTATTGATCAGGGAATGAATTTTGGCAGAGATGGGCTAGAGGCTTACCAAAAAAAAAAAAAAAAAAAAAAAAGAGAAAAACAGTAAGTTGGAGAGAAAGATATCAAGACTTCTCGAGTTAACATCCCATCCCTATGGGTTTTGGGGATTTCTCAGCAATCCACAAGTTAGGGTGGCCAGATTGAAGAGAACCAACATGATCTTTATGATGTATCACAGAAGCATTTGAAGAATCCATGACAACCAATCAGAGACACCTGAGCAGGAAGAATTCTCATATATTACCTACTTTAATTCTTTCCTTTTATGCTCCTTCATTCTTTTGTTTGAAAAGTATTTATGGAACACCTCCTGCGCACAATAGCCAGAGGTAGCTACTGGTATACAAGCATCTATCAGACTCAGTTACTGCTGTCCAATCTAAGAACTGCTCTAAAACAATGGGAGCTGTGGTAACCATCTCCATACACTGCAAGGCCGTAAAAACCAAACTGCCACTTTCCTTCTGAGGGTCCTGGAAAGGCTCTCAGGGGTCAGTTGCCTGACCGAAGTCTTAGAAGTAGCAGAGGTCAAATCTAAGGTATTAGAAGACAATAATTGATTCATGTGACATTTAGGTAATATAATAAATTACCATAGCATTTTCACTTTCTGTGCAGATTTCTCATTTCTATCTCTAACAGTGTGGCCAGTATAAACTTGTAGGCTAGCCTGCTAAAGATACAGGTCTATATTTTGCTACATTCACATTTCTTTAATACCTATTTGTTTTACTAGGTATACAAAAATGCAAATGTCATAATTTACCCTAAACTCAGAATGGCCACAACTTAGTGCTACTCTCTTTCAGATGTAGCACTTTATGCCTCGATTTCTTCTTTAGAAAATTAGGAGTAATCAATCAAGGGAATTTAAATAAATCAACAATGCTTGTTCTTTAAACTGACAGGAGCACCCTATCCCTCAATCCCTCCAATTACCTCAATCCATTACTGTTTGGCTCCTCCTCTTTCCCAGCCCAGCCTGGGTCCCATGATGGCGATTTAACTCACTCTTTCACGAGCCCCTTTTATTCTCCTGCAGCCACAACTTTCAACTCAAGTGAGCCAGCCAAATGCCGACCTGAAGCCATGCTATATTCTGTCCTCACGCTCCTATAGCTGCATGCCTGAGCTCCACTCCACCACTCAGCATTGCTCACCAACTCTTTAACTTGTTTTTGATCAGTTACTACTCCTTTGCTCCTATTGGCCAGTGCAGACCTTCCCTAGTATCATCAAGCCCCATCACCTCACAGCGGACAATCTTACTTCCTTTGTCAACAATCTTCTGTGCTGTCTACAAACACACATTTATAACTACATCCACCCCAGCTCCCTTAGCTCTGGCTCAGAGTCAGCCATTGGGACCTGCCTGTTCAAAATCAAACCTCCAACTTGGGCCTTAGACTTTGACCTTTTTTTTTTTTTTTTACTTTTTACCTACAGGGGCTAAGTGTATTAGAAGTCACTTCCTGGCTTGTACTCTTTGTCTTAAAGACTTTCTTAGGCCTCTGCCTTATTAAAAATAAATATATTGTTAAAAATCCCCCTTGAATCGTGGAGGCTCATGCCTGTAGTCCCAGCCTTTGGGAGGCCAGGGCAGGCAGATCACAAGGTCAGGAGATGGAGACCATCCTGGCTAACACGGTGAAATCCTGTCTCTACTAAAAATACAAAAACAAAAAATTAGCCGGGCGTGGTGGCGGGTGCCTGTAGTCCCAGCTACTCGGGAGGCTGAGGCAGGAGAATGGTGTGAACCCGGGAGATGGAGCTTTCAGTGAGCCGCGATTGTGCCACTGCACTTCACCCTGGGCAACAGAGTGAGACTCCGTCTCAAAAAAAAAAATCTCCCTGACTCTCTGCCTCTTTCTAGAAGCTGTCAGTCTCTTCTCTGCCCTTCTCAACTGAACTTCTTTCAAGTTCTCCACTTGCCCACTTCCGGTGACTCATGAATGTTCTGTGATCTGCGTTCTAATACTTAATGATCTCCTTCTTGCCAAAGCCAACAGATCCAGCTTAGCTGTCATCTAGCCAGAGCTCTCAGCTGCTAGGGACACTATTAGTCAGCCTCTCCCAGGCTGTGGTTCTTGACCTCTCCTCCCTTTGGGCGATGCTCCCACCTATCCCAGAGCCTCATGAGCCTTCAGTGCATGACTGACTCTGGTATTGCCATTGCCAGCTCAAGACTGGCCCTCAATCTGCAGAGTGAAATAACCAGCCACCAACTGGCTCTGCCAAACTGGCTGTCCACAAATAATCCAAATTCAGCAAAAACTGAAAGCCCCAATATTTTCCCCTAAGCCTGCTTCCACTTACCTGATCACAAACTCAGTCTCCCAAATCAGACAGCCTGCTGTGGGTCCCCATAGCCAATCCATGGCTAGCTTCTGCTGACTTCACTTTCTGGCTGTGTCTTGAATCTGGAGCCTCTTTCCAATTCCCTGTCCTTTCTCACATGAACTGCTACCATCCTCCGCCACCAGAATGATAGATCTTAAATACAAATCTGATCACATGTCTCCATTTATAACCTGGCAATGCGTTCTCCTAAGGTACAGAATAAAGGGTAAAATCCTTCACATAGCACTCAGAACTTCCCATAAGGAAGCCTCTCCTAATTTCTACCTCTGTTTTCTGTCATTCCCTTTACACTCCATGCTGGTTCCCTATTTGCATGTCTCTGCCTAAGCTGTGCCCCTACCCGGAAGAGCTCTCCTTCCCTCTCTGATTCGGTCCCACATGCAATCTCCCAACTCCCTCCCCGGGTCTACAGAGTAATGTGCAAGGTATTCTTCAAATGGATCTTTTACCCCTTGGATTAGGCATACCGTGCACTAGAAAACCCTTGACCTCTTCCCATCTTCTTATACTCCACCTCCAGAAAGTTTAGTTCCCTCTTCTCTGGTACCATTATGCCTTGTGTATTGCTTTATCATTTTAAATAGCAATTTTTTGTTTTTGGTCTTCCCCTCAATTGGACTGTAGCCACTTGAAAGCAGGGACTGTTCTGCTTGTCTCCAAACCCCTGCCACCTAGTATAGTGTCTGCTCAATAAAAGTAAGAACACCATACTCTCCTAGTTTTTATGAAAAAAAAAAAAAAAAAAAAAAAAAAGATGATGTGAAACAGCTTACACGATCTACGTAATCTCCTCCATAAAGAGTTTCTGTATGATAGGGTCATTCCTAGGGTTTTAAATCAAATCCACATCCTTCATCTTTGAGATAGTTTGGATCTGCGTCCCCATCCAAATCTCATGTTGAGCTATAATCCCCAGTATTGGAGGTGGGGCCTGCTGGGAGGTGATTGGATCATGGGGATGGATTTCTCTTGAGTGGTTTAGTGCCATCCCTATGGCTCTGTCCTCTTGATAGTGAGTGACTTTGGACAAGATCTGGCTGTTTAAAGTGCATGACACCTCCCTTCCTCTGTCCTGCTTTCTCCACGTGATGTGCCTGCTGCCTCTTTGCCTTCTGCCATGATTGGGAGCTCCCTGAGGCCTCCCCAGATGCCGCTATGTTCCCTGTACAGCCCAAGGAACAGAAGCCGATTAAACCTCTTTTTGCCAGTCTCAGGTATTTCTTTATAGCACTGCAAGAATGACCTAATATAATCCTCTATGAGATCACATCTAAATTTGAATCAGCTACATTTCAAGTCTTCAGTAGCCACACATGTCTAGGGACTACTGTTTTGGAAAACACTGCTCCTAAACACAGAAATTATAGTGCTTGGAGCTATTATCAAAATGATGTGGAACAATATACAGGAAATATCTTCCATAGGCAGTGGCATACAAAGATACACACAAATGTTGAATTATTTCTCCCTGCCCATGATACTAACATTAAAAGATAATGTCCCCCATAACATCATTTTCCTCTTGAGGAATATATGGAGGAAGACGTTTTTGAAATTTTTTTAACTAGAGATAGATAAAATACACAGTTAAAATGTTTATCTGTATGATATTTGTCATCTCTATGAACTCAGCCAACAATAATAGAATAAAAGGAAATGCAGATAACCATTATCCCTTCTAAACTCCTGGCATTGGTAGAGAAGAATACCGAGGGAGAATGGGAATGACGTTCAGGACACCGTCAGGCTCACACCGTGTTTATGATCCAGCTTTCAGACTTGATGTGTTTGGCTGCATGGATGTCTTCCAAGACCCACTTCCTTTTATGCTAAAGGCATAGGAACGTAAGAGCCTCTGAGTAAAATTTAAGCCACATAACAAATGTTTTCTTCCCACAAATCTTGTTTTCCTTGTAGTGAGGAAACAAGGGCTTTAACTCTAACCACAAATTATAACCCAAGTTGGGGAAAATGTCCATGAAGAAAAGTGGAAGATCACAAATAGGTTGGAACAAAGAGGGGCTTGGAGGGGTGGGTGGAGATTAATCTTATTAGGATCGTATATCATGAGGGTGTCAGGTGTGAAAGCAAACGAATGGCCTGTGTTTATCTGAGCTAAACCGTGTGGTTCACCCAAACATTCACTCCCCAGAGCGTTTTTTTTACTGGTAATAAATTGGCCAAGTCGTGGTAGGGCATTGATAATGAAGTACGCTTAGGTGCAGTTAGAGATTTCTGGCCGGGTTTTAGAGGCAACCACGCTCTCCTACTCTCTTTTTCTCTCCTTCTCCCTCTCCCTCTCCTTTTTTATCACAGCTGATTCGAAAAGCCCTTTGGAAAGATGAAGTAGGTAGAAATCAAAATAAATGGATTCTATTAAAACCGGCAATGCATCAACTGCTTGATAAAGTGATTAATAAACAGCTTAGGATGGTGATTGATTAAACTCTTTAATCAAAGTGCTAAACTGACTTAATATGGAGAGTTTCAACATGTTCAAAGTGTACATTTTGCCTGCCTAAGGTTCACAGTTGTTTATGTAACTTTTCTGAAGTGTATCCCTTAGGTCTAACCTTCAGAGAGCTGGGGCTATGGAATGTGTAAGGATTATAAAGTATCACAAACTGCATTAGACGCTGAAATGTGCTCATGAATTATAGGACCTTTCTACACGGCAACAAGTAATTTTTCAGGATTCTGAACCCCTTCACCAAACAAGTTCTTTGCTTGCGTCACTTCATAACTCTTTAAGCCTTAATGTATAAAGCAAGACAGTGCAAGTTTTTAAAAGTTCCTATCACTCACATTTCCTATCACTCACATTTCGTTCTCTCCTTGAAGCACTTATTGTTTTATTGCATAAGGTCAAGATTTTGATGGCGAGGAAGAAGGCTTATTTATGCCGTGAAAATAATTTCATGTTCATTAGAATCAGGTGTATTTCATTCAATATGTATAATTCTCAATATCAGGTGTCATTTTTGACACAATCAATCATCTGCACACCAATTTAGTAACCCATTTGACTCCTAAAAGTTTATGAAACCAAAACAGTGTCTTTCAAATCATTTTCCTCAGAGGCTACATAACTTTTTTTAATTTTTAATTTTTATGGGTACATAGTAGGTATATATATTTGTGGGATACACGAGCTATTTTGATGCAGGAATACAATGCTTAATCATCACATTGATACATTAATACGATGTTTAATAATCACATCAGGGTAAATGAGGTATCGCCTAAGGCATCTATCTACTCTTTGTGTTACAAACACTCCAATTTACTCATTTAGTTATTTAGTTACTTATGTACTCATTTAGTTATTTTAAAATGTACAATAAATTATTGTTTACTATAGTCACCCTGTTGTGCTATCAAGTGCTAGTTCTTATTGCTTCTATTTACTTTTTTGTACCCATTAACCATTCCTACTCCCTGTCCCCTACCCCACTACCTTCCCAGCCTCTGGTAACCATCTTTCTACTCTCTATCTTGATGAGTTTATTGCTTTAATTTTTAGCTCCCAGAAACGAGTGAGAACATGCAAAGTCTGTCTTTCTGTGTCTGGCTTATTTCACTTAACATAATGACCTCCAGTTCCATCCATGTTGTTGAAAATGGCGGGATCTCATTCTGTTTAATGATTGAATAGTACTCTATTGTGTATATGTACCACATTTTCTTTATCCATTCATCTGTTGATGGATACAGGTTGTTTCCATATCTTGGCTATTGTGAATAGTATTGCAATAAACACGGAAGATATGTCTTTATAAAAATGTGTTTGAAGCTGGCATTGGGGAGGAGAGGAGGGGAGAGTACTATAGCGCCGTGCATTAATGGCAGAGCATTTGTGACTCACACTGCATCTACATGGTGGATGAAATTCAAGGAATTCATTTAATGCCAGACATAGTTCTCTGTGTAAGGAAGAACCATGCTGGGCCTTGTTTGCAAAAACAAAAATAGCTCTGACCCCAATTCAAGGATCTTAGTACATAGTGAGAGAGATCCTGCAAGGTGGAAAAGATGTTTGTTTTAATAATTTAGAAAGATAATACTTGTTAAAAGGGCTTGACTAAGGCAAAGAATAGTAGGGAAAATTGGGAAAGCATCTAAGATACCATTGCAATTGATTTGACTTGGAAAGATAAATGGGAATTAAATAGGGAGACAGATGCTGAGGAGTGGGTCTTAGAATGTGTAAAGATCATTACTCAAAGCAGTGAGGCATCTTTGAGGACCACTGAGTAGCCCACTCTGTCTAGATTGCAGTGTTCACTTAAAAAGGGGGTGGGTACTGTGGGCGGGAGTCTTTGTACAAAGATTCTTGAAGTCTCTACTTAATTTGTTGGGGAATGGGCAACTATTGAAGGATTTTGCATAAATCACCAGAACATGGGTGGGCTGATTTATGACTGGTGCATGATGCTAGAGCCACAACCCACAGGCTTAAATCTTAGCTCTGACACTTAGAAATTGCATGACCTTGGGCCAGTACTTAAATTAAATGTGCCTAGGTTTCCTCATTTTTAATTGCAGATAATAACATTACAATCTCCTTGATGAGGTTGTTGCATTTGACCACTTAAATCATGTGAAGATCTTAGAATTGTGCCAAGTAGTAAGGATTTAATAATGTTAGCAAGGATTCTCATGGCTATTTTCAAAGAAAGTCTTCCTAGAAGTAGAACTGCACTATAGGAAACTTAAACTAGAAGGAGTTTTTAAAGACCATTTGGGGAGAAGAGCTACAGGACGCAGGCAAAACTGTCCAGGGCCTATCTCAGGAGCCTCAGAGCTATCATATGAGGCACCCAACCAAGAACTAATATCCAGAATCTACAAGAACTCAAACAAATTAGCAAGAAAAAAACCAATCCCAAATGGGCTAAGAATGTGAATAGGTAATTCTCAAAAGAAGATATACAAATGGCCAAAAAGCATATGAAAAAATGCCCAACATCACAAATGATCAGGGAAATGCAAATCAAAATCACAACGTGATGCCACCTTACTCCTGCAAGAATGGCCATTAAAAAAAAAAATAGGAAATGTTGGCAGGGATGTGGTGAAAACGGAGCACTTTTACACTCCTGGTGGGAATGTAAACTAGTACAACCACTATGAAAAACAGTGTGGAGATTCCTTACAGAACTAAAAGTAGAACTACAATTTGATCCAGCAATTCCACCCTGGCTATCTACCTAGAAGAAAAGAAGTCATTTACAAAAAAGATACTTGCCCATGCATGTTTATAGCAGCACAATTTGCAATTGCGAAAACATGAAACCAGCCCAAATGCCCATCAATCAATGAGTGGATAAAGAAATTGTGGTATATGTGTACCATGTAATACTATTCAGTCATAAAAAGGAACGAAATAGTGGCATTTGCAGCAACCTGGATGAAATCGGAGACCCTTATTCTAAGTGAAGTAACTGAGGAATGGAAAACCAAACATCATATGTTCTCACTAAGCTATGAAGATGCGAAGGCATAAGAATGGTACAATGGACTTTGGGGCATTGGGGGAAAGGATAGGAGCGGGGCGAGGAATAAAACACTACACATTGGGTAGGTACAGTGTACACTGCTCTGGTGATGGGTGCACCAAAATCTCAGAAATCACCACTGAAGAACTTACTCATGTAATGAAACACCACCTGTTCTCCAAAAACCTATGGAAATAAAACATAAAAATAAAAAAAAAATAAAAAAATAAAAAGTAAAGAACTTATCTTTAGGTGGTACCAGGAACGGGCAAGACGGAGGCAGATGTGAGAGAAGTTAGAGAACACAGGCAAAGAAGGATAAGGACAAGTCAAAGAGTCCCCTAAGCTGTTGTTCCTAAGTTCTGTTTTATATTTTTTGCTGTGGTGCCATGAGGAGAAGCTAGTGGCTATATGAAACTTCACACCACACGGGACATCCAGCACAAACATTCTGGACCTCAGCAGACACGCTGGAACTTGCCACACAAACGTGGGGGCCACACACCTATTTAGAGCTAGTGTTTCATAGCCTGAGGGGAGGGGAACAGAGGGATCTGAGGAGAAGCTTCTGGAGAATGCCTGTATTTAAGATGTAGATAGAGAATTACTGGTCAGATAGAAAAATCTGAGGAGAGGTAAAGTTTTGAGACTGAGGGACAAGGAGTATTGAATGCCAAAGGGGATTCTAAAATGGATAATCGATGGGCCCTCATTCATTCATTGTGCTTTCAATAGTAACCCAATTCTACTTCTAGCCAGGATTGGTCTAATTAGGTGATGTGACTCTTCCAAGGGATCAAGTCCAAGCTCCATGCCTACTCAATGGTGCCAGATGTGGTGGGGAATAAAAGAGCTTCTTTCCCTTGGTAAACTGAAATTTCGATCAAATGAAAGAGGACATGAAATCGACTGCCACCATGTGCCAGCACCAGAAGTGCTATCAGATTCCAACAGTGCATTCACTGAGCGATGTAGTCATTCAGTAAATATATAGTAAGTATGTATCAAAGGCCTGCTGTGTATCGGGCTCTGGAGCAGGCAACGAGAATACAAGGCTAAAGATGGATATTCCCGGCACTTGGGAAGCTTAGAGTGCTACAGGGAAGACAGGCATTAAACAAATAAGAAAGCAATTATCCATGAATTACAATTCTGGTGAATTTCATGAAGAAGCAGTGCAAAGTGCTATCAGCGTATTGGAGAGGGATCTGGGTCTTTCTGGAGAGTCCAGGACATTTTCCTGAGAAAGAGACATTTAAGCTGATATTTGGGAGATGCATTACAGCAAAATTGTAGGAAGAAGAGGCAAAAGGAAAAGGGCCTAGAGACAAGAAGGACTATTTCTTCTTTGAATAATAGAAAAAAAGGTCAATAGGATGAAGCACAGAAAGAGAGAGGGGACAGAAGAAACTGAAGGGACAGTGAGGTGGTCAGGGTGATAGGACCCAGCAAGAATGCCAGCTTGAGTCTGGTCAACTTCAGCAGTGGAGAGCCATTGAGAGGTTTTAAACACAATCAGGTTTTGCTGCAGAATGAACAGTGAATGAGACGGTTATTATAATTGGGCTATTATAATATCTGAGGCAAGAGATGATGGTTGCTGGAAATACACAAATGTGAGCGATATTGAATGAGTCACATAAACCAGAATTGTGACTGAATATAAGAGCATCAGAAAGTGAAGATGGCGATGACGAGCGTCGGGTTTCTGGTAAAAAGTCAGGAGTTTCTCCCCTCCCCACCACCTCAAATGCCTTCCAATATACATAGAATAAAATCTAAAATCCTTGACGTGGACCTTCAACTCCCTCTATTTGCTGGCTCCAGACTCCTTCTCCAACTTGATTTTCTCCCTGCCTTATCCACATCTCTGCACATCCACTGCTGTGGCCTACGTGCTGTTCCTGAAGCACATGAGATACACAAGACACCAGAGAGACTGCAGATTCAGTTCCAGGCCACCACAATCAAGCAGATATTGGAACAGCAAGTCACAGAAATTTTTTGGTTTCCCAGTACACACAAAAGTTTTGTATATACTATAAATATATACATACTTAAGTGTATACTTACGTGTGCAATGGCAGTGTGTCTAAAAAGAAGAACATTAGATTAAATTAATTTAAAAATTAATTAATGCTGGTTACAGTGGCTCACACCTGTAATCCCAGCATTTTGGGAGGCCAAGGCAGGCAGATCACTTGAGGTCAGGAGTTTGAGACCAGCCTGGCCAATATGATGAAACCCCTTCTCCACTAAAAATAAAAAATTAGCCAGAAGTGGTGGCACATGCCTGTGGTCCCAGCTACTTGGGGGAGGCTGAGGCAGGAGAATTGCTTGAACCTGGGAGGCAGAGGCTGCACTGAACCGAGACTCTGTCCCCCCCAAAAAAAATTAAAAATAAAAATAAATTAACTAAAAGTACCTTTTTGCTTAAAAAATGCTAATCATCATCTGAGGCTTCAGGAGGTGGTAATCTTTTTCCCAGTCATAATCTTTTTTTCCAGAAATCATCATCTCTTACCTGGAATATTATAATAGCCCAATTGTAATAACCTTGCCTTGATGGTTGTGGCTGCTGACAGATCAGTGTTGTTATTGATGAAGGTTAGAGTGGCTGTGGCCATATCTTAAAAAAAAAAAAGATAACAATGAAGTTTACCTCATCATAAAAATATTTCTCTGTAGCATATGATGCTGTTGGATAGCTTGTTACTTCATAGTAGAACTTCTTTCAAAATTGGAGTCAATTCTCACAAACCACACACTGCTTAATCAATTATGTTTATGTAATATCCTAAATTCTTGGTTGTCATTTGAACAATGCTCACAGCATCTTCATCAGGAGTAGATTCCATCTCAGGAAACCACGTTCTTTGCTCATCCATTAGAAGCAAAGTTTGTTTGTTTGTTTGTTTGTTTGTTTTGAGACAGAGTCTTGCTCTTGTTGCCCAGGCTGGAGTGTAATCATGCGATCTCTGCTCACTGCAAACTCCGCCTCCCAGGATCAAGCACTTCTCCTGCCTCAGCCTCCTGCGTAGCTGGGATTACAGGCATGCACCACCACACCCGGCTAATTTTGTATTTTTAGTGGAGACAGGGTTTCTCCATGTTGGTCAGGCTGGTCTTGAACTCCTGACCTCAGGTGATCCACCCGTCTCGGCCTCCCAAAGTGCTTGGATTACAGGCATGAACCACTGTGCCCAGCCAGAAGCAACTTCTTATGCACTCAACAATTCAGTCCCATCTTCAGCCTCCACTTCTAAGTCTAGTTCTTTTACTATTTCTACCACATCTACAGTTACTTCCTCCACAGATAACTTAAACCCCTCAAAGTCATCCATAAGAGTAGGAATAAGTTTCTTTCAAACCCCTGTTAATGTGGATATTTTCAGCTCTTCCCATGAATCATGAATGCTCCTAATGGCATATAGAATGGTGAATCCTTTCCAGAAGGTTTTCAGTTTACTTTGCCCAGATGCATCAGAGGAATCACTGTTTATGATAGTAATAGCCTTACAAAATGTACGTATTTAAATAATGAGACTTGAAAGTCACTATCACTGCTTAATCCATGGGCTACAGAATAGATGTGTTAGCAGGCATGGCAACAACATTAATCTTCTTCTACATCTCCATCAGAGCTCTTGGGTGACCAGGTGCATTGTCAATGAGTAGTAATATTTTGAAAACCTGTTTGGAAGTTCTAGCAGGGGAGTGCAGCTAATCTTATATCCATGACTGAAGACTGGTCTTCCTCTATTGGGGATGGTCGTCCTCTTCATCCGAATGTACAGCTTCAGGAAGGACACACACAGAGTGGTAAGGGAGGAAGGCAACACCCGTCTAGCCAGCCAGATCACAGAATCAACCTTGGCAATCAATGGGGTGAGAGATGTTGCAGCCAGATTGCCCTCACATCCAATGAGCAGTAATATTTTGAAAGAACCTTTTTTTTTTTTCTGAGCAGTAGGTCTCAACAGTGGGCTTAAAATATTCAGTAAATCATGCTATAAACTGATATACTGTCATCTAGCCTTTATTGTTCCATTTATAAAGCATAAGTAAAGTAGATTTAGCATAACTTTTAAGGGCCCCAGTATCTTCTGAATGGTAAATACACACTGATTTCAACTTAAAGTCACCAGCTTCATTAGCCCTTTTCAAGAGAGTCAGCCTGTCCCTTAAAGTTTTAAAGCCGGCATTGACTTATCCTCTCTAACTATAAAAGTCCTAGATGGCGTCTTCTTCCAACAGAAGGCTGTTTTGTCTATATTGGAAATCTGTTGTTTAGTGAAGCCATCTTCATCCATGATCTCAGCTAGATCTTCTGAATATCTTGCTGCAGCTTCTACGTGAGCACTTGATGCTTCACCTTGCACTTTTGTGGTATGGAGGCAGCTTCTTTTCTTAAACCTCATTAACCAACCCCTCCAAGCTTCAGACTTTTCCTTTGTGGTTTCCTCACCTCTCTCAGCCATTACAGAATTAATGACAATTAGTGCCCTGCTCTGGATTAGGCTTTGTCTTAAGAGAATTTTGTGGCTGGTTTGATCTCCTATCCAGACCACAATAACTTTCTTCACATTATTAACAAGGCTATCTTGTTTTCTTAACATTCATATGTTCACCAGTGGCACTTTAAATTTCCTTCAAAAACTTTCTATTTGCATTCACAACTTGGCTATTTGATGCAAGAGGCCAGCTTTCAGCCCATCACGCTTACAAGCTATCTCAGCTTTGAACATATCTTTTTCACTAAGCTTAATTATTTCTAGATTTTGACTTAAAGTGAGAGACATTGAACTCTTCCTTCCACCCGAACGCTTAGGGGCCATTGTAGGTTATTAATTGGCCTAACTTCAATATGTTGCATTGCAGGATATCGGGAGATCCAAGGAGAAAAAGAGAGACAGAGAATGTTCAGTGTAGCAATAAGAACCTACACGTTTATTAATTAAGTGTGCTGTCTTATATGGGCATGGCTTATGGTGCTCCAAAACAATTACAAAGTCACATCAAAGATCACTGATCACAGTGCTATAACAGATATAATAATAATAAAGTTTGAAATATTTGTGTCACAGAGGCGTGAAGTGAGCATATGCTGTGGGAAAAATGGTGCTGATAGACTTGCTTTGAGCAGGGTTACCACAAACCTTCAATTTGTAAAAAAATAAAGTCATAAAATAAAAATGCAATGTCTGTGAAGCATAATAAAACAAGGTTTACCTGCATTTTCACTTATGGGGCTTTGCTCCATACCTGCCTGGTTTCCAGCAACATTTTCTTCCCATTAGTTCTCCTCCCATCACATTTCAAAACATAAGTCTGATAATGTCATTTCCCTGCTAAAAACTTAAAACCTATCATTGGTACAAAATTGACATGGGATAAAGTCCAAGTCCCCTAATAGGGTTTCTCAAAACTGTCCACTAATAAAAGCTAATACTGGACAGGATTAAATGAGAGACTCCACAGGCTTTGCGGACACAGGGAGTGATGCCTCGTAAAATTTCTTTATATTCTCAAGTTTTACGTTAAAAACTCAAGCTAAGTTGGCATTTATTATATAATATAGCCATATTTACTTAAACATGAAGATACTTTTTTAAACTGTGGTAAAATGCATATAACATATAATTTACTATCATAAGCATTTCTAAGCATACCATTTAGTAATGTTGAGTGCATTTCCATTATCATGCTACCATCGCTACCATTCATCTCCAGAACCTTTTTTCATCTTGAGTAACTGAAAGTCTGCATCCATTAAACACTAATTTCTCATTTCTCCCTTCCCCCACCCCAGGAAACCACCGTTCTACTTTCTGTCTCTATGAATTTGACTATTCTATGTACCTCAAGTAAGTGTAATCATACAGTATTTACCTTTTTGTTTCTGGCTTATTTCACTTAGCATAATATTCTTAAGGTCTATCCATGTTGTAGCATGTGTCAAGATTTTTTTGTTTTTTAAGTCTGCATAATACTCTATTGCATGTATATATCACATTTTGTCTATTCATTCACCTATCCATGGACACTTGAGTGACTTCCACATTTTGGCTACTGTGATTAATACTGCTCTGAATATTGGCATACAAATATCTCTCAAGTCACTGCTTTCATTTCTTTTGTGTATATACTCAGAAGTGGAATTGCTGGATCATATGTTAAATCTATGGGTAATTTTTTAGAAACTGCCATACTGTTTTCTGTAGCAACTTCATCATTTTACATTAACAACAATAGTACATGAGGGTTCCAATTTCTCCACATCCTCACTGACACGTATGTTTTTTGTTTGGGGATTTTTTTTAGTAGTAACCATCTTAATGGAAGTGAGGTGATATCTCATTGTGATTTTGATTTGCATTTCCTGAATGATCAGTGATGTGGGAGCACCTTTTCATGTGTGTGGACACTTTTACAGCCTCTGTTGAATTGATGCTCTCAGAATCCCCAGCTCCCGCATACATGCGCCACATCGAGATCTGAGCAGACATTCAGAGCCCTCCAGCTTGAGTGCTCACCTACCTTTTCACCCTGAGCTCTGCTCCTTCACAGGCACGACCTTGGAAAATCTTTCATACCAACACAACAACAGTCAACACAGAAGACTTCCGTGACCCCAAAATATCTGGAGATTCCTTCCCACCAGCAGGCAAGCAGTCAATTCTGCAGGGGACATGAACTAGGCATCCTCCAGTTCACTTCCCACGTTATCCACCTGGAGATAGCATCAGATCCCACACATTGAGGACTCAGTCCCCAAGACTGTCCCTGACTTCAGACACCAGTCACAAGTCCAGACCTCAAGAACTTCTGACTGATCAGCTTAAAGTTATGGTTCCCATGACCCTAACTTAGTTTGCTGGAGCAGCTCACAGAACTCAGGGAAACATTTACTTATGCTTACTGGTTTAATACAAAGGATATTACAAAGGACACAGATTAAGAGATGCATAGGGCAAGGTCCTGAGCTTCCATGTCCTCCTTGGGTATGCCACCATCCAGGAACCTCCACATGTTCAGATATCCAGAAGTTCTCTGAATCCTGTCCTCTTGGGTTTTTATGGAGGCCCGATTACATAAGCATGATTGCTTAAACCATTGGTTTAATGGCTCTCAGTGATGAACTTGACCTTTAGCCCCTCTCCCCACCAAGGACACTGAGGGCAGGTTGGGCTGAAAGCTCCAATCCTCCAACCATGCCTCTGTCTTTCCCTTGACAAGCCCCGCCCTGAAGCTCTCAGTCAACATTAGCATACAACAAGACAGTACTTTGGCGATTCCAAGGATTTTAGGAGTTGCATGGCAGCAAATGGGATGAAGACCAAATATATATTTCACAAAATAACTGGTGCCATATACTCTGGGGATTTCCAGTGCTGTACTTTTTATGCTACATGGCCTACCCTCTTTCACCTCCTGCTCTTTGTACATGGTTTCCTCTGATTGGAGGCCTTTCTTTCTTTCCCACTTATTCATCTTTCAGGGCTAATTATAAATCTTCCCTACCACTATATTGGTCCTTGTTCAACATTTTTGGAGAGATTAATTACCCTCACTTCTAATTCCCATAATACTTTTTTCCCACTTTTTCCATTCAGCCAGTATCATGATTGTGTCATTTTCCTCATGAGACTGGCTTTATCATCTTTGCAACCTCAGCTGGGAGCCCAGGGCCTGACTCATGATTGAAGCTCCAAGAAATGTCTGCTTAGTGAACAGATGGAGAGGGCTTTGCAAATGGGAAGAGTATGAGCCAAGTTATGGAGTGAGGAGCAGGACTCAATTTCAGAAAAGTTAGTGCCTGCAGAATTTACATCTACATAAAAGTATGGGGATTTGCAAAGTTTAAGACATTGCAGATAGCTGGACATTTGAATTCTTCAGAGGCTAGAGATCTCACCGATGTGACCTGGCCTCACATAAGGAACATTCAATAGCTCAATCAAAGCCAAAGAGTGAAGAGCAGAGGGACTGATGGCTTACAGAAAGAGCTTACAGCTTGCCTAGCAAGAGTCAATAAAACTTTAAAATCAATATGCTGATGAACTGCCAGCTAGAAAACGTCACGGAATAGGTTGATATGGCCATAAGGGATCTAAGAATAATCTTGTACTGCAGTATTCTAGTCCCGTCCCTCATCACCATCCCCAGGTATCTGAATACTACAAAATCTCTGTAAGCTCAGTGGTTCCTTATAGAAAAGACAATAAAAGTTATATTTTCACAGATTTTATTCAACAATAAAAGTGATGGATAATTATGGAGAAAATTTAGAAAACACAAGTAAAGCTAAAAAAAAAATCGGAAACTGTCTAGAGGTTACCACAATTAACAATTACATGAGCTTCCTTCCTTCCTTCCTTCCTTCCTTCCTTCCTTCCTTCCTTCCTTCCTTCCTTCCTTCCTTTTTTTTGTAGAGACGGAGTCTCGTTCTGTCACCCAGGCTGGAGTGCAGTGGCACAATCTCAGCTCACTGCAACCTCCGCCTCCCAGGTTTAAGCAATTCTCCTGCCTCAGCGCCCCCCTGAGTAGCTGGGACTACAGGCACATGCCGCCACGCCCGATTAATTTCTTTTGTATTTTAGTAGAGACGGGGTTTCACCGTGTTGCCCAGGCTGGTCTCGAACTCTGAGCTCAGGCAATCCCCCAACCTCAGCCTCTCAAAGTGCTAGGATTATAGGCATGAGCCACCACACCTGGCTGAGATCCCATTGTTTCTTAAGCACATGTTTTGGCATGACTGAGGCAATTCTTGACATGTATTTGGTATATTTCTTTTTTAATGAAACAGCATTGACTTATGTTGCAGAAAACTCTTTGCAAGCATCATTTTTAAAAGCTACATAAGTCCCTCATTAAAGCATAATTTATTAAACATTCTTCTGTTTTTGGACACTTATTTAAAATATTAAACTGAATATTTACATTCATGAAACTTTTAGAAATGTTTTGTGTTAGTTCCTTAAATAATGTGAAATAAAGATGCTTAATGCCCACCTACCAGTGCTACTTTGAGGGTTACGAGACATTAACCCTCCTACTATACACTTTTATGCATCCTGAAATCTGAGGATAAGTAATATAATTTTGATTTAATATTGATAGAATAAGAAAAAAATTAATAATAACAGAGTTGAAATCAGGGGACCAAAATTCATTCTAGCCAGTAAAATATAACCAAATTGTCACAAAACTTGTCTCAGTGAAGTACATTCCTCACCACATTTTTTTATGATCTCATCTTTCTAGAATATGGTAGAAATATTATCATTCTAATCATATGCATATATGTAGATGTGCACACGTACACATAGTTGATTATAAAAAACTATATTGCCACTATTTCAGTTTAAATACTGTTAAACCATTCTACATACCACAAAATAATAAAGAGCATATTATGATTCATCTGAAAGAACCAGCCCAAATTACAATCAGCCAAAGTGCATTCAAGCACAGAAGCGATCTTCAATAATTTAAATACAGCCTTTAGTTAAATTAAAAATGCTTATCAAAAAGGTTTTGATGACTCAATTTTAATAAGTTTAATAAATTATCTCTAAATCATTATCTTTTACAAATAATTTGATTTTATAAAATAACCTTTATCAAAACTCCCTCTGAATTGCATGTGTCTGAAAATAGAAGAAATGTTAACCTGTTTTTCATGGTTTAGAGAGCCTATATTTTTAACTTCTTCAGCTTTTGAGTCTATTAGTCTACTGTATTTTTCTACGGCGCACCATGGATAGAGCATGGATGCCATCTACTAGGCAGCTATCATGGCATTGATAGAAAATTTCTAGTAGAAAGGAACAATGCCCGTTTAATTGAAATTTAACAGCAAGTAAAAATGTGCAACATCCAAATAGACCCTGAAAATCCACTGTGATCCCCAAGACTCAGAGGTGAGGTGCAATTCTGAAAATAGAAAGCCAATCAGAAATTGCTTAGCTGAAGAAAGTGGCTTAAGAGGCTTCTGCTTTTAGGCTGAGCTTATCAGAATGGGAATTACCTTTACTGGAAATAAATCACATTGTTTTCTTCACAGGTGGCTCAATTTAGCTGTTTAATCTGAGAGAAATGATAGACTTAAGAGCAGAGGAAAAATCTCTTGGTTCATCAGGTTTGGAGGAGTATGAAAAATACTTTATCTCTGTTTCAATATTTCTATCTGATAATCAGTTGTGTAGACTGTAATTTCAGAGTAATTTGAAGCATAGAAAATAGAGTCTTACAAATAGGTGTGTCTTGGAGTGTCATATAGATGGCAGCAGGCTAAGGTATTTGTTTAGAAATAATATTTTGTTTTTACTGTCAGGTTTAATAACTTGCCCGAAATATATGTGTACATATTTTCTCAGACAGTTTTCCAAAGGAAAAGGTCATTCAATTTTGATGACTGGCCGCATAATGTACTCTATTTGGTCAAGGCAGGAAACTAGCTGAGGTAGGAAAAAGATAGTTTAGAAAACCATGCATGCTTTAAACTAAGAATACCTAAAAGTAATGCAAATCTAAATCTTTATTTGGTTGAACTCTATTACAATTATGTAAACTGCAAATGTAAATGTGATGGACACAACTCAAAAGTAAATGTAAGAAAAATATATTAAATTTAATACAGAAATAATTATAATGCTTAATAGAGAACAATGAGTCCATGCCTATGTTTAGAAAATATAGCACGTTAGAAAACACATATAATGCAAGAAAAATTATTAACACTTTCTCATAACAACATATTTTGCATGCAATACCATAAGTTGAACTAGCAAAATAACAAGAAGTATGTGGTTTTAATTGATTTATCTAATTATGTGACATAAAGCCTAGGAATTGACTTAAGGGAAAATCCTAACAGGGTAAAATGCACAGTCTGAAGAGAATGGAAAGCTGGGAAACGTCCTGAGAAAATGCTATACCCAAGAAACAAATGTTTTAAAATAAAAGGCAAAAATAGGCCAGGCGCGGTGGCTCACGCCTGTAATCCCAACACTTTGGGAGGCCGAGGCAGGCAGATCACGAGGTCAGGAGATCAAGGCCATCCTGGCTAACATGGTGAAACCCCGTCTCTACTAAAAAAATACAAAACAATTAGCCGGGCGTGGTGGCGGGTGCCTGTGGTCCCAGCTACTCAGGAGGCTGAGGCAGGAGAATGGCATGAACCCGGGAGGCAGAACTTGCAGTGAGCCGAGATCGCACCACTGCATTCCAGCCTGGGCAATAGAGCAAGACTCCATATCAAAAAAAAAGGCAGAAATAAATGAAATTTTAAAAGTGATGCATTAACAATACTTTTAATCTGTAATGTTACGATAAATCGGCATTCTGATTAATTATGAATTAGAACTTTAGGCTGAATGTGCTCAAGAGCTTTTTGACTTGAATGTTCCATTTCCATGTACCATATTTAATGTGGGCGGTGGGGGGAACAATGACCATGTTGGGGCCCTAGTCCATTCGCAGTGCCTGTCTCTCTGTTTCTAGATTCCTTGAAAGAAGAGACTTATGCTTGTGGGTGTGTATCTGCCCTTCCACCTCAGGGCTCCACAGCATTTTGGTAAAACAGGCGTTCAACAGACATTTATGCAAGACATCATTGATCGTTAACAGAGGCAGTTCTAGAAAGCTACCGACACCTCTCCACAGGGTCTGGAGTAAATTGGGAATGTATAATACTTTCTGAGCTACCTGAGGTAGCTATGAGGAAGACAGGACAAGATGGTAAGGATGGAGCTGAAGAGGAATACAGGCTAAAGGGAAAGGATCAACTACTCCCCCCATTTCACACCCCTACGGAAAAATGCTGTGTTGTGTCCGACACTGCTCCAGGAACTTGGGGATACAGCAGAAAACAAAACCAAAATGGCGGCAAGGAGGAACCTAAACTTTTAATCCAATGGAGGCAGACAGATGATAAATGCAGTAAATAAGTAAATTTTGAGTTTCTCGGAGGGATAAAATTGCTTTAAGATAAGAAGGATGGGGCATGCATTGGTTAGCTTGTAATTTAGTTATCAAGGGAAGGAAAAGTCCAGGTATTGAGGACAGCAAACACAAAAAGCCTTGATGCAGGGGTGGGTCTGGTGGGGTTCATGGAATAGTAGACTGATTTTTCCCTTCAAGTAGGTAAGAAAGAATAATAGACCTTTGTGGGTTTCTGGCTATTTCTTGACAAAAGCAAGCCTTATTGGTGCATTTGCTTTAAAGACATCTGAATTATTCTACCAGATAAAAAAACAAGAAGGGCCTACAATCTGCCCCGTACACAGATGACACTAGAAAGGAGTCAGGCCTGCTGCAGGCTGAGGGTGGGAATTTTTCATGGCAGAGATGAAAAGTCGGAACAAATCATTAAGGCTTAACTCCAAGAGAGAAGGCCACAAAGGAGCTGTCTTAAAAGAATGACGGAGGCACAGCTAAAGGAGAAATGTGAGCGTACCCAAATGTAGACAGGAAGCTCAAAAATCAGTAAACTTTGCATTTGGTAAAGGCAAATGGCATTGTAAGGATTTGAGAGATAACCTTTCTGTCTCCTAATGCATGATTTCCTTATTCTAAATTATTCCATGTTACGGAAAAATGGAACTAAGGAAAGGAACTAATGAGTGCTATATAGGCAGAAACCCCATTTCTTGAACGCAGTTCCTGTTTTAATCTCTTTTCACCTCTTCCTCCAATTATAGATGTAGTTTCCTTTTAACAGTATTGGGAAAGTAGTTGAAAGTGTCAAAAATCAAGAGAAAGGTGAGATGAGCTGAGGTTGCTTCTCTGAGAAACGTCTCCACAAGCTGCCATTTTGATGAGGAAACTGGTGACTCATTAGAACGTCTCTTCTATATGATGGCAGACAGGCTGGTTTGCTGACTACAGGGATAAACACAAATGACAACATTTCACCACGTTAATAGACAATAGAGTCACGGGCCAATTGGAGATCAGCTCATTTCAATGCAGAAAATGATTACACATGCAAACAAACAAAAAGTAAGACAGGTAAACTCCTTGGCATGTAATACAGCTCTGGATTATTCAATGTAATGATTTGGGGAGTGCAAATGCTATGACTTCTTAATCCATGCATGGATTTTTATACATGGATGTATGTTCATGTAAATATATAGTGTTAAGCAGGAGATCATGTTTCACACAGTCCTTCTCCTCTTCCTTCCTCTTCTGCAATAGTGGATAAAATTAGATTATTTGAGAAAATGATATTAGCACTCATCCAAAATATGGGTATGGAAATGTAAATAATAATGTATGCGACCAGAATTTGTAACCTTGAAACAGTACAGGTTTTGGTTGAGAAGATAATACATCAAACTGCCTTAAAACTCCCACCACTTTGCCCCAGGAAAGTTGATTAAAAAAGATTTTGGATTTTTTTTGAGTCAAGTGGGTAAACTCAGAGATATCTGTAAAGCTCTCTGTCCTGAATTCCTTAGCAAGGTGAGAATCAGACCTCCAAGGACCTGGGGTAACCTGTCTCATACTACCTGCCAAAAAGTGTTAATTTCCTGATCACTGAATATGTCTAAGTGAATTCTTTATTTTATTTTATTTTATTTTATTTTATTTTATTTTATTTTATTTTTTCAGATGGAGTTTCCCTCTTCTGTCACCCAGGCTGGAGTGCTGGAGTGCAGTGGCACAATTTCGGTTCACTGAAACCTCTGCCTCCCAGACTCAAGTGTCCTCCTGCTTCAGCCTCCAGAGTAGCTGGGACTACAGGAGTGCACCACCATGCCTGACTAATTTTTGTCACAATTTAAAGACATTAGAAATGTATTTATGTCACCTGAGAACTAGCTTTTTCTGGCTGCAGATATGTTAGCTTGCTCAACTCCTAGATTTCCAGAATAAACTCTTAATTTCCTCTTTAGCTAAATGATAGTGTAGTTCAGAGGGTATGTTAGATGACCAATGAATGCTTTTTACATCTTAGCACTATTTAGCCACTGCCTTGCCAACCACAACCCAAACTCCAGATTCAGGCCTACCGTCTTTTCTTGACGCTCTTCTAGAGAGAGAAGAAAATGTTATTGATCCACAACTTTGGGGAAGATAAGCATGAGGCAGAGTCAGCTTGGAATTGAGTGAGTCCTGTGAAGGTTTTCCATCTCAGATGCCTAACAGGGCCTTCACACATGAAAATTATTAAGTTTCACAATTATGTGTTAGTTTAAGCAAATACTTGGAAGGCAATTCACAAGTGTATTTAGGCCTCTTTATAAGAGGGATTGCTATGCACAGGGGGATTTAAAAAACACCAGCTTTACTGGGCTAGTTTCTTGTGTAACGATTGTAATATATTACATTTGCATATATTTTAAAGCCAGCAAAACTCTTTCACAAATGGCTTGTCATTGCCAAGCATGTGTTAGAAATGATTGAGAACTCTACAAAGTGAATTAAAAGTGCAAAAATGCTACATATTTTTATCATGAAAAATGAAACCAAATGTTTTAAAAGCCGAATATTTTAGGACAATATATGGTAATAATCAATCAATGGTTTCAGCCTTAGTTTTACTACTGGTCTACTTTGGGCTTAAAGTTGACGTCTCATTGCATTGAAAATTATTTGATAAGAGAAAATAAAATACATTTTACCAACATGAAAGGGTACCAATAACAAGAAAATTGTGGACAGGTGCGGTGATTCACGCCTGCAATCCTAGCACTTTGGGAGGCCGATGCAGGTGTATTACCTGAGCTCAGGAGATCAAGACCAGCCTGGGCAACATGGTGAAACCCCGTCTCTACTAAAATACAAAAAATTAGCTGGGTGTGGTGGTAGGCACCTGTAATCCCAGCTACTCTGGAGGCTGAAACAGGAGAATCACTTGAACCCAGGAGGTGGAGATTGAAGTGAGCCGAGATCACGCCATTGCACTCCAGCCTGGGCGACTGAGCAAGACTCAGTCTCAAAGAAAAGAAAAGAAAAGAAAAGAAAATTGTAAGGAGTTTTCTCAATTAATAACCCAAATAAGAGAATTCTTTCCATGTATCAATCATGATACTAAGCACTTTACACACATGTATGTTATGTAATCATTATATCATGCATGCAAGGTAATGAGTATTATTTTCCTCATTTTATAAAAGAGGAAACTGATGTTTGAGGCTACTTTGCTTAAGACCACAGAACTAGCAAAGGAAAAGAGAAGTGAATGTATCCCTGATCCCCTTTAACACTTCTTACACAGCCTCCCCACAATGTCCAGTATTAACTTCATAAATGAGCCATACCACCAATATGAGAAAATAAGAAATGTCCACATGTGCCAATTATTCATGTATGATCTCTTAGCTCCTTCTATATTTTGCCCTGTAATGTTGGCATTGAGACGCTGTGAACTGCCTTTCCAAGATTCCTTTCTTAGCTGGCTTTTTGATGGATTCTGTCAATATGAGGCACTACAGGAAAATTGGAATGAGAGAGACGACAGAAGGGACTTCTGACAGCTACCATTGTAGTACCAGTTGAGCTTCCTGGCAGCAGTTATTTCCAGCCTCCAGCTTCTTCAGGCATTCTCAGAACCAGTGTTATCAAACCTTCTCCAAGGTATCAGCACCAACTAGTCATGCTCAGTGGGGCTCCTCGTCCAAGCTCCTTGTTCTTGAAGTTCAACACTTCTCTTTGTTCACTCAGCCCTAGAAGTGATTGATGGCTCCGTTCGTTATCTTGGTTTCTTCGGTGTTCTTTTCTTCTCTTTTTCTTTTCTTTTTGCCTCCTCCTACTACAAAACCTGTACAGCCAATTTCAATAAGCTCTATTCAAATATTTGGTTTGGTTTCTCTTTTCCTGTAAGACCCTGGAAAAAACAGTACTTGGTACCATGAATAAGACACTCAAAGGAGATATTCTAGGATTGATTTGGTTATGTCTTTGCACATGAGCACAGCCAGTGAAAAATAGGATACTGCTGATCCCTGTCATGCAGTGACAGTGGGATGAATTAAATTATCATCTTTGTTTGCATAGAGTGAAGCACCTTTTGAAGCAAGTGCTTTGGAAGACCAAGTAGCTGATGTGCTTACTGTTATTATAGTAATAATGACCACAAGAATTACATGGTGGGTTGGCTGCTTTCAAATGCATGGAAGAGTTTACAAGAAAAAAAAAACAACAAGTCCTGTGTTGTAAAGCAACAGCTCAAGTAAGGGCCAGACAACCAGTAAAGTTATTACAGTACAAATACCCAAGAGAGGTTGGAATTATTTTCTTCCTCATGATGGTAAAGCAAAAATATTACCACTCAGGGAATTATAGGAATCACTGTCATTAAGAAATATTTGAAAGATACAGATAGATTCCTACCTCTATTTAGATTCCTAAATAGAGACAGGAAATAGAGATCCCTATCTCTATTTAACTCTGTCACTGGGCCAGAGCAAAAGGATATTGGAGAATAATGGTGGATTTTAATTAATGTTATAAGGTTAACCAATTATAGCAGTTGCTCCAGATATTAATTATTTATCAGGGTAAGCCAATACATCTCCCAACACCTGACACTTTTTTTTCTCTATACCAATTTGTAAGGACCACCAGAAGCAGTTTGCTTTCACTTGTTAGGAGCAACAGTACACCTTTACTGTCTTGTCTCAAGGCTATGTCAGATATCTTACTCTTTGACATAATCTAGTTCACAGAGGTCTCGATCATAAGCATATCCCACAAAACATCATGCTGTTCCTCTTCATTGATGGCAACATGCTGATTGGACCTCATGAGCAGGAAGTAGCAAGTACCCTAAACAATGTATTAAGACACATGTATGTCAGAGAGTAAGAATGAAATACCCAAAAAATTCACAGTCCTGCCACCTTGGTGAATTTCAGGGCATCCAATGATTTGGAATATAATAGAATATCCCTTTAAGTGAAAGATACTTGCTATGCTTCACACTGCATGGTAGGCTCTTTGGATTTTAGGGGCAATGTAGACCCATTTGGGTGTGCTAATACAACCCATTTATTAATTTAACTATAAAGTGACCAGGGCTTAGTGAGACCCAGGGGAAAATGTAGCATTTCATCATCCAGTGTGCAATTCTGTTCATTCATCCTTGTGACTCAGAAGATGCTTGGGTACTCCTTGTATCTGATAAACAGGCATGTTGTGTGGCGCATCTTACAAGCTACAATAGAGAGATCACAGTGAAGATCCACAGAGATGCAGCTAAAAAATATATATATGATACCCTCTTTGGCAGACATCTATTCTCATTTGGAGAAACAGCTTTTATATTTTGCTGGGCTCTTATATAGCCTGAAAGCCTAATCATGAGACATCAAATGATGACGTAGCTTGAGATTGTTGTCATAAAACTGGTGTTCTAAAAACGGGTGTCCTTGGTCAGGCGCGGTGGCTCAAACCTATAATCCCAGCACTTTGGGAGGCCGAGGCAGGTGGATCACCTGAGGTCAGGAGTTCAGGACCAGCCTGGCCAACATTGTGAAACCCCATCTTTACTAAAAATACAAAAATTAGCCGGGTGTGGTGGCACGTGCCTATAGTCCCAGCTACTCTGGAGGCTAAGGCAGGAGAATTGCTTGAACCTGGGAGGCAGAGGTTGCAGTGAGCTGAGATCGAGCCACTGCACTCCAGCCTGTGCGTCAGAGTGAGACTCTGTCTCAAAACAAACAAACAAAACCTGGTATTACTATAAAGCTTCATGTACACAACAGCAATTCCATCATCATTCCACCATCAGGTGAGAACTGTAGATAAGATATATACCTTGAGCGGATCTGAAAGCTACGTGTCAGGATCTCGGGCTCATAGCTCACCTCTACCTGCTTCATTGCCTCCTCTTACTCAATCCGTGCCTCTGACCTCATGACAAAATGTTACTGGGAAGGAAAAAATCTTGGGCCTGACTTACAAATGTTCCCGCACAACATGTTTGCACCTACCAGAAGTGGTTTTAGTACTGCAGGTACAAATAGGGAAGTGCCTGAAAGAAAATCCTCGCAGTGGACAGAACTTTAAACTGTGCATTTGGTGATCCACTTTATCTGGACTGAAAAATGGTCAAGGATGTAGGTATATGTTAATTCGTGGGCATCAGATTAGCTAAATGACCAAAAATTTGCAAGGGAAAAGATTGATAGTAAGGAAGTCTGGGGAGAGGCTTATAGATGAAGCTCTTAGAATGGACACAGAGTTTAGAGATTGTTTGGTCTTGTGTGAATTTCTACTACATGGCATTCTTTGCAGAATAGGCTCCCAATCATCAAATAGAAAAAAACTAAAAATTTCGTGGACAAAGGCCAACCCTCCTCACCAGGAATACCTAATTAACTATCATGGTATTCCACCTAACATTGCTTCTAACCAAGAGACACATTTGTCAACAAATACAAAAAGAGCCTTAGTGGCCTCATGGACACAGAATTAGCTAATCTTCTCCATCACTCAGAAGCAACTGGTCTGATAAAATGGTGGAGTATCCTACAGAAATCTCAGTTGGGAGACAACACCCTGAAAAAATGTATAGGATGTATAGAAGACTTCATTTATAAGATGCAATATACTTTCTTGAATAGTAACCAATGTAAGATGCAGTTTCTCCCATAGCCCAAGTACAGGAATTGCAGAATCAAGAGGTGAAAATAGAAATGATTTCTCCATTACTTCTAAAAAAAATCCACTTACAGAAACTCTCCTGCCTTTTAAACTTTGCTTAACTAAAGGTGTTTTTCCCTAAAAGAGGTATGTTCCCAGTAAGCAACACAACAGTTTTATTGAATTGGAATTTGAGACTGTAACTGGGCCAATTTGGGTTTTTAATGTCAATCAAACAGGCAAGGACGAGGCCATTTCTACTGGCTGAAGTGATTTCCATGATTGTCAAGAAGAAGTTGGATTGTTACAATGCAATGAGGGAACAAAGGGTGTCTGGAAGTCAGGAAATACTCTGACATGCTTCTTAGTACTTCAATGTCCAGTAGTAAAAGTTAATTGAAAATTATAACAACTACATAAATACAGTACCACCACTGAAGCTGCCTGTGGAGAAAGGCAACATGAAATGGGTAGTGGAAGAATGATGTTATAAAGACTAACAACTGCTTTGTAACCAATTACAGCAAAAGAACTGTAGCAGCTTAGCAAGTTGTTTCTGTACAATTTTATATTCATGTTATATATTCATATGAGTCAACTAATTCTACCTTCCACCTCTTCTCTTACCATTTTCTGAGTTTCTGTCTCCAAGTTACAAATCAAGTAGGAAGTTAAGACTGCACTGGGGCTAGGCGTGGTGTCTCACACCTGTAATCCCAGCACTTTGGGATACCGAGGCGGGCAGATCACTTGAAGTCAGGAGTTCGAGACCAGCCTGGCCAGCATGGTGAAGCCCCTTCTCTACCAAAAATACAAAAAAAAAAAATTAGGCGGACGTGGTGGCAGGCACCTGTAATCCCAGCTTCTTGGGAGACTGAGGCAAGAGAATCGCTTGAACCAAGAAGGCGTAGATTGCAGTGAGCCGAGATCATGCCACTGCACTCCAGCCTGGGCCACAGAGCAAGACTCAGTCTCAAAAACAAAACAAAACAAAACAAAACACTATATTGGAACAGGAAAAAATATCTTCTAGATATGAGTTCAGTGACTTCCATGAGGTAGGTACCATCACTATTAGGATTTTGAATGTCTGCTTGTGGGGGCATGGATGGAAACACCTTTGTTTGCAGGAGAGACTGTCTTCCTATTAGAGCAAAGCATAAAATTGTTACTGTTGCATGGTGGTTCAAACCCATGTAGAAGGGTGAGTATTGGTCCTGAGTGTCCAAAGCGGTGACCATGCTAGTTATTTGTCTATTGTCACTCAGTTACAAATCTAAGCTCCTATATTCTGCTATGTGATAATAGGGCTGAGACTGGAAAAATTACATTTTGCTGATACCTTTAATGCTGAATTTGTCCTCAGTTCTGACAACAGGAAGCTCTAGATGGAGAATGGGACATGGACGTCAAAGAAAAATCGCTTTCTCCCTTCCCTTTTTTTCTTTAACTTTTCTTTTTGCTTTTTGGCTGTTTACTATCATCATCCCTGCAGCACTGGCGGTTAGACATTTGCCCCAGCAGCAGCGGTTGGCTCCAGCCTCCAGCTTTCTTTCCCCACCTTAGAAGCAGCAGCAGAAGCAGGATGGTAAGCCCTGCAGAGTTTTGAGCACTATATTCCGAGCACTATATTCAGAGAGCTCTTGTGCTCTGTAGTTAATGTTTTTTTTTTTTTTTTTTTTTTTTGAGACAGAGTCTCACTCTGTCACCCAGGCTGGAATGCAGTGGCATGATCTCAGCTCACCACAGCCTCCGCCTCCTGGGTTCAAGCGATTCTCCTGCCTCAGCCTCCCAAGTAGCTGGGATTACAGGTGCCCACCACCACACCCAGCTAATTTTTATATTTTTAGTGGAGACGAGATTTCACCATGTTGGCCAGGCTGGTCTCAAGCTCCTGACCTCAGGTGATTCACCTGCCTCCACCTCCCAAAATGCTGGGATTGCAGGTCTGAACCACCCTGCCCAGCCTGTAGTTATCTTTTTTAGTAGGCTAAAATATTGTCTTTTTGTTCTTTTGGCCCTCAAATATTTCCCTATATTAAACAATTCACTTATATCTTTAAACTTATATCTTTTAAAATACCTCAGGTAGTTTTTCTCTTTCTGATTTGATCCTGACTCATAAATGACAGATAAAACATGTTGCTATTTGGGTTTTTTGGTGTATATATAGAAATATTTAGCAGTATTTAAGAATTACCTTTAGAAGTCCTTTCTTTGTTCTAGTAAATCTCTCATGTTAAGTGGTTAGGTGAAAGTCATAGACCCAAATTGAATAGGTGAAAAATGTTGGAACACTCAAAGTAAGATTTCCTTCATCCATTAGGAAAGACTGGTAAGACACAAATGGAGTGAGTATTTTATTACATGTGCTTGGAGATGTCAATGGTTTACAAGATGTGGCTTGCAAACTCCTGATGGTTTCCAAGACATCTTCACTGGGTTTGTGAGTTCACACCAATTCTCATAATAATACCAAGACATTATTTGCCATTTTCACCATGTTATCATTTGCATTCATTTTGCAAAATAAATGGAGCATAAAACTGCTGGTGCTGTTGCTTGAAACAAGGCCATGGCACCAGCCTCAACTTGCCTGTATTCTTCACCACCACACACTCTTTGATAAAAAAGAAATGACCATCTTACTTAAGAAAGTCCTTGAAAGAGCAGTAAATATGTTTACTTTTACAAAAGTTTGGCCCACACATAGAGATTTTTTTTTTTTAATTTCTATTCAACAGAATAGGCAGTATGTACCAAGCACTTGTGAAGTCTGTCAAATGGTTGTCACGAGAAAACGCACTGGTGTTTGAGTTGCATTTCATAAAGTACTATTTTTAATTAAGATAATTACTGACAGACAAAACATAGTTTTTTGTCTTAAGTATTTGGCAAACCTTTTTTAGAAATTAATTGTGTCATCCTATCCCTTCAATAAGAGCCATTGACAGTTTTTGTTACCAGGAAAAGTTGAGCTATCAAGCAAATATGAGAACTTTGAAAAACTTGGGTCCACTTCCACAAGCATGACAGCTTCTCAAAACTTAAAGACTTTGTTGATGTCAATGGTAATGTTAATGAATGTGGGTTTTTAAATATTTTATGATAAAATATGTCAACATTTAGAGTACCCACATAACTTAGTGAGCTAATATTTTATAAATAGTCACTGCATAATATAAAATTATACGTGGATAAAACATCCATTCAAAGTGCAAGATTCAAATAATTTTAATGTAACCAGAGCTTATTAATGTTTGTTAATATAGTTTATGATTGTACTTTGCAATTAATCTTTTAAACTACCATTTGTTGAGTTTTGGTGTAATATCAAAGAAGAACATCCACTACTATTTGAAAGAATTATTAAAATGCTTCTCCCTCATCCAGCTAAATGTATGTGTAATGCTAAGTGTTCTTTATATAGTTCAACAAAAGAACATATCACAATAGATTGATTTTAAAGGCAGATATGAAATCCCAGTTGCCTTCTACTAAGCCAGACATGAAGGAGATGTGTAAAAATTACCAATATGCCACTTTTGTTATTATTTTTGTTTTTTCATTATAAGTGTTGTGTATTTTAACATGTAATGGGTTTCATATTATTATTTTAAAGTTACTTTTAAACATTTAAAGTAATTATCAGTTTTAACTTCTAATCTGGTAAATATATATATATGTGTATATATGTATGTACATATATGTATATTATTAGCCAGGCGTGGTGGCAGGCACCTGTATCCCAGCTACCTGGGAGGTTGAGGCAGGAGAATCACTTGAAACCAGAAGGCAGAGGTTGCAGTGAGCCAAGATCACGCCACTGCACTCCAGCCGGGGCAACAAGAGTAAAACTTTGTCTCAAAGAAAACGAAAAGAAAAGCAATTCCTGTTGATTGATGGATAGTACTACTGCCCAGTTTAAATAAGTATTTATATTTAAATACTTATTAAATAAGTATTTATATTTAAATACTTATTAAATAAGTATTTATATTTAAATACTTATTTAATAAGTATTTATATTTAAATTTATTAAATTTATTAAATACTTATATATTTAAATACTTATTAAATAAGTATTTATTAAATACTTATATATTTAAATACTTATTAAATAAGTATTTAATAAATACTTATTTAATAAGTATTTATATTTATATTGTATTTATATTGTCATGAAAAAAACAATCAAATAGCTCAGCAGTTCTCAAACTTTTGGTCTCAGGTTCTTTTTCCCACTCTTAAAAGTTTTGAAAATTCCAGAAAGCTTTTTTTGTTAGAGTTATATATATATATATATATAGTATATAGTGTGTATATATATAGTATATAGTATATATATAGTATATAGTATATATATAGTTTATTTTATATATATAGTATATAGTGTATATATATAGTATATAGTATATATAGTATACTATATGTATAGTATATAGTATATATAGTATACTATATGTATAGTATATAGTATATATAGTATACTATATGTATAGTATATAGTATATATAGTATACTATATGTATAGTATATAGTATATATAGTATACTATATGTATACTATATAGTGTATATATACACTATATATGTGTGTACATATATACTATATATAGTATACATATAGTGTATGTATGTATGTACATATATAGTATATATGTATATATGTACATACATATTGTTAGAGTTATATATAGTGTATATATGTACGTACATATATACGATATGTATGTACATACATATATATTTTATATATATTATATATATATATATATATAATATATATAAATTCTAACAAAGAAAAGCTTTCTGGAATTTTCAATAACTTTTAAGAGTGGAAAAAATATCCTGAGACCAAAAGTTTGAGAACTGCTGAGCTATTTGATCGTTTTTTTTTCCTGGCAATATAAATATAAATATAAATACTTATTTAAACTGGGCAGTAGTACTATCCATCAATCAATAGGAATTGCTTTTCTTTTCTTTTTTTTTAGACAAAGTTTCGCTCTTGTTGCCCAGGCTGGAGTGCAGTGGCACGATCTTGGCTCACTGCAACCTCTGCCTTCTGGTTTCAAGTGATTCTCCTGCCTCAGCCTCCCGAGTAGCTGGGATACAGGTGCCTGCCACCACGTCCAGGTAATTTTTGTATTTTTAGTAGAGATGGGGTTTCACAGGAATCATTTTTCATTAATCCCTGGCCAAATTTAGAAGTTAATATTCAACTTGAAGATGAAATGCTGTGAGACTCAAGCAAAGTTTATAAACTGCAAGAATCCTGAAGTTGTCTGATAAGATTTTGTTGTTCATCGGTATGCATTTTTATATGCAGTGGTTTGCTTTCAAAGATCTCTTTAGAGTAGAGGTTTTTGTTTTATCACCATAGCTTTTTTGGTTCACATATGCATATGATTTCATTTGTACTGGCTCTGGAGTCCCTGGTTTGTCTTCTGAGTTATTTAAAAATCAGGCTGATCGCATTATAGACATATTGCAATCCACAGTTTAAAAGAGACCAGCACAAAAGGAAATTTCCTTCCCAGTATTATGAAGTCACTCTACAGCCAGGAGTTCAAATAAATACTCTGTCTATCTTTAAAGAAGTTCCAGTAATTATTGCAATCCAACCAAACTGTGAATTCACCTCTAAAAATAGCCTTTTGGGTGGCTGTATTAGTTAAGATAAAGCAATCCTTGCACATGTATATGTTCAAGGCTAACGAGAAGTGCCATCTGTAGAACTGGGATATTTTCACACTCCTCTCTATTATACAAAACAATAAACCCTCTCCAGCTGATTTCTCTCATTGTGAAATGCAAATTGCCTATAAAAGTCCTCAGGGTGTGAGAAGACACTTATCAAACAGACATTACACATGCATTCATAGAAACTATGCAGCCTCAAACTCTATTTTAGATGCATTAAGAACCAGAAAACATAGGTGCGAACCTGTTCACGGTAGCTATAATAATTATGGCCTGAAGTAGCTATGTTGGTTAAGATATGTAGATTACTGCTCCCACTAACTTTTGATCTACTACACACCTGCCTCCTACCAAGAAAGGTAAAATCTTCAGAACCAAAGAAAATGAAACAAAACACATTATATGTGAGATTTAAAAGACTCCTTTAAATGATGAATCTGGCTTTTACCAGTAAGCTAAATTTTACATGTGACATATTCAATATTATTCATACTTGGCTTATTGCTTATTGGAGATGTGTGCATTTTCTTGTGTGATAAATGTACTGTTGGTAACAGGTAATGCAAGTTCTATGGAGTTATTAAACTTGAAGAATCCAAGTAAACTTACATCCAGAAATTGCCTGGTGCCCATGGTACATAAATAGCCAAACAGAAAAAGAAAAGAAGCAGAAGCAGAAGAAGAAAGAATTGTGTTTTACAGAAAAGTATTCAGTCCTGAGTTTGTAAAGGAAGAGAAAAAAAGTCTTCAAAGGAATTGGAATAGAATTTCAACTGAAAAATACAATTAAAATATTAAAGTTTTAAAAATATAAAATTACCTGAGGATGTTCTAAGAGAAGAAATCTTGGAAATCAACAGGTTAACTTGTGATGCATTTTTATATTTCTCATGATGCCTAGGTCTTAGATATTACAGGCAAATACCAAAACACCAAATTATATTTTTATTTCCTAAAATAAATGAATGAATGTCTTAAAGTAAATGAATGAATATCTTTAAACAATAAAAATAGAGACACTTTTTAAGCATAAACTGAAAAAAAAATCTTGTTTAGATAAAACATCTGAATTCTGCTTTCTGAGGGAAATATTATGCATAATTATTTCCCATTATGGGATTTCATTTGTTTTCAAAGGACCAATTCTAAAATTTGAATTTGCATACCAGCAAGCTAAATTTTTTACAAATCTCACCCTGAAATTCAAGTCCCTTGTTCTACCAGGGAAGCAATTAAGGTCCAATCATTTTTAATGCATCATAAATAATCTTCACACTTGCTGTTAAGTTAATTAATATAATCAGTACAACCAAATGCATCAAAATGAAGCTTATTTTGCAAACATGCAAAACGTTCTGCCTCATTGCCCAACTACCAAGATTAAATGACATTTTGCTAACAACTTTTTCCAAAGTGAGTCCAAATTTCATCTTTTAAAAGGGATCACCAGAAATAATACAACTATGTTGATATATATTCAGAATGACTAGCCAGTGGAAGTGTTGGTGATGGTGTCTCGTCCACCCCATTACACCTAAGTGCACTGAGATTCATTCAAGTTAGAGGATTTGATTTTTTTAAATACATGATAAACAACAACATCATTAAGGCATTATAATATGTCTTCATTTGTACCTCATTTTTTTCCAATAAGGATTTGAGACTGTTTACAAACACTCATCTAGCAAGAGAGATACAGATGTTCTTTGACTTATGATGGGGTTACAGACTGATAAACCCATCATAGGTTGAGAATATACTAAGAAATGAAAAGCATTTAATATAACTTGCCTACCAAACATCACAGCTTAGCGTAGCCTTCCTTAAACATGCTCAGAACACTTACATTAGCCTACAGGTGGGCAAAATAATTTAATACAAAGCCTATTTTATAATGAAGTATTGAGTATATCATGTAATTTATTGAAGACTGTACTGAAATTTAAAGCCACAATGGTTATATGGGTATTTGAAGTATGGTTTCTACTGAACACATATCGCTTTTAAACCGTCTTAAAGTCAAAAAATTCTGAGTCCAACCATCTTAAGTCGGGGACCATCTGTATAAGCAAGTCAGAAAATAAGAACAAAAGGGGTATAATCCCCACCACAGCCAGACTTACTAAACATCTGCAGAACAAACTAACACACTAGAATTTTGAGACTTAATGCTACATCTCCCAATGTGGCAGCATTTGTACCTACCTATCAGTCTTCCTAATCATTGTGACCTCCAGCCTAATTCACATGTTAGTATTTGCCAAGCTGGAAGTTCTTTCACAGGGAGATGAACAACCTGGAACATTTAGATCTCAGAAGGCATCCCCATCTTATCCATAAAAGTTCCTACCCCTTCATTATCCTCAGATTTCCTTTCTGATGGCCCAGACCCTCATATGGCCTCAACTCATGTCACCCCATCCTCATCCACTGTAAACCATTATGATTTCCTTGATATTGAGTCTTTCCCCAGGATATAGCCTATTCAGGTAACCTCACCAGATAAGTCAATAAATTACTTTATTCTTCAGTTTTATCTGCCCATCTGTGTGGTATCTGCAAATTAGTAATCAAGAAACCATTTTACAGTAATCGCAAGTGGTTCCATTTCCTCCAACTCTCAGACGTGTTGAAACACGCCCTCCAACAAGATAAATTTCCTTTCCATGGAGTAGAGGCAGAGACAGAATTTCTAAGAACAGATAGCAACATGGTGAAGAATGACGGCCTTTCTCTCCTGATACCTACATAGTAATAATAATAATGATTGTGTAGCTACCAAAAGCAACTATACCAGGAGAGGAAAATGTACTCCTATCAAAAACTCAAAAGGTGAAGTGATGAGAAGAGGTAGAAGTTTCTAGTGCAATTTGAGAAAGATGGCTGTGGTGCCTATCAATTTGGCTCCCAGAAATGCTACCAAAATATTGTATTGTATACTTTTGCAATTTTGTACTTTAGCTAAAACAGAAGAGACTGTAGACTGTGGGTATGTCTTTCCCTGTCGATTTCATTTACCTGAAAAGGGGAAAAAGATCCTTGGAAGGGATGAAAACAGGAAACAGTTCCCTGGAGTGAAATTAAGCAAGTAAACAACTGGGACTAACTCTGAAAAACCCATAGGCTCAGAGCTCCACACTTCCCTGATGAAGTGATCTGAATTATATCCAATTATATCCCAGCCCCACTTGCTAGCTGCAATAACCCTGGTACCAGAAAGTCAAAAAAATTCAGAAAGGAATACAGAGCCTAATTCTGAAAGCAAAGCCCCAGCTTTCAGCTTTACTTAAGGGACGTGGCTTTTCCTTCTCCCTGAACCTATCCTCGATTAGTCTATGGAAAACTTAGCACAGAGAAAATAAACATGAATCAGAGAAGATTAGAAGTGAGTCCAAGGGTATTCACCCATGCTATATCAGAGCAAGTAGAAATCCAGAGAGAGCCTCATTCTACCAACATGATAAAAATAAATGACATGGAAATATGCACGCATTCTACTGAAAAAAAGAGAGAGAAGAAAATGGAAACTTCCACGTAGGAGGCAAATGTAGAACCCAGTCTATAAAACAGTTGACAAAATGCACAGTAGACAATTTTCTACTACTGTTTGATGCAATAGAAAAACAACAATAATATAAATTCAATTAAACTGGAGCTCAACACTTAAATGATAAAATAACAATGAGATGTAAGGAGGGCTTCTGAGTAAAATTAACTGAAGACTAAAATTACACCATTAATAAATGAATGAATAAATTTTCAAAATGAAAGAAGAGAATGAACACTGATGAATGGCAGGCATAAAGGAAAGGTTGAGGATACTGTAATAAAGACAGAAGATACTAAAATTTTAGCAATAAGATAATAAGTATGGAAGACAAAAAAATATATAGTCTAATGTAAGTGGCTCATGCTCCGTAACATGGAAAAAAAATAAAAATAGAACAGAAAAATTATACAAGTTATAAGCCAAGGATCACTAACTGGGAAAAAATATTTTTGGCCTGTGCATTTTCTCCTTTTAAAAAATTACATCTAAGAGTTTTACTATACGGAATTCATGATCCTATTCACCAAGGGCACCGTCATTCCCTCTTGAAGTAACCCAACGTATTTTACATATTTCTGTTACGCACACAGAGCCCTGTAAGCCCTGTAAACCTTTAAGGGTAAGACCTCTGACATAAAATAAGTCTTTCTTGAACTTAAGGAAAAGGTAATTGGCTATTTTAAGGTTCATTTTCTCCCAAATTCAAATTTATTAACTTAAAGGTAGAGCATAATTAAATATTAAACTTTAGGGACATTCAAACACTGAGGCAAAGAAAGCAAATTACTTATAAAAAAAAAAAAGAATCGCCTCATACATTTTGTACATATGCATACATAGACGTATGTATGAATATAGACATATTCACAGACAATGAATATGTCTATGTATGTATATACATATGCATGTGTGTATATGCACATGTGTATATGTGCATAGTAGGGGAGGCAAAGTTTTACCTCTATTCTTTCAGGGTTTGTTAGCTGGGACTGAGAGTTAAATTAACATAAGATAGATCAACAGATGAAGAGCATTCAGATTTATTTAATGCAAGTTTTTTGTAACAACGAAGGCTTCATAAGGAAACAAAGACCCAAAGACACAGTTCAAGATGAGCATGTGTATACTGAATTAGATGAAGCATAGTAAACTATAAAAACATAACAAGGCAGGCTCACGTCTGTAATCCCAGCACTTTGGGAGGCCGAGGCAGGCAGATTACCAGGTCGAGTGATCAAGACCATCCTGGCCAACATGGTGAAACCCCGTCTCTACTAAAAAAATACAAAAATTAGCTGGATGTGGTGGTGCGCACCTGTAGTCCCAGCTACTCGAGAGGCTGAGGCAGGAGAATCGCTTGAATCCAGGAGGCGGAGGTTGCAGTGAGCCGAGATTGTGCAACTGCACTTCAGCCTGGTGACAGAGCAATAGTTCGTCATAAATAAATAAATAAATAAACAAACAAACAAATAAAATTAAAAAAATAAAATAACAAGGCAAAGGGGCTTGGGCAAGAGTAGTTAATTGGATGGAGAAGTGGCTAGCAGGTTAAGGATTCATCTAGCAGGGTTTGTTTCCTAGGCCTTGGCTTCCCATCCTTGATGATGAGAATGTTCCTTTTCTTCTGTTAAACGGAGGGCATCTTTCACATGCGAATTTCATCTCCAGCTTTTTAGCAAGCAGAAGGAAAGTCAGAGTGATCTTTTTTGCACTTGGTGTTTTTCAAGTGCCTTTAACTCAAAATAATCAATATGCCAAAAGGGCATATTTTTAACTGCTTCAGCAGATATATAGATATAGATTCAATACCAGAAGATAATGCAGAATATATACGAAGTCTTGAGAGAAACAGAAGGTTTGGCCCAAGAATTTTATACCCAAGAAAAAATTTGTCTGGACGTGTTCACTCATGCCTAAAATCCTAAGATGTGGGAGGCTGAGGCAGGAAGATCGTTTGAGGCCAGGACTTCGAGACCACCTTGGGCAACATAGAGAGACTGCACCTCTACAAAAAAACGTATAAACTAGGCAGGTGTGGTGGCGTGCACCTGTAGTCCTAGCTACTCAGGAGGCTGAGGTTGGGGGATCTCTTGAGCCTAGGGGTTCGAGCCTGCAGTGAGCCACAATCGTGCGACTGCACTCCAGCCTGCTGACAGAGTGAGACCCTGACTCTAAAAACAAAGCAAAACAAACAAAAAGAAAGAAATGGAGAATTTGCCTTTCAAATATAAAATACAAATATAACTGCCTTTCAAATATCAAAGCAACAATCATGTTGAACTAGCTACAGAAGTATCACCCCATTAATTCTCCTTCAAAACATTACTTGACACTGGAAACCAAAGAGTAAGTTAAAAAGCACTAAATTTTGTGATAAAAGGACAGATTCAATTCTTAGGCCAGGAAATAGTAGAGCAAGGCCTAAAATCATCTTGATTGGAAAAAAAATCTTCAAAAAGTATATCCAGGTAAATTGCCCTTTAAATGCAGCAACATTTGCAATTATGTAACACCTCAAGTTAGCAGCCCCCATGAGACTTACAACAACAGCAAAAATCACACCTACCTGAAGATAAAGCCCAGTCAAGCATGATATGAATCCATGATCAAGTAAGCCTTGACCAGGCATGGTGGCTCATGCCTGTATTCCCAGCACTTTGGGAGGCCGAAGTGGGTAGATCACCTGAGGCCGGGAGTTCAAGACCAGCTTGACCAACATTGAGAAATTTCGTCTCTACTAAAAATACAAAATTAGCCAGGAATGGTGGTACATGCCTGTAATCCCAGCTACTCAGGAGACTGAGGCAGGAGAATCGCTTGAACCTGGGAGGCAGAGGTTGTGGTGAGCAGAGATCATGCCACTGCACTCCATCATGGGTAATAAAAGTGAGACTCTGTCCACCCACTCAAAAAAAAAAAAAACCACAGTAAGCCTTCAACCCATTTATTTTTATATAGAATTATATTTAAAGAACTGTGAATATTATATTTAATATTATATAATATTAACTTAATATTATGTTGAGTGTTAACTTTAAACAAATATGAATATAGAACAGAATCTAAATGTTAAAAGTCCTGACAACACAAAAGTTATTTTATAACTAATAAAAGTCAGAGATGAGGAAAGATACTTTTTTTTGAAAAAGTTATAGTACAATTTTTCCCTCTTTCAAAGCAAGTAATTAATTAAAATTATCCAAATTTGAAACATGCTATGAAAAAATGTCTTCAACCTCTTTATGTTTCTTTCCTTTTCTCTTTGTTTCCTTTCTCTCCTTAGAGATTTCATATAGGGTGTATGAATGATATATATAAAATCCAGCAATTTCTTTAGTTTCTTTTTTATGTTAAAGTCAAGAAAAATGAACTTTAACAATCTTTATTTTAATGCCGTGTAAGTAATGTGCAATCATTTCTTATGAGATTATTTGTCGATATATTATTGTGTCCAAACATTGACATATAAATACAATGTATTTGGAATGATATTTACCTACTATAATTGTGGCAATGTTTAAAAGATGATATTTACAGTTTTTTTTTTTTACTTGTTTTGTGCTTTGAAATATGACAAAATCATTAAAAAGAACTTGAGGTGCTTTTTAAAAACACAAAAAAAAACTTTAAAAAGTAAAAAGAATTCAGACAAAAGATTGGGCTTTTGCTTTTATACCTTTATGCTCTAGGGATTTAAAAATGTTTTTTAAAACCTGAATTTCAGATAAGGTATACCTATATATCCAATACATGAGGCCCTTTTTATGCAGCCTCAAAGTAATAAAATTTGTTAGAGGCAAAATTTTCAGGCAGCAGCCACTGTTTTCCCAAACAGCCATGGTAGAATGCACATACAAAAAGGCAGATTTTAGCTGTCAAAACAAGCTACTACAATTACTTTCTGATGGTTTGATTCTCCCTTGTATTATACCCCCTACACACACCTCCTTGGTTTCTGGCATCTTAATATCAATTGGCAACTTCCATCCTCTCAACCATTATTCTGTCAACTAATCCCTCTGGTTGTTGTCCTGTAACTTCATATCTACTGATTCTTACTTATGCCTTTCTTGGCTAAATGTCTCACTACACAGTTCTGCTCACCAGCTAAGCCATGCTTTTTGCTCCAGGCATTGGTTCTTCCTACATCTTCTTGTTGCAAAAATGAAGCTGCAAAGCCTACCAATGCTCCCTACAAAGCAGTCATATCCCTTATGGAGCTGGGCAAGTTAACCCATTGGCAGCAAATGCTGAGCCAATGTGTGTATCTTGGTAAGAAGATACACATAAAATGAATATTGTCAGCCCTCAGATCCATGAGTTCAACCATCCATAGATTCAACCAGCAAGAGATAGAAAATATTTGGGAAAAAAATTCTACAAAGTTTCAAAAAGCAAAACTGAATTTAAGCAAATGAAGTGATGTATATGCTTTGTATTCCGTATTATAAGTAATCTAGAGATGATTTGAGGTATACAGCCACTTTATATTAGGGACTTGAGCATTCTCGAATTTTGGTGTGCTTGGATTTTGGCATCTGTGGAGATCCTGGAACCAACCCCTCAGGGACATTGAGAGACAACTATACACATTTCTCAGATGAAAGCTTCTAACTTATTAGTCACGGAAAATGTATGTATTCTAAACATAAACAGAATCGTTACATATATGTGTGAGCATATATGTATGTGTGTATACATAGAGAGCCCACACGGCATTGTGGTCTCATGGAGAAACGGTTCCTACTTAGCTCTTCAATCTTCAAGTGACACTCATATGACAAAAATCTGATGTCAAAATATCTAAGATAAGAAAAAATACATTGGAGAAGTGTGACACATAGTAAATTATCAGACTGATCTGGGTTTGATTTTGGGCCCTGTCAATTACTAAAACGTAGAATCTTGGGAAAATCCTTTTAATGTCCCTGAGCTTCAGTTTGTCCGTGTGTAAAATGGAGACTATACCATCTATCTCTAAGAAACATTACTAGCGCTCCCAGGTACTTGATCTTTCTCTCATATGTGAAATTCCAACTTCCTCACAGTGAGACAGCCTCGTGAGTGGCTCTGCCTAAGGGGCGTATGTTGCTGCTGCATTGAGGCAGAGGAAAACTCCTTTGCAAACTTGCACCTCTCTGTGATGAAAAGAACTGTGGCCTTTGTTAATAGAACAGAGCCACAAGATTGAAGAAGCTGGCTTCTCAGACGTTCAACATGGAGATTTGCCTAAACTACTGGACATTTAAATAGGCGAGACATAAATTTCATGCCTTAAACCTTCCCTGAAGGTTTGAAACTGTCACCACAGCAGAAACCTAGCTTGACCTGGTTGAAGGACAGTTAGGAAATTATGTCAAATGCTGGAAAGTGAAGGTGGTAAGGAAACTGATTTGAAATGACTATACATATTACACAGTAGCATACTGCGTGGTACACCTTTGAATACTTGGAAAGCACACTACTTGCCTAGGAAACTTGTAGCTTTAGGGGAAGAAATGAAAGGTATACCTTAGTTCTTAGTGTCAGTGGTGAATAGCTACATTTGGCAGGGTGTTAGGAGAAACTGGTGAGCTTAGAAAAACTGGCAGGTTTGCAAGAGCAGTTATTTGAATAGCGACATCCCAGAAATTTTGGGGTTTTCAATGTTAAAAAGTTATTTGCATTTAGACACCACACAGTAAGAGATAAAATTTTAAAAGTTTCTGAGGGACAAAGGCAGATTAAAAATAACAACAACATTATGTGGGATGATGTATGTTAATTTACTTAATCATAGTAACTATTTCACTGTATGTGTATCAAAACATCATCTTGTACACCTTAAATATGTACAATAAAAATTTTAAAACAATAACAAAAACGTCCTAACGATAGTGTCAAAACCTCTCAGTTTACTAAAATAATGCTTGACAGAGATAAGATTGAGGATGTGATTTTCCCACAGAAGCCTGACTGGCTTAATGCAATAGCCCCACATAACGTGAACACCAGAGGTAATAGGATCTCGCAAACCGAGAGGGGCTCTGTGATGGGAGCGTTCTTACCCATGTCCAGAAAATAAGGAGGTGCGTTGTCAATAGAGAATTTTAAAACAATGGCAAAACCTACCAAAAATTAGCCTGACTTTTTATCATTTCCATGTGCTGGCAATTCCATGCCATGCCAGTGACAGAAACCTCATTCCTCCTGGGATAGACCAATCCTGCCCTTCTTGTTATACCATGGTATGAGGATAAGGGCAAGAAAACAAATTAATATTTCAAGCTTCACAACCCTGCCTGTAATCAAAGAAGCAAAAGCTACTGAGGTTTTGAGTCAGGTTGCTTGAGAATCTATGAAACTGGGCTATCACCATTGGAGACTTACTCCTCAGTCCCCTAGTATTCAACAGCCAGGAATTGGACTTAGAAAGCTCCTTAGCCAGCAAGAAGAGCACACTTCTCAATATCCTGTTTAGATGTGGCCAAGGGAAGCAACAGAAAATGAAGAGCCTCCCAGGGTGCAAAACATCTGCTACATAAATGGAGATATGCGTTTTACCCATAGGAGAAATATGGGGCCATACCATGTTCCATGTACACTTGAGAACGATAAGGCTTTAGCTTTAATGTTTTATATAGTTGTTGGATGCTATCTTAGTCTGTTTGTGCTGCTATAACAGAATACCTGAGACTGGGTAATTTGTACGAACAGAAATTTATTTTCTCATAGATGTGGAGGCTGGGAAGTCCAAGATCAAGGTACTGGCAGGTTAGGTTGCCTGGTGAGGGCTGCACCCCTTGACAAGGAGGACTGCAGTGTTCTCTCGTGATGGAAGGTGGAAGGGCATCTCACCAAACACTGCATGAAGCATTTTTTATAAGGGTCTTAATCCCATTCAGGAGGGAGAAGCCCTGTTGGCCTAATCACATCTTAAAGATCCTACTGCTTAATACCATCACGTCGGCAAACACCTGAACTTTGGAAAGGACACATCCAAACCACAGCAAATGCGGTACTATTGCACATGTAAAAATACATGTTAAATATATCAGTTGATCAAATTTGTTCATTGTCTTGATATTCTATGACCTTGCCAATTTTTTATCTGCTAGTTCTATCAGATATAATGTGTTGAATTCTACTACTCTTGTGGATTTGTCCATTTCTCATAATTATGTCAGTTTTGTTTTATATATTTTGAAGTTATGTTATTGTACATATACATGTTTAAAGCTATTATATGTATCTAGGAAATTGACCAGTTTTCATCGTAAAATTTTTCCTCTTTGTTTCTAGTAATTCTTCTTGCTTTAGAATCTAGTTTGTCCGATAGTAGTATTAGTACATTTATATTTTGGTTAGTGTACATACGTAATATCTTTTTCCATTCTTATATTTTCAACGTTTCTGCATCCTTCTATTTAAGGTGTTTCTCTTAAAAGTTGCTTCTACGTGGGTTTTTGTTTTTATTTCTTTCAATTGACTACATACTTTTGAGATTAGGTACTCAGTTTACATTTAGTGTAATTACAGTTATATTTGGGTTTATATCTATTATCTTACCATGCTAATACTTACTATACTAATACTGCTTTTCTATTTAACCCACTTATTTTTCTTTCTCCTTTTATTTTTGCCTTCTTTGGGATTAATGTTTATTAATATTATTATCTCACTCTTGACATTCTCTTATCCTGTTAATCATCCTTATTTTACTTCTCTTTTAGTGGTTACCCAGAGGTTATCATATAAGTTTTTGGATTATTTCAATCAAATCCAAATTATTACTTTTTCTACTCTCCTTGTGAATTTAGAACCTTAGAATACTTTAAACGGGGACCCTAGAATAAACTTCTAGACTTATTGGGATTGTCTCAGGAGCTTTGTGAGACAGAAATTGACCATTCTAACACAGTTGAGAAGGGATGAAAAAGGAGAAACGGGCATTTTCTTCTGCAATGCGGTGCTGATTGCAGCCTCCTATACTCAAAGCAAAAATAACTTGTGTGTATTCCCCTCCAATACCACAGCAGTGCCTCAGCACACACAGGGACATTGTCTTGGCGGTGTGCAGCATTTTAACCCACTGCACAATGGCTAAAACCATCTAAAAAAATCAGGACTATTAGGAATTTTATTATAAACTTTGATAATATAAGCCAATTCTCTTCATGCCTTAGTGTCTATTTGACTACTGCAATACTGAGCTCTCTCTATGAAGGATTATTTTCTGTTGAATATAACAACTGCCAAATAAATTGCTAGGAGAAAAAACAAATTAAAGTAAAAGGTTGCAAATAGTATTTTCAAAATTGGATCTTTAGTGTAAAATTATATTTGAGAAAAACTATAGTAAAATGGATCAAATTTTCAGTGTTTTCTCCTTTAAGGCATCTCAAGTAAAAACTGCTTCTTTTTTTTTTTTTTTTTTTTTTTTTTTGACAAGATCTTCCTCTGTCACCCAGACTGGAGTGCAGTGGCTTGAGCATGGCTCACTGGCTCACTGTGGCTTCAACTTCCTGGGCTCAAGTGATCCTCCTGCGTCAGCCTCCCAAGTAGCTGGGATTACAGAAATGTTCCATAATGCCCAGCTAATTTGTTTTTCTTTGTTTTTTTTTCTTTTGTAGAGACAGGTTTGTTACTCACACTGTTCTTGAACTCCTGGCCTCAAGCAGTCCTCCTGCCTTGGCTTCCCAAAGTACTAGGATTACAGGCATGAGCACCTGTTCCTGACCTGTTTAAAATATTTTAACAGTCACAAGTCAGTTCCAAACAAAGTTATGCTTTAGAAATAGAGGGGAATTCAATGCCACACCATTTTTAACCTAATACTATCTGGCCTATTAGCTATTGGCTCTAAAATAGCAATACCGACTGAAGAAAACAGTTCCATCATCTGAGCTACCTAACCTGTAACTGGTTAGAGCTTCTGAAAAGCTGTAATATAACATTTGTAGATGTGGCCAGTAAAATCCGCCCACAACTCTTTATTAAATTCTGAGGGCATAACAACAACTTTCTGACATAGGGCAATATAATTTAGATGGCTGAGATAATTTAGAATTTCACTAGTCCTGAACTCTCAGCTTTTTTCTGCAAAGGACCTGTTAGTAAATATTGTACTATCTGCAAGCATTCAACTACGTGGTTGCAGCACCAAAGCAACCTTAGAAAGTACATGAATAAGTATGGGTATAATCTAATAAAACTTTATTAGCAAAGCCTAGTGTTGGTCAATATATGCAGTGTGTTTCATTGTTTGCCGATCTCTGATCTAGTTCGGATTCCTCACTGAATATACGATGAAGGTGGGTCACAAAACTATTGTCCAAGAACGTGAGAGTCACCGAGATGCCCTAATAATAATTCCTCATGAGAGGGACTTTTCTATACTTAAAAACATAGAATTTATTTCATAAATGTTCTCTAAGCCTCAGTTTCCTTATGGACAAATGGGAATAATGATGATAGAATATACCCTTCCTTTCACACAATGTCTGTCTACAGTGGAAGTTCTCAGTTAATATATAGCAAGTTATTTTGGTAGGAAGTTCTGAGGTGACATTTGGGTAGGGACAAAGCATACACAGCTCTAGTTCTGCACCAGAAGCCTGAGTGTATACACATGAATGTGACTATTATGGAAACCTGGCTCAGTGGTACACGTACCCAACAATGTCTTATTTATCTTTCCTACACCAGACCTCAGCAAAGAGATCCTGGAACAGTATTTTTGTATTTTGTTGTCAGCCACCAACTCCCTTGACTTTACATATTCTGGCCACAAAACAACAAACTGAAGTTTTACTAGGATAAAAGAATACAAATGATCGAGGGATCATTCAACAGACATATGCACCACGTTCAAGTTTTTCAGGTGGGTTTGTTGACGAACCCCATGTTTCCTGAATAGAAACCCTTGGCATGATGTCTTCATCCATGACAGTCAAAGGTTCTACAGCCCTGTTGTGTGTCTGCAGCCCTGCTGTGTGTCAAGCACTGTTGTAAGCACTTCTCTTGCAGGAACTTATTTAATGCTCACCACCACCACCACCACACTGGGAGGTCTTCATTCACGTGCTAGACACTCTTCTATGCACTGCCACGTGGTAGGGAACAAAAATGACAAGGTCCCGATTCTCCTCCAGTATATTCTTGTACAACTACCTATAATTTCACGTAGTTGTAAGTGGTATTAAGAAAAGTAAAGCAAGGTAAGAAGACAAAGAGTGATGCAGGAGTTCTTTTAGAGATGATGGCCAGGGAAGTCGTCTCTTATTGAGCAGGAGCCTGAATGAAGTGAGAGAGAAGGCCAGGGACACTCTGGAGAAGGCTTTCCTGGTGGTGGGAGAAATATGTGTGGAACCTAGGTTAGCAGTGTGCCTGGCATGAGGAACAGCAGGGTTAGCAGGGGCAAGGCAGTGAATGCCAAACCCTGACCTGTGCCCACGCTGGAAAATTGCAGTGTCCCCTGTCTGAGCTGCACTTGGGATGACCTCCCAAGCTCCTGCAGCAGCCTGCCAGGCAGGAATCTCCACGGTGATGTCCCCCACAATGGCTTATCCATTACATCAGGGATTTCCCCTGAAGAGTATGACATTCCTGGATTCTCACACAGCATGCTTTCTTGTCCTCAGAACTTCCTGCTTCTCTAGATACTCGTGTATAGGAACATCTCCCCTTGCATCAGGAAGGAGCTGTATTAGTCAGCTAAGGCAGTGTATTAGTCTGTTCTCATGCTGCTAATAAAGACATACGCAAGGCTGGATAATTTATGAAGGAAAGAGGCTTAATTGACTCACAGTTCCACATGGCTGGGGAGGCCTCACAATCATGGCGGAAGAGCAAGGGACGTCTTACATGGTGGCAGGCAGGACGAATGAGAACCAAGTGAAACGGGAAACCCCTTATAAAACAATCAGATCTTGTGAGACTTATTGACTACCAGGAGAACGGTATGGGGGAACCGCCCCCATGATTCAATTATCTCCCACCGGGTCCCTCCTACAGCCTGTGGGAATTATGGGAGCTACAAGTCAAGATGAGATTTGAGTGGGGACACAGACTTACCATATAGGGCAGCCATTACAAAGGATTACAGACTGGGTAGCTTAAGCAAGGGAATTTATTGTCTCATAGTTCTGAAAGCAAGAAGTCCAAGATCAAGATGTCTGCAAGGTTGTTTCTTTCTGAGGCCTCTCTCCCTGGCCTGCAGATGGCCACCCTTCCTGCTGGCTCTTCGCATGGTCCTTTCTCTGTGCATATGTGGCCCAAGTGTCCCTTCCTCTTCTTATAAGGACACAAATCATATTGGATTAAAGCCCACCTATCTGATCTCATTTTGACCTAATCACGTCTGTAAACGTCCTATCTCCAAATAAATTCACATTCTGAGGCATTGAGGTTTGGGACTTCAAAACACGAATATTAGGGGAACACAGTTCAGCCTATAACAGGGTTTAGTGGACCATGATCCAAACTTTCTGTAGAAGGGTTTCTGTGGTCTTTCCCGATGACTGGATACATGCTCATTGTGGAGAGTGACTGATTTTCCACACTCTGGGCATAGGCATAGCCAGCTCCTTCCAAGGAAAATCAATCAGCCTAAGCTTTCCCCCAAGGGACAGGATCTAAGGGATCTGCTGGACACAGAGGTCTACTGGACTATCAGCTCCAAGAGGAGCTTGTCTTAGTCTGGCCCTGCCTCTGGTACCTACTATTCTACCCAGCTTCTAGCATGCCTTCAATGCCTGCATGTCAAATGGATGAAAGCTCTCAACTCTACTCTGAGAGAAAACTGGGAAAGTCAGTGTTCACAATTTCTGCTTCAGCAACCTGGACTCACATGCCCAAATGTTAACACAGTGAAAAATGTAAAGATTATCAGAATAGCTTCAACAACTTCCATTATTATGAGAGAACTCTCAAATAACATGACTTTCCTATTTTATGATATTGTCCGTATGTAGAATTGTTCGTGGTTAACTCTTGAATTCACTACACTGTGGCCTTCGGCATCCATGATGTCCTTCATTGTGACGTTTGAATTAAACTCTTTGATTCATGGGTATAAATTTGAAGGCGTAGTTAAGGTTGGATCAATGGATGTGCTTTGAGCTCCACTGCTACCTGACAAATCATTTATGTTCTGAGACTGACTTTCATCCATTAAAAATGGAGTGATAATGATTTGCCAGGTTGAAGGAAGAAAGTGGAGCGGATTATGTTTAGGGGTATATTCTATTTGAGTATGCATTCTTAGGTCTATGGTTTGAACACAAACTGGTGTGTCCTTTAAAAAAAAATCAGACCCAAGTGGACCCTCTGATTGTACTTCTATTCCTCATGAGGACAGCCATGGTTATTGGAGCAGAAAATAACAAATTAATGCAAAGCAAAATAAAAAATAATATTTTGGGGAGAAATTTTTAATGAAGGCACAATGTCCATTTTACAGAATTTAATTCAAACAGCAGGCAATGCATCTTCCAACTGAAACATTATTTCTGTTCCCTGCCTACTTTATCATGACGTCTTTATTATGCTTTATCCTAAGGTTGCTCCCACCACATCAGAAATAATTTACCCCTAGCCAGGTTTCAAATCAAGGATATCCATCAATGCACACTGGTTTGAAGTGATGATGTTATTTTAAATACAGGGGACTGAAAATAAATGAGTTGAAAATATTAAATGCAGTTGAAGTTCTTGTCACACCACAAGGAAAACGTATTCCAAACCAAATTAATTTAGGAAGTAAGACATTCAGAAGCATCCTCCAATCAACTCCAGTGTGATGTATTCTGATTGTCCTGATGAATAATGCAGTAGGATGTGAACTTCTCCAGCATATTCTCCAGTGAACATGAAAAAGAAAAGATAGCGTTCTAACACCACAGCTCTTCAGGCTTTTCCAAAGGGGACAGTGTTTGCGAAAAGGTTCTGAAGGAGCAGCAAATCTCTGAGCCCTGGAGAGAGGGTCTTGCTAGTAGTTGGATGTGCAATGTTGGATCAACTCCTCCTGTCCCCTGGCTGGAATTCTTCTGTACTTCAGTTTTCCTTTTGTTTCGATGGCACTTCTCCCAACAGTGCTTGACAATGAGTGATGCTCTAAAACCCTGCTCTTTCACACCCTGTGGGTGACCTATAACTTTTCATGGGTAAACTTTGATCTGAGAACTGACAGTTTGATTTATTGTCCAGTGTTATGATTTATGAGTATCTTCTCAGAATAATTAACAGACAACAGGTGGCGGCATAATAATTTTGATTACCCAGCGGTTCATGAAACCACGACAAAGGTGACTTCATTTTCTGAATAAGAGGAGGACAACAATTAGAAATTAAACAAAGAAATGCTTTTATGCCACAGTTTTCGGTCTTTTGTCTGTCACACAGAAGACTTATTTAGGAGGCCTGCATTCCCCTTAGACACCAGGAAAAAATAAGGAACTTCTACTCTGTGAATGTAAGAAGACACCCTTCATCAATGTATTGGTAGAATTATTTTTCTTTCTTCGGCGAAGTCTTGATTAATTGAGTTATGTCAAACCTGTCAACCAGATCATCTTTTAACATCCCATTTTTGAAAATGGCCACTGCCCAGGGAAGATTTGATGGTCAAAGAAAGTTTGGGAAAGCATTTAACTTTTAGTATGGCATTTGGACATAATTCTACCGACTGTATTTCTGAATATTTCTTCCTAAGTATGAAGGTAGAAAAATTTAAAAATAAGCACCTCCCCACACGTCCTGCACAAAATTTATTTTTCTTCTAAAGCCTACAGATAGGAAGCTGTGTTTTTGAAAGCATTATATTATTATGGTTAGCAATAGTTTTAATTTCCTCCTCTGTCTTTACTATTGTGTGATATTTTTCTCCAACAGACACTACATTTCTTTTAATTCAAGACAATGGTGGCAGCCTTCCTACAGACTTTATTATAGACACCTTACGCTCCTGGGGATTGACATTTATTTTCAAATGAATCTGCGATGCATTTAGGTAAGCACCTACCTTTAGGAATGCCTAATGCTGTTTTTGTAATGCTAAATAAAAATCAAGTCAGGTAAGATTTATCCTCCATAGCTCTCCACTTAATCTCTGCCAAAAATGGACCTAAGTGTTACTAATGAAATTGAAGTACACAGGCCTCTGAATATGTAACAGACCTGCCTCACACCCAAATGCTAGGTAGTTGAGGACCTCCTGTGCATATGAAATGAATTTTTGCACAGCACCACAATAGTGATATTACAGGCTTATCATTTTAATTGACTTTTTGACATATAAAAATATTCCTACAATCCTGCTTTACATTATAGTTTAATAACAGCTTAACACACATCTATGAAATATTCATTCCTGTTACATTCAAATTTTTAAATATCTGATGGAGAGCCTGGTTAATAGATAAAGGAGAGTCCCTGGAATATTAAAGAGACCTTAGGAGCAGATAGGGTCCTCCACTGAAAAGTGAAGCACAATTACCATGAGGATCACAGATTTTTTTAAAAATAAATTCATAAAGATTCCCTTGAACCAAAACGTGGTGAATATAAGAACAAATTTGTTGCGGGTAATCTTCCTTCACCTATTACAGCTGCAGGCAGAGCTGTTTCTGCACCGTGAGGCTCAGTCAGCACAATTGTATTTCTGGAAAAAAAAAAAAAAAAGAAGAAACAGCAACACCAGATTTATGTGTTTATGTCTAAAGGATTATGGTGGGAAAACTGGCATACTCAGTGAGGATCTCTGCAAATGAAGTGCCACATATATTCCACATTTAGTTAACATGGCTCTCGGGTCTCCACACACCCTCAGCTTTGAACAACAACTTGGAGGGACAGTTTATCTTGAAAACACGATATGTGTTTGAATCATGAGGTAATTTTGGTACTTTGTTCCCCATCAATTTTTAAATTAATTATCTGGAAGCAAGCAGCGGTTAATTTTGGCCATAGACTTTTTGATTAGAAGCTTTGACCCCTTTTGCCTTTTGGCATCTCCTATACAGTCCTGATGACACGCAGGGTAACCCTTGACACCTGATTCAACACAAAGTCACAGCCCAGCCCGTCTTCCATATTCAGCAATCCTTTTGTTGCAATGGGACACTCACTCACTTCAACCCTCCTCTGAGAACCACTGCCATTCCTTTAAGGCAACCCCGAGTCTGCATAAAAGTTGTTTCCCAGGGAAAAGAAAAAAAAATTCTCCACTCCCCCCACCACCACTTTGTGCATGACTTCTGTTTTACAAACTTTACACTACAGCATCGTCCCATATGTTTGTGCAGCGCACAAGGAGGTTTCTTTAGAAAGCGCTGATGCTAATTATAAATTTAATTTGCATTTTAATTAGAATGGTAGCAAATTAAAAGCGTGGCAGCTGGAGAATTTTGAACGCTTTGCAGAGATTTGGTGTCAGTATCTCCCCGTTTTTGACTTTGCAGCCTTTTCATTTTTCTGCCTCACTATCTTTCATTCACACAAGCATACCGGCAATTTTTTTCTCCCTTCTTCCCTCATTCCTCAGTCTCTCTCTCTCTCTCTCTCTCCTTTTTCTCTCCTTCCACTCTTTTATATGTAATTTTATCCCTCCTTTCTTTCCCCCAAGGATCAAGTTATGAATTATTTCTTTCCTGTGCTGATGATTGGAATGCGCCGGCACATGGTGGGCAGTAGTGACAGAGTGGCCATTTACAGAGCATTCCCTAGCCTCGTTTTGCCTTCCATGTCTGTTGTACAGTTCCAGGTAGGGATCCGCTATTTCCCCTCTTTGAAAAAGGGGGCTATTTGTACTTGTATGGCCTGTATTTAGTCCAAATTTTGGTCTGAATAATAGTGTCTTTAAACCATTTGAAATCTTGGCCACAGTTCTTCAGCACATTAATAAAATATTCATCCCATCCGGCATGACACCTCTCTCCTCCACGTCTGAGAAAAGGCATTGTTCGGGGTATACCTCTGGGCAAAAGCCCTGCGCTGTCAGCTTCTGAGCCTTTAGAGTGGCAGAGACTCCAGTCGCCGTGTTTCTCGGAGCTGTCTCTCACTTGGGATGTGAGCATGTCTGTTTTTAGCACTCACGTGAGCACAGTTAGTCAGTTCTGTCGTTTTCCCTATGTTGTGTCTCCATGGTCATTTTCCTTCCTTCTGTTCACTTCCCCCACCGTGTCCTTGCTCAATAATTTTCATTAATTGATTGACAGCTCTGATAGACCCAACTAACCTCCATCTCACTCTCATGTCTGTTTTTAAATAAGTACTTGTACGTCCAATGACCTTGTCGCCTCATCAGCTATCAGAAAATGAGCATGCAGATATGGAAAGAGCTGATTAGCAAAATAAGCAATAGATCTCATTTCTGGCTGAAGTCCACAGCGAGCAGCGGCAATGAAACTTTGCCATTTTACATTTCTACGAGAATCTAAAAATGAAGAATAAGCAATAAACGGGTGATGCTGAATCTCAGCAACATCCAATCCAATGTCCCAGGAAACAAGCCCTGGCCGATTGCTTCTTCACCTTGAAGGGAGAGGAATAGGGAGGTGTGGGGTACGCCCCTCAGCAGCCCCGGAAACAGAGGTTCTTCCTCATCACCCACATCATCAGCCTCATTAAGCCTGAAAGGAAACGGTTAAGTTTGGGGGAATTTCTCATCTTAATGGAAAGACATGAGCAGCCTGTTTCTATTTAATCCTGTGTGTTTTTATCTTTTTCCTGTGTATTCTTGATTTTGACGTATGCTAAATGTATCCGCCCTTCTGAGACGTAATTTTCCCACGTAACTAGCTCTACAACTCTCATCCACAAATTAATAGGCAGCAAAATGCGCTCCAGCCTCATCTGAATTCTAACTTTTTTTTAAATCTATAACCAAATTAGGATAAAGGAAAGGAAACAATCGCTGTCTGAAGTGATAAAACGTGTGTTTTGTTCTGTTTTAAATCTGCTGATTTTTACCTGAATTCATAGCCATGTCTATGAAAGAGAATGAACTGAGAAGTTACTAATTGTGGGTAATGACAAATCACATTTTTCACACTACCAAAAAATGTCAAACCAATCCCACAAATGATAAAATTCATATTTTCATTCCGAATGATTTTTAGTCGATAAAATGACTCATTTACCTTAATTTAATGCATACTTACTGTATACCTTCCATTTCAAGGCCCTTGAACATAATTTTTAATGACTTACATCAGGGAAGCTGATAAATGTGGATGTTTCTGAAGAAGAGAATAACGCGGAAATATAATACTTTCTATACTTTAAACCAAGTTTTGGATGCTGGGAATATTTAAATAAACAAATAAACTATTTTATTTATTAGTACACTTGATTAATATCATTCAGAGGTAAGAAAGCCCTGCCAGAAAAGTAGCCCCTTTGAAAATTTGGATCTCAAGAGAGATGAGAAAGACAATCACATTAGCTGTCTTTTAAAGTCAAAGGAAGAATTGATAAGGTGTGCCAAAAGTATCATCTTAATGATGGCAAAGGTGTCTGGGATTTTCCGATCCCAGTTTGGTTTTCCGATAATGTAAACTTTGTGTTAACAATGTGTTGTATCTCTCAGCTTAACAGTTTTGATTAAAAATAAATTTGCCCCTTCAATGTGTAATTCTCATTTGTCTGAGAATTAAATCTCAAACTTTAAAAAGCAGGAATATCTGTGTGATACTGGCATTTGAAAAATGTTAATACGCACACTGTCTTCAAAGAGTAATTGTTTAAAATGGTGGATAACGATATGCAAAACGTTGGCTATGACTTACCCTAATTAAGTGACATGATTACAAGACAAAATAGTGAAAATAAAAGTTCTCACTTTCGTGTCGTCATAACACCCACCACTTGCTTTCTTCTAGGCCAAAACGAACGCGTTGTGGTCAGAATCCTATACGTCGATTCCACGGCTCTAAAAGGAAACACACATTTTCGGTGGCGTTTTGACATGGACAGCATAGTTTTCTGAGATAAATCTTTTTCATCGCCACTTTGGAAAGGTAGAGTTTTTCTTCATGTAATTTTTTGCAGCTGCACAAAACACTTTCATTAACCCAAGAATGGATTATTTGGAGTGCTAATTAATTGATTCTTCAAAATGCCAATTGACACACTCCCAGGGAAAACCTGATCTAAGCAACTATGTTAATCAAGCTATTGTACTTATGGTTCTGTCTGAATATCAGACCATCTGAAATGAGGAGAACTTTGCCATTACTCGCCTGGCCCTCTCGTGGGCAGCTAATTAATATGAGCGGAATATGACAGTTGTACTTGTACGTTCACCGTGCTGCCTGACAATAACTCCATGAAATTACATTTCAGCTAAAGAATGGAAACAGTGTTAAATACCATTATTTGCCTTCCTTTGATGTCTCAGAGTCATTATGAAAGCAATTACAGCAGTTTCTCTGTCTGTATGTCTACGGGGTATTTATTATCTGTATCTGTCTGAATCCTTTGCCAGGTGGAGAATATATGGCATATTAAAGACAAGGGAATTCAGCCACAATTATCAGGATGGGAACAGAAGAAGAAACAAAATCAGAGTTTTGCAGATGATCCTGCTGGAAAACAGTAATTTAATATTAAAGCCTGGTGATCTGGGGAAAACTTGAAGGCTCTTTTCATTTATTTAAATTTTTAAAAAAATCTCCAAGTTTACAAAGCTCATGAATCTAGGGCAAAATTAATTAAAATCAACAGGGAAATGAGAAAACAAAAAAACAAAACAAAGCAAAAAAAAAAAAAAAAAAACTCATGTCAGCAGCAGAAAACATATTTTGCTTCTTAATTTTAAGTGAATATTCTTTCAACCAGCCGTTTCCTAACCAAATGATGTAATCTACTAGATGGATATTTTATTATCCCAGATAAAATCACCCATGGTGTTTTTTCATACATGGAAGGACGGATACCAAGAAGGGTTCCGTTTTCAGGCCACCTCCAGGACTTTTTCCTAGCACTACTGGAATCTGGCACGATGCAGACACATCCCCGTGTCCCAGCTGAGCGTGGGCTCCTCGCTCCTTGGTATCAAAGATGCCTCTGGACTTCAAAGGACACTCCTGATTGACAAGCAAGGTCTGGATGCTGACTGCCCCACAGAGGGGTTTTTCTCCGAGGATGGTGTCTGAGGACTGGCCTCTATATGGTTCAATTCCGGGAATATTTATTGTGGACTCCCCTGTGTGCTCCGCATTCTGTGAATGCTGTGGAGAATGAGATGAAAAAGGGATAGGGATGAGGTCTCTGCCTTCGAGGGACTGTGAGGAGAGAGAGAGACTGGCCATTTTTGAGTCAGGCTTTGGGCAAAACCTTTTATGTGCGTTCCCATGTTTCATCTGTATAGCAATCAAACAAAGTAGTTTCTGTCATCTCCGTTTACAGACAAACAGACCACAGTGTAGGAGGGAGAGGCAGTTTGTCCAAAGTGACGCCATTGTGTGGCAGGACTGGGCTTCAAACTCAGCTTCTGGTTGGCTCCAAAGTGTTTCTCTCTCCACTCATTCACACTCTTCCAAATGCTTAAAAGAATATCTGGGGGCAATAAGGGGCAGAGAGGGTATTATGTGCTCCTATAGATAGGAGAAGAGAGGGGCTAATCTAGATGGAGAAGATGGAGAGAAGATTCTCAGAGGAGTTTTGACCAGAAGAGGGTCTTACAGATAAGAAAAACTTTAGGGAAGAAGGGAGTTCCCCAACTTTTCTACCCTTTGGGGTTTTTAACAAAGACAAAAAATAATTTTGTATGTAGTGAAGATGAAAGACAGACTTTGTGATTTGGAAGATACCACATAGAAATATGTATTTATTTATATTACTATTCTGAGAAAGAATAGTATGAGACAGGCTGAGTTATGAATAACCAAGATGTAATGGAGGACTTTGAAGATTTGGCTGGTTAGAATTAAGGATCTGCATTTCTGATGTGCTATCTCCCTACAACTTTGAATAGTGATGGCAGAGCAGGCCACTTTTGGGGAAGATGAACAGACACAGAGATGGTAGGCGGAGAAAACTTAAAATGCTCCGCATACTGCAACAAAGAATTTGACAACCTCAACTGGAATGTATGATTCTTCTTTTTTCCCCTCCCTTTTCCTTCTCCTCCTCCATCTGCTGCGTCTTCATTTTTGACAAGTGCATTAGAGAAGTGAACTCACTGTCCAGAATGAGGAGGAAGCTCTAACAGTACTCCTGTTAGTAGCAGTTTCCAACTGGCACCTCTGTTTGCAAATAAAAATTGTTTCAACTCCTGCAAAAACAAAGTTGGCTGCTGAGACCTTTAACAAAGGGCTTAACTGGACGAGAGGCTGCATGTAAACCTGAGATGGTAACTACTGGAGTCGGGAAAATATAAATATTTATTGAAAGAGAAGGCCCCAAGAAACATTTTATTTTTGTCCTACTGTCATTTGGTCTCAGCAGAGTTCATGGTGTCATTATGTACAGAGATTCTGGATCTGAATTGAACTAGGTTTTCTGTTGTCTCCAGAAGAGAAAAAGTTACATATTTTTCAATTATGTGAGTAATAGAATATCTTCTCTATTTGGATTAATACATAAGCAATCAAAATACTAAGCACTTATGAGGGGAAAAATGACAAGGGCAGTAGAGTGAGATCAAGCTGGTTTCAAAGTCCCTCAATATTTGCTCATCTCAGTTCTCCCCCCTGAAATAGAAATGTTATTTACCTCCCATGGTTACTCTGATGCCATAAGTGAAATAAAACATATAAATTATCTAGCACAGTATCTGGCACCTAACAGGCACTCAATAAGCGCTGTCACTATTTGCCTTCATTTTTAAGTTTGGCATACCAAATTTTATTTTGATTAGAAATAGAAATTGGCAGAAAAGCCACTGATAACAATGAGAGTTAGGAACCGCTTTAACTAATTCCAACTTTTAAGAATGTGTTAAATGTTTCTTTCATCAGACCTTCAATTCTTCTTCTATATTCCATGGTGATTTTTGTAGGTTTTACAGCTATTAAGTGTTCTTTCGGAAAAGTGAACCTTCAAAACATCTGAATCCATCAAGATGGGCCAGGTAATAAGCGACCTCGACAGTCTCGGTGTCTCCAGCAATAGGTTTGTTTCTCATCCCTGCGTCACGGCCTGTTGTGGCTCTCTGCAGGCTCTGCGCTGCTGTCTTCTCTTGGGGACCTGGAATGTCTCGTCACCTCACTATGTCAGAGTGGGAGAACGCCAGAGGGTCAGCGCAGCTAAATGCTTCAGCCTCGAAGTGACCCTGGTCACCTCTTTTCACCAGAGGTAGTCCTGTGCCCCACCCAACAGCGAGAACTACCGTTTTCTCAGAAGAAGAGCTGGGAAACATGGTGACCTGCACTCCTGGATACCACAGTGGTCTTAGAGGACACGTGCTTCCAAGGCATTCTTATAAATGTCATTTGCTGAAATTAAAATTTAATAGCAGAGTAGGGTGACTGCAAAATCAAATGAATCCTTTATGACTGTAAACGTGTCACCTAATGCTTTCCTTTCATTCATTAAGTATCAGGTTGCCCTGATTTTCCAGCCAAGATAAACGATGTTTTCCTTCGGGATCAGTTTTGTCAGGAGCATCAAGACTCTGGAGACTATTTGAAGTGTGAGCAGACCCCTTCGACACTGGCTGCCAGCTCAGGTAAAAACTCCTCTCTTGCCCATCGCTAGCACTCCCGTGTGCTACTCTGATCAATAACTCTAGCTACAAAAAGCATCAAACACCTCAAAGACATCCCAAAGGCACAGGTCGCCAAAGGGAATAAAAAGGAAACGCTGCATATATTAATGTTCTCCTTAGGTCGCCCAGACATCCTTGTAGGCCTGAGGCCTACAAGGGGCCAGTGGTGATTGGGATGCTTGAAATTATAGAGCTGGAACAACATTTCTTTATGAAATAGCTTTTTGAGCCTCTAGAGAAAGGAATTCTAGTTCAAAGAGTGCCACTTTCCTGTTTTACAACCTGCATTTTCTCACTTAGTGAAAAAGGACACACATACAAAACAAGAAGAAAGTAAGACACCAGGGATAATGAAAATGATAATAACAATAACATTATTACGATTGAAAACAATGCAACTACCTGGTGTTGACAAGGGTGTGCAAGGGGCCTGCACTCTCATCCTTTGCTGGTGATAGTATAAATTAAAAAGCCTCTTTCTTTAGGGCAATTTAGAAATATATAGCAAAATTTTAAAAATTTGTGTTCTCTTTGACTCTGCGATTTTACTTTTAAGACTCTGTCTTAAGGAAATAATCAGATATGTATCCAAAGGTACTTTCATGCAGATTATCATCATATCATTTTTTATACCAGTAAAGTAATAGAAATAAGCTAAATATGGAAATATAAATTTGATTAAGTAAATTGACATGTGGAATGTGGATATACCATTATTATTAATAATTTGGGAGATTATTAGGTGGAAAAGTGAGATACAAACAGTATTATAGTTCTTTGTTTATAATGCACATGGGGTCATATTTCTATTTAAACAGAGAAAACGGACCGGAACAAAACAAAGACCTCTAAAGACAAGAGATGTAAGATATAAGGTAAAGTATGGCTGATTTGTCTTTTTTCCTTATTTTTTCTTGCACCTCTACATTATTTGAAAAAAATACAAACAAAAAAATTAATTAGCATGTCCCCTTAGAGTTACCAGGGTATTTATAACTATGTTTCTCGTCTGCTATGCCCCGAACATATGTAAAGTAGATAATTTATCTCTCTTTTCCAGGAGATAAAGGTGAAGTGCAGAGATATTAAACAATGTCTTAAACTAGCTTTGTAGCCGCAACTGGTCTATGTAAATCTACAATTAAAATTAGTGTCTATTGATATAAAACTAGGTAAACTAATAGTCTGTAAATTAATGAGAATATATATCTAAAAGAGAACTGAAACAATTCAATGCTTAAAACATTTGTTTTATATTAGTTTATATGTACTTTAATTTTAAAGCATCAAATTTAAGTTAGCAAAAGCTATGTTGAGATATAAAATGTCTCTTTTTTTTTTCTTTAAGGGTTAGGATATTGTTAGACTCAGGAGATAGGAAGGAATTGTTAATATGTCACATTTTTTAAGAAGGAACACATTCTGACATTTGTTAATTAAACTTTTCTTAAGGTTTAATGCATTGTCAAGATAGGACATATTTTCAGGGAAGCCTTGTGATCTTACCAAGCTTTAAAATAATCCAAAAGCTAGTTCTGACATTCTACCCAATGTAGATGAAAAGGTATTTTAAGCTCATGCAAATCTAAAGAAACAGGAACATTTGATTCATCCCATTAATTAGTAGGTAACAACATAATGAGGGAGAAACATTGTTTGTTTTCTTCTAAAAGGATGATTAATGCAGGTTTAAAAACATTTTTGCTTTTATAAAATTAATACTGTTTAATTATATGAAATTAAAATGTTACCATACAATATAGTTTATTTGGTATAGATGAGGCGAAAGGTCACAATGTATAGCCAAGATCACCTTGTACATTTTCCAATATTGAATAAACATGACAATTTTAAATCACAAATGCTGACGATATTTAAGAAGTTTCTCATGTCTGCTAATTTTAGTTTAATAATCTTCCCTCTGGAGAGCACTAGTTTTCCTGGGGTCATAATTCTGTACAATAAAATGAACTGAGACAAAAATGAGGCTAAAACCCATGCAATGGATATTATCGGATTACAGCAAAGGTGTTATCTGCATCAACACTTACTATAGCATGAGTAAATGTAATTAGTGCAGAGTGGCTTGGTGGGAAAGAGTACAAAACACGATTTGCTCAGCCTGACAGAGAATTTGGGAAACCGACACCTCTGGTCACTTCCTAGAAGGTAGTGTCATAAACGGCGTGAAGAGTATGAAAGAGTGGAAAGTGTGAGCTGTGGAAATCAGCAGAGCTTCTTAGCCACAGGATCTTCGGTTAATGTCCCAGTCTCCGAGCCTCACTTTCCTCCTTGGGCAATAATATAGACTGCACCAGGTCTTTTCAATGCGTGAAGCTGATAATTTATATAAAGAGGATGACATAGTAAAGGTCCTACATAAATGTTAGTTTCCTTCCCTCTCTCTTCCCCTTTTAGCAAAATATTAGACTATTAGGATTCCAACATCAGACATGGTGGATATATCCATCCAAATATGAGGTACACCAGGAAAACCATCTAAACTAGAATGAAATGTTGTTCTGAATTGACAACTATAAATAGATAGGGCAAATGTCATAAAACTTCTGGGTATTTTATGTAATGATGGATATTTTTACAGATAAAAATGGAATGCAGGGAGACCGAATAATAAATTCTCTATATTTAAATCATTAATCAGAAATTTGATTTAGGTTTGTTTCTTTGAAAAAGTTATAGAAATAAAACATCATTTGTTTACTCTCTAGAGTCAATTCTGATGCCACAGTGAAAGCAAAAAAATTTAGAAAAAAATTTATTGAATGAAAATTCTAAATGAAATAAACTACTTAGTCGAACTCTTTGGTTTGTGATTATATAAATGTTGCAGTGTCCACATTACTGAAGAAAGTGAGTTCCAATAATCGAGTTGTTCTGGGAAATGGTCTTGCTATTACGTTCATGCATGCCTGAGTCTAATCAGTCACAACACTGAGGTCAGCCTGGACTCCAGGCACCATACTACGTACTGAAGATAAAAAGATGAATAAAACTTGAACCTTATCTTCAGCTCTCTAAATAAAAATTAGAATAATAACTACTTGTACTTACTTCTCAACATCTGAAGGACTTTCATGTGTCTTTTGTTAACAACCATGTATAACAGTCTTTATTGTCATTAATTTCCATCTTAAGAACTGTGAAACTAAGGCTCAAAGAACTAATGCCATTTATTCAAGAACTACTTACTGGTTGACAGAAGCTCAAGAGTTAGGCAATACATGGTTCTTGATTGGATTCTGCACCTATTTGAAAAAGCAAACATGCTAAGAAGAAAGTGAGAACATAGAGAGTATGGCTAATGATGGATTGTGAATTCCAGAGGGCAGGATGGAAAGGTTTAAGCAGTGGGGAAGGGCAAGAGAAGAGGCAGAGGAGGGGACATGCAGCGGTTCATGATGGTCAGAGTGCAAGAGACAAGGAGTGGGTGAGCCATGGATCTGGGGCTTGTGGTGTTGAAGGACATCACCTGAAATAAAGGGCAAAGTGAGAGAGGGCCAAGTGGACTCAAGGCAGATATGGTGAAGAAGCTGCAAAGACAAAGTAACATTATTGGGACATGAAGGGCATGAGAATATGTACTTTATAAGTAGATTTGAGAGAGAGAGGGAGACAGAGAATGCACATGCAAAGGAATTACATTGTTAATGGTCCATAAATCTCAGTGAAGTCTGTATAAGTATTGATTGTTCTATTTGTGTAACTTTTCTGTGAATTTGAAATTTTTATTTTGAGACAGGGTCTCACTATGTTGCCCAGGCTGGAGTGCAGCGGCTGTTCACAGGTGCAATCATTGCACAATACAGCCTCAAACTCCTGGGCTCAAAAGATCCTCCTGCCTCAGTCTCCTAAATAGCTGGGACTACAGGCATGCACCACTGCACATGACACTGCACCCACTCCTGCACCTGGCTTGAAATGTTTTTCAAATAAAAATTTTGGAGACAATGCAACCTGTTATTGAGTCAAGACCTGGGCTAGACATAAAGCAGAACCTGCATTCAACCCCAGAAGTGACCAGCAATTAACCTCTCCAGACTTCTGTACTTCCCCAAGCTGCCTCTTTCCTCCACAGAACTCTGAAAGGAAGGCAGAGTCTTGCTTGCAGAACGGGCTGTGCTGACTTTGTCCCTCCCTCATCAGTGCTCTCAGTCAAACCCTGTGCATCTTTCTCCGCATCACATTTCTAACTACGCAAAAGCAAGTAGGCGGGATTATAGAGGAAACCCAATTATATTCAAATACAGTTATCAAAATATAATTAGAAATATGATAGAACAAGATATGTGCTTTTTTATTAATGGATTAAATAACAAGATATGGCAGTTGGTCTAATTACTACTATGATTTGAAGTAGTGATGAACATAAACTATATTTTGGGATATCTATAAAGTGATATAAAAATATCTATTGCTAACAAGTAGAGCTAATGCTAACGTTAGTGCAGCTCATTGCCTTCATTCATAATAGAAAGAAATGCTGAACTTCAATTAATCATTAGTGACTGTCTAAATTGAGGGACAGACAGATCCCCTCAGGCTATGAATCCTGGGAACTAGATGTACATGCCCTGAGCTCTGTGCTGGAAATTCACCAGGATCTCTCATCTTTATCTTCTGTGACTCTGATAACTCCTTGTAAACTGTGAAAGTAGTTGTTAGGATCCCATCGTGCCTTGTGTCTGCAGCTGAAGACTCGACGGCCTAATGTCATGATGTATTGTCATGATCTCTCCAAAAGTCATAAGGGGCTGCACATTCTTTCATCTTTGTATCATCTAGTGTCTGCCCCTTGATAAATCATTAGTACGTTTTTGATGAATAAATGCTATATTTTGTAGATCCTGGCTTTGTTTTTTTTTTTTTTTTGAAACGGAGTCTCGCTCTGTCGCCCAGGCTGGAGTGCAGTGGCACGATCTCGGCTCACTGCAAGCTCCACCTCCCGGGTTCACGCCATTCTCCTGCCTCAGCCTCCCGAGTAGCTGGGACTACAGGCGCATGCCACCATGCCCAGCTAATTTTTTGTATTTTTAGTAAAGACGGGGTTTCACCATGTTAGCCAGGATGGTCTTGATCTCCTGACCTCGTGATCCGCCCGCCTCAGCCTCCCAAAGTGCTGGGATTACAGGCGTGAGCCACCACGCCCAGCCAGTGTTTTATGTCCAAATAAAGACTCTAGTTATTGCCTCTTCTCTAAAACCCAATTTCAACTAAACCAACCAAAAACGTAAGTTTTAACCTACAATTCACTTTGATGATTTTTTTCAAAATATTTTAAACAACATTTTAAAAATTACTTTCAACGTAACTTCTCCTTTATAATAAGAGTAGGTAAAGTACAGAACATTCAGGTATTTTACTCAATGTGCAGACAGAGGTTCAGGAATTCACCTCTACTCTGTGTTGACCACACTAAATGTTGAGGTCGAAACCCACCCAACCTCAGTCCCCCTTAATTTATACCCTACCCCATTTAGGTGGCTTCCAATAAGAGTATATGTAATGACATGACTATAAAATACAAATTAAAATAACACATGTGCAAGAAAGGGAAGAGCGAGGGTCAACAAACAAATGTGAAATAGAAAATAGAAGAGTTACAGTTATAATAGTTAAGCCTCCAGGCTTAACTAGGCTAAAAGGGAATCATGGTTATTAATCTTAGGAGAAAAATTAAAACTTCCAGTTCTCAAGGGAAGTTGAATTTTTCCCTTCAAAGTCAAGTTCAAAGTGGTTGTTCCATGGAATCTCATCTAGGAGCACTGAATAGTGACAACAACAGTATTCTCAGCAACATTCTCCCAGCACAAGGTGGTGACGAGTTACTTATGGCTGATCTTGTCACTTCCTTATGACTTGGCTATGATCAGAATGTGAGTTATGATGGACTGGTTTTGACCAAACACAAATTTACAATCATCCCCTTTGGGCTCTGTGGTTGGTAGGCTCGTAGGTGGCCTTCTCAAGAATCCCTACTTCCTGGTGTTCGTGCCTTTATGTAATCCCCTCCCCTTGAGTGGTTCTGTGATTTGTTTCTAAGCCTTAGAATATGGCACAGATGATGGGATATTAATTTTGGGATAATGTTACATGAGGCTGTAACTTTCCTCTTGCTCATTTTGCTTGCAAACTCTATTGACTCTCCCTGAGCAGGCTCTGAGGAAGTAAACCTCTTTATGGAGAAGCCCATGTGACAAGGAACTGAAGGTGGCCTCCAGCCAACAGCCCTCGGTAAGGAAGTGAATCCTGCCCATGACACATGAGCTTGAAGGTGGATTCTTTCACAGTCGAGTCTCAGAAGATACTCCAGCCCTGCCAACACCTTCACTGTGGCACCAGAGACCCTGAGCCAGAGGACCCAGATAAGTCATGCCCAGATTCCTGCTCAACAGTAATGGTGAGGTATTAAATATCTACCTTCTTAAGCTGCTACATTTGTACTAATTTCTTATGCAGCAATAGGTAAATAATACACATTTTCAAAAAATTTAGAGCAGAGCATATGCTTTTTCCAGGCTGAATGGACCATCCAGGTGGGACTTGGGAACACTGCGTGGTGGTGTGTTTTCGGTTTTGGTCACTTTTCAATCTTTTGATTGTGATCTCTCATTCCCTCGTCAATACTGACATCAAATCTCAAGTAGAAAAGCCATGGTTAATATGGGAGTAACCTTGCCATGGAGTCAGAGTTATAAACAGAGGTATGATATGTGTGCTGAGATAATTAGAAAGTCATAAAAACTTAAGGGCAAAAGTGGAACATGTGTGTGGTTGGTGATATGATTTGGTTTTGTGTCCCCACCCACATCTCATCTTGAATTGTAATCCCATTGTCCCCACGTGTCCTGGGAGGAACCTGGTGGGAAGTAATTGAATCATGAGTGAGGTTCCCCTGATGCTGTTCTCCTGATAGTGAGTGCATTTTCATGAGATCTGATGGTTTTATGAGGGTCTTCTCACTTCTGTCGGCACTCATTCTCTCATTTCTTTTCTCTCCTGATGCCATGTGAAGGAGAACATATTTGCTTCCCCTTCCACCATGATTTTAAGTTTCCTGAGGCCTCTCAGCCATGCTGAACTGTGAGTCAATTAAAACTCTTCTCTTTATAAATTGTCCAGTCTCGGGTATGTCTTATTAGCAGTATGAGAATGGACTGATACATTTGGGCTTATGACAGGTGGCATGAAACATCTTCTGTGGGTCAAAGGCTCTCCAGGCATTTTGTCACACACACAAAAGCCAGTCTGTTTAAAAAACATATACACATGCAGACCCCAAAAGGGACTTTAGGTGAATATGTTCAGTATCGAGAAATAATCTAACTTTTGGAATAACAGATCTGGGATTAAATAAATTTTTCATTCGTTCATTCATTTAACGAATAACTTTTGACTATCTTCCATGATGAAGATAAAGGAGAAAAGAGATCCAGTCCTGCCCTCGAACTCACAGTCCAGCAGGGATAAGAGCTGTGACTATGTACTAAAGATATACTAGGTACTGGGCTACACCAAGAACTTGATACACATTGGCTCATTTGATTCAAAAAACAAAAGTTTGGTATTATCTCACTTTTACAGTTCAGCAAACTGAGGTTGAGAAGTCATCAAGCAAGTAAGTAGCAAAGCTGGAATTTGTAGAGTCTTTGGACTCTACCACTTGCTTTTGACCTCTGACTGCATTCTTCTTATGATAGTTTCTCACATTACCAAAACAATATCTGTTTAATATAAAACATGTATAAAATATGGGCAAATACGTGGAGAGAAAAGTTCACTTGATCTCACTACCATCTTTATAGCTATTATTCTAAAATGTCTTAGGGATGTTTTAGTGGGAAGATAGATGAATAATCATGTATATGGCCACAGTTTATTAAGCAATTTGTGCTTGATCTTTCAGGTTCTTTGGGGTTTCTTGCTGCAGGGATTGTTGCAGTGACCTACTTAAAATCAGTAGCTCTTTTGACTTTTGTAAAAGCTTAAGCTTAGACTTCTAAAAGGGATGATGCTTCCTTGTTCCAAAAAAGGAAAGAGAAGGATTATCTTAACTGGTTTAAAGGAGAAAGAAACTCCACCTAGACAATTAAGCAGAAAATGTCGGTGGATCCTACATGCAAGCTGGAGCCAGCTTGGTGTTTGTAGAGGTGAGGAGCCCACAGAGAGGGCAAGCTGTGTGGTTCACCAGGGAGTCTGGACCCCAGGCCACAGGGACAGCCCCAGACATGACAGAAAGTCAGCAGCACTTCTGCATCCAAGGCACCATGGGGCCATGTGTGTTGGAATATAAGCATTGGAGAAACTATGCCAGTCTCCTGAGACAAATGGCCTGAGGGGTCCTTCCAATATTTTAGGGCTCCCTGAGATCCAGAAATCCTTGCACACCTCTGAGAAGGGGACAACTCCTGTTGTGACTGAGACAAAATGTCCTGCCTTTCTAGTGCAGAGATACTCAGAGGGAAGTGGAAAGAAAATCACTTGATACTTCTGGTACCACTGACTTTGTAGACTAAGACCCACAAAATCCATGCTTGCTCTGCCATCACTGCAAATATTAATTTAGAAGGTATGATGTAGAGAGTGTCATATTGCATTGAGAGTCCAAGAACCCCTGGTTAGTAACACATTCAGTTGAATGGCCTTAAGAGCAAAATGAGGTTTTTTTTTGAAGAAAGAGAAATTCTACCCCAATTCTCCAGCATCGGCTCCTGTCTAGAGTTTTTAGCCTGTCGGCGTGTCCCACAATTTTAAGATTTACCTAGCCAAACCCCACAACTGTGTAAGCCAATTATTTGAAATAAAACCCCATCTATCTTCTACCTATCATCTATCTATCTATCTATCTATCTATCTATCTATCTATCTATCTATCTATCTAATTTATCCATCTACCTATCTATCATTTATATACCTTACTGGTTCTGTATTTTCTGGAAAACCTAATTGATATGCTGTCATTTGCAAAATTGAAAAAGGCATCATCTGGATTTATCAAGCACTTGGTATATATAACTCCTAAATGACTATTTGTTTTTTTACTTTATTAGAGCTTATGCCCAGACATAACGAGGGCAGCAAAGAGAGAGGGAGATAAATTCCCCCAACTCTCTGAAAAGTGCCAGTTGGACTTTCTTTTTAAGCAAGCATGGGAACTGACATCAGGGGTAGGGTGTGTAGGTTGGACTGGGCAAAGCCGGTGGGAGGCGGCGGGTGGGGTATGCAAGTTGGCATTATCTGGTTATTATGGTTACCTTAAATATTGGGCAACCTGGTGGTCTTGCCAGCAGCAACAAGGCTGTAAATCAATTGTTCAGCATTCTTTCCAAAGGTGGGACACTCCACAACCTTGGTTATCTCCTAAGGCCAGTTCCTGGAATTCTTAGCAGTGAGGTAGTGATGTGGGTTTTGTGATCAGTGGGAATGCATGGGAGAATGCTCTAGTGGTGATGAGCTGAAGGAAGCCCCATCTCTACTCTGTCTCAATTGGATGAAGTCCTCCCAGATTATCCAACATAATCTTTATCAAAGTTCAACTTATTATATAAACACATCTGCAAAATACCCTCTTGGCAACATGTAGATCCACGTTCAATTGAATAACTAGGTAATATAGTCTAGCCCAAATGACACATAAAGCTAATCATTCCTACAAGAAAGGGAAGACTTGAGCTGGACCTGAAGGATAATTAGGAGACAAAACAAGGACTGGCATGGCAGTGAGCAGGAGCAGTGGAGAGTCCCAGGCGGCTTGCAGCTTGTAAGGCATTTCGTCATATGCAAGTTTGAGAAAGGGCAATCTGGGGAAAGTGTGGAGAGTGATGGGGGAGTAGGTTTAGAAGGCTACAGAAGAGCTGTTAGTCTCAGTCCAAACACTGACAGTGAGAATAGAGAAGAGGGATACAACAGGGAAGATACGGAGATATGGAAGACACAGACTCCACAGGCCTCAGTGGCCCTCCATGTCAGTTACTGCTCATTGATCTCTATGTTGTTTTTGTCTCTCCCTGGTCTTGATGTTGACATCTTTTTCAACATCATACTCTGTTTAGCCATCACCATTGTAAAGAATCTCTAGTGGGAGAGGCAACAGAGTAGCAACATTGTGGCCACAGTTGTGTAGAGTGCATTGAATCCAGCACACTGGCACATACAAGCTTAAACCACACACTTGTGTGCATGTCCCTGCACCAGGATACAGACACACAGAATTTTTGACTGCAGAAGCTAATTCACTCACATTTTTTATCTTACCAGGAAACTTGTCAGTTGGAGATTCAGAAAGAGATTTTAAGATATTAGCTTTTGAATCTGTAACTAGAAACCTGGCCCATATATCTCTGTGAACAAAATGGAAATGGAATAGTAGAGCCTAAAGGTGAATAGAGACAGTAGGTGGATAAATATTTCAAATCTCAGTTCTATTCCCACAACAATTCCTAGAGTCTTACCTAGGCAGAGAATGAAATCCCTCTTGGATCACAGTATGATGAAATGTCTCTTTTTCCAGTGTTGTTGCAACAACTACCACTCATGATAGGTTGCTTCAAGGTCTATAATAGTCCCTGAATCTGAAATTCATGAAGTGCCCTCAAGATCAGCCTTGTGTGTGCTGAGTCTTAACTCTGCCCCAGTAGGCACACTGGTCCTTAAATCCCCTTCTGAACACACGCATGCCTGTCTCATGGCCCTCATCCCCCTCATTTTTCTCCCTGAGCATGCCAGGATGGCCCCCAAGCTTGCTTTCAGCTGCTTTTAGTTCTAATTTCAGAAAAAAAACAAACAAACAAAAAAAAAAAAAACCAAACAGTATCCTGTATACAGCATTTGAAATTATTTTATTCAGAAAAGTTCATGCTGGGCATGTATGCCAAGCTCCGAGCTAAGCTCCAAGGATCCAGAAATATATGAGAAACAGTGTCTTGCCCTATAGGAGCTCTGGAGAAAGAGAAATGGAGACAATGAAGAGAATCTAGCCTTGGCCTTGAATAGGGAAACGAAAGGCAATACTGGGGTTTGGCCTTGAGTAGACATCCAGAATACACCATTCCAGGACTAGCATAACATACTAGGCTGCTGAGGATGGTCTCTCTTGGAGGTAGTTCAGAAGTGGGAGAGGGAGCTGTGGCACTGGTAGGACAGAAACTTCAAAGACCAGGTGGTGGCGTCTGATATAGAGCCAGCTGATTGCCCTTTCCAGGTGAGTTCCAGGTGGTAAGGGAAAAGGGAAAAGAGACCAGTTCCCTGGGCTGTTAGCTAACTCCATGATGACCAATGGAAGAGCTTCAGGGTAGGGACACTATTGAAAAATCAGGACCAGCAATATGGGTGAAACAGGACACTTCTCCTGTTTATCTTCTGAATCAGTGGGGAAGCAGATGGCACCCTTCGCCTTTGAACCCTTTGGATCCTTCCGTGAGAACAGCTGTTCTCTGTAAACAAAGAAAAAGAGGATAATTAGAGGCAGAATGGCACACAGAGAAAGACATCCCAGATGATGGAGAGGAAAACAGAGAGAATGGGTGAGAAGGAGAACAGTGCTCCCTAAACGTTCTCTCTTCGTATACACAGAGGAAAGGTTATCTGGAGAACACATTTGGGTACGTGAGTGATTGTCCAAGGCCCATCCAGCCACTCTGGGGACAGCATGCATCGCTGTTGGCACAAACCCATAACCCATGCTGACCGAGAAGCTGCAGAATGATGCTGCCATTCCAAAGGGACAACAGGAGAGAAGTTGTGATCAAAGGCAAAAATAGAGACAAAGGACAGGAGCCTACCTAGGATAAGAAAGGCCAGAGTGAGCTTGGAGAGGGCAGAGGCTGAAGGAAGGGAGGAGGCTCAGTAGTGGGCAGCTGACTATGCCTTGAGCTATCACCGAAGAGACTCGTCTGGTTTACACTTCTTAAAGGAGAATACGCACCATCTCAGGAAAAGGGAGCAATGAGTAAATATGCACGAGCAGCACTTGGGAGTGAGGAAGGGGGCAGCCAAGGCACTGGAGAGGCTGAACTCTGGATCTCCTAACAAATGAATGGGGTCCTCCGTCTCATCCCTCCCACCATCCCCGGCAGCACCCATCCAGGTTCAGGAAATGGAGAAGGGAGGAAGTCAAGAAACTGGAGTGTTGGCTTTTGAGGCACAGACTCAGCCCTGCCACCTACTTACCTTCCTTTGCAGGCCACACCGGGCCCTTGAGGCCTCCTGGGCCACCCTTGAAAGGCCTCCAGCCGCAGGGACATGTCATGGCTTCTGAGAAATGTCGCGACGAGGTTCTGCAGAAGAGAACACAGGGGTGTCAGGATGTCCCCTCAGCATCAGGAGCCCACATTGAGTGAGAGCCTCATAGAGTTGGATTTTGGGAAAAGCTCATCTCCGGCTTGAGTGGGAGGTGCCTCAGGGCTGGGATCTCTTCATGCCATTTGGGGAATCTAGGGTGTTTTCAGCTCCTTTCGCCAACCCTTCCAGCCTCCCCAAGTGCACAGGGGCTGCTCCTCTTGCCCTTACCACCTGCCTCTCATGCCTGGCCCCAGCCACCGGTCTGAAGGGGCTCTGACAATTCACATTAAGAGAATTAGGAATGCTGCAATTTCATACCTGTCTTCCCACAAAGAAATGGTAGCCTAATAGGAGTCAGACCTACATCTGGAGTTGAAAACTGCCAAGGGCAGGACATCAGATACCTAGGACAAGGCAGCCTCTGAAAAGAGGGGGCAATTTCCTGGTAGAGACAGGAGTTGTCCTGGGCCCCTGACATCCCAGCCGGGGCCATTCCTCATGCCCTTCCTTCCCCGAGGCCCAGGCTGCCACTAAAGACAATTATCCCAGAAAGACACACAAGTGGATCCCTGGGCTTAGCGGAGATGGAGCAGCCTGGTCTGAACAAGATGCATGGGCTGGCCTTTTAGACGCCCCTTCTTCAGGAGAGTCCTGCACTCAGGAACTACATGGGAGAAGTGAAGTGGGTGCTCCAAAGAGCAACTGCCAGCACATGCTCGGAACCCTGTGGGCTGCCCCAGAAGCCCCAACGGACGCAACTGCCACTGGGCGGGTGGGGGAGGGGTGGCAGCTTGGGCAGCCAAGGGGCCCCGTCTCCTACAAACCTCCTGCACACCTGGGGAAGGCAGCAGCTCTGGGGTCTGCAGGGGGGCACCTCATGGTTCCCAACTCTCCTAGAAGCAAAAAGGGATTCAAAGAGGCCCACTTGATAACCTGTCAGGCTGCATAGCAGTGAGGCTTCCTCCTTTAGTAGGTTCTTGAAATTGTATATCTATATACAAATAGATAAATATACATATACAATATACAGGGTGGCTGCAGGTTTGCTACAACAAGGCAGTGGGTGAAGGTGACGGGTGTGCAGTTGTGGACTCTGGAACCCCCCAAGGGGCTCCCCTGCTGGATGCAGAGCTGGAGCCTTTGGGCGGCTGACCAAGACAAAAGGGAAGAGGGATGAGACAGAAAGCAGGGCCGCAAGGATGCAAGGCCTTGTCTACTAAGTCCTGCTGTCCCATGTAGGCCATCACCCCTGACCTATCTGAGCCTCAGTTTCTCTGAAAGGAAAATGGGTCATCAAGAGACAAATACACAAGAGGAAAGGAGAAATCATGAGGGCAAAATGTCCAGGGTGAATGGAGGGAAGGAAAAAGTTACGGAGATCAAGTAGAACCACAGACAGGAGAGAGCCTTTGGCGAGACAGGGGCAGAGAGGTAAAAGAGAGGGGAAGTGATGGGAAGCCAAGAAGAATTGGGTGGCAAGGAGGAGGAAGCTGAGAGTGGAATGGTAGAGACCTGGGGGAGGTAGAATCAGGAACCAGGGCTGAAATGCAGAAGAAACAGCTTACTGGACCAGTCAGGGTTGGCTGGGTGGACCTGGGATGTGCAAGGTATTTTCTCGTTCCAGTCAGAGGCAGGAGACAGGGAGTGAAGGGCGCCAGCTAAGGCAGGACAGGAGGAGGACAGAAAGCCCAAAGTGTCCTTCTCCTGTCCCCTCATCCTCTCTCTCTCCAGCCCTCCCAAAAGCCTTGCCCCAGAAACAAGGGAATGGAACCCAGGAAGGTGAAGTAGACGGATGGGGTCTGGGCATCCTTTCCAGAGAGAAATGATAGCTTAACAGTGATCAGCTGAATGGCCAGGAAACACCCCCATAATGGTGGAGGGCTGAGCATCCAGTACTGTAGCCTAGGGGAAGGGGACAGGCTTGAGATCTTCCCAGACTCCTCAGACTCTAGCCGAGGTCTCCTGTCCATGGAAGCTCAGGTGTGAGGGAGACTCAGAAATGGCTCCCAGGTGGAGAAGATCGGGCTGCCTCCTCTGGGGAGGTGCTTGAAGCCTTGTGGGTACAGCACAGAATAGCCAGGAGAGGGGGGTGCCAAGGCATGCCCACCTCCACAAGAGCCCCCGTGAGGCTGCTCCCAAAACCCTAGCAGGAGCACCTCCACTTTTCCTTCCTCCAACCCCCGGGGGTGGGGGAACTCCCTTTGGACCCAGAGAAGCCCTCACATAGTCCTCCTGCTGGCCAGCTCTGCTATCTCAGGGCCCAGTGCCCTGGGAGAAGATGAAGGCCATCACTGCAGATGAAAACCAGAATCAGACATCTGGGGAAGAAGTGTGATCCCAAGGAAGGAAATAAATGGCTCCCAACGTTGCTCAGTGCTCCCCTACTAAGCAGGAGATGGATGTAGGATTTCTCTTCAGGCAGGGCTCTGGAGCATCTAACTGTGGTGTTGCTGTTGGATCATGTTCACACATGTAGAGAGCCTGCAGAAAAGGATTTTGTGGGGAAGGTCCATTAAAACCTTTCTAGGTAAATCAGAGTTCAACAGACCCAAATGCCAGGCATCCTGGCATCCTGGCCAGGACACCACACCACTCACTTCCCTTTGCATTTCCCTATTGTCACTCTCGTCTGATATTTGTTCAGGAATTCACCCATCTGTAAGCTCATTGCTTTATCAAATATTTGTTGAGCTTTGCTGGGCAGAGGGGATACAAAAATGAATGAGACAAAGTTCCTGCATTCAAGTACCTTGCTGGGCAGTGAGAAAGGGCAGACTGACATGCTGAGAATGAAGAGAGAAATACAGGATGCAGGCGGATGGCTCAGGTAGACATACCCTTTAGTCCCTGCTCTCATGGGTAAATACAGCTACTGGGAGAAAGTTAACATCAAAAAATCCTCCAGGGGAGTCAATGATAATATTTGTTGCCTCTCACCAGGCAGATAGAAAGTTGGAAACCAGAAAGTTCTTTGCCTACTTGGGAATGTATAGTTTAAAACCAAAACATACTCACACCTATTAATCGGGGTCCTTCCCTTGAGCAGCACCGATGTCGGGGAAAAGAAAACTACCTGGCAAGTTAGGATACAGCAGGAACGGTCTCCAAGACAGCCATTGAAAATGCTCCCAAATGCTGGAGACCTCAGGTTTGAAGGGGTTCTGATGGCCATATGGACTTATAAGGGACATGGTTCAGAGGTTTCCTCAGACCAGCACAGGACTTGGGGAGGGGGAGCAGGGAAGCCCCCAGGATCCAGATTTTTGGGATGTCAGTGCTACAAGGGCTGGGCTTGTGGCTGGAAGCTGTGTCCTTGGTGTCCCCATTTGAAGGGCAGAGGCCCAGGGGCAGGTCCCAAGAAGATGGGGACAGCCCAGATGATGGTCAATGGAGTCTTGGCTGGCGGGGGAGGCGGTTCCTGGAGGGGGCCGCGAAGAGGTGGAGTGACACTGGAGTATCACCAAGGTGGTGCTTCCTTGCCACCAGAAAGCCAGGCCTGGGGAGGAGAAAGGAGGAAGATGACTCAGCTGGAGTGACAGCCCCCCTGCTCCCTGCTGCCCCTGTATTGGGCTATCACTGCTGGGGAGTGCATCCAAACAGAGGGCTATTTGATCAGTCTTAAATACCCACAGGACTCCCAACTCAGGAGAGACAGATGGGCAGAAACAGAAAAGTAAATGCTGAGATTATATCTGAAGAAAGAGAGAGAGCATAGCAAGAGCAAAGAAAAGAGTCAGGATGAAAAACCTCATTGTGTCAAGAAAAGAAGGAAGGAGAGGAGAGGAAGAACACAGTGTCCCTTAGGAAACCAGAGTCAGAGTGAGGTCAGGACAAGGCTAACAGCGCAGGAAGAGGTGACTGGCTGGACCTCACCCAAAGAGGATTGAGCCTGAAGGCTTCAGGGATGTGGTCTGTGCTTCCTCCCTCTGCCCCTAACTCTGGGGACATGCCTCTCTTGGGGATAGAATGCAGATGAAGAGAAACAGAAGTGGCCAAGTCAAGAAGCCATGGGCTGAGGGTGCCCCAGGTGCCCACTTCCCTTGGGGCAAAGCTCATCCCTAGTTTACTAGGAGTGCCTGACAACTGGCCCCTGTCCTGGGCCAGTCCCGAGCCCGTACAGGCAACAGGGCACGTGTTTTTGAGCCTCTCTCCCACCTTCCAGCCCTATCCAGGTGTCTCTGGGAAGGGTTCTTGGAGCCTCCCCCTACTGTCAAAGGAGGCCCTCCAGCAGCTGCCCTGCCTGACCGGGCACAGCTGACTCTGAGGAGTCGATGCTTGCAGCCCCATACCTTTTTTCTTTTTTCTTTCAAAAAGATCTGCATCTTAACTACAGTCTGTTTCCCACTGAGAGGAACGTGGCTGCATAGTTGATGTCAAGGAGAGAAAGGACTGTTTGGGGCTGAGGGGTGGGGACATGGGTCCTGGATCCCCCTCATCCTTCCCTGGGACGCAGACAGCCCTGGGAAGTTCAGTTATGAGGAGGACGCAAGGGACCCTAGCTCAGCCCCCGGCAGGTGGGCTGGGAAAGGAGTGGCCCTTCGTCTGGGGAGGGACTGGGCTGCTCTGTGCCCAGAAACTACATGGATAAGCAGTTGCGTGATATGCACCCGAAGCCAGTCCCCAGGAAGCCCTGCCATTGAGAGTCACTGCCACCCCATGGCCCTCTCTGCACCCCTAGACCCCACAGATAGGGAGGAGGGCTGGTCCTGGACCCAGAGGACCCCTCAACTGGAGTGAGGCTCCCCAGCTCCTCTTGCCCAGAGAGCTCTGCCAATGAAAGGGCCCTCCAAAGAGACCAGAGCTGAGAGATGGTCCAAGCTCCCCTGCGGCAGTTGTGGCTGTAAAAAGAGGGGTCTCAGGATGAGATCTGGGGCGCCTGAAAAATGGTCAAATCCCAGTGCTGGGATTACAGTTCAAGAGGCAAGCAGCAGCAGCCTGCTCCACGAGGTTAGGCTGAGGGCTGCTCTTCAGCTTGGCTCCCAAAGTGGTTTGCTCTGGATCAGCTGCTTTGAGTATTTGACCCGTGAGTGACCTGCCACTTTCAGGTCATCTCGGACCCCAAGCCAAAGTCTCACAGAAGTTGCCACTCATGACTTGCCTGAGTACACGGCACCGAAACAAACAATGCTGGCCTGCTTTCTTTTCCTTTCTCATTCCACCACTCTCCACAGTCATGTCTCCATTCACACATGTATTGTTCACTGAACAGCTATTAACTTGGCCTTGATACGAGACATAAAATAGTGAGTGGCACATAGTCCCTAACTTCAAGTTGCTCACTGCATCCTGGGGAAAGATACGGTCCTCATGAGGAGGGGGGTATTGTTGATGCTTGCTGGGGCCTTCCTTAGACTTCAGATATCGTAGGCTATCTCTTCCATTGTACCTCATAGGGAACTAAAATAACTTTAGATTGTAAAGATAGCTAAAATGTCACTAGAAAACAACTTCAATTAGAAAATATTTTAGGGGTGGCAAGGAGTGAGTAGGCCTCTGCCCATCAAGGTCTCATGGTCTTAAAGGAGACGCTACTTTGGGTGACTAAAGTCCCATTGTCTGCCTTTATGCCGTACTGGCATTTTAAGGACCAGGAGAAATCTTCGGGGCTACATGTCCAATGTGGAGAGTGCCCTGAAATTCTGGACACTCCATCTCTTAAGGGTTCTGAGGGTGTCATATGGGCTTATCAGGAACAAGCGTCAGATGCTTCCCGCGACCAGCATAGGACTAGGGGAGGGGGAGCAGGGAAGCCCCCAAGATCCAGGTTCTGGGGAGGTCAGTGCTATAGGGGCTGGGCTTGTGTCTGGAAGCTGCCTCCTTTTGTGTTCCCAATTGAACAGCAGAGGGTGGGGGGCTGCTCTTAAGAAGATGAGACAGCCCAGATGATGGCCAAATGGAGTCTCAGGGGCTCCTGAAGGGGGCCAAGAAGAGTTGGGGTGAGGCTACGGTATCATTCAAGGGTATCATTCACATGTTGCTTCCTTGTGATTAGAAAGCCAGGTCTGAGGTATGATTAAATGGTAAATTTTGTAATGTGTGTGTTTCATTGCAATTTTTTAGATATGGCATGGGGAGGAGAGAAGGTGTCCTCCCTTCAGCTTTGAGGATGGATAAGAGTGATGTGGCCAGAACCCTCTCTGCTGTCACTCTTTGTGGAGCCCCAACACATTCTTTACAAAGAAGGAATGCCAAAGGAGGGCATTTTCATCTGACTTAAATGCCTAGAGACCTCGGGACCCTGGAGAGACAGAGACAGAGGTTATGAGGTTACATTTGTGAACTGAGACAGAGGGAGATAAAGCCTCCTGAGAAAGAGAGAGAACAAAAACAGTGGTGGGGAAGATATGATCAGAGACAAAATTAGAGACAGTAAAGGTGGAAACAAGGCACCCAGAGGGGCAGAGAGCCACAGCCACAGGGGGAGCAGAGAGAAGTACAGAGACCAAAATATGAAATCGTTGGGCATAGTGAGCCTTCTGCTGGCTGTCTTCCAGGGGAAGAGTCAAATTCCTCTGAATTTCATGGTTTAAAGAGACAGAAATTGAGTCATTAGAGATTTTCAGTGGAGGAAGGACAAGGGATAGACAGGTCTCTCCTGGGACAGAACCACCAGTATTCTCTGTGATTCAGAGATGTAAGTCACTTGCTTTATCTAGAATGGCTCATCTCCTTGGCTACCAATTGTCTTGCTACCTTCTGGCCAGGTGTAGGGCCCAAATTAACTAAGAAGACTGAAGAGAAGAGAGGAAGAAGCGCAAGAGCAGAGGCCTGGCTGGGCATGACGAGTGCTCGGCCTTTAGAGACCCAATTCCTGCTGCTGCCCTCATTAGCTGCCCGTTGGCAGCCAGGGACCCACAGCCCTGCCCTGCAGGCTCTGGACAGCTTTGGTCACAGCTCACCCCCAGCCTGGATGGGTCTGGTGGACTGTTCTGTGCTTGTTTGGGAAGTCCCCCTCCTTCTACCCTTTAGTCCTTCCTCCTCTTATCTGGTCTCTCCTTTCCAAAGAGCCTTAAACTTTCTCAAAAGCAGAAAGCCAATGGCATGTGGATGAGTTTCTTCCCCAAAGAAAGTTTAAGCTTAGTAGTGAACATTTCTTAACAAAATGAAAAAGATGCAGGGTCAGGGGCTGGCTACTTTTCAGAAAGTGGGTAGTTAGTCATGGTCAGCTGATTTTCTGACTTCCGCGAAAGCCCAACCCAGAATGTTTCTCACTTCATCCCCTTCCAAAGCCCAGGCAGCCTCGAGAAACCTTCTAAGCGGGTCCCAGGCAGAACTCTCTTAGAAGGAGAACATCCTAAAATGCTAAGACTGCAAATGGGAATTCAGAGAAGCAGAAGACTTCTCAGGAATGTCCAAATCACAATAATTAAATAAGCAAGATACCCTAACCTATAGTCTAGGGCCCAGGACTAGTCTGGTTCTGACAGGCTTTTCCTTCATCGGTGGCCTTTGACTCCAGCTGACTTCGAGAGACTTATTCCTCTAGGATAGCCTGCACATCCCATTGATGAATCTGCTAAGTCAGAGAAGGATCTGCGTCCTTGCCCTGTGAGAACCTTCTGCCTGCAGTAAGCTCCCAGTCTGAAGGGGGCATACAATCAAGTGTGTAATCCTGTGGTCCCATGTTAAATGCAATATAATGTCCCCTATGCCCTGATGCCTAGGAGAGAACCCTAGAGTCATCAAGGCAGCCATAGTAAAAGACTGCAAGGCCTGGCAATCTCTTTAATGGAAATGCCTTTGGAGATATTTGGCCTGTCCTCAGAGTAGCACATGGCAATGAAACAGGCTCTCACTCCCCGGGGGCGCAGAGGTTTCCAAGATTGTGGTCTTGGGTGACTGAAATACAGTGCTTGGATCAGGAACTCTGCTATTTCCAGGTGGAGAGTAGAAAACCAAGAGAAGGGAAGTGATGGATCAGGAATTTGTCCCTCATGGACTATCCCTTTCCTGTCTGTGGAGCCTTCCAGGAAGGAAGGAAGGCGGCAATGAGAACACCAGCAAGGAAGGAAGGCGGCAATGAGAACAATCTGGCTAATGAGGTTAAACTCAAACAACAGATCTGGTGAAGGAGGTTCCTTTGCCCTCCCTGGAACGTCCATAGGCCTTTCTTTCTTCATGGTACCTATCTTGTCATGCTGTAGACAATTAAAATTTTTAACGTAGACCAACACAGACGCATCCTGCATCCTGCTCTTGAAGGATATGCAGGATGTCCTGCAGCAAGGCAAAGTATGGAAAGCAAGAGCAGAGAAGAGCAGCAGAGTCCTGAAGAAAACAGACATGGAGTGCAGGGGAGGTTAGGGGAAGGGACAGGACAGGAGGGGAAGGAAGCGGGGGAGGGAAAGGGAATAGAAGGGGGATGTGGGGTCTGGGGAGTCAGAGCTGGGTCAAGGGCATGGGGATCCAGGAACCTTTGTCCAGGAATGCATACCTTGGTCCAGTCTTGCTCTGGAAAGAGAACTGTGATGGAAATGAAAGACCATGATGGTCAGAGGCACTCGGAAACAGGTCACTGTCTGACTTGCCTGTTCCCTCTTCTGATCTTCAGCATAAGTTTCTGAGGGAGAGGAACTCCATGTAGAATGAGCTTCGATAAGGCTGCCTAAGAGGAGAGGAAAGGAAAATAGGGCGTTTTGCCAAAGGGAGGGGCTGGGACTTGCTCCCAGTTAGCCCTCTGACAGCTTGCACTTTGGAGTGTGTGTAGGTTGGAGGCAAGGGGGTGCGGCAGAGAGAGGGCTGTGGTTAGGGGAGAGGCTAGTGGTTAAAGGAATTCAAGTCCTTGTGAGGCCAGCTACTAGGCTTCCATCCTCCAGGCTGTTCCCTTGAGGTCTTCATCCCTATCTGGTTCTAAGCCAAGCCATATCCCAGATTCGGCATTGAAGAGAATTTAGATTGACCCAAGCCCACAAACTCTCCCTTCAAAATAGGCACTCCCAAAACTAAAGGGGCCCTATTGTCCCCAGGAAGAACAATAACAATCAGGGCCAAACTTTGAGTTTTTTTCACTCCTGGAAGGGATGTATATCCATACAGGAAGGAGGGTGAACTGCCTGCCCCAAGGTAGGAGGAAGAATGGCTTTCTAACAAAAGCTTGAGCATAACCTCATTTTTATGCTATAGGAAATTATCAAATGACCTATTATTAAAGATTCTTTTAGAAAGACAAGGCAAAATCTGGCTGTTAAGAATGCCTTGCCTAGCACATTGGGAGGCCAAGGTGGGCGGATTGCTTGAGCTCAGGAGTTCAGTACCAGACTGGGCAACATGGTGAAACCCTGTCTCTACTAAAATATGAAAAAAATATATATATATATATACACACACACATAAATATATATACATATACACATATATATACATATACACACATATATACATATATACATATATACACATATATACATTTATATATATACATATATACATATATATAGAGAGAGAGAGTTGGGCGTGGTGGCGTGCGCCTATAGTCCCAGCTACTCGGGAGGCTGAGGCAGGGGAATTGCTTAAACCTGGGAGGTGGGGGTTGCAGTGAGCTGAGATTGCGCCACTGCACTCCAGACTGGGTGACAGAGTGAGACCATCTCCAAAAAAAATAAGAGTGCCTTGCTCTGGTGGTCTGAACCAGTCATCACCCTTTTTATCTCATTATTCTCTTTCCTTGGGATTACTCCCCATCTTCCTGTTTCTTGGCTTTGATCACTCCCAATTCATTCCCAGACGACTCATTAGGACTGATTCTTGTGTCAGGAGACTTTACTCATGCTGAGCCCTGAGTTCCCTGGGAAACCCACATCTCTTTCCTAATAGGACTTTGTGTTGCAAATGAGAATGCCTGTTTTGAAATGAGCATTTGCGGACTCTGTTCTTTTTCACAAGCATTTTTTTAATCTATAAATTTAATATGTATCTTTTATTTTTTTCATTAAGGGCTCAAAGGACTTGTCTTGATCTGTAGTTTTGGCTACACCTGCTTGGGAAAGTGTAGTCTGGGAATTCCTGCCGCCACTAACTCACTGATTTCCACTTGCCTGAGATCTATTAGGATTCCTCCATTGCAGATGTTCTGACACACTGAAGCTATGCCTTACCTGACAAGCTAATACCCAATTCCTTCTAGAACTCATGGATTTATATTTCTGTTCTCTCCCCACTCTTGTCCAGACCTTTACATCCTGGATTCTTTACCATTTCTGCCCCCAGGACTCTTGGATATTGCATTGTCACTCATATCCATAAAACACGTTAGGAACTGGACATTAATATGTTAATGTTATTCAAAACACATCCATGGAAGCTCAAGTGCAAGGCATATACTCTAATAAGTCTTGGGGATTCAAAAATGAATGAGAAACCATGTCTTTTCCTCTAAAAAGCAATCTTGTAAAATCGCGTCCAGAAGCTTCCAAGACATTAGAGGTGACGTTGAGTTTGTAAGCTAACATAGGGAGTCAATTTCTTGGATGGCAAATGGAAAAAATCCTTGAAGCCTCTAGTCTGTGAATGGCTGGGGTTGGGCTTAAGAAGTTCCTGGGAAGAAGCTTGCTGACAGTGTAGATACTCCCTGGACTGAGTCAGCCTTTCTGGATGTGATTCTAATAATGGGGTCCACAGTTGGAGAGGGAAACCCCATTATCAGAGTTCCCAGCTAGAAGAAGACAGACAGCCAGTGGGGCGAGTGTCAGAAGGTTTGTTTTCATGTCTGTTAACCAAATGGTGGCTACTGGAAAAGTGAAAAAAGAGTGATCAAGGAAAAGGCAAGGCCAGAACGGACCTGAGGAATGAAACACCACCTCCAGGGCACAAGGTCCCCCAGCCCGGAAGCTGCTTGCTGATGTCCAACTCCACCCCTGCCTTCTAACCCTGCCGTAGCCATCCCAGTGTCCTGTTCTTCCTATGAAAGAAAAAGTCAAATGGATGAGCCACAATGTCCCTACTAGGGAAAGAGAATCTGCAGGGTAGGGAGAGAGATAGCTATATAGAAAGATACAAAGAGATACATAAAAAGAACAAGGCATAGAAATAAACTAACAAAGAGTGACAGCAGCAGAAAAATAACAAAAGAACTGGTTGCTTCCCCTAGGAGAAAATCCAGAGTGCAGAGCAGTGATGAGGGGATTGGAGGCAAGCAACAGATAGAGAATGCCAGCAGAAGGCAGAAACAGAGGTGTCCATGTCACAGACCTGGAGGGATTCAGAGAGGGCAAAGGGCAGAAGCGGGACTTTAGCCATAATATTCTGTCCCAGTGAGCCCACCATCTGTCCCTAGCATGCTCATGCTTCTCCCCACACATTCACAGCTCCTGCACAAAGACAAAACCACAGAGGAAAGCACTCAGAAAGGAGCAGGATGAGGGAATGCAAAGAAAAGGCAAATGAGGGAAGCGTTGAAAGATACAGGTAAGAGAGAAGGGGTTCTGACCTTTGGGGTGGAGGCCAGAAAGATGCCCAAAAGGCTGAAATGTGCCCCACAATCATCACAAACCCCACCTCCAGGCAGGCTCCTGGTACACAAGGAAGCAAAGGAGTAAAAAGTATGAATCGCCTGGGGCCACTGAAATATCCCCGGAAAATTTCTCTCTTCAGCTTTTGAAATAAGTTATTCTAACTCAGAGCTGAAGACTCTTAAAATTCTTTTGGGTACTATCCAAAGTCTAGGTCCCCATCATTGCCCCTTGCCCTACTTAAGGCAGGAGGAGGTGTCTGGTATCCACTAGACACCATCCAGTAAAGTGCTCTTGAACTCAGGAACTTGTCTCATCTTAGTACAGTGAGGGAGTGAGGTGCTTGCTTCATTTGCAATCACTGGCCTTTGGCCTGGTGTGAGGTCCTAATCCTGTGCTCTGGAGCGGAGAGCCAAGCCTCTGTGCTCATCCCAACAGAACCTCTTCCGGTGGCAGCAGGGAGGGAGGGGAGACAGTTGAAGTTAGAAGATGCTTTGCTGTATTCACCAAGTCTTCAAAACAAGAGCACTGAAGTGCTGGGGACTGTTTCTCCTTGACTTTTTAGCCTTGATACAATGGCCACAAAGAAGAGCTCTTCACAATAGAAGCTTGTTATGTTTGCTTTGCCATCATCCACCATAAAGCCTGGAATACAACCTTCTTCCCTTTTCAGTAAACATCTACTGAGTAAATCACACGAAGGTATCTGCTTTCTCAGGAATTTTACTAAACTACGGTTTGATGGTAAACTCAACTTCAGAGGGCTTCAACTGTAGCTTGAACCAGGTTTCTTCATGAGAAGATATGGGTGAGAGAGAGGGGAACCACAAAAAAACCTGCATCATAATTCAGGTCAAAGCCCTAGGACCAAGTGTAAAAGCTAGGCCCAGATTTTCCTTCAGCTGGTACCTGGAATTGGTCTTGATCTGTTTATTGTAGGAGACACGTTCCATTGTAGGTCCCAGAGCAGTGCAGGCACAGAGTTGTAGAAAACCCACAGCAGTCTCAGACTTTTAGAGAAACTGCTCCAGCTTTAGGGTTCATGTCCTAAAAAAAAAAACAACAACAAAACAAAACAAAACAAAACAAAAAAAACACCAGTCCCAGTGCTCATCTACTCGTTTCTCTCCTTTGTCTTCAGATTTTCTTATCCTTCCTTCATGCTTTAGTTGGCTTTCTGCTGACTTACTTAATAGATACATGAAAACACTTGAGAACTCTTTATCTAAATTCATTGATGAAAATCACTTTACTTGGCAAATATTTATTGAGCTTTATCTTATATTGAACTCCTAGTAGTGTTGAGAACTCAAATTCAATTGAGAATTTGTTTTCCCCCACTGAGAATGTCACTGTTGAGAAGGGAAGGGCGGACTGTGGGAAAGGAGGCTGGAGTCAGTCAGGGAGCAGAGTGTCCTTTAAGGAGTCATCCTATGGGAATTTGCAAATCACAGTGGGGTTCGAGAAGGTCACAGTGGGTAACTTCTTTCTATTCCCAGTTGGAGAATAAAGAGCCAGATGGTCAGGATGATGAACAGGGAACTCCCCTTTAGATGTCATTCTTCTCATGGCAAGTGATGGCAGTGGTAGAGGCAGAGGCTGGGGCATGTGAGAAAGTGGGAAAATGAGATTTCCACATGGTTTTTGAAGGAGGGTGATCCTGGTTGAACCAGTTGCCTCTAGGGTGGCAAAACGGTGCCCTGTCCCTTGCCTTCTATTCTCACATTGCCCTGTTGACAAAAATGGCCAAACTCCATAAAATAGTTGAAGAGATTTATTCTGAACCAAATAGGAGTAACCATGGCCCATGACACAGCCCTCAGGAGGTCCTAAGAACATGTGACCAAGGTGGTCAGGGTACAGCTGGGTTTTATATATTTTTAAGGAGGCATGAGACATCAGTCAAATACATTTAAGAAATACATTGGTTTGGTTCAGAAAGTTGGGACAACTCAAAGCAGGGGCTTCTAGGCTATAGGTAAATTTAAATATTTTCTGGTTGACAATTGGTTGAGTTTGTCTGAAGACCTGGGATCAATGGAAAGGAATGTTCAGGTTAAGGTAAAGGATCGTGGAGACCAAGTTTTATTGTGCAGAGGAATCTTGCAGGTAGCAGACTTCAGAGATAGAGAGCAGATTGTAAAATGTTTTTTTATCAGACCTAAAAGGGTGCCTGGCTCTTAGTTGATTATCTCCTGGATCTTGAAAGAAAGGAAGGAAAACAAAGGGGAAAGGGGATTTTCTATAGAATGTGGATTTTTTCCCACAAGAGACTTCGCAGGGCAATTTCAAGGTATAGCAAGAAAATATATTTTGGGGTAAAATACTTTGATTTTCTTCCTTGTTACTCCAGAGTCAAATTGGAAAGTAAGTCATGATATACAGGGTCAAATAAAACCCATCTGATGAGATTTATGGCTTATAGGGCATGACTCCCCAGACCCCTTAGGATAGGAATTTGGGCAAGGTAAAAAAAAATGAGAGCTTTGTCTTCAGTCCCTTTGGCCATTCAGGCTCCAATCATCCCTTTCTGTCTAAAAATTATATTAGATGAATAAAATAAGAGGCAAGCAGACAAACTAGGAAGAAGGAAATGGGGGAGACAGAGAAGTCAATTTTTTTCAGATGTCTAGAAAGACAATGTAAAGGTATGTTGACCATAAAAAGAGAGCAACACAGAAAAAGAAAACTAAAGATGCAGCAGGAAAAAAAGCAATGCAGGGAAATGTGATTTGATGGCAGAGGCCCAAAAAGGGAGGCTCCCGGACAGATGGAGGAAGAAGCACAGACATGAAGGTGGTGGTACTGTCGGCCATGCCAGGCCACTCTCTTCCCCTGAAGGCAGTGCCTGGGGCAGCTTTATTCCTTGGTTCCTAGAAAGGGACATGAAATGTGATTTGACAGAGAAGGTACATCCAGAGAACATATAGGGGGCAGATGAGGAAGCTGTCACAAGAGCATGAAGGATCTGAAGGTCCAAAGTATGCCCACCACTTCCTCACTTCACCTGAACCCCAACCTATTTCTGTACCTTCACCCCAGCTGTAGATGAATCATGGGCCTGACCCAACTGAGCTGAAGGTAATAAAGAGAAGAAAGAAAGGTGATATGCTGGGGGCTCAGACTGTGGCATGCTGTGTCCGAGCCTCCACTTCCCTTCCTTATCACAGTCTAATTTGATTTCATTAACACTGCCCCTTATCTGGGGGCAGCATTTGGGGAGCTGACAACCAGAAACTCATCCTTTCCTCTTAGGGGTGGTTGCTGGGAGGGGTTGGGGTGGGGAAAGTAACAGAAAGCATCAAGAATATGCCTGTTGGATCAGGGTTCATGCCCTTGTTAACACACTCAAGACTATTAAACAAATGTAAGAATCCCTCTCTGTCACCAAGATAAAGCTCAAGCTCTTTATATACATGTCATGCATAACAAGATATATAAAAAGGTTTCTTGTTTTGTTTTCACTGTGGTTTAACAAGCCAAGAAAGAAAAATAGATGGAAAATTTCTCCTATCTTTTAAAGTAAGGAACTTGACTTAGAAAGGAGGCAGCCATTAATACCAATTTTGTGAACCTTAGTTCAGCACTGATATGAATGGTCTAAAAATGTTGGAAGTCTGGAAAAGAAAAAAGACTTTTCTGGAGAAATGTCTTGAAGTGGGGGAGCATTTTTGGTATTCCTTGCTGGGAGAGAGGAGTGTATCCCCCATGAACTCACACTGAAGAATGGCCACAAAGAATGCTGGTGGATCTGTCCCTTGAATTTTGCCGGGCACGATGCCTTGATATCTGACCCCAGGGGAAGAAGTGGAGGCTCAGGCTGAGGCTGCCAGGCAGAGAAAGACTTGGTTTCCATGGGGGCTGGCCGTGCCTCTATGGAAAAGGAGTAGAGCCGGTGTGATTTGCTATGTGGCACTGACCAGACCTGCCACTCAAGGGGAAGCCCTGTCCAGGAGCCGTTTTTAAATCCCATCCAGGAGAGTTTCTAGGAAGCAAGTGTTGCGGGTAGGGAGGGAGGAGTGTTTGACTGTAAAAGAAGAGGCAATTGCTGACCTTGGGATGTGATTTACCCACGGCTGGGAGGGTGCAGTTAGACGTGGTCAGGGCACCAATCTGAGGTATACTTAGCGCCCTGGTAAGGGTCAGCCCTGAGCATGTACCACAGCCAGATCAGGGGCAAACTAATCCACTTCCCCATTCCTCAATGCTGGGGTCCACAGTAAGGCCAGCAGGGATGAGGAGAAAGAAGCAAAGCTCAAAACTGCAAACCACACCCTCATCTCCCACTGTGAGTACCCGCCTTAGCCACTACTCAAGAGAGGGAAAACGCTCTAAATGAAGTTCACAGTGTTGACTCTTGCACAGGACTTGGTATTCTAGTTACTGAAATAGATCTGTCTTATGACTAAACTGACTCCAGGACTCGTTATTACCTGAAAGTTTCTGGAAAAATTCTGGAACTGGCCCAGAATTTCACCCAAAGGAGGGAAGGCAAGAAATTGCATCACAGGGAAGATTTTACCTCCTCAGTTCTTCTTGGAGATTCGGTGGGGGGCATTTGGGTCTTGTAAGTGGTCAGTGGAAATTTCCTTTATCACTTGCCCTGGGCTTTAGTCTCACAGCAGCATGTGTTAAGGAAACACTTGGAGTTTTCTGAAAGGCTACTTTTCTCTCTGTGTTGACCTAGCCACGTATTTATGGCTCTGCTAAAATAGACATCTTGCCACCGTTCTTCTCACTCCTTTGGAATGAGATCCTCTGGAATGCGCCCTAGGCTTGACTTTCTTCTGAAAGTCTTCCGGAATTTCCCCTGGGCCAGGAGAGACTCACTCCAAAGACTCCCCTGGCACCCCTGATTATCTCTGTGGTTGGGAACTCATCACTTCCTTGTCTTTGGTTTCTCCCAAAACGCTGTAAATTCCTTGAGAGCAGGGACTTTACCTGTTCACTCATCCATTCCCAGGGGTTAGAAAACACGGCTTATTGTAGATGCTCAGTTAATGTTTGTTGAATCAATGCATGAAGGCCCCAGGGGGAGATGGCTTCAGGGTGGCTGGACCCCAGGAGATGGCTTTAGGGAAGCTACACCCTGGGGGTCTAGGATCCTGGCTTCCAGTGCCCATCACCAGTGAACTGTGCCTATTATAGACATTAGAACAGTAGTGTTCACTGTGATCAAAGACCAGAGTTTGTATAGTCTCTGAAACATTTGGCAAGAGGAACAGAAAAAAGAGGGCGCCCTCAAATAAGTGATGATAAATTTTGCTTATGCCAAAAGGGATGGGAACTCAGAGGCAGATTTTATTTTTTTTAAAAAGGGAAGAAAAAAGAAGTAAATAATGTTGCATCACTTGAATCTGTGTATTTTTGTGGAGTAAGAATTTTAACTGCTAAACCTGCTATACTTGCAATGTCTTTAGTGAGTGGTTGTACTCAGAATTTTTCTAAAAATGTCTTTTCAGCTCTGCTGAAGAGACTTAATACAAATTAAAGCTCTGTTGGCTTCAGGGATCTCAGAAATCCTCTGTGACTACTTACTAAGTCAGGACCATGGAGGGGGATCCAGTAAGCAGGAAATCACGTCAGAGACAAGCTATGAAAATTTGGGCGAGGACCTGACATAGAATTAAAAGATGCCTTTCGTAGGTGCGTTAAGAAAAATTAACTCATTTGTAAACATTCATTGAAGCAATAATGTAGTAAGTTCAGGAAAAATTTCTAGTAAGCAAAACATGGCTCATGGGCAACATTTGGAGGAAACAACGATGATTATGGTCATTATTAGACATCCAAACGGCAAGACAATGGCTAAACTTAGTATAAACCAAAGTCCCCGAGGGCAGTAGTAACAACAGAATGCCTCCAATGAGTGTTTCAATAGGCTTTGCAAAATACTGAGTGTCATTGTATGTATGTGAGGCCCTTAATAAATATCCTTTAGTGGTAGGGGAAATGGGCCAGAAATGTTCAGCAGCATTAAGAAGAGTATTCGTTCATTTTGAGATGACTTCTCAAAGCTGCAAACTAGCCAGTTGTGAGCTTGCATTTGAGTGCATGTGATCCTGCTCTTTTGGTGAAAAATTGTAGCCCTGTTTTGTTAAATTGCAGTCTCCAGGGTTTCGGTTCCTACTATGAACCTAGAGAACAGGCCAGAAGCATGTTGCACAAGGCTTCCGTTTTCACTGTCCAGTGACTGGTATCCAAATTCCCAGATTTTCGCAGTAAACTTCACTCAGTCTTGTTATAATTGTTATCTGTAAACATTTTTATTCAGAATGTTCTTAAATGAACTCAGGGAAAGCTGTGCATTAAATAGACATTTAACAGATGGTCAAGAGAGTAGTATTCTGAAATTTGGTAAAACTGCACTAATGATATTTATATACTACACTGGAGAAAACAAAACAAACCAAATTAAAATCCAATATTCGTATATTTTAAATTATCATTACTGTCCATAAAACTATTTGAAATAATAATTTCTTGTTAGTTTTAAAAATGAAAAAATATTATTTTATATAAATCCTCCAAATCCCAAATCTTCAAAATCCAACAGGATATATATTGAAAAGAGTTATAATTTCTTTAAGTTATTAAGAAATTGAGATATCTCATGAATAATATAATTTAAAAATCTATTGGCTAGTAAGTACTGGCAAAGTGAATATTTAACCAATCTTCTGAAAAAAATTAAATAATACAAGCACTTAAAAGTCTAAGATTCTAAGACAATGAATCATTTTGAATTGGCCAAATGCATCATAATTTTTCCAGAAGCTTGTTCAAATTTTATTTCCCATTCTTAGAAAAATACAGAAGATAAAGCTGGGTATAGTGGCACATACTTGAAGTCCCAGCTGTTTGGGAGGCTGAGGCAGGAGGATCGCTTGAGTGTGTGAGTTCAAGGCTGCAGTGAGGTATGATGGTGATACTGTACTCCAGCCTGAGCAACAGAGCAAGACAGGAATCTCAAAAACAAACAAACAAAAAAGATTAGACTTTATGGGATGACACAAAGAAAATCATCATCCCATCTTCAATTAATGTTGAACAGTGTCTTAAATAGTGCAGAATGAATGAATTTTATGGGAGTCAGTGTTTCCTAGTTTGAAAGTCTGATTATTTTCTGTCCTAAAGGAACATGTTAGAGGGGGTCTCCAGAGTTGCTGAAACCCTTACTCCATATATTGCAAGAAAACTCCTCGAGTGTAGTTTCTGTGTCTGATGAGTATCTCTCTGCAGCACACAGCCAAGGGCCTGGACCATAGAAAATATCCAGAACTGAGGACTTCTCCTGCCAAGCCCAGGGAGTCTGAATGTGAGTCCAAGGCTGGCAGCTTTGTATGACTTCAACCATCACACATATATTGTGAGAGAGAAAATGAGGCTTTGTGTCTCTTATGCCTCTGATTTTTAGAAACGGGTCTGGGCAGTGTCAAAGAGTAAAACAGCCTTTGCGCATCTTAACCACAGGTGTTTGCCTTGGCCTCAATTAACACTGCACTGAATCACCCAACTGAGAGTTTGCAGTCACTGGGCTAGACTCCCAGAGACCGACTCAGGCTGTCCTCAGGCCGCGTGAAAGCCTAGAGATATCTTGGTCAGCAGCTTCGCTGGGACTCCAAACTCGAGAAGGGGAATCAAGCAAGGCACTTTGGCATCACCAGTGTGAAGAATCTCCAGCAGGGGAGGCAACAGAGGTAGCAACATTGTGGCCACGGTTGTGTAGAATGCATTGCATCCAGCACACTGGCACATACATGCTTAAACCACACACTTGTGTGCGTGTCCCTGCACCAGGGGCAAAGCTCATCCCTAGTTTATGAGTAGTGCCTGACAACTGGCCCCTGTCCTTGGCCAGTCCCAAGCCCGTACGGGCAACAGGGCACGTGTTTTTGAGCCTCTCTCCCTCCTTTCAGCCCTCTCCAGGTGTCTTTGGGAAGGATTCTTGGAGCTTCCCCCTGTCGAACTCGTCTAGGATCTCCATGGGCGAGCGCGGCTGGCGGCTGGCTAGCCTGGGCGGCCTGAGAGCGGAGCAGGCTCTGGGCGGGGCTCCCGAGGGTCTTGGCGCGCTGGCCGCCACCCACCCTGAGGCCGGAGGGGGGCGGGGGTCACCAAAGGCGGCGGGCCCGTCGTGCGGGGCTGCAGGGATGCACCCTCTCTCCCCTATTTTTTTTCATTGGCCGGTTATTTGCATATTTCAATAATCTTTGCAGACATTCCATTGACAGCAGTATGTCAATCATACAGGTAGATCAATGAAGACCTAGGTCAACAATAGATGTCTATATAAACGTCTGAAATAGCAAAAGTTGCTGCTTATAATGTTTGCATTCATGTTGTGGTAGAAAGTCCATTAACCAGAATAATTTTTCAGAAAACTTCCATATATTAAATTGGATGGATTATTTAAGGAGTGTTAAAAGTTTTTTAAAATAATAGAATACAATAATATGTATCTATATAACCACAGCTTGGGAGAGTCTTTTCCATGCATGAAGCAATTGAAGAAATCTTAAAGAAAAATCTTGGTTAATTCTATCCCACAAAACTGCTAAAAGTTATAAAAGCTTAATTTATGGTGAGAAAAATACCAAAAATATTAAATTTATATTTTCTGTTCTATTGAAGCAATTAGAACAAATGCAATTTTAAAATATTTTAACCAATTTATGAGTATAAACTCTTGAACTGATTAAGAATGGATCATAAAATAAATTTACATTCATGATACAGTTTTAGAGTGAGAATGTAAAATGAGATATTGAAGGCGTGTTTTCTAATAATGAACCTCAATGAGGCTTAAGAGAGTGAAATAATATCCTTTGGATTAATGTTTAATCGAAACTAATATTTACTGCTCTAGTGCATTCAAGAGAGCCTGTTACTAGGTTTTTGAATGTATGATTGTGTTTCAGAACCAATTTAAAATAACTAGATGAGTGACTTTAGAGAAAATGACAATAAGGTTGTATAGAAATAGATATTTCTTTCGAGGTTTTACTTTAGAAAATTTGAAAAAGTAATTTCTATTCTGCCACAGTTGTGTGATCCTCTCTGCATATAAAATGGTATTTCCTCACTTATAAACCCCAAACTCTTCTACAGTGAAGGTAATACACGTTTAGAATGAACACTGGGATGTGCTTAAAATACTCCCTTGAGATGCTGGTTGCTTTCCAGAGGGCAGTTCTCTGCCTCATTGAATGGTGGATTCACTGGTTGGAGTGCGTGTTTTCTTTTTTGATAGACACAAAACCCACATACTTTGAAAATCTTCTGTGTTAAATGTTCTGTTCAAATAAGAGACTTATCCCAGAAACAAGAGGGTCCTGGCCACAGCCATTCATTACATAAAAAGGAAAAGAAAGTAGACATTTTAGGTACCTTTATCCTTGCTTCCTAATTGGCTACCTAGGCTTGCCAGGTACGGCAGAAAGATAATCAGACTTTCTTTTTACAGGATATTAAAGATGAGAAAGGCCTTGGAGATGATCAAATCCAATCCCTTTATTTTCTAAAGAAACTGAGGCTCGGAATAATTGACCTGACAGATAGAAACTGATGGAAAATTTTAGTTCTGTTACTTACTTGCTGTGAGACCATTTTGAAAATAGACATCATATCCTGTTTTAATTACCCTAGACTTCAGAAATAAGCATTCCAAGATAAACCTATCTGTATCTGGGGGAATAAGAGTAGGCTCAGTTGACAGAAGACAATAGGAAAAGTAACACATAAAGATGTCACCAGAAGACAAAGCTCTGGATTTAAGATTTGGAAGTTGGAAAAACTCTTGGAAGCTTAGCAAAATTGTATATAACCAGGCCCATATGAAATGGAGTGCTGTTGCAAGTTACTGTGCTGAGGAAGTTGAGGCTCTAAGACCAAAATGTTGGCAAATGGCTTGGATTTGGAATAATGAAGAAGAGAGGCCAAGAGCCAATCCTAAAGTAATGACAGGAAGTTGGTGGGTGTCCCAGAGAGAGGTCACTTCTGGTAAGGAGCATAGGGAGAGAATGGAGGCAGAGGAGTCCTGTAAACTAAAATCCAGTGATTTGGGAATAAAATGAGCCTCCCAGTTTGTTTGAATAAAGTACTTGAATCCAAACCAACATTTTCTTGCTCCCAATGCATATATCAGGATAAAACATTTTGACACATCGTAAAATGCATATAATTCATAGATACAATACTTTACACAAGAATATAACACATCATATTGTTCAGATACTCATATGCCTAGTGCTAGGCATTCAAAAATATTTGTTGAATAAATGAAAACTCCCAGCTCTGCCACTTACTTAATTAACCACAAAAAAAATTGTGTCGTCAGTAAAATGGATATGGTGATACACACCTCGTGGAGTGAGATAATATACATGAAGTACCCGGAACATATTAAGCATTTGATAAATAATAGCTGTTATTGTTGTTTTAAGTATGGGTCAAACATTGTTGTAAATGCTTTATAAGAATTTAAAATTTATACCACAGAAAACATTTTCTATGTCCTGTGAGAAATATGTATGTTTTGTATTTTAAAGAGAAAAATGTGTTTAAATAACCAGTCAAGTGTCTGATACACATCATCTTGACTGTATATTAGATTAATTCATCTATAATTAATATGTTAGTCATTTCCAAGACCAATGTAGTTGTCTACCACTTCCTAGCACACCTGGGCTGCACAAATATGTGGGTCTGATATAATGTCAGAAATGCAGGAAGCTATATGAGATTCCAGCCCTCTATTTTTCCAAGTGTAAAAGAACTTATGAATCAAGAGCCGAATAAAAAACATAGTACTCTTTCTGATAATCTGTCAACAAATTTGCAATCATGTCAGGCATGTTATATGATTACGAATTGCTCAATGCTATTATGAAAAGTATTTTCAACAAGTGAAACTTCTGGAGTTCTCTGCAGTTCTGGGATCAAACCTCAGTGCCTTGTCCTAACGTCCCATTAGGACAGAAGTGCCCTTCCTGAGAGTATGGCAGCATAATGACATTCTAGCACCTGGACCGATTACACTGCTCTCCCTGAAGTAGTGGATTCTTTCATCAGCAGGAGAGAGAAGGGTGAATTGTATAAAGTGGAGCCTGACAGTGTGTATTTTATTCTTTAAAATAAAAAAATTAAGAACATAAAAAACTGTTTTCCTTTATCTCTTCTTTTCAGAATGGGGCAATGGTATCACCAGGGTTTGGAAACTCAGAACTAGATCAAATCTCAACTCTTATCTTTTCACGGCTGATGCTGAGAATGTTTGGCTTTAGGGACTTGCATTTTATCTTCTGTCAAATAGGGAGAGTGCTACCTTTTCAGCTAAAATTAAAGTAATACGAACACATTTGAAAATATTAGGGATGATCAACTATTAATTTCCCCTCTTCTCTTTCATTCTACTCTGGTTTTTTTTTTAGAAAAGCAGAAGTTGAAACAGTGTTACTAGCTAAGTCCACAGCAGGATAAACTGATGATGTAAATTTTGTGGGCTCAGAAAACTGAGCCCACAAAATTTGGCAAGGATGCTAAATTTCATCTTTTTGTAGCAAATCTTAGTCAAGATTAATAAGACAAATAGAGGATCATGCACAGTTTAATCTCATAAAACTCAGATGTTGACATTTTCAAATTGTTATCATGAAACTCAGGAGAACCATAAATACGATCACCAATAATGACTTCACTTGGGATGTTCAGGTGGAAACAAAACACTGTTGAGGGCACAACTGGTGATCCAAAGACTTCTAGAATGGTCATGACCTAAGATTCCTGCAGATTGAGGCACACTGTGTAATATGGTTGTATTTACCATAGAACTGGATGAGTGCTAAGTTGTAAGGTCAGGTTGTGCCTTTGTTAATCAGAAACACTACATTGCCATCCCCATTTCCATGCTTTGTGTGTTTCTAAATACAAGGGTCAGGTTTACATATGTTAGTCCCAAACAAGGTGAAAACATAATTAGCAGCAAAATAGAAAATTTTAATAAAACCCACAAAACATAAGAGAGCCAATGATTCTTAACAAATAAGAAATGGTTTGCTGGAAATCTCTTGTTATTCCTTAAGTACAGGAATATGCAAGCTAATAATGAAATTTCTTCTTTTGATGAAAACTGTAAAGGTTTACATTTCATATTGGAGATCACTGAATTGATATGGTTAACTCTTCTTTTTTTTTTTTTTTTTTTGAGACGGAGTCTCGCTCTGTCACCCAGGCTGGAATGCAGTGGCAAGCTCCGCCTCCCCAGTTCACACCATTCTCCTGCCTCAGCCTCCTGAGTAGCTGGGACTACAGGCACCCGCCACCACGCCAGGCTAATTGTTTGCATTTTTTAGTAGAGACGGGGTTTCACCGTGTTAGCCAGAATGGTCTCTATCTCCTGACCTCGTGATCTGCCTGCCTCAGCCTCCCAAAGTGCTGGGATTACAGGCGTGAGGCACCACGCCCGGACGACTCTTCTTTTTATGTAGATAATAGATCTAAAGTTTTTGAAATCCTGTATAAACAAGCTTCCTTTTACCAGGCAGTAGCTATAATTTTCTTCCCTTTATTGCAATATCAATATTTGCAGTTTTCCTATTTTTCTTTTTCTTAAAAGTATCCTTAAAGACAGAAGACATTTTAGTAAGTAATCATGGAGGCATCTCCCACTCAAGACTAAGTTTGAATTAATGATTTTTTTTTTTTATACCTTAGGTCCTCACAAACAATGTGCTGAGCTTCATCTATGTCAAGAATTAAAGGATTTTCATTTGCTAGGCCTTTTCAGGTTATGTATCTTTAGGTTAAGAAGGAGGTTCAAGGATACAAAATGCTAAAGCTATGGCTCAGGTGGCATTTATCCACATGGGGATGCATGCTCCTTCTAAAGAAAACAAAAATTGACAAGTACAAAATCATGTAATCTATTAAGAATATTCAATGACTATGTTTTCTTGAGATAAATAAAACTGCTTTTCGCAGTGTGGGAACTCCTCAAAGAGCTAAAAACAGAACTAACATTTGACCCAACAATCCCATTACTGGGTATATACCCAAAGAAATATAAATTGTTCTACATTAAAGACACATGGTAGGTGTATGTTCAACAGCAAAGACATGGAATCAATCTAAATGTCCATCAGTGGTAGACTGGATAAAGAAAATATACATCATGGAATACTATGCAACCATTAAAAAGAACGAGATCATGTCCTTTGAAGGAACATGGATGTCTTTGAAGCCATTAGGTTTCACTCAACATATCTAGATATGGATATATGTTCAATCTGATATCAGTGTCACTTATTAAATCTTGTTCATTATTTCTTAAATAGTTCCTCTTCACCATCATCTCTTTGCTGCTATTTCTAATTATTTTTCACTTATCTCAGGGTGTTTATTATGCCTGTGAGGGAAAAGCAAGAAATGGTGTTGTCCGGATTGCTATACTGAAATGACTCTGCCTCCATGAAGTCCTTTCTTACTTCAGTCCTAAAACTATGGGTCCTAGGCTTTGCCCTTCCTGGCAATGCCCGGTTCCCTAGAAATAAAAATGGGTACCTGGGAAACAATTAAGGAAGAGTGAAAACCTAGAGAAATAAGGATAACAAGACACCGAGGCACCCTTCCTGCTGCTGTAGCAGTTGAGCAGCAATTGTAAATAAGTAGTTTCTCCTATGTGCAGAGATATGGCTCAAACCAAGGTGGAATTCCCTGTGTCAAATGAATACATGGTTGTCATTGACCAAAGTACAGGTGGTACTTGGTGTATTTTTTAATAGAAAATGATATGCTCTGGATATGAAAAGTATTTTGTACAAGAATAAAATTTTAATCCTTATAGGCCTAGATATTTTTTTAAGTAGTTTTTAAAACAAAAATATACAATTTAAAATTTATTTTGTTCCAAATTTTAAGATAATCTTTCATTTCATACCCGCTCATTGCTAGTTGTACCAACTGTATTCCCTTGCTAGTACTTTTTTTTTATTGTTAGAAACTCAACTTTTATTCTGAGTTAATCCTCTAGATAAAGTCTTAAGTCTGCCAAACTACTATTCCCCCCACCTTTTCTTTCCCCAACCATCGAGCTCATTCTAGGAAGTATGTCACTCTACCAAAAATGATTGAGTTGTGTTGGGCCTGGAGAAAAAGTTGGGCAAAAGGAGCCTTTCTTGTGGCTGCTGATAGTTAAGTTCATCCACCACCACACTTGGAGCTCGACTGGAGTCGCCACGGGGCTCCGTCTGTCTTTGTGGCCCCACAGTGCTCACAAGTTCCACTTCAGCTGTGCTAGTAGGTGGTAGCAGATTATTTCGACTCAGGGACATTGGTGAGGGAGAGGAGAGCCAGTTGGCTGCCGCTGGGACTCGGGCTCCTCTGAGGATTTCTTCCACAAGTCTTGGTATTCCAGCACGTGAATGGCTTGTGCTGATCGGATGAAGGGTTCGTGGCGATGGATTGCGTCTCTTGGTGGACTGCACTGTGTATGACAGAGATGATGTACTAAAAACTCCACAGCTCGATTTGGCCAATTTCGAGTTGAAAGGATGGTACTGGACCCAGGCCTCATAAGTAGCTTGTCATCAAGATCTAGGAGCTTGTCCATTAGGGAGAGATTTCTTGGCTGTAGAGGCATCCCATAAACCAAGAGACCATTAACATTTGGCTGATGACTACTTGCTTGACAGAGACTCATTGGATTTGAGGTAACGGACAGCACCTTAGACTGTGGCACTCGTGGTAACACCAAAGGATGTGGCTCACTCAGCACACAGAAACTTTCTGAAACGGGTCTGGTAACTGCAACATTACTCTCATCATGGTGGGCAAATCCTTCCCAGTGACTACGTGTCAACTGCTCCATACAGCTCACAACCTTGCTCCATACATTGTCAAACACATAAACAAGGACATCTTCTTTCATGCAGTAAAATGGAGCAATGGGAGGATACCCTAATTTCTGTTTCTCTGTAGCTGCTTCTGATTTCTTCCCATGAAATCCCTCTTCCATATCTGTGCAATCGAATGCTAGGTATTCCTCAATTATTCCTTCGGAGATGATTATAGAGTCTTCCTCGTCTCTTTCCATAAAAGAAAAGCTGGAGGATTTGGCAATAGAAGATGCTTTATGAGCATACGAAGATGAAAAATGTAACTTCTTTCCCCTTATACCAAATATAGTAGAATCTCTTTCTTGAGACAAGGTTGTTTCATATGAAGCTGAAACAGCAGAAGGGGATCTAGGATACAATCTATAACCTTCACTTGGAATGATTATCTGCCTACCTAGAATCCTGAGGTGAGGAAAGCTAGCTGTCCACTGTTGGCGCTCTTCTTGTAGACTCTTGGTATGCACACTCAACTTCTGCTCATACAAGGGTTCATCAATGGCTGTGAACATTGCCTAGGCTTTTTCAGTGGCATTTTGATCGAGTTCACCATATTCCCAGGAGAAGTCTGAGTTGCCTTCAGTAGATATCCCTGCGCCTGTATAACTTGGAAAAGCAGACAGTGAATTCCCAGCATCGGCTGATGTAAAAGGTGATTCTCTTGTGATGTCAGACTCGCTTTGGGAACTTATGTCTTTCTCATGACTGTCACTGGTGGGGGAAATTTCCTCCAGCTTCTCGGGAGGGAGATGATGGTTAAGAGCATGTTTTGTTATTCCTTTCAGCTCCAAGCTCTGTGGCATCGCCTTCCCGAGTGTATCTGGAGATCCCCCTCCTCTTCCTCCTCCTGCTCCTCCTCCTCCCCCTCCTCCTCCTCCTCCTTTTCCTCCTCCTCCTCCTCCTTTTCCTCCTCCTCCTCCTCCTCAGCCTCGGCCCAGGCGGGCACGCCAGGTTGGGGGCCTCCGGGCCTGGCCCTCCCGCTGGCTCCCACCCGGCCCCCTCCCACCACCTACTGGCCCCATCTCGCCCCGTCGTCGCCTAGACTCCGAGCCGCCACCTCCCCAGGGTCCCCACCTCTCCAGTCCTCCGACCTCCCTGCTTTCTTCCCTTGCTAGTATTTCTAATAGCATGCCCTAATTAACTCATTTTATCTTTTGGTATAAATCAATTACAATTAAAATAGAGTTTGATAAATCTCAGTGGAGTATTGTTTAATGTTAAAAACATTTTTTCTCAAGAGATCAAGTGTGATTAACTTCAGTAAGAGGCTAAAAGTTCAAATTATTCTCAGTAGAGAGAAATAGTCACAGTTACATTCCTTACAGAATATTTTTTTCCATTTCTAAATGCAGAATGTCAAATATGCAGTAGTTTAATTTATTCCAAAGCAAATTTAAGTTTTTTTCTCAAGTAACATGCATGAATGTGAGGACTGATCCAAAGGGGCCCCACAGAGGCTGCCAGTGGATTATGATCCCCGAAGCAGAAGCTCCTGAAAGAGATAGGAATGTTGAATTTTTGCAGCTGCCACTTCGCCTTTTTGGTCCGATTTTCACTTGCCACAGTGCTTTTGAGAGTGATCACTGTTGCATGTATTGGTCATTGCTTCCTTTTTATTGCCTAATAGTATACTATTGCTGGTATGTATTTACCATTAATTTTTCATTCACTGATTAATGGATATCTGGTATGTTTCCAGATTTGGTAAGTATAAAATCTGCCAGACCATTCAAATATATTTAGCTATATGGACATGTGCATTCATTCTCCCAGGAGTGGAATTGAGGTCATGTGTTTAATTTTTTTTTTTTTTTTTTTTGAGATAGAGTCTCCTTCTGTCCCCAGGCTGGAGTACAGTGGCGCGATCTCGGCTCACCGCAACCTCAGCCTCCTGGGTTCAAGCGATTCTCCTGCCGAATAGCTGGGATTACAGGCACATGCCACCAAGCCCGCTAATTTTTGTATTTTTAGTAGAGACAGGGTTTCACCATGTTGGTCAGGCTGGTCTTGAACTCCTGACCTCGTGATCCGCCTGCCTTGGCCTCCCAAAGTGCTGGGATTACAGACATGAGCCACCATGCCCGGCATGTTTAACTTTTTAAGGAACTGCCTTTTTCACCAGCAATGGTGGTGGAAAAGGCAGTATCTAAGAAAATTGCATTACGATGATAATACAAATAAAACATTTATGAGAGTGTCATTGTTTAGCTCCTTGCCAACACTTAGTATTTATTGTCAGAGTTTTTGTTGTTGTTTTAGTTTTAATCATTCCAATACATGTGTAATGGTAGTTTAGCATGGATTTAATCTGTTTTTTGATTACTAATAATAATCTTGAGCAACTTTTCATGTGCATATGTGCTATCCCTGTCTCTTCTTTGGTATAGACAAAACATCAGTAAAGTTTCAGTTCAAATCTTTTGTCCAATTTTCATTAGGGATTTTGTTTTCCATTTATTGAGTTTTAAGAGCTTTTTAAATACACACAGAATATGTCTTTTACCAGATATGTATTTGCAAATATATTTTCCCCAGCCTATGATTTGCCTTTCCATTTTCATAGCAGTGTACTTTGAAGAGCAAAAGGTCTGAACTTAATAAACTATAATTTGTCAATTTTGTTCTTTCATTATTCATGCATTTGGTGTTGTATTTAAGAATCTTTGCCTAGTGAATTACAAAGATTTTCTTCCATATTTCCTAGGATAGGTTTTATAGTTTCAGGTTTTACATTTAGGGATAAATTTATTTTGAGCTGATTTTTGTGTATGGTGTGGGGTATCAGTCAATGTTTATAATAATTTACACATGATATACAATTTCTAGCACCTTTCTTTTTTTTCATTATTATTATACTTTAAGTTTTAGGGTACATGTGCACAATGTGCAGGTTAGTTACATATGTATACATGTGCCATGCTGGTGTGCTGCACCCATTAACTCGTCATTTAGCATTAGGTATATCTCCTAAAGCTATCCCTCCCCCTCCCCCCACCCCACAACAGTCCCCAGAGTGTGATGTTCCCCTTCCTGTGTCCATGTGTTCTCATTGTTCAATTCCCACCTATGAGTGAGAATATGCAGTGTTTGGTTTTTTGTGCTTGCGATAGTCTACTGAGAATGATGATTTCCAATTTTATCCATGTCCCTACAAAGGACATGAACTCATCCTTTTTTATGGCTGCATAGTATTCCATGGTGTATATGTGCCACATTTTCTTAATCCAGTCTATCATTGATGGACATTTGGGTTGGTTCCAGGTCTTTGCTATTGTGAATAGTGCCGCAATAAACATGCGTGTGCATGTGTCTTTATAGCAGCACGATTTATAGTCCTTTGGGTATATACCAGTAATGGGATGGCTGGGTCAAATGGTATTTCTAGTTCTAGATCCCTGAGGAATCACCACACTGACTTCCGACCGGCTGGCCATATGTAGAAAGCTGAAACTGCATCCCTTCCTTACACCTTATACAAAAATTAATTCAAGATGGATTAAAGACTTAAACGTTAGACCTAAAACCGTAAAAACCCTAGAAGAAAACATAGGCATTACCATTCAGGACATAGGCATGGGCAAGGACTTCATGTCTAAAACACCAAAAGCAATGGCAACAAAAGCCAAAATTGACAAATGGGATCTAATTAAACTAAAGAGCTTCTGCACAGCAAAAGAAACTACCATCAGAGTGAACAGGCAACCTACAAAATGGGAGAAAATTTTTGCAACCTACTCATCTGACATAGGGCTAATATCCAGAATCTACAATGAACTCAAACAAATTTACAAGAAAAAAACAAACAACCCCATCAAAAAGTGGGCGAAGGACATGAACGGACACTTCTCAAAAGAAGACATTTATGCAGCCAAAAAACACATGAAAAAATGCTCACCATCACTGGCCATCAGAGAAATGCAAATCAAAACCACAATGAGATACCATCTCACACCAGTTAGAATGGCAATCATTAAAAAGTCAGGAAACAACAGGTGCTGGAGAGGATGTGGAGAAATAGGAACACTTTTACACTGTTGGTGGGACTGTAAACTAGTTCAACCATTGTGGAACTTGCATTTTTTTTAATAGGCCCTATGTGATTTATATGCTTTAAAGAGGTTCTGTTTTGATGTGTTTCAGGATTTGTTTCAAGATTTAGAGCTTCTCTTAGCAGTTCTTGTAGTGGTATCTTGGTAATGGCGAATTCTCTCAGCATTTGTTTGTCGAGAAAGACTGTATCTTACCTTCATATATGATGCTTAGTTTCACTGGATACAAATTCTTGGCTGGTAATCTTTTTGTTTAAGGAGGCTGAAGATAGGGCCCCAATTCCTTCTAGCTTGTAGGGTTTCTACTGAGAAATCTGCTGTTAACCTGATAGGTTTTCCTCTATAGGTTACCTGGTGCTTTTGCCTCACAGCTCTTTAGATTCTTTCCTTCATCTTAACTTGAAATGGTTTTCTTTTAATCTACCTAATCTTTTCAGTTGTACTTACTAACATATTATCCATTCTCCCCTTTCAACCCCTTTTCTGCCTTCTTTTGGATTAATATAGTAATTTTTACTTTATTTTTCTTCCTCTACTGCCTTTTCTCTAGTGGTTGTCCTAAGATTTACCATATCTGACTTTAATATAATCTTTTACCTTCAAATAACTTTATGAGAATCAAACCACAATATTCTTCTAATTTCTCATTTTTTGTCCTATTTTTGTTATGAATTTTATTTTACATACAATAAAATGATATCAGTTTTTAGACAGTCAACTAACTCAAACTCTTTATTTGGATATGATTGTAGATTTAGATACAGTTGTAAGAAATAATAAAGATCATGTGTGTGTACACATTACAGTTTCTCCCATTGGTAGCATATTGCAAAAGTATAGTAGAAAATTTTAACCAGAATATCAACCTTGATACAGTCAAAAGACCTCCATCACCACACCGATCCCTCGTGTTGCCTTTTTGTAGCTACAACCACTTATATTCCTGCACCAAACCCCTCCATAACCCCTGACAATCACTAATCTGTTTTCTATGTCTATCATTTTATTATTTCAAGAATGTTATATAAATGAAGCAATATATGTAACTAGGTGAGATTGGCTTTCTCCCTTCAGAATAATTCTCTGAAGATTCATTCAGATTGTCACATTCATTAGTAGTTTGTTCCTTTTGATTGTTGAGTCGTATTCTGTGGTATAGATGTACAACAGTTCATTTAACATTTGCCAATTGAAGGAAACCTTGGTTGCTCAGTTTTGGGCTATTACAAATAAAACTTTCATAAACATTCAGCTACAGGTTTTTGTGTGAAAATAATCTTCGTTTCTCTGGAACAAATGCCCAAGAGTGCAGTCAGTAGGTCTTGTGGTAGTTGCATGTCTAGATTTTTAAGAAAGTGACAAACTGTTTTCCAGAGTGGCCATACCATTTTACATTCTCACCATCAATGTATGAGTGATTCTGTTTTTCTGCATCCTTGCAAATGTTTGGTGCCTTATGACTATATTTTATTTTAGCCATTCAGATAGCAGTATAGCGATATCTCATTGTGGTTTCAGGTTTTAATTTATAGTTCTCTAACTACTAATGTTGAACATCATTTTTAGGCACTCATTTGTCATATATGTATCTATTCTCTTTAGTGAAAAGTCCCTTTGTATCTTTTGTCCATATTCTAATTGGGCAGTTTGCTTTTTTTACTGTTAAGTTTTGAGAGTTCCTTATATATCCTAGATACTAGCCCACTATAAGATATATATTTGGTAAATATTTACTCCCAGTTTATAGCTTGTCTTTCCAGACTCTTAATAAAATCTTTGGCAGAGAAGTCTTTATTTGAAGCCCCATTTATCATTTTTTCCTTATATAGATTGTGCTTTTTGTGTCAGTTCTAAGATCCCAATGCCTAACCTTAAATATCAAAGATTTTCTCCTATATTTTTTCCCCTAGAGGTTTTATAATTATATATTTTACATTTAAGTCTGTGAACCCTTTTGAGTTAATTTCTGAGGAAGGTGTAAGACTCAGGTAGGAAAGGTTTTTTTCTTGTTTTTTTTTATTTTCATTTTTGCTCATGAGTTTTCACTCTCTCCAGAACCATTTGTTGTAAAGGTTCTCTTCCCTCCATGGAACTGCTTTCGGACTTTTATCAAAAATAAGTTGGGCAAGTTTGTGTGGGTTTATCTTTACTCCCTCTATTCTCTTTCATTAATTTGTCTTGTATATATAATATTTATAAATATATTAATATATGAGAGAAAATTTTATAATTTTAAATGTTGTCAAAACATGATTTTTTTCCTGCTGCTATTACAAAGACTTACTTCTAACCTAAGATCAGATATTCACCTACATTTTTCTTTATTTTCTTTTATGTTTTATAATTAATTTAGAGAATTTTTAACTTGGTAGTTTTTTAATTATATGAGTAATATATGTTTCTGTTTAATAAACATAACATCTAATTCAAAAAACGCTTTCATGCCTATGTTCTCGTATATTCTGAAAAGCCAATTTAGACTGTTATGCATAGCATAAAAATATTAAAAGAAATAACAGTGGGAAACATAATTGGCTAATATAGACTAAAAAAAAAACCCGTATGTGTATATGTATTTGTGTGTTGGGGTGGGGAGTGCATGCATTTGTTGACACTACGACATCCATAAGCTCTGATCTCACGCATACAAATAGGCTGCTTAGACCTATGCCCATTCCTTCACTAATTCATTTACCAGTGTATTTCATATCTCTTCTTTTACTTAATAAATATTGCCTCAAGTGGTTCATTTGTTCCATATACAGAGAATATAGCAATGAACCGAGTGTGTACCAATAAACACTGACTTTGCTCTTTTGTAGTTATCATGTTGAGAAAGACTCCATTCTACCCTTTTGTTCTGTGGTTTATAAATGGCAGATGTACAAAATGCTGGCACCACTTGCAATTTCTACTAGGTTGTCACTTAAGATATTAAGAACATGCCTCACTAGAAGTGGGGTAGTATTACAAAAGCATCTTAATTATTTTCTCTCTCTAGTTTCTCAGGTGGACTAGGGATATTAGACCTGCACAGGGTAGGGAATGTCTAAATTGGATATTAAAGAGTAACTGGAATTGTAGTAGATAGACGTTGAAGTTAAAGGTTTCCCAGGCACAGGCAGCAACATTAACGGCATAAGATTTGGACTTTAGTGGTGCTTCCATGAAAGACAGAGTTGTGCAGTGAGAGCCTGTGGCCAACAGGAGGTGGGGAAGAGAAGATGGAGACTTCTGTCAGCACTGAAGATCCAAAATGCAGAGTCAGAGTACGCAGTATGGATTTGGCAAGGATTGTGAACAACTTTTGGAAGCAACAGTAACAAGCCCTCTTGCAAATGACACTTTTTGTACTCTTCTAGACCTATATAAGAAAAGCAATATATTTTTTTGAATCTAGAATGGCCTTGATTTAAATAACTGACAAAATGGCACAGAAAAGTAAATTAAGGACCAGTCTTACAAATAATGATAAAAACAATACAAATTAAAAATATAATAAAATTAAATGAAATTTAAAAAAGAATAACCCTGAGCAATCAAGTCTAGAGTATAGACCTGAGGAGTATCTTAAGAGATCAAAGGATAAAAACTATATGAAGACCTAAATAAATGCAAAAAGAAACGGACATGGTGGCTCACGCCTGTAATCCCAGCAATTTGGGAGGTCAAGGCAGGCGGATCACGAGGTCAGGAGATTGAGACCATCCTGGTTAACATGGTGAAACCCCGTCTCTACTAAAAGTACAAAAATTTAGCCAGGCGTGGTGGCACGCACCTGTAATCCTAGCTACTAGGGAGGCTGAGGCAGGAGAATTGCTCGAACCCAGGAGGCGAAGCTTGCAGTGAGCCGACATCATCATGCCACTGCACTCCAGCCTGGGTAACAGAGTGAGACTCTGTCTCAAAAAAAAAAAAAAAAAGAAAAACAACTGAGATTTCTTTCCGATTTAAAACAAAGAAATAAAACTTGATAGAAAAGGAAAAATCAGATATTCCATGGCAATATTATATGTGTATGTGTGTTTGTGTGTGTGTGTGTGTGTGTGTGTGTGTGTGTGTAAATGTATGTATTTAACATATAGGCTGGCCAAAGTCAAGGCTGAAGGTTGATGTCACCAACAGAAAATAGACTAAAGGCTTATAGAATAATTATGGAAATTTATTTTAGAATGTTTATTTCGTAATTAAAAACTATTAAAGTCACATTTTAAGTATGACTTTACTGTGTAGGGACAGTGATTTCCAGGATTCTCCGCAGCCAGATCACACCTGCGGCCACGACACTGGATACTGGCGATACTGTGCGGGCTTTTGCGCCTGAGGTCATTAGAGATATTTGGGGCAGTATCTTGATTTCTCTAAACTTTTTTCCTTCCTCTATGTTCTTCTGTCTGGAATTTACATGATTCATTATGGATGCTATTGTACATAATTTTGACATTGATTTTGATTTTTCTTTCCTGTGAAATTTTGAATGGGCAAACTTGACATTCTGCTTTTAATGTACCCTAATAAGAAGTGACAAATTCTCTAAATATACTTTTATTTGGAGGATGCCTGTTCTAAATGAATTTAAATAGCTAAAGGTAAATACAGTTCCTAAGGGTTATTTTGGCTACTATAAATGTTAGCACAAAAGAATTTTATGAAGTTTGAAGTTATGATATGCTTTTATTGTTTCTGTTGCATTTCAAAAGAATTTACAGTTGTTGGCCTAAAAATGGTCTAACTAAATAATCCACTCGTCATGTTTATAACAACTGTTAATCTATTTTATTAATCATGGGCAAGCTTTTAATAATTACTTTTTCTCATAAAGATAACTCATAATCATTAATTATTGCACCACTTAAAAACTATAGTTAATAATACTGTATTGCACACTTGAAATATGCTGAGAGTTGATCTTAAGTGTTTTGTGTCTCATCATGCACAAAAAAATTGTAACTATGAGGAGATATGTTAATTAGCTTGATTGTGGTAATCATTTCACAATGTATATGTATATCAAAATATCAGGTTTATACGTTAAATATGTACAATTTTTACTTCTTAATTATACCTCAGTAAAGCTGGAAAAATATCTTACTATCTTATATGTGACCAGTAGCAGATCAACATACAAAATACAAAATAAAAAATAAAGCATTTGTTCAAAATAATGCAGAATGTTTATCCTTACAAGAAGTGAATATTAAAAGATATTGCAGCATGTTCAAAAGATATATCTTGTTTGTATTATTGACACTGTTATGGTTGTTCGATATCATAGTAGTCTACATGATCATTTGACCACTGATTACACACTAAGGTCAGAAAGTAACCACTCAGATATTCATTCAGCTTTCCAAAGGCCCCAGGTCAAGACAAAACCAAATTGTCAATATGGGCAGAATATCAGAACCATGGCTGAACATTTGAGCAGCCCTAATGTAAATGCATGTGTGTTTGTATGTGTGTATATATGTGGCCGCAGATAGATGATAGGTAGGTTAAAAGACAAACTGCATCATCTCTTAAAGCTAGTAAGGATTTAATGTTGTCGTTTTCTTTGAACATCTTGCTTAAATGTTTAATTAGAGTTATTATGTCTAAACAAAACCCAACATCATGTACAATAATAAAACGCTAGGATCCCAGATAAACTCAGGACCCATTTAAAAATGTCCGCTCACCATTGTTGTTTAACCAGTCACATTATTTAACCAGACAGGAAAGTAATGTCTGGTCAGGGCCAAGGTAGTCAAGGGCCTGCCTGGGTAAGTCTATGTTGCGTGGTCTCTGTTTGGAAGCTGAGGGTGTTTGGTCCATTACGGCTGTCAGGACAACCCATGCTCACTAAGCTAATGGAAACCAAAGTCTCATAAAAGAAAATGTAACACTTCAACATTTTCTTCTATTTGTTTGTTTATTGTTTTAGAGTTTTTATCTTTCTATTACATAAGAAATGGAGCTTTAGGTTCACATTAAGTATGAAATATATAGAGCAAAATTCTTGCTACACCCGTTTTATAAAATAATGATCAATATTTGTACCAAATGCTTCTCTCATTTATTCCTCACAAAAAAATTACATGCAACATGAATTAGTAAGTTACATTTCATAGATAAGGAAATCAAAGCTACAATTTGCCCAACATCTCACCATAGTTAGACACAGGCCATCATACTTCAAATCTGCATCTTCCCTACTCTTCCCTGATGCCCGTTGGTCATGTTCGCACCTGTTTTCCTTGGCACAAGGTCTGCATAGCTTAATAGAGCAGTGAGGTCCCTGAAAGTCAGAGGACTTGCTGGGGTTTATGCCAGAGCAAAGTTCCATGCATTTCTCAAGACACTTGCTCGGTGCAGCACCTGACTTTATCCTAGAGCAGGGGCTATCGCTCCTGGCAGCCCAGCAACCACACTAAGCTCAGCCTCTGCACAGCCCTGGACTTCTTCCACCCTCTCTCCATTTCTGTAATTACCTCTAAATTTAACACATGGTCATTAATGATGGTGCCTATGAGAATATGATAATATTTTCCTTCCTTTATTGGATAAGTCCATCTGCCTGTCTTTCCCTACATTTTTAACAAGTGCAGCCTTAGATTAGCAAACCATGGGTTTTTTTTCCTGACCCCAGCTTCCATGCAAAGCTTCTGGCTTTCTCTATTCTAAAGTTCACTGAAGTATTTTTCTGCTTTCCTGCAGTTTTTAAGTAGATAATAAGTTCCAAAATTCACCAGCCTTTCGCTGAAAGAAGCTTGTCACGGTGGTTGGTAGCTAATGAAGGCCCCTTTAGTTTATCTTCATCAATTGTCAAATATTTGAGTCCGTGAAGTGGTGTGATGAGGTACAAAGACAGATATTTGAAGGGATTTTAACTCATTTGAGCAATTACATGCTTAACTGCCCTGCAATAATCTGTCAGTCTGAGTCTTTTCTACACAGCACAAGTGGGGAGCGTTAGAATAGCTGGATTTAGAACATAAAGGCTTAGTCTGAATGGAAGAAAGGCACCAGAGAGATTAATTGCCAGTAACAAACAGCAGGGCTGCTTGCAAGTTATATATCACATAGTTACCTACCAGCAGTGATGGGGGCCAGCTCACAGAGAGCAGCCCGGGTTGGGACAAAACAACCTCTGCACAGAATCCTGAGCACTGCCACCAATTTGCAGGGAGGTAGAGAATTCCATTTCTTAAAAGTATATACTTGCATGTAACGTACACACACATTCATACATGCAATAAAAGCATAATATTGAAAAGTAGCAGCTTTTGTGGACAAACTCATGAATTTAGAGGCTCCTTCTCAGGCTGTTCATCTAATAGTCAACTGAGATTGCTAACCCATCATCCCCACATGATAACAGTGTGATTTATTCAAGTACTACAAATTAAAATAAATAGCAATGACCAGAAAGCCAAAAATGATTTCAAAAAAGAACAAATCACTAGCTGATTTCAAAACTTACCATAAGCCACAGTCATCAAGACAGTGTCGTGTTGGTATAACTGTAGACATACAGACCAATGGAACAGAATAAAATCTCTACATAAAATAAAGAAAATAATTTCATGAACGAATTTCCAGCCTAAAAAAACAAACATCAGGGAAATGGGTTTTTGTTACTGTTGTTGCAGTTGTTACTGAATGTTGATTTATTTTTTACTACCCTTCCTGGACTCCCGTTTGCTGTGCTGCTTTTCCAGCAGGAGACATCTAAAATGATAGCATGTTCATTATATTTATAGACTATGATGTAGGATGAGATATTCTTCCACTTATTCATGTGTCCATTCACTAATTCACTTGTTTATTCATTGACCTAATATTTCCGAAGTATCCCTTGAAGCTCATTGAGGGGAGATAAAGAGTGTGCCTAGGATGGGGTTCCGGGGACCATGTGTAAAGAAGGTGACATCTCAGGGGTCTTTGAAGACTGGCAGAATGCCTAGGGAAGTGAAGAGGGACAGGCATTTCATGTGGAGCAAATAGCATGAGCAAAATATGGTAAAAAGAACACTGGCTTAGATGTAAGGAGTGTCTACCTTGGGAGGCCAAGCTGTGGAAACATGATTAGAAAGTCAGGTTAGAGGCAGAGCATGAAGGGCCTTTAGTGCCACATCAAAGAGGTTGTACTTAACCTGTGGCTGAGGATCCAGCATGGGAAGTTTTGGGGGTAACAGCTATGTTTTAAGAAGGTCTACCTGAGAGAAATTATATGAGGAGAAAAAAACTAAACCAGTAAAATAGCTTTATTGGTATCCCAAGCAAACGCATAATGATAGTGTTGTATGCTAGGAAAGGAGGGATGGAGAGAAGGAAGGATAGTTGGAATTAACAGGACTTGTCCTCTGCTTGGATATGGTGAATGATGAAGAGGAAGGCATAGAAGATGGCTCCAGGTTTTGAGCCAGGGTGTTAGAGAGGGGAATTGTTGCCATTAAAAAGGAGGGCTCAGCTCAGGGGAGAGGGATGAAGGGCAGATCTGAACAAGATGACTGTGTTCTTTCAAACAAATAGTGTCCATGGTAGCTGTTCTGGTCCACAGTAGATCAGAAGGCAGAGTTAGGGCTCTAAACAGTGCTCATGGCCCAGGACACAGGTCTCGCGTTGTCTGCACCAGCATCATGGTTGAAACCTGGAGCCTGGGTGAGATGATCAGGGGCAAGCACAGAACAGGGAGTTCCATGGGGAAGAGAGTGGCACACTGATCTTTGGCAACTCTTTCCTCTGTGCAAACCTTGGACTGAGGACTTGCAAATGCATTCCGTTATCTCATGTAATATCCACTGCCACCCTGCAAGACTCATCTTTATTCCTTTGTGGTCAGTATGTGTCATGACCAGGTCTGGCCTGACTTTGAGGGATGAAGAGGCAGGTAAAAAGGAGAGTGAGAGAGAAAATAAGAGGAAAGCTCATCTGTGGAAAAACTGGTAGCATTTCATAAATGAAGCAGTTTTCCTTCTGTGTGCTGTAGTTTCCTCCTCTCAAAACATGTGACAGCCTCACAGATGAGAATGGGTGAATGAAAGGATCACGTTCACCAGTAAGGAGCTACTCAGTCCATCTCTAGAGAATAATGCAGAATAGATGTGCAAAAAGAGAAAATTGTCATGCTGAGTTATGCACTTTTTCTGCCACTCTTGAGTCATCTAAATTTTCAAGATTCTCTTTGTGTACCTATTGGTTAGCATATAATTGTTGCTCAATACATCTTTATTAAATGAATCAGTTGACACACAAAAGGCTCAGCAACCATATCTATATGCCTTTGGCCTTAAAGTGTGGATTTAGACCAGGAAGAAATTAAGATCAGTAATAAAAGTGCACTGTAGACAGTTTCTTGGCTGTCTCCATAGGAGGTGGCAGGATGAGTGGTGGTGGATGGCCAGGGATTTGCTGTTTCTAAGGAAAAAGTGAAAGGTCTACACTAGAAGGGGAAGCCCTAGAGAGGAATTTAATCATGTGAGAAGGTAGAGAAGCGTCATTTTTTTTCAGCCAGGAAGTGTATATAATGAATCAAACCATTCCCAAGGTATTCATTAAATGGTATTTGATCCCTGTTATTTGAGAGACAATGGGACTTCCAATAGCACGCTTCTGGATTTGCTTACCCATTGGAGAGATAAATTTTTGCTTTTCCACCCATGATTCGCACCCAGCCCCATTTGGGGGCAATGTATTTGGAGTCAGCTTGCCAGCATTAGGAAGGAATTTCTAACACGGAACATACTAGACAAGTGGTCCATCTAGACATTGCCTGGATGACAGGTTTTTCCTAACTAGCCATGTGTTCCATATATAATGTAGTAATGACTGCACAAAAAGCACCCAGTGTGATCATTCTCTTCTCTCCTTCCTCCATCCCTTCCACAAGCAAGTAGTAAGCAACCAATTTCTGCTCCCAGAGCTATGGAAGAACTCCTAATAACAAATGGCATGAATGGAGACCTCCCATTCCCCAGCTAGGTTTAAAGATTTTTAGTCCAAAGCAGCCCAGCCCAAGCTTAAATTTTTCAGAAGTGCCAACTTCACCTTAGCATGCCATTAAATATCACATGGTGCTTTTTAATATATTCATCCATTTTAATAGAAAAATGCTTGGTTTCCAAAATATTTGCATAAAATAGTGCTCTCACTTTGCTATACAACTTGGCACCACACATCGCTAGACTTGCTGAACCCCAATTTGAGAAGTATGTTCTTGGGAAAGAGATGGAAAGTAAGATGACCACCCTCAAATCCCATAGTCTAGTAGGGATGACAAATGGAGAAGCAACAGTATAGCATGATAATAGTTATGAAAGCAGCACACTTGGAGCCTTTGGGATGGTGACAAGTGCTGCACTCTTGCCATATAGTTTTGTCACACAATTAGGATAAATGGCCTAACCGAGCACTTCCCAGAGACGTTGAAGCTGACAAGCTAAGGAAGGTCTTTGATCTATAATGAATATATACCACATCATTTCAGAAAGTTGCACGTAAGACACTTAGTTCTAAACATCGTATTACTGCTCAGGGCCATTTCCAGGTGCAGTTTGCCATCTGCCTCCAGCCAGAGTGTGAGTGCCTACACCCCCAGACTGGCCCAGAGTTAGACAATATGTGCTGTTCCTTCCTCTTTGCATCACCCAGGCAAGTCTGTCTCCACAGCACAACTAACCAGCAGCTTGGCACTCCCTTTCCACATGGAAATGGCTATTCCACCACCTCCAGCTCATCCCAACCATGGGATTGTTCCACCAACCAGCTACCATGTCTCGGGATCCCTGTGCTTCTAGACAGCGCTCACCTGTCCTGCTGCCGTCACTGTTGGTGTGATCTTTGATTTGAAACAGACAGCTCACACTGAATTTCAAAGTGCTCTAGTAACAGTAACGATATTCCCGGGCACTCTTTGGAGCCCAACTGATTCTGTGGACAGCAGCACAGGAACTCCACATAATCTGTTTATTCCTATTGTCCAAGTGGCAGCATATGGCGATGGGAGAGAGCACACCTATGTACCGATGTGACTTACCGTCGCTGGCAGTCGTATGGTACACTCTGATAGCTGCACACAGGAGCACCGTGGGACACTGAATGCCTCAGCTATCAGAAACACAACACATGCCCCTGCTATATGTAACCAAACCCTCCTAAGTCATAAGACATGCACTGTGCTGATGCTTGACTGCTAAATCAGAGACAAGATTTCCTTCATGTCTTTAGCACAGCTTGCCTTTGGAGGGCCCTACATTTCAACAGTTGTGGAAAGGCTCCTCTCTAAAGGCAAACTGATGGGTAACTTCTCTGTTTAATGTCTTCAAGGCTCCCCTGTTTCATAAATGTGAAAGACTGAACTCCATGGTATGAACCAATGCATGAGTCATCTCCCTACCCACCCTCTGTAGGGAGCTGCTTGTCAATCCCCAAACACGTTGTTCTCTTGTGCCCCACTATGCTTCTGCTCACAATATTTCTTCTCCCTGGAATGCCATTCCTTCTTCTTCTACATAGGAAACTTCTGTTTGGCCTTCCAGGCCGTGCTGGGATGCTACCTTGTCTTTCAGCACAGTGAGTCACCCCTCCTTTGGTCCCCAGAGCATGTGTGCATGCTTCTTTTGTAGCACAGCTTTGGCTACTCCATCCTGATTTATCTGTAGATGTGATTCTCAATTTGCTCTGATTCTCCTGAGAAAAGGGTCACATCTTTGTAACCTTTGTCCTGGTCCTTAGTGGAGTATGTGAAAGGTAGTAGATATTCTACCCTCCTTTTGCGAACTTTGGATTTATTTAGACCTATGAAACACAGGCAGAGCTAGGACTTCCTTCAGAATCAAAGTCAAACAGAAACTCAGATACATCCAGGGGCCAAGTGAGTAGCAGAAAAGAAATGAATAATGTGCACTCAGTGGAGACTTTGATAAGCTGAAGCACTCATGACCTGGTTCCAGCGAAGGGGCAGCACTCAGCTCCAGCCAGTCAGGGCCAGGCAGGGCTGTGGGGTCAGTACAGTCAGGTCTTTTGATTCCCATCTACTCCCACCATCACTCCACTGAGACACTCCAGAAATCCACATTTTTGTTTAAATTTTTTCCAACTTTTAAGTGAGAGAAACTAACCTTAAAACCTCTAAGATAATGTTTACAAGAAGCATAACAAATCTGTGAGTAAGATATAACCAAGAAATTGCCAGATTTGAACCCGACTTTACCTAACCTCTTCTCGTCATATTGCAGGAAAGGCTAAGTCTTCCTCACCCCTAACCAGATACCTCTAAAAGTGCAGAGGCGAGTGTAGCTGATTAATTATGAGTGTTAATAGCCTGATGCTTTTAAAGCATCAGTGTTGAGAGGAAGTTATGTCATCAAGGGGGCAGTTTAATATACTAGTATAAACATTATCTTTTCTCTACCTAATGCACCCTCAAATTGTCACCTCCAAATATTGAAACATAAATGCGCTTGGAATTTATAGTACTGAATACAGTGGAACAAGGTCAAGCCGTAAGTCTAACATTTCATATGTTTGACTTTCATATCTGACATTCCCATTCCCTTGGGGCACAACTTTTTAATTATTATTTGTAGATCATCTTTTTCTTAACCACCTGAGAAGTGCAATTATCACCCTGAAATGCTGTGTCTGAGGTCTCTTTTTTTTCTGAAATGGAAATCTTATATCGAATTAGAGACTTAAGCATACAATTTATTGCTATAGAATCCCTGACAGCCAGTCAAAAAGATGTGTGTCCACAATGTGAAAACTGGTTCATAATTACAGTGAAACTTAGATCATTTTAAAAAGGAAAAAAAAAAAACAGATGCAATCTCTATTGTTTTTCATAAGATTACTATTTTCCTCCTATCACCAACATTATTCATATCATGGATGCCAATTTTTGCCCCTTCTACCATCTTGATCTTGATCATGAAGTACAGGAATAAGTCATTTTTTAATGAAATTTAATGAATGCACATTTGTTCTCCATTCCACATTTGCTGACTGAATACTCTCCGGCATGCTGGCACATTACCAAAACAGACCGCCATGGCATGAATGAAACTCCAGCTAACATCTGAAGGGAGCAGAGCTCCTAACGGGTTTTAAATCCAAGAGCTCAGAACCACCAGTTGAGATACTTAAGATCCATCGTCTTTTCCCTAAGATGAAAGCAGATGTTCAAGTGAGTAGCATGTGTCTGCAGTAACAACACTGGAAGTTTAAAGGGATGATGTTAGGGGAGGGAATGGAGTAGAAGGGTGTGGAAGGAGGAAAAGCACCCCTCTCCAGAACTCCGATGGCCAAGACCTGGCCAAAAGACATGACTGTATTTGAAGCTTTGCAATCTCTTAGTTCCAGCTGACTAGTCTATGAAGTATAGGCAAATTTATGCCATTTACAATGAATTTGTTTCTTGAGTAATTGACTGGAACTGATTAAGTAGTTAACTTGTCCTAGGTATGATTCCTACTAGGCATTGCTCTTGGAAGAATAGAATTAAAGTTACCAGTGTGCCCAGTTGCAAACTTAATATCATCTGTTTTCAGTTGTAGGTTGAGACAGAACTTGCAGTTCAGCTAGTGATTCCAGCCACCTAGCTAGTGCCTGAATCCCCTATGTGACAGATCAACAAAGCGTTATCCATGTTGCAGTTCTGTACCTCCTATAATAGGGAAACTTACAAATATTTTTCCAATACTGAATCTATCCCTTTTAGGTTTACATCCATTGGCCTAAACCTAAATTATGAGGACATCCAAAACAAAATTAATTTCTTATCTGTATGACATCTCTGTAGCCTTTCTTCAAACAGAAACAGACAGCACTTAAGATCTTCAATGACTTTTTTGTTCCTGGTTAAATATCCATTTTTTTCACTTGCTCTACATATAATGTGGCTTCTTGGCCTTTGCTTGACAGCATAACTCCCCATGGAAAGAAGTTCATAATCTCAGATCTAGTACTAACTAGCTGTGAGCCTTGTGCAAGCCACTGCTTACTCAGTAAATTGGGGAGCTATCTTAGACTGGAGTTTTTCTGACTTCACTTCTACTCCTTAAAAATAATTTGTGTTTATATCTCTCCTTTTTTTGCTGCTGAGCCAAACGAGTTATACAAATCAAAATATTCAACAGTATTTTGTTTATTCATCCACTTAACCTCTATTTGTTTAACATTTATTCCGTGTGGGCTGTTGAAATAAATTAAAATGGAGACCAGGCATGAAGAATCTCTGCAAAGATAGAGCTAGTTAGGCTTCATAAGTGACCTTAACTTTGCTTGAATTGCAAACACAAGCAAACTTAATTTGGGCTATTTCTTATAAATGCCCATGTTAAAGAAAAATGAAACTTAAGACTTATCAGTCAGAAGCTGCCAACTAACTTCAAGTTTTATAAGTAGAGAGTTTCCAGGAGGACAGACAAAATAAGGCAACAGTATGACTGTAACCAATCAAATATTTCTTTGCTTCACTCCCGTGTTCACCCCATAAAAGCCTTCCTTTTGCATTCTCTTGGTACAGAACTTGAACCACTTCTGATTTGTAGCCGTGTAGTTCATAAATCTCTATTTGTTCAAATAAACTCTAAAATTTTACTGTGACTCAGTTTACCTTTTAACACAGCTCTGTGTTAGATCGGGCGCTAGGATTATGGCCGATGACAAAACATAGTCCCTGCCCTTATGGAACTGTCATTTTTAGTTAGGTCATCAACCCAGACCAATTCCCTGGCAGTTTGGTCTCCCTGTCCTGGGAGTAATGAAAGACTGGAGAGAGAAGCTGCTCCTTCGGAAGAGCTGTGACCCCCTCCTGGCCTAGTTTTTCCATGAGGGTATTGCTGTCATAATGAGAGGCCCTGAACCTGTGGACATGGAAGGAATTGGAGGTTACTCTGTCAATTCCCCACACACGTGAAACTCTTTAACCCCTTTCCACCTATCTCCCCTGCACCACTGGTGCCACTGTCAACATCTACCTCTGCTCCTCGCCTGTCAGTTTCCCTGTCATGTGACTCTCCCAACTGCATGCATCGCTTCACCACCCTGGTGTGAATATGTTTTATGGGGAGGCTCCTTGCCACAGACGTTCCCAGAAGCCCAAAGGAACCGTCCTTTGGAATCATCCCAATAGGTGGAGCACGTTTCTCCAAATCAGTTAAGTACCTTGTGTTCGTTTCTTTATGATTGATGTTACATATCGTATGTGTAAGGAGTTCAGGATGCCTCTTACCCCTTTCCTTTAAGTATTCTGAACAAAGGGGAATGCAAAGTGAGGTAAGTTTCACTTCATAAATACAGACAGGTCCCTATCCCTCTTCAAATGAAGGGCTTCTGATTGGAGAATGGCACTGAGGTCCTGGATTCAGCAGGATTTCTTGCCCCTAAAGCAAATCTGAGTCTGACCCCAGACTAGCCTTCTATGGATCCACCTCAGGCCAAAGAGGGAAGAATGGAGCACTTGTACAAGCTGCTTGGTCGCCTTACTATCATGCAGACAGAAAGTAGAAAACTGTCCCCCTTTTCTAGAGTCAATGAGTGAGGCAGGAAGTAGGAAACTGACAAAAGAGTATACTGCTCATGGGTAGAGACTTTTTTCAAGAAAGCAAGACCACCTGGGGAGTGAAACCCCTTCCTCTGCACTTCACGGCACCTTGCAAGTATTTCTTTTTTTCTTTTTCTTTTTTTTTTTTTGAGATGGAGTCTCGCTCTGTCACCCAGGCTGGAGTGCAATGGCGCGATCTCAGCTCACTCCTTGCCTCCTTGCCTCCTTGCATGTATTTCTCTTTTTTTTTTTTTTTTTTTTTTTTTTTTTTTGAGACAGAGTCTCGCTCTGTCAACCAGGCTGGAGGGCAGTGGGTTGATCTTAGCTCACTGCAACGTCCACCTCCCGGGTTCAAGCAATTCTCCTGCCTCAGCCTCCTGAGTAGCTAGGACTACAGGTGCATGCCACCACACCCGGCTAATTTTTTTATATTTTTAGTAGAGACAGGATTTCACCATGTTGGCCAGCAGGGTCTCTATCTCCTGACCTTGTGATCTGCCTGCCTTGGCCTCCCAAAGTTCTGGGGTTACCAGCATGAGCCACGGCGCCCCGCCCCTTGCATATATTTCTATGTGGTGTTCCTCATTTTGTAACTGTTCATTTTCCTATGAGTGCCCTGTTACACACTCAGGCTCTTGAGGGAAGTGCTGTGCTGCATTCACCCATATCTAACTAGAGCATGGCCCCAGCAGACATTCGCGGAATGTTTGCTGAACACGTGCCTTGGCTCTCATCTCTCTCTAAATAGTCAAGGTCCTTCATTTCTCCATGCTATCACTTCCTGTGGCCATTGTAGGAATTCAGGATAAATACTTTGCTTGTGGAAAAGGAAGTTCTAGAAACGAAAGTTTGCTTTTTCCTCTTCATTATCCCATTTTGATGGCTATAATTACATTGTGGTTTTTTTGAAAATCATAATGGATTAACAAACAGAATAGCTCATAATTTGTGATAAGTTTCAAACCATCATTGACATAACCTTTTTATTTTCTTTTTATTTACAAAACCATAAAATGCAAAGATGGAAATAATATATTGAAATATGTTATACAGTTTTTAAGTTCTTGATGAAGTCAGTTAATGGGTTTATTTACATTTCAAATGAACTTTAAAACATCAATCATGCAAGGTAGCCTTCTAATAGCGGCACTTATGAATATACAATGTATTTAATATGGCACATTAAATAAGAAAGGATAAAGATGCTTGCTGCATCTACCGACAAAATCCTATTGATACAATTGGTTCAATGAAGTTGTCAGAATTTAGCAAGAAAAAACAAATGACCTCTACATTCATCACCGCTCAAGGTTCTTGCTAATTAGCATCTAGAGATATCATGTTATAGATGCTTCTTTAAGAGCTATCAGCTCTCTAACTCTGCCTAGTGACATGGTATCTATCAAAGTCTCATGGTGCCTGCAGTTCTGACAAAAGGCACTCCAAAGAACTGGCACGTACCACCATATTTGCATTTTTGCATCTCATTATGAACATAATTGCATACCAACACAGCAATTCTTCTTGACTATCTCAAAAAACATTATCAGCAATGTCTGAAATAAATGCTTAAATGTCAACTATTGACAAGCAAGAAAAGCTGACCTTTGAAGGTCCTCATTCTGAGATGCGCCCTGCTATGACTCACTTTTTAACTTTCTGTCTGTGTTTGATAACAGAAAAGGAACACAGTGGCTCTGAGAATTGTGTTTTTGTATGACAAACCAGAAGGGAATCAAGAAATTGCAAAACTGCAATCCATTTATCATTCCTACTAGGAGTCATTTGAGATTGGTTGAATATTTGCCATGACAATTCTTAAAGCCACTGAAACTTCAGAGAGAGTGGACATCAAGAAGTTTACAATGGAATTTCTGCAAAATTACATAGTGACTCTACATTAACAACTGAAATGAGTTTATCTGTGATTAATGTTATGACAAAGAACCAAACAACCTTTCTACTACGAGCATGCAACCCATTTTACACATTGTCACAAGTAGAGTCTGAGTGTTGGACAAGTACCAGCAGCTAATCTAAAACTGCACAGAACCATTTACACCCTCTCTCCAAGAGCTCATCTCACTAGAGTGGCCTTCAGCACATAGATCTCATATTCTATCATATGCCTTTAGCCTGTCATCATCCTATGCTTGGAACTACCTCAATTTGCACAGCAACTTGGTACACATTTTTTTAAAAGCACTAATCAACTTCAACTCATGTTGAAATGCTGCAGATATGGCTGCCAATGTCCAAAAAATGCTAATCAATTTTGAAAATCTACATCATGGCTTGCATCCCAGATTTTCCACCCAATCCACATCAAATGGAAATGATAGAAAATTATGTTAACATGTTCAGCCGCTTGTTTGCTTGTTTTAGCTGAGGCATTGGTCATGCTTCAATGGCAAACTAACCGCCTGTTTGGAAGCTCATCCAGTTTGCACTACTTTGGGTGACTATGTGGCAACAATGTGAAGTGGCTGTCACACTTCACTTTCAAAGACTGGGATTTCCATATGAATCCTTTCCCTTATTTTGCTTTTGAAGTACATAGGGATTTTTTTTTTTTCTTAGATGGGGGAATATGCATTGTTAATGCTTCTAATTCTCCAAAGAACATCCCCTAGTGGAAAAGCTGCTTCTTTGATAGGCATGGCACAGAAATCTATATTTCAGGCCCACCGAGTAAATCTAGACACTATAGAAAAGAGAGAATAGTTTAATGCACAAAGCCTATATACATAAGCCTCTCCCTGAAACAAGAAAAAAAAAAATCCTTCTCAGAATTTAGATCAGGGAAGGATCTCAGAAACCAGTTAGTCTAACCTCCCAGTTGCCAAGGATGGCCTCCAAAGACCTCCCAGAAAGACAGGCCTTCCAATGAGGAGAATTCTACTAGTCCACACCAAGGGAAATTTTACTAAGAGGCAAACCCATTGATTCAAAAATTAATTCTAAATCTGGGCTCAAAACTTTCTCTTTGAAATCTCTCCTGAGTGGTGCTAGGCTGTTCTGAAGGTAGACAAAGTGCAAACCATTGGCCCTTTTCCTGACGGCAACCACTTGTCACTTAGTCTTCTTGGCCCAGGGGAAACAGAGTCCCATTCAGTCCTTCGCTTCCCATTAGATGTAGCTCCTCAATGCCTCCTTGATTTCCTGTCAACTTTCTCTGGTCATTCCCTAATTGGTCAGCAGCCATTTTAAAACACTTAGAACTGCCCCAGGACCAGACTGGACAGTCTCAGTGGCACTGCTGCTTCTGGGACTCTGAATGTCATGATTCTGTGAAAACAACCTCAGAGCACTTTGGCAAATTTAACAGCAGGAACATCCTTGTTGGCACTTAAGAAATTCACAATCAGCCTTACTCCCCACCTAAAATCAGTTGATTCACTACTTTTATTCTCATTTTTTTTATGATGCTAAAGACTAAATTCTTAAGAGGTCCTTGGAGGTGAGGAGACTCTTCTTTGTCAAGGACATGAAGTGCTGGCCTGTATTCATCATCATCACAGCAGCAACAGCCAAATCCAATCCTTATTGAGCAATTAGATTTGCTACTCAGTAGCTAAGATCTGTGGCTATTTAAGGCTGTTTACATGGTCTGTCTCATTGAGTCTTTACCAAGGGCCTATGAAGTAGGGACAATTATCATCCCCCTTCCATAGTTGAGGAAAAGTGAGACTCAGAGAGGTTAAGTAAGTTGCCTAAAATCACAGAGCTGATAAATGGTGAGTCTGACTCAAGCACTCCCATGAACCAGTGCAGAAAACAGCCTCCCCAGCAGAAGCTCAGAACCTGTATGTGGCCTCGGACTCATCATTTCTCTTCTTTCACATGTATGTTTTCTTACTGAACTGGAGGAAGGAGCCAACCCCTAGGGTGATGGCACTGAAGCCTCAGAGGATACCCTCTCCCTTGCAATGGCAGGGAATTAGAAGTGAGACAGGTTAGGGAGAATCAAGGAGCTGCCCTCTGCTGTCAGCAGGAGACTACACCCATGTATCTACTGCCTTTGTATATCCCAAGGCCAGCAGTCTTTAACCAGGACCATAGCACTGCTCCCCAAACTTGAATTGCCCAGCACAAAACACCGTAGCGCCCCGCCTTCAAGCTTCTAATGGTCTATACTTCATGGAGCAGTCTCCTAACACAGACAGTGATAGGGATGTCTAGGAACACGGAGGAGGCCAGATTTCAGAGGACTGGCATCAGATTGCAGATTTTTATGTGGTCCTATGTTTCATGCTTGGATACAGTCTAGAATTCCACTACATGTTTGTATTATGTGAGGGAGAAAAGGATGGCCATGTAGTAAAAATAGCAGAAATGAAAAGGAGTACTGCGTTTCATTCCATCTAATTTACGCTGCTGTGGGTGGAATCAAAGTTCATCTCCTGGACATTAATTAAACTAGAAATGCAGGGAAATGCCAGTCCTCCGGCTGCAAGGGCCCTTTTCAAGAAGAAGCTGGGAAAGTGGAGCTGGTATTTCCTTGCTGTCACAGGACTCACAATAGAGGAAAGCAAACTTCGTGGGTCCTCAGCCATTTTCTCATCACCCAATCAAGAGCCTTTCAGCAGAGGAGTGGACTCCGGGCCTGAAGCCCAGCAGCTGTATCCATGGGAAGCCCCCCACCGAAGGTCAAGAGAAAGATGTCGCACAGTTAAGGGCTCTGAAGTCAGACCTGCACATGTGTTGAAGTTCCCAGTGCTCTCCCAAAAGCTGTCTTGCACACACCCACACCCTTTGCACAAACAAAAGCACTGTGATCTTCTGTTTTAATGAATTGTCAATTGAAGGGAAATGGTAGCTTCAAATTAGTCAGGGCAATGAAGGGAAAAGAAGAAAAGAAAAAGATTTAGTCAAAGTAAGGCTTTGTAGAGCCCAAATTTAGTAGACCTTGACATCTCAGGAAAAGCATGCTCGTGGGAAAGTAGGCACAATTCCGAAGGAAGGGGAAACTAATTCAAATAAAGCATTCAGGGAAAGCACTAAGTGTTTAGGCCAAATTCTATCTTGACATGGAACACAGGACCTTGCTTAAAGGCAATGTGAGATAAAGAGTAAGCTGTTGAGCCCACAGTAGGCTTTCTTTACAGAAGACATAAAATGTAGTCTACCATTTTATTCAGGAGGCGAAGGAGAAATAAAGAACATCCAAAACACGGTGAAGCCATGTTTCTGTGAATATCTTTCTGCCTGGACACACATGTAACCTACTTAGCAGTAATTCCAAGCAGTGGCCGTCCCACGTGTAGGACTTTGCCCACATCAACTGCTTTTGGCTACTCAATCAATAGAAACCAACCCAGGTTTATCATTAAATTGAGGTAGTAGGTTTCTTAGGCCAGGAGTTGGCCAGCTTTTTCAGTAAATATGTTGGTCTTTGTGAGCCATGAGTCATCTGTCTCGACTACTCAACTCTACCCAAGTAGCACAAAAGGAGCCAGGGACAATATGTGAAGGACTCAGCATGGCTGTGTTCTGATAAATGTTTATTAATGGACACTGGAATTTCTATGGCATATAATGTTTACATGTCACAAAATTGTATCTTTTTTATTTTTATTTTTTCTGACATGTATTGCTCTCAGGCTGTAGGCAAACAGGTGGTGGGTGGTATTTGGCTGTGGCCCATAATTGCTGACCCCTGCCTTAGACTGAAATGATCCAGTGGAATCCTTTTGTGTCTAATTTTATAACCTGGGTGGTTATAAACTACAGCACGTGTGATACATTTAAAACTACAGCACGTGTAATGAGAGGGGAATTTAATTTTATTATTCTAAATACTCTGGATGGAGATGATGTTTCTTTGAGCCAGGGATTCAGGCAAAATTCAAATATGTGCAGTAATCGTGGTCACTACGGATCTGCTGCCTACAACATGGCAGGAACCATGCAATGCCATGTGTACATTTTCCAAATCGTACATGACGCGAAAGACAACATGTGGCCTACTATGATTTCAGTGGAAACCGTGACAGCACAACCTACTGAATTTATACAGATTTCAACATTATCTGATGTCATCTGCACTACAGATCTGTGAGAGGGTACTATTGTTGCCACCTCCATGTCATGGATTGGAAAGCTGAGGGCCAAAAACTCACTTATTCCCATGAGACTATACAACTGTAAACAGCAGAGGTGGGATTTAAACCCACATTTTCCTGCTCTCTCTCTCCTCTGGGTTCTTAACCCTCAGGGTCTTTCTCACTCAAGGTCAAGACCTCAATCAGTTATGACTGTAACCCAACTTGGCCTGAACAAATTAATATGAGGCTATTCCTGGCCTCTCATTTCCCACATAGTTCATAAGTTTCATTAAGGAGATATGAATATGTAGAGACCACTGTGTGGGCCTGAAGCGTCTACATTCCAGGGGAAGCTCTGTAGGTAAAAAAGATCACAAGCTATAAAATTATTGGCAACTCACAGATAGTTAAAGACGTTTGTCTGTTCAACTGCCAAATATTTACATTTGAAGTCCTACCTCGTGCTAAACATTTGTCTAGGCACTGAGGTTGCAGCAGTAAGCAAAATAGGCAGAAATCCCGGGTCTTGGGGATTTATATTTTCCCGGGGGGGAGATAGGCAGTAAACAATAAAGTGAGTAAAACATATGCTGTGTCAGATGGTGATGAGTGCTGTGGGAATAAAATACGTGGAGAAGGGCGATGGGGATAGCAGAAGGGTAGGGGGACTGGGGAGCCACAGACAGGGACCCAGGCAGAGAGTTTTGAGGAAAGACCTGAAGGAGATGAGGCCCCGCTTATGTTTTCATCCAGGGAGAGGGGATTGTAGGCAGAAGAAACAGCCAGGGGAAAGTCCTGAGGCACCTTTGGGGAAGTGCCAGGAGATGGGGTGATTTGGATAAAGTGGGCAAGGAGCTGACGGCCGGGAGTTGAGATGGGGAGAGGTGGGGAGGGGCAGTCAGAGCGTTTAGAGATCTGGAGCCCTGTGGAAATTTTTGAGGAAACCACTGAAGAATTTAGAGCAAAGGAGTGGCCTCATCTCATCTCATGGACAATGCAAAAGACTCCCTCCTGTAGCTGTGATAATAAGAAATTGTAGAGAACAAAGGTAGAAATTACTGAAAATTATTTAGGGAGCCTAGGTGGGACTTGGACCAGGATGGCAGCTATAATGACGGTTACCAGGGAGCAGGTTTTTTAAGTCATTGTTTTATTATAAAATTGACTATTTATGATTGTATACGTTTATGGAGTATGGAATGATGAATACAATATGGAAGCATTAAATAAAGCTAGTTAACATATCCATCACCTCATATACTTAACATTTTTGTGGGCTGAGAACATTTGAAATTTACTCTCTTCAAAATTTTGAAATGTACCATACTCTATTTATTAACTGTATTGACTAGGCTGTTCAATTAAATTAAAAAAAGAAATCCCACATATTCCTCCTGTCTGGGATTTTGTGCCCTTTGAGCATCATCTGCTTTTTACAACCCCGGGACTCTGTCACCTGCCCTCTACCCTCTGCTTCTCTGGGTTTGATTGTCTTCAAATCCACGTGTAAGGGAGGACATGCAGTGTTTGACTTCCTGTGCCTGGCTTATTTCACCTAGCTTAGTATTCTCTAATTCCATCTACGCTGCCTGAAACCACAGAATTTCTAGAAGCAATCAGACTGAAATACAAGCCAACAGGATTTGCTGATTAATGGGATTGTGGAGCATGAGAGGAAGAAAAGAGATAAGGCTGGCTCACAGGCTCTTGGTCTGAGCAACAGGAGGGATGGTGAGTGGGCAATCACTGAGGTGGGGAAGAGAGTGGCCGGAGCAAATTTGGAAGTGGTGGGCCAAAGACTGAGTTTGTTTTTGGATGTGACAAGTTTGAGTTGCTTATTAAACATTAAAGCAGGGGTGCCAAAGAGGCAGTTAGAGATAGGAGTTGGAAGTGCAGAAGTATAGCATGTGCTGTGGGTTCAGGGATAGTGGCTGTACTAAATCTTTTGCCTTTACTACAAGGGGTACTGCCTTTACCAAAATGCTTGACATGATGAGCTGGAGAATTTGTGCTTAATTTTATCACCCAGAAATTAGAGATTCTTTGCTATTGACACATTATAATTTTCCCCTAGGTGACTAAATTCAGCACTGGTCATTTTTTGTTGTTGTTGTTGTTTTCTTGAGACAGAGTCTTCTCCTGTCACCCAGGCTGGAGTGCAATGGCATGATCTCCACTCACTGCAACCTCCACCTCTTGGATTCAAGCTATTCTCCTGCCTCAGCCTCCCAAGTAGCTGGGATTATAGGTGTGTGCCACCATGCTGGGTAATTTTGTATTTTTAGTAGAGATGGAATTTCACCAAGTTAGTCAGGCTGGTCTCCAACTCCTGACCTCAAGTGATCCGCCCGCCTCACCCTCCCAAAGTGCTGGGATCACAGGCGTTAACCACTACACCAGCCTCATTTTTAAATCTATATTTAAATTTTATTTACTATCACTGTGCTCAGCTTTGCACAAATAGTACTACATACATTGATCAAATCATCCTCCTATTTAAATCCTTAAAAATCAGAAGAATACATATTTTTGGCATAATGCCCAAATCCAATTCAGGTGGTACATTGTTTCACGTTCCCTCCTAGAGAAACATAAAATAGTGTCAGCTGTTATTATCATATTGCATTGTATCTCCACACTGACATCCACATTTTCAAAAGGGCGTCTTTTGCATAGATGGTTGTAATTTCCTTTTACTCTGACAATATAGATATGGTGAAATCAATGTCAGCTGTTGGAACTAACTCAAACACAAACCCTTTGAGGGCCAGCCACTAGGCAGCAAACTCCAAATGGTCATTTACGAAATCTCATCTGGGTAAACAGACACATTATCTTTTCCTGCATTCCCACCTTCTCTCCTCTGTAGACATACAGGCAAACATTTTATAATCATATTTTACCTCTTATTCACATCTCCTAAATGTAATATTAGAAAATGTTTTTCAAAGAACCACGATTTGGGATGAAGCTCAAGTTCCAAGAATAGCTTATGTACAGCAGGAAAAGAAGGCAAGAATATGCAACAGGCAGCTTTGTATTAAACACAACTGACTGCACATTCTTTCTCTAGTCAGTTGCAAAGGTAAAGATCTCAGGATTGGGGATGACTACTTATGGGAAGTATCTACTTATGGGAAGTATGACTACTTGTGAGAGATTATCTCTAAACAGGGTTGTTCTTCTGGGAAAAGAAAGTAAATTCACAAAGGGCATAATTTGTTGGTTTTTCTCTCCTTGGATTGAAGTGAACCCTCAAGTTAATAATAATAATAACAGTAAGTAATAATGTTTTATGTACCTCAATTTTGACTAATGCTTTTCACTGGCAGAGAAAACGCCAGTTGGGAGAGTCAACTTATTGGGCAATTTCCCATGCACTGGGTTGAACAGGAAGCCTCTAGCTGCAAAAGGAGCAAGCAGAGGCAGCCAGAAAGAGCAGTCCTGGCTGGGTGAGCCCCACGCTGTGCCAGCCACCTGGGTTGAGCGTCTCAGCGTGTTTACGTGACTTGATCTCAGCTTATGTGTGAGATACCATGTTGACGGTCCTGTTGCCCACTCTGCCCTGGCTTGAGATTTAAATAAAAACAAATTACAGTTCTTAACAGTGATAGATGGACTGCTTTTACATTTGTGTAGAGTATTTTTGCTCTAAGATTAAAGGCTTACGCATTTATCTGCATAAACTAGCCCCTGGAGTAGGGTACTGCTGACATTTTCCAAGAAAAATGAATATCCTAACTTATTCCAAAGAGAAGACTTGGTATTTGTATGGCCAGAATGACCTTTGCAAGTGCCCTTTCAGATTAGGTGCACTACATGGAAAATTGTGCTCTTACAGTACTCCATAAATCATACCTACCAATTTTCTTTAAAGGGGTATGTAAATATCAGTGTACCAGGTGGGTAAACAACACTAACCTCATACAAATGGCTTGAAAATTGAAGAAAAGCACCTTATTTTGCTGCTGAAATTGCTTTTGAAGCCCAACATCGGGGCTTGGGTTGTAGAATGCATGAAATGATTTGTGCATGGGAATAGAAAATGGGCTGATGATAACCACCCTCGACACAGTTCCTGTATTTCTGAGTTCTTTCCGTGATCAAAGATATCATTGCTATACGCATACTACTTTTCTTTGCATATCCCAAATGTGTGTATATTTTAAGTGACATCTTCATTATCTGCATATTTCTAACTTGGTCAGATAGCTGTTTCAGCTGGTTAATATCTCTAGACAAAGTTCATGGAAGCCTTCTTGTTTTGGTCACATAACACTTTGCTTAAGAAGGAAAAAAAAGATAAAACTTTGTAGAAAAAATAAAGGAAGAAGCTGAAGCTGTTGAAATTTCCAAGTTCTTTGTAAATTAGTGGAATGCACTAATTGAATCTTCTCGTACTAAAATAGGAATAAACAAATATTAAGAAATGGTCCTATTTAGACATTTTAATAGAATGTCTGTGGCATAACATACAGCTTTTACTGCACTCAATTGACATGAATTTTTTGAAATCCAGTTTTGTACACTTTTCATAAAATAGAAATCTTTGACTCGAACACACTTGGGAGTTTGTGGCAAGAATCATGGTTTACTTCTGAGAACATTGGATCTAGTAAAAGATGCACGTTTCTTAATCAGATGACTTTCCATGAGGCTAAGCTTTTTCTATAATACAGGATAAGTAAATAACTTTTGACAATCTTGTGTATTACAAATAACTAAGAAAATTCCAAAATCTTTTTAACTCATTAATTCTATCTTACTCACTATTCCATTTGCTGGTTATTTTTAAATGTATAATTTATCATTAAAATGAAAATAGTCTATGTAAAATATTTTTTCTTTACAATAACTATTACTCTCTATTTTGCTTGCACTGAGGAATATATTTCTAGGAAGAAGGCTTTGGTTTCATAGACCTTAAACAGTGAGAAATCAGTTTCTCCATTTTATAAAGAAATGCATTAAAAAAATAAAATCAGTCCAGGCGCAGTGGCTCATGCCTGTGATCCCAGCACTTTGGGATGCCAAAGTGGGTGGATAACCTGAGGTCAGGAGTTCAACACCAGCCTGGCCAACATGGTGAAACGCCATCTCAACTAAAAATATAAAAATTAACCAGATGTGTTGATGGGCACCTGTACCCCCAGCTACTTGGGAGGCTGAGGCAGGAGAATCCCTTGAACCTGGGAGGCAGAGATTGCTGTGAGCCGAGATTGCACCGTTGCACTCCAGCCTGCGCAACAAGAGAAAAACTCCATCTCAAATAATAATAATAAAAAAATAAAAATTAAAATGAAGTAAAATAAAATCACAACATGGTATAAGTAACATGTGGGCATCCAAGTTGCTTTTCCAGTCCTTTCATTCCTAGTAATAGTTGCTATGTGTGAATGCCTTTTATTCCTTTATGCTACTAGATGTAAAGATTAAAACCTGCCCCTAGGTCAGCAGGGGTTGTATCAGTGGGATGCACTGACTGTGCTGTGGTCTTTCCCTTCGACACATTCTCAACTTTGGGCTCTGTTCTCCCTTCGGAATCGTGCAAGGCATTTTGCAGTGCCATATTTTTCCTCTTTGGTTCATCAATTTCCTATTGGTCATAAGTATAATCTTTGACACTCCTTCCAAACAATAAGTCTTAGTCTCCTGTTCAAAAGTGAAGGTTGAAAGCTTTTATTTAATATCTTTGTAAATGGAGATTTTAAAAAAATAATAATGCAATTTCAAAGCTTAGTCTTACTAATACTTTTCATGGTTAAGGATAGTCAAACAACTCTTAGATTTCCAAAAATGGATTGTCTTTTTGAATGCAAAAATTCATACTTCAATACAGCTATTGGGTTGAATAATATATAGAACTCTGTATTAAGCATCAAATGAGAAACAGGTGATTTGTGTTCATCAGCCCGCTGTATTAAATGTTTAGAAGGGGGATGGTAATACCTTCTCTAGTCTACACCAATATATGCTACTTATCTGGAAAAAAATGAGATAATTGGAACAAAGAATGTTTCATCGAAGGAAAAAGACAGCTCATCTGCCTTCGTTTTCATTCTGGATTTCTAGGGCGCCTTATGTTTCATAGACCTGTCTTCTTACATGCCCTCCTGTCTTGATTAAATGAATAAATATTTACCATTTCCACTTTGTGCCAGAGACTGTTCCAGGCTCCTCGGTGTATGGAAATTAACAAAACAAAACAACAAAATCCCTGTCCTCAAGCTGCAGAATTAGTAACATGATAAAAAGAGATTACCCATGTTAGCATGGCATTATCTTAGCTTATTGACTAAGAAATTATCTTGTTTTTCATGTCATCTTAAGTTCAATGTATTTCTGAGAGTCGAAAATACCATCTCTTTTGTTTAAGAATTGAATATGTAGAAAGAATATTCAGTATTTTGCACTTTACTATGTTTTAGAATTGTTTTCAGTAATAAAACATTTTTGAGAAAAGTATTTATTTATTTCTAAACTATTTCATTCATTTTCCTACAATGGGTAGATTATATGAATCATTAATAATCACCGTTTATTAGTGTGTTTCTATTATTCATTATGATGCTTAGTCTGGGGTCCTACATAATTTTTTCCAACTGCTTTATCCCAAATCTATTGTTATCCTCTTGGTTTTCTACTGAATTTACAGTAGGTGTTACACAATTTAGTAATCACTGCCTTTCTAGTTTTAGTTCCATTGGCCTGATTTCCCTTACTATTTTGAAAGACCCTGGGAGAAGGACTAATTTCTTATACTTTTATCTCCTCCAGCAGCTAGCAAGGCAGACAGCACAGGAAGAGCTCAATAAACACATTAATTTTCAACTAAGTTCTATAACAGGGTCTTTACTTTTTTTATTACTCAATTTTAGGTTTACTAAAATTGAAAAAGGATTTTCGATAATAGGTACTTTTTATAAAGATGATAATTTTTAAAAGTAATGATTTTCATATTAAAAAAATCTATTTCAGTGGGAAGTTTTGTTTAGCAAAAAAACATAATATGCCCATGATATTCTATATATACATGGAAATACAACTCTTCTCCCTCCCTGATTAACTGCAGAAAGTGATGCCGCATATTTCACACATTTTAAACCCACTGAGTATGGAGGCCGAAAAGGTCTCGGATAGAGAGACAGAGTTCCAGTTGAAATGTTAGATATATATATGTATATTTTAAATATTATAAACTTTTCTACCTGATTTTTAAGAAGAAAAACATCAAACCAAAATTTTCAAAGTTTATGGTACATTCAAATGTTAGTAGAAAAGTTCTTTTAATTGCATTTTATATTTTTCAATTTAATTTGCATCTTTAGTTAATTTTACAAATAAAGCACAGGTAAGAGGGCTAGACCTAACGTGGAGTACAAATGGATAAAACCATCCTTCTAGTTCTACTGACATTTGTAGGTACATTCCATATATGTGTTTTAGAAATAAGCAGAAGGTTATCTGCAAGCCCATGTTGAACCCTAAAGCTGCCATATTCATTAATAGCTTCCTATGTTTGGTAGTTCAGCTCCTCTCTCTTTGGGCAGCTTCCTTTAAGTGGACAGTGACTGCACCATCCTATGCCACTTGGAAAACCGGTGAAAGCGGTACAGGTCCACATTCTGCACCTCCATAGAGCTGGTCTTAGGTAAAATTCAGAAAGGAAGGGCATCCCTGACTTCCCTTTCACGTGTGCTTTTACCCCCGCCATGGCTTCCCCCAACCTCACGCCCTTCACCCCAATGCCATCTACAGCCATCATTTTGCCTGTCAGTCTTCCGGAACCCTCCACTACAACACCTCAACCAGGCTCATCCACCCTGCAAACGCCTCAGGCTCTCAATCATTTCTTTTTACCATGCTCCTAAACAAAACTTACCTGCCCTGGCTCCCATTTCCTTTTTCTCCTCACTCAGGTAGCCGGCAAAATTGGTTATTTAGACAAAGATTAATTTACATGAAGTTCTTAATGGCCAATAATGACTTAGTGGGTGATCTCTCGAAGGGTAACTGAATTTAAGCAGGTAGTATCGTTCTGATGACCGATTTTTTTTTTCAGGTCCTTCTGTAGATCAGGAATGGACAATTTTTTTCTGTAAAGGACCCGATTGTAAATATCTTAGACTTTGCAGGCCATACAGTGTCTGTTGCTTGAATCTGCCATGGTAGCTTGAAAGCAACCATGGATCATAGGTAAATAAATAAGCAAGCCGTGTCCCAATGAAGACTTTATGTACAAAAACAAGAAGCTGGCTGAATTTGGCCTGGAGTCCATAGTTTGCTGATACTGTCTTGACTTTAATCAAATAAACTGGCCAGGGGAGGGAAGCAAAGAGGATTCTCAACCCCCATGAATCCATACCGCAGAGAGCTAATTGTTCTCATCAGAGAAGTTGTTCCTGAATAACTGGGGTGCCAATGGACGCAGTCAGTTTCTAGTAGCAATTATCTAGGTTATATTGAAGACACGAATTGCCTAAGGTCCGTTATATAATTTGTTCCCCGCCTTCTGCTATTGTTATTTTATTTTATTTTTTTGGCAGAACAGAGCCAGGGTAGTAGAATTTCTCTCGTTATGAGAGGACAGGTTTTCTTTCATTGAAGAGAGACAATCAAGCTTCTCTCTTTGCTTTAGCCATCAGGAAACTCACAGAGAAGTTTTGTGCCCTACCACGGTAGCTTTCCTCAGCTTTGACAACACATTCTCTTCTTTTCCTTTTGACTTGAGATATTTTCCTTAATTTGGTATTTGTGGTTTATCACCTTTCTGTTATGTTCTCTGTAGTCATCTCTAAACTTTTTGGAAAGTAGTGAAGAGTAAAATATAGACAGAAGAGAAGTACATGAGAAATATTTCAGAAGAAAGAAGAGTGCTTTTCCTCCCTGGTGAAAATGGAGCCACTTTGTAAACCAGGTCAGTCAAACATATGCTTCAGACTAGTATATTTGGACATGTTGCAAGGTTGAAAACATTTCCCTACAATTGCCTGACAGGCAAAACAGTCTGTCAGCCTAGATGACTTATGCAAGGTGTATCACATTATATGTTTGTAAGTGATCTAACTCTGGCAACTCCTGACAGCCGCTGGGTGATCACATCTGACCTTCACGGGGCAGCCTGACCTGTATGGGTGGGCTTCTGTTGAGAAGCTGCTGCTATAAACATCAGTGGAGAATCCTACCAGTAGACTGGAGACATAGGCTTGCTGCTCCCTGGGGTCATAAAACAAACGCTGATAACCTTTTGCTGACAGCCAATGAGTTGGGAGCAGGGCAGGGGAACCTCACAACATCAGGAACTATGGCTGGCGTATCTGAACAATGCCCTCAACACAAGGGTACCCTTCTTTTTCTTCTCTCTCTCTCTCTCTCCGTCCCTCTCTCTCTCTGTGTGTGTGTGTGTGCGTGTGCGTGCTCCAATTTCACATATTCTTGACAATCTTACTTTTACATTTTAAGACCATGAAATAGATACAGGCAAAATCTATGTGAAATAGATATAGACAAAAAGTATTCTGGTGCACTGGTGAAGAACATTTTTTTTTTTTAACCTCACTCATGATAACTGCTCAGATCACCTCTATCTAACTTATACACAGAGACATCAAAGCAGTTTTCCTGGTTGACAAGCAACTAAGGCCCACCCTCCTGGCCCCTGGGAAAGGCTACTGGGCAATTGTTAGAACTCTCAGAGGTTTTTATTATTTATTTACATTTTATTTTTATTTATTTATTTATTTAGAAATAGGATTTTGCTCTGTTTCCCAGGCTGAAGTGCAGTGGCACAATCATAGCTCACTTGCAGCCTCAAATTCCTGGGCTTAAGTGGTCCTCCCACCTCAGCCTCCTGAGTAGCTGAGACTACAGGCACATACCATCATGCCCTGCTAAGTTTCTAAAAATTTTTTGTAGAGACAGGATCTCCCTATGTTGCCCAGACTGGTCTTGAACTCCTAGCTTCAAGCAATCCTCCAGCCTTGGCCTCCCAAAGTGCTGGGATTACAGGTGTGAGCAACTGTGCCTGGCCTATTTATTTTTAATTAGTACATAATATTCATACCTATGTGTAAGGTACAGAGTGATGTTTTGATACATAGAATGCATAGTGATCAGATCAGGGTAATCAGTATATCCATCACCCCAAACACTTATCATTTTTGGATATTGAATGCTCCCAACACAAAAGCAACGGAGCTGCCCCTTTCTAAACTGTCTCAAGGCCTCAGAGGCAGCACAGCAGGCTGGGTAGAGACACAGTGTGTTGGAAGCTGAACCTTATCTAGCATGGCCTCTGTCTATAACACGGTCATTGATTCTATCACTATAGAATCAAAAATCATTAAAAAAAAAAAATAAAACCTTTAACAGGCCAGGCACGGTGGCTCACGCCTGTAATCCCAGCACTTTGGGAGGCCAAGGTGGGTGGATCACCTGAGGTCAGGAGTTTGAGATCAGCCTGACCAACGTGGAGAAACCCCATCTCTACTAAAAATACAAAATTAGCCGGGTGTGGTGGTGCATGCCTGTAATCCCAGCTACTCAGGAGGCTGAGGCAGGAGAATGGTTTGAACCCGGGAGGCGGAGGTTTGAGTGAGCCGAGTTCGTGCCATTGTACTCCAGCCTGGGCAACAAGAGCGAAACTCCATCTCAAAACACACACAAAAAAACAAAACAAACAAACAACAACAACAAAAAAAACCTTTAACAACCCCCTTCCAAAAAAAAACCCACTCAGCAGTAGAGGAATATTTCCCAAGTGAGTGAACCACTCTCAACCCCGTTCCCTCTCCATCCCTGCCTCCCACTTCTTGCAAATCCTAGTGGCACAGTGGCACAGCTGAACTACCTTGTACTTGATTCTTTGAGATAATCAAATATTGCAATGTAATACTTTTTTATTAGGCAAGTATGACCTCACTAGGGGGAAACTGTGGATAAATACACCAGAATGTTTATTAAAAACTGCAGAAAGGTACATATAGTTACCAATATCAATACACAAATGTTTGCTTAAATATTTAATAGTTGGGCAAAATAACACACTTTATACAAACAGGTGACTAATGTCCTTAGCTTCCAACATCTTTGCTTCTCCAGGTAAATGCACAGGACTTCGCATTTACATTTTTGTAATGACTTGTGTCCCTTTTCCAAACCCTTCTGTTTACACATGAGTCTCCTCCATGCAGATGTTTTGTGGGCCTTAAGACTCTTGCTTGGCTAAAGATGGAGCTGTGAAGCTCTTTGACGAGGGCAATAAGCCCCAGGGCCAATGAGGCAATAAGCAGTCCTTTTAGACGCCTCCAGTGCCACTGAGATCTGGCCACAATACCCAGGACCTGCCTTAAACTTACAATGACAGTTATGGGTCCATGTTGTAAATGGTGTCAGCATGCCCAGCAGCTGAACAGAGGAAATGGTAAGGTTTTGCATTAAGCCCAGAGTCACTGAAATATGCAGCACACACTATATTATCCCAAATTTGTTTTTTGTTGTTTTTATGTGATACAGACAAGTTGAACATAATTAAGCAAATAGCCTGGATTGCATTATTATGAATAAATATACAATTCCCATGATGCTTTGAAAATATGTATTATACAACTTGAAAAGTACCTTTGTTGTTACTTTTTCAATCTCTAACGGTCAGAGGAGCCCAATCTAAAAACCACAAGCCGACGCAGAGCTCTTCATTACGACATACTTTGCAACGATGTGAATATAATTGACCAGAGTTTTTCAAAGGGAAAGGAGAAGCATAAGAGGAACCTTGCCAAGCCCGGTCAGGTGCCGGACTGACAGTACAGTTCTAATGTGGTATTGTGTTGTCAGGCTTGGCTTATCCTCAGATCAAAAGAGCCATCAATCTTCCCCAGATCTATACAGATCCGTCCTGGGTCAGAAGAATAATCAATAACCCTTAGTTCTCACTTCACAAAAACAAAAGAGCTGTTGGTTTGTTTACCTTTCAGATTGTGTCTTGATTAGGGATCATTAGTGACCATTGTAGGAATGAAACTGTGTGTGTATTGCTAACTCAGTCAGGTTTACTTTTAGGACACTGCATGTCACACAGGCAAACCCACACAGCATGTTCAGAAATTTCCTGGGAGCAAGGGCCGCACACACCAGGGCTGGAACTGCAAGACGTAATAGAAAAACTGTGGAGGATTAGAGATGAAGAGACATTAGAGATAATTTAGCCCAAACCCCACATTTTACAGACAGTGAAACTGGGTCTTAGCAAGGGCAGCAACCTGCTCAGGGTCACTTCTCTGGATAAAGACAGTATGAGCTAGAGATTATATGTGTAAATATAACCCTGACTAACCTCACATCAGGAGATATATATATATATATATATATATATATATATATATATATATATATACATATATATATATACATATATATATATATACACATATATATATATATATATATATATATGTAAAACTATGCTAACTGCTATGGAGTGAGTTAGGGTTCATTACTGTGTGCTGGGGTTTTTGTATGTCCCTGGACAGTTGTTTTGTTTTCTTAGCAAGCAGTGGAGTGGGCTGTAGTGGAATGCCAATAAGCTTTGGAATCAGACAGGCTTGAGATCAAAGGCTAACTCTGCCATGATCGAACTGTACAACTTTTGGTGAATTACTTAACTCCAAAAGCCTGCCCCCTCATTGCTATACTGAGGATAATAATATCTCCATCTTAAAATAGTTATGAGTTAAATAGAAGTAATATATATAGAATTGTCTGCCATGATACATGGCACACAGTAGGGGTAATAATATCTGCATTTTCAAATTGTTATAAGAATTAAATAGAAATTATATTATCTATATTATATATAAAATTGTCTGCCGTGATATATGGCACACAGTAGGTGTTTGACCAATATTTGTTTCCTACCCTTTCTTTCCTTTTCCTTGACTATATTACAAACAGATTCTAGCATTTGTACAGAACTTGTCTCTATCTCCCATAGCTGATCCCGAAAGGTGAATAACAGAATTTCTGTTTGTCTTAAATTCTGTACAAATGACGATGATAGAAAAGTAGATAGATGGGCATAGGTGGAAAATTTAATAGGTATGCATGTAAATAAATGTGTGCAAATGTGTTATGCTTGATCAATGTATTTATATATGCAAATGGTGTTTGCTCACCAACAAACAATGGTAAAGTTAAGTACTAAGATGTAACCTTTATCAATAACTCAATATAAACTAACAGGAACAACACAAATTATCTCAGGTAATGAAACAAATACCCTACAAACACCATTAGGAACACAATTACAACAATAATAATAACCGCTCTAATATAACAGAATCCCACGGAATCCAAATCCATACAAAATACAATGCTCTTCAGGGTTTCATCTTGTGGTTATTTTTTGAACCAAAGAATGGTATTATAGTTAGTTTTCCTGCATATTGAAATAGAAATCTATAGGCTATCCAAATATTCCAACCAGAGAAGTGGCCAAGAAACTGAGACAGGTGAAATGGGTTGGATGGAAGTCAGGACTCAGCTCAAGGTTGTTTGTCTTTTTCACTAGTTTTCACTAGTTTTATTTTCCTGCATCCTGTTCCTCTTGGGGATGCAGGGGGAGGGGGGTGGATCAGTCAATCAACAGAGAATGAGAGGAGGCCCAGACATGCCTGTGATGATTCTCATGACAGGGCATCCTGATCAGTGACTCCAGCAGCTTTCTCTCCCCTTCCTGCTGGGGCTACCTATAAATGACATCTACAGTAGGTCTCCTAAGCTCAAAAAGTGTTCTCTAGCCTCTAGATTCTTCTCCTGGCCTCACACCTGCCCAGTAGACCCTGCTTTTCCAGGTTCCTCTCCTGCTGGGTCACTCATACTAGATTTCCAGGTCTTTGGCTGCCAATTTAACTGGGCAGGCTACCTAGCTTTGATTTCCTTGTCTCTGGAAAACACTGCCTTTGTATGGCCTCAGTCAGCATCCCTAGGATGCTGTCCACTGTTATTTTGGTCAGGTCTAGGATGCATTGTGTAGAATCCCTGTACAAGTGAACATCCTTCTACTAGAGTTTCTCCTGTTCTTTCTTACTGTTTCACCACGTGCTGCATTTGAAGGTCAACATCTCTTTTCTAGCTAAGAGCTAATTTACACTAGATGTGTCCTGTTAACACTGAGACACACACACACACAAAACTGTGTCGTTGTTCAGAAGTGATGGAGAAGGGAATCTAGCCCTAGATACTGACAAACATATGACTCTGAGAAATAGCTCTCATGAGTTGATCTCCTCTGCCTTTCTTGGGTATTCCATCTTCCATCCTCCTGGCAAGACAGCAAGGGCAGGAACCTAATTCTCACTTTATATAGATAATGAAACTGAAGCTCAGAAAGTCAACCCCTGTGCCTAAGTCACACAGACGAAGTGGTAGAGACCAGACTTGAGCCCAGCTCTAACTGGCTGCAAAGGCCCAGCCATCACCACTCCATGGTCCAGGCGCTTCTGCTAAAGGCAGCTCAGTTTGTAGAACAATCTGGGACACTGAAGAGCAAGGTTGGACTGGGCAGTTCTGAATGGTGGGAGACTTGAATCCAGGTGATATGAGAAACTGAGGAATCTGGGAAACTGGCCTAAAGAAGAGAGTATTGAAAGGAGCAGATTGGGTAACCATCAGTGAATGCTTTAAGGGGAGTGGGGCAGGAGCAGCCTTAGCTTGGTTCTCTGTGATATACGGGACAGAATGAGGTGAAAGGGGGAAATAGACGTGAGACATGTAAGAATACTACAAGGAGGCTTCCAGCTGGGAAGACTGTGCCAAATGTTGGCCAGAGGAGCTGGGAGGGGGCCTTGTCATGACATGTATTGCAAGCAGAGGCTTTGAAAATCACTTAGTGATTTGTTAGAATGCAGCTACATGACAAAATGATAGCGAGAGTGTCTGAGTGGCTACTATTTGCCACGTATCCTTCGGAACACTTTCCATGCATCTTCTCAGTGAATCTTCCCAAAGACACCCTGGGGTGGGAACAGTACCCCTTTTGAGAAAACATACAGCTGAAAGGATTAAATGATTTGCTCAAGATCATACCGAATTGAGAAGAGTTCAGATTTAAACCCAGAAAGTAGGACTACAGAAACTAAACATTTATCCAAGAGACTTTCGACGACTCCTGCTAACTTTGAGATTATATGAAAGCCTCCATTCCTTTCATGATCTTATTTCCTAAGATTAGGGTTAATAGCTTCTCCACCTCTCTACCCTCACAAATATTGTCCATTTTTCATCAAATAGTGATGCTAGGGTTTTATTTCTTTACCATGTCACTGTACAACACATTAAAATGAACAATAACTGAGAATGATGATGAGCCTCTATTAAAAGAGAACAAATTAAAGCCAGACGACACATCTTTACAAACACCTCAGCCATGCACATGACAATTCTCTGATACTTAAGGACATATTCAAAGAAAATGGCACTTTGAACTATAAATTTATTTGCACTGAAGTAGGGAAGCATCACATGCCCTTGCGTCTATTTCATGGGAGATTCAGTGCCTGGTTTTGACAGCTAGTTCTAATAATAAAAAGGTTTTAAATGTAAGGTATAACAGCGTTCCAATCAGTGCCTAATCAGGGTTATGCTTTTCAAATTATATTGTGTCTGCTTTCACCTCCTGCCTATTATCTGCAATAAAAACAGAAGTGCTTAAGAAAATCCTTGATCTGTGCACATATATTTTTAATATTAATATGTCAGGCCAGTAGCAATAAGGATATTAGGGAAATGATGGAATTCTCCCCCAGCTGGACATGTTAATTGAGAAGCCAAGTTTTGAAGGCAAAGTTCACATTTGTGCAGATGGTGGGACAATGCCGGGTGGCGGCTCAGGTCAGTGTCAGCCCCAGTCCCGGCTCTAATGGCTTGAGTCTCTGCTTTCTACGCGTCAGCTGGTCCCTCTGGGCTGTGTAGGTTGGGGAAGTCTGTCTCTGCATTTTTTTCTGCCCTTGACTCTGGGGTAGTAATTTCTCTGGAAATGTCAATGTGCCTTCTTTAGAAAAAAACAGGGGCGGGAGGTGGAGAGACAGAAAGAAGAGGAAGAAAAAAAAAGTTTGTTTTTCTCATTGGAGGAAATATGAATTACAGCTCACCCTGCCCTCTCTTCCTTCCCCTTATCAAGAATAAAAACAGTATTCACCTTATTTGGGGAATGGAGAATGTTATAATCATCTCAAAGTAAGGAGTTCAGCTCTCATGGACCGAAGATAATAACTGGCCCAATGCATGTTTCCTTTTTTATCTGGTTAGCTTTAGAATTTATCCACATTTATAGCCAATTTTCCACCTACCACTTACTGCCTTTAATGTGATTTGTATATCGCTACCCACCCTTCAAATACAGTAGTTGGTATTAGCAGCCTTTAATAGTTTCAGTTTCCTAAGTGATGTAATTATTTATTATCTCTAATTAAAATTCAGAGTTTGGCTTTCAGCATGAGTCTGGATGTGAAGCCCATTTTAATGAAAAGAGCAACTGTGAGCTCTAAATTTCTTTATGAAAGAGATAACTTATATAATCACTGGTAACCTTTTTCAAGAATATTATCTCACTATTTATAAAACAATGCCTCCTCTACGTTAGAAATTGTCATTTGCATATGAAAAAGACATATTTATTGATGCTTTTGACTGATGCACATTTTTCATTCAGGAATGCTCTTTTCGTATCACTCATATACCTTTGAATTTCTCTTTGAAAACTCTATGCTACAATTCTTTAAAAGATTTGCATGTGTATGTCTACATAGGCATACACATAAATAGCCATCAAGAAAGCTTTTCATTTTTGGTTTCTTTTAATAATTTCTAATTTGAAAATTCAGAATGCTTTGTGCTTCCAAAGCCACTTGTGATAAACAATGACTCTCTATATTCTTTCTCCCATCCATAATTCTATAGCTAAAGTCCTTTCCTTCCAGAGAAGAAGTCATGTATTTCTGTCTAACCATGATGAAATTGAGCTAAAGATTGTTCAGGCTCCTGCTATGGTGATGGTGGCAGACAATTTCATTTACTTTGTTTTTTTTTAAAGTAGCTTATCATTTTGCTAATCAACACATTTGGGGAAAACAGGAATCACTACATAATCCTGGTGTAGAAATTTGCTTTATGAAATTTTTCTCATGGAGGGAAACATGGCAGAGTTTAAGAACAAGTACTTCAGCACGTAACTCAAAGGTCCCTCTTCAGGGTCTCGATTTTGCCAGCCATGGGTTTACAATAAGTTGCTGTGATGAAACAGACACCGTGGTTTAACTACCACCTTCAACAAAGGGAAATGCATGGATATGACTTTTTCTTGGTCTCCCTATTTTTCTCCTCTTGCTCAAGCCTTCAATAATTCCCATGTCAATTATTTTTTATCGTGAAACTCGGTTGAGCTTATGAAATAAAGTGAGAAAGGTGAAACTGTGTTCCAAGAGTTTTCTTAAAATGTATTAGAAAACCATTCTTAGCTGGGCCATCTAATCACACCCACGTGCATTCTCTTTTTAATTAAGCAAGTTAACTTATTTGGCATTTATGTTTTATGCATGAGAACTCCTAGCTTTCAGATTACTTCATTTTCAGGCCATGTAATTCAAAAGCAGAAAGATCCATAGAAACATCTTTATCCAGGTTGTGTTAGACAATATCTTTGCCAGAAGAGAAAACACACACATGCCCAAAGGATCTGCCCAAATTAATCAAGACCGAGATTTTGCATTTCTGTGAGTTTTGATCAAGGAAGCCCTGATGTTTCATTAAGGGAGAGACATTTTATTAACTAAATTTCTTCTATAAACCCAGATGTCAAAATAATGTGGACAGATACTTAACCATAAATGATTAACATTGGGACAGAAATATCTATTTTTACAATTTATATATACTTTTGTTTTAGTTTTATTTATTAATATATATTTTAGATGCCTGCTCCGTGCCAGGCACTATGCTAAGTGGTTGGGGAAAGTGAAGATAAGTGAAGCTTAGTTTTTCATCTCAGGAAATTACAGAGGAAACTGACATAAGCCCAGCTGAATCTATGGCAATGTCAAATAAGGCAGCATGGGAGAGGTAGAAACCAAGGTGCATGGCCTTCTAAATGGATTTATTGCTCAGGTTGCGAGGTAGTTGAAATAGTGGTTACAAGAAAAGCTTTAGGGTCAGATTGTCTGAATTTAAATCTCAGCTCCACCAGTTACTAGATGGGTAACTAGGAAACTGAAGTTTCCTAGTCTGGACAGATACTTAACCTACATGATTAACATTGGGAAACTGAAGTTTCCTAATCTGGACAGACGCTTAAACATACATGATTAACATTGGGAAACTGAAGTTTCCTAGTCTGTGAATGGGAGTTGCAAATAGTTTCCACCCTTCTCCAACCACTTACCATAGTGCCTGTCACTGAGCAGGCATCTAAATATATATGAATAAATAAAACTACAATAGAAGTGTATGTAAATTATAAAAATAGGTATTTCTTACTCAATAATGTGTGGTTAAGTGTCTTTCCACGTTATTTTGATGTCTGGGTTTATAGAAGAAATGTAGTTAATAAAAAGTGTCTCCCTTAATGAAATGTGGGGGTTTCCTTGTCCAAAACTCATAGAAATGCAAAAATGAAGCTTCACTTATCTTCACCTTTTCCAGTCACTTAGCATAGTGCCCAGCACTGAGTAGGCATCCGAAATATATATGAATAAATAAAACTACAATAAAGGCATATAAAAGAGTAGAGTATGGATAAGAGTGGGGGGTGGTAATATTGGCTCTACTTTATGAGACCTACTTAAGATCAGAAAAAAAAGTAAGCAACTCTCCCCAAATGAAAGGGGAAATAAGAAAAAATAGAGTTCTATATATACCAATAAAAGCACTATCAATTTTAGCGTAGAGAAAAAAATCTGGATTTGATGGCGTGGTATTCTGCAGTGCTATTAATTATTTCATTCAAAGTTGTGAACATTATAGTATCATGAAAAAGGCTGCAGATATGTAATGAAGTATGAAGTTTCTTCTGTATATCATACAATTTCATTTTGGTGTTGAGCATTTGTGAAGTCGGTGCTCTCAGAAAGCGGGAGTGTATTATTCACTTGCTAAAACAGAACTGTAAATTCATTAAAGCTTTCTAAGTAGAGTAAAGGTTATGCGACAGAAATATGTCATTTATTTATAAAATATTTAGATAAAGTAGTCGTTAAATCTTAACTCTTTGGTGTAATTGGTTTATTAAATGTATCTAATTTGATTTTGATTTATAAAGATGAGCCCTAACAATTTACACTAGACTAATGAAAAACAGCAAAGTAGGTCTTTTTTGAATAACACTTTACTATTCATAGTGAGAGACTCCCCTAGTCTTTTGTAAAAACTTTTCCTGGTGTGATTTTATATTTTAGGAGGTTTCACCATATCAAGTGAGGCTGTTTTTACAAAGCATCAGTGAAACAATTTAGAGCAACAAAAAGAAGTCTGATTTTTTTTAATTTAAGTATTCAGAGTACACTGTCAATGTACCATTTCTCCCTCTTTCCCACAAAGCACAAAATTTATGTCACTTGATTTCACCAAATATTCTTTTCATCTAATCATTTCAATGATCCTCGGTACCTCTGTTAAGCATCAATGCATTTTGCATTACTTACTGTCAATAGCAAATCTAAGGTATTCTAAACTTAATTTTAGGTTCGGTCTCTTTTAGTAACAGGGAATAAACATTGCTGCACTATTGTCAGGTGTTAATGCAAATAATAGAAGCCTTGGTGTATCCACTGACAACCCATGAATACTCTGGTCAGCTTGATTAACATTGATTCACCGTATACATGGGTTGTTAGAAAATCTATGTTGTATGTGGTCAGTAACAATATAATTACTTACTGTAAGCGTGTCCAGAGATCTGCTCTATATTTCATTATTATTACCACAGCTTATTCACATGAAATGATGGTAGATCTTCAAGTCCACAGTCTTTGACCACAGACCCAAGCAGGTGTTTGTTTAATACTTTGGTCAAAGATCAGTGAGTTAAAGGTTAGGCCAGGGAGAGTGAGAATAGAGGGGTCATCGCACTTGCAGGAGGGGGGTGAGACTTGATCTTCTTGGGTCTGGAACGGTCGAACCCCAAGGTCACCCATTAGTGATCCTGCCTTTAAGGACTGTGAGATGTCAACAATAAATTCACCATGCCAGAACCTTTAACCCTCTTAATGCTGTGAACACCAGGAGCCAAGGCCAAAACCCAGAAGCAATGGACCCAGGGAGAATTATTCACACAATTGTCTGAGGGATGTGGCATTTATGTCCTTTAGGCTTGCCTCTGTTAGAGCAGACAGCTAAGAAAAAATGTTAATGTTGGTTGATGTTCAAACTTTCCAGACAAACAATACACCCATGCATGGGGTGTAGACGTTATACAAATATGGTGCAAATAGCATTGTTGAATTGTCACACTGTCATTCTGCAAGGAGTGTATCCAAGTAACAGAGATTCTTAATGTAAGATTTGTTCCCTCCCCACGTTTAGAAATAATCAATTCATTAAAGATAATGGAATTAACACGTGATGTTAGAATATTTCTTTCTCAGTAAATGCAGAATTAACATGGGGAAGACAACACATTTTAAGAAAGCCTAATGCTAAGATCTCAAACATAATTTTGCTTAACATACAAATCATTCCATCAATTAGTCAACTCCAAATGTATTGTCAAGATTCACGTAGTGTGGGCAAAGAGAGCTTACTGTGCTTCTGTGAACATTGTTAAAGTGAGTGTGGAAGCATCCACCAAGTGGTAGCTGTGTCATACAATGAAACCTTCTGGGACCAATGAGCATTTATAAGTATCTTCTGCATGTGTTATAATTATTTCTAAAATTCATTTATCAAATATGTTACCCTACGCTTTTCTAAGTCAGCCCCCTCCCTATAGCTATCTAGACTGAATATGCTCGGATTTAAATTAGCTATGAACATCCTGTTGATACTAACCCAGCTTTTTTAACACTTAAAATGGCTATTCCATCCTCAAACACAGAATTAAGCTCAACCCACTGTTGGGAAGCAGGTTTTCTTTAATATGCCATTAGCAGGACTGTGGGACTGTGGTATTAGCATTTATTAAGTCCAGTATCTTTCTTGAACAGGCGTCCCAATTTAGATGATAAATTACGTGGCCACTCTACCTAAAAGTATGCTTGAGTACATCATGGTGTAAAAGCAGTGGCATACAGGCTAAGTGCTGGCTGGCTCGATACAAAGAGGGCAGAGATTCTGCCACGGACCTAAGGAATTTACAGTATAGTATATGGCAGAGATGGGACCTACCCCAAGTCAGAATGTTCCGAATGTAAAGTGCTTTAGAGAGAAAAGAGAAATTAATCCCAATCAGGGTAATTCACCAAGGAGCTGGAGCAGTAAAAAGAAAGTAGGGCTTAGAAGGAAGCACATTGATTGGACTGCAATACAAGGTATGTGAAGGAGAGGGAGATGTGCCAGGTCACCAAGACTGGGCTATGTCGTGGGAACTCCAAACATTGATTAAGGTATTTAGACCTGTGCTATAAGGAACTGGGAGTCTAAGAGTCAGATATCTGTTTCAGGGAGATATTGCTTTCAAATATATATGTATTTGAGAAGGAACTATTAGAGAATGTTTAGGAGGCTACTGTCCAGGCTAGGGAGAGAAGCCAAAGGCATTTATTTAGCAGTTTTACAGTACTAGGTTTGTCAAATATGCTATCTCATTTAATATTCAGAACAAGTTTATGAGGCAGGTATCATCATCATCATCATCATCATCGTTATTATTCCTGTAATTCTTTTACAAATAGACAAACAGTATTAAGGAGATTAAGTTACTTGCCTGGGTTCATAGTCAACCAGTGCAGAACCTAAGTTTGAATCCATTTCTGCTATGATTCCAAAACGCTTGCACATTCTGGTATAACATTGCACTCTCTCTCTGGAACATAGGTAGAACTTAGCGCCAGCACACATTTTGAGGTATCTAAATAGAATCCCTGTTTCATTATTTCAGGCAAACACTACATAACACATCTGTTTTGTGCTCTATCAAATTCAATAGAAGAAATGTACGATTTCTTTTTGAGGAAATAAAGTTTACTTAGCCCCTATAAGGAGGCTTCAGAAAAATAGCAGAGCACAATCACTTGATTTTATGGGATATTTGAATTCAACGTGCTTCTGAACAAAACTTCACAAATCACGGGTATATGCAAGATCTCTGGTGAGCCCAAGGAAGTAAATGAACCAAAAGTTCTGGGATGAGGTATGAAAACACATGAAGGTCAAAGTTTTTTAAAATGGCAACTTTCAGACTCAATAGTTAATTCCTTCTTTCTTGTCTTCATTTCCATTACATGAATCAAACAAAAAACTGATAAGATTTTGAAGCAACAACAACAAAATTCAATGTATCTGATACGGCAACCTGAACAGAACGGAAAAGAAAAACAAGAAAACCTTTCATCTAAGCACATTTAGAGCCATGAACTTAACAACCAATGGCTTCTTCAAGAAAACTGGGAGGCATTCATTTCTATGTATTTCTGTCTAGGGGCATAGAGCGAAAGGGAAAAAGAGTAGGACACTTTGGGGTACTCTGGCCTCTTGTGAAAATTTAATGGACATTTCAAAAATGACCCAGAAAGGTAATCAATTAGAGCCCAGCTCCTGGTTAGGTTGGAGAATATTTAGCTCGTCTTACAAATGGGCTGCCCGTTCTCAGGCATACGGTGAGTGATGCTGGACGCACCTGTTTATTTTGCTCTGATTACACAAGAGTATATTTTGGGTTGGAATCATTAGCTCCAACAAATGAAATTCCTATTTTTATTCAAGTAAACATAGAAATGTTTAAATGATTCTGCAAATTGAGGACATGCACCAAAGACAACAAAATTATGACAACAAATTATGTAAACTTTTTAAAAAATCTTGTTATATTTTTCCCTGAAACTAGAACATCTACAATATGTTTCCATTTTGGTAATGTGTGCATTGTTGTTGCTTTTTTTCCCCGAACTTCCAACATCCTTTGCAAATAACACATTTTTTTCTAAAAATAAGAAATGGCTCTAAAACGTAGAGGAAAAATATGCTTGTCTAACCGTAATTTTTTTAGAGAAAAAAAACCCAAGCTGCTTTAAAAACTGAAAGACAAAGAAAGTATATTTCACTATAAATTATTCATTGCACTCATTTTGGATCAATATTTATAGATATTCACAGGCTTTTTATAAAGCTTGGGAGATTCTTTTAAATGTCATAATTTCCTTCTCAAAGCCAATGTCAGAAGCACAGCTTAGCGCTGACAATAAATGAACACTTGAGGTGCATGCCCTATTTTTTCCATCCTTTAGCATCAGGGCAGCTTGAAACACTGTGGGTTTCTGCCACCATTCTACCAAAACACTCCATTACTGACCTACTACATTCTGCCAAGTGGTTGCATTTTATAGGAACAAATAAACAAAGACACTGGTCATCTCTTCCCATTGAATGAGAACAGAGATGTGGCCACTATGATGACTCTCCATTGAGGAATTTGGGGCAATGATTTTTGCATTCAATCCCATCAACTCACATTAAGTGAGCAATAAAGGTTCCTAGAAAATATGGGTTGGGGGAGACCTGGTAACATCTCACAGCTTTCTGGAGAATGGCTTCTTGCCTATGGTCTGCTGGGGACAAGCCTGAAGATGAGGCTTAGAAGATAGAGGGGTGTAAATCAGAGAATGTCCTGCCAATCAAATATTACCTGCTTCACTCCTTTGATGCCCCCAAGAATTCAGATTTCTCTACCATGAAAAAAATATCAGCACCCACAGGGCTGTCTTCTCAGGCCCTCTACCAGGAGCATTGTTACAGTGAGAGAAAAAGAGGTTTAAAAGCTGCCACAGTGAATTCACCTACCCTGTTTAAGAAGCAAAAAAAAAAAAAAAAGTCTCTTTGCACCATCAGAAAAAATGTTTTATTTGCACCTTCCTAATTAGGACAGTAGAAATAGTTTAAAACTATTAAACTACAATATGAAAACTGAATTTTTAAACATTAGTTGCCCTTCTTAATGTGAAGCAATGGGATAAGTGAGAGAATTTGTAAATTCTAAGTATAATAAAAAATCAAAGAGGTCATCACAGTTAGTTTTATTGACTGCACAAACAATTTTGCTTTTTATTACATTGAAGAAGGGGAGCCAGTGAAATGGTGTATTTGTTAATGGCTTTGTAGGAATAAAAAAATAAAGTCTAATTATCAAAATCGAGATCTCAACCAGGTACCCTCATCTGGGCCTTGCAACTCTTGGTTTTTCTGTGTCACAAATGGGTGCTCTCAGAACAATAGTGGGGCTTTCAAAGGGCAAGATAATTCAGCAACACAGCCAGTGTCGGTTTACATTGAATGCTACCATGAAAAGCTCTTGCGCCCTTCATTCTTGATCTTAAAATGATCACTTCATTAAAATGGTTCTTTTCAATGAATGCATTGCCTTCCCAAGTAGTAACAGCCATTCAGTCACTGACTACATTAGAGTGTGTAATCTAGAATATTTTCAAAATGATTTTAGCTGCAAAATGCCTTGGGAGTCTTCAGGTTGAAAGGTATTACATCACTAGGAGCAATCATTAATATCAAATATTACCTTCAGACAAAAAGTGCTATCTGCAAACTTGGATGCTTATCAAAAAGTTACAGCAGCTCTTATGGAAAATGACTGATGGTAATCCGAGGATGACTTTTCCTTAGTGGGGCACAGGCCACGCTCTAGTGAAGAATAAAGCATTTCAGCTATACTTATTTTTTCTAATCCACAGATATGTCCCCAATTGCAGCTGATTTTTTTCTCTTTCTTGATCAAAAAGCACACCAACTTGGGGCCAACGCCAGTAAACACCCTTTCTATTTATATTTGAACTGCCCTGCATCTCCAGAGAGCTCTGATGCAGTCCAAGATCTTACTTGAAGCCCGAAGCCATTTCCTCAGAGTCTTTCTTACAAGACTCCAATGCCTCAGTGACTTTCTGCATCAGCAATTCCATCTCTGGGGCACGAAGATTGATTTTCTTTCTCCCTGCGAGTGAAAGTCCAGAATGTGTGCCCCCTGCATACTATCCTGAGAGACCGACAATACAACCACCAGATCAACTTGAAAAACTCATCGGGGGGGGCCCTCCAACCACCTCTGCGCTTCTCACTAGGTTAAGTGCTCCATATATCAATGAAGGCAAGACCCACTCACCCCAGTTCCCACCAGAGCTGCACACTGTGGTTATCTTTAGCTGAAGTTTTGTAACGCTCCTACATAGAAAATCTACACACAGCATCTCAGTGCATGCATGAACATTCAGGATGCAATCTTGAAACTGGGGCCTGAAAATCACATACATCTTGGTCCAGGGCTGAAGTAAAAATAAGGTGCTTTGCTTGATTGATTAGGAAATCATTAATGTGGTCATATATATGTGTGCTTTACACATATTTGGGGTCATTTTAAATGCTCAAACTGAGTTAACATATAAATGAGTTGCTTAAAAATAAGAGAATTTTTTATTTTGTTTTGTCTTGTATTTTAGAACTAGAAAAGTCCCCTTTTAAAGCAAGCTTGATAATTTCAGGAAAATATTTGAATTTTTAATTAAAACAGAGATCGGGAAAAGGCAACATTGATGAGTATCAACAATATATCTGTTTGTAATAGACTATTTTCTGTACTTTAAGAAAGTACTTTCTGTTTTATGCAAGAAAGATTGAGAACTAAGACAGGGTAGAGGAGGTAGGTGGGGAAATTCAGACATATAATCTGAACACACATGAAGTAGAGTAGCCAGGCTCCAAAATACGGACCTACAAACTTATTAAAGAGTGACGACATTACTTTCCCACATGCAAATTAATGTTGTTTATTGTTGGCAAGAATATGAGAGTCATAATATGGCACTCTTTCTGAGTTCTACATCTATATAAGCAAAATAAATAATAATGATAGGAACCCAAATTGGTCGAAAACTCAAGTTATTTTAATCACTATTAGACTGTAATCTTAGCTAGAAAGGGCATTTGTCATTTCCTCATTATCATTTGATTATTGAAAGTTTCTAGAAGAAAATTGCAAAAAACTTCACCTCATTCTTTGAAAAACATTAAGCAAACAAATATTGCCTTGAACCAAGGTATAAAAATTGGTGATTTAGCTTTTTTGACATAATCCATACAATAACTGAAATTTGATTACACTAGTATGATATTTCAAATTTGAAATTTAAAAATTTAAATTATTGCAGTGTGGTTTGTCTTTAAAACCATCATCTATAACACATATCTTTAGAAAAGTGACTGTTATATTTTCTGGTGTTACATTAATATTACTTGTGCTTTGTTTTATTTGCAAGTGATGTATTTTATTTGATATTTTGTTCTCCATACTATAATCACTTTAATACTTTCCGATACAAATTGATCTATAAGTTGCCAAATCAACATTCTTTATCATATCACACGTATAACATTCATTTAGATCTTGTTTATCGAGACATCTTTTACAAAATCCTGTACATTTTCAAAAGATCCTATTGAGATAAAATTCGAAGAAAGGATCCTTAAATGAAAGAGAGAACCTCTCCAATGTCTGAATATTTAAGCATCAAATTCCTATAAAAATGTATCATGGTTATATGAAAGCACATAGCCTTATAAAGACTAGGTACCCTTATCTTTTATCTCACATAATAAAAATAAATAAAAGACCAGAAGAGATTCACTGTCTCTCTACTACCCTCATTAGCAAACATCTGGCAAGCAAACTATCACGAGTAATATTATTTAACAACTTTTTTTTTTTGATGGTAGGGGGTGGTGGTGAAAGGGCAGATTGAAATGATATATGTCAAATATTAGTAGTCTTTTAAGAAGCCATCGCCCATGGCCCTTAACCCCTTACAGATGGCAAATAAGGTGCAGAGCAAACGAAATTAAGATGATAGTGTGTTGACAGGAGCAGGCAGATTCCAGCTTTCATCCCTACAGACAACAGGAATGACCACATCTTTTCAAACTGACACATTAATGAATTTAGCAACACCTGAACTTTTCTGGCAGGAGACACCTTTGACACCAGCAGGTTCTTTCGTGTCAGTAATAAAAGGATTCTGTATCATTCCCCGACTCCATATTTGATGGCAGAATTACCTTTTGGGCCCTAACAAGTTGACAGGGTTTCATTTTGCTTCCTCTTTTAATGACATCTTCTTTGCAGGTGAACTGGAGATGTAACGACTTCCTTTTTTGTCTTGGAAGATTCCTAAATGTCATTGAGAGACCCAAGACGTCTCAATCTCACTTAATGCAAACGGAAAACCAAGGGTTTTTAAAGGTGAAATGGATCTTGCTAATGAAGAAGTATCACTCTTCGTGGGGCATGCAGCTTGTTAGTTCAAGTTAGGTGAGTGTCACAGGTCAGGGTTCAAGCATGACGTGGGGTGTGACTAAAGATGTCATCTTTTATTTTTCCGGGTTTTGGAAAACATAATTGAATGGCTGGGCAACAAAAACGGAATCCTTTCTGCATTTGGGATCCAAAGAGAAAGCTAATGAGCTCTTGCCTTAAAAATGTGTGATGATGGGGTCCCAATTATGATAAAGTTTAAATATGTGAACTTTAAATATGTGAACAGTAAAACCACACTGTAAATACAGCCGCCTTATTCATGGGGACCAGAAACTGAAGTTTTTTGTTTATCTTAACTCCACAGTGATTTTATTTTTCCCACGAGTGTGACTCAGTAGTTACATAGTAATCCCTTTGTTTCATTTGCCTTCTTTTCCACAATAAAAAGGCAAGAAAAACAATACTTGTAGTTATCATTAACTTGCAAAATGGTCATGAAGCCCAAAGAAGGATGGGGAGACTCCTCTCAGACTTAAAAACTTGGCAACGTTAGAACTTCCTACACATTGAAATCATATAGAAATTCTCTATTTGCTGTCCTTTTTCCGATTTTACTTATCTGGCTGGTCACCATTTGGGGGAAATATAAGAAGGGAAAATCCAATTCACACAGTGACATAAAATCCATTGTGGGTGAATTAAGCCATAGCTCCCCAGCAAAACCAGACTTAAATGGGGAAGTGCTTGACCAGCACAGAGAGGGTTAAAGAGACACTGTCTCAGCTGTCAGCTCACGGTCACCATCAAATGACCAAGATATGCAGTAAATAATGTCCCATATTATTAAATGATAATATTTCCAACCAAGCTAAACTAATTAGCAGACTGTACTTGGCTTGTGACAGCATTTTGCCTTTCCCTTTTTTTTGCCTTAAAATCTATAATTGCAACAGGCAAAACTTTTCAGACCCAGCAGGTTCATTTGAGAAATGCAAGATCTAACCATTTTAAGAGAGGGCCATCCTAGCAAAGTAGCTCCTCCCTTTCTTTTTTTTCTAACTTTTCAAATCCATATAATTAGAAACAGGTTTACCCATCACCTTTATGAAACAAAAATTATTCATTAAAAGATGAGGATGGTTTCTCAATGGAAATAGTTATATGAACCATGGCCCCCATGCCATTTTAGGAAAAACACGCAATTACACTTGGTTATAACAGGTAAAATAATGACTTTTTCACCTGTCAATTGCTAGCTTAAAATTCCCACACATGTAGGCCATTTCTGTTTCATCTGCTCTTTGAATTTCAGCTGCTTTGCTTTTCAATGCCTCCGTTTCACTGGTGTCTCCTTTGTGTCTGAGACTCTCACACTGGGTTCTCCCTCTTTGGTGCTGGGCTTTCTTTTCACAGTGACATTTCAACATAAACAGTCAATATTCATTACCTCAAAGGAGACTTCCCTCCTATTGCTGACCAATTAAATACCAGCTGAGATAGGCAGACAAAGGTAAAAGGAGCTGTAACACAAGACAGGCTTAGAGCATAGTTTCTGCTTCCTTAAAGGAAGAAAAATTGTCATCAAAACAAAGAGAGCTGGGGATTTAGGGACTATCTCTATCCAAGAGACACAATTCCGCGGGATATTATGGTTCCCTATCTTTCATCTGGCACACTGCAGAGTGTGGGGGTTTTGTATTATTTTTGTTGTTGTTGTTTTTAATAATTCACTACCATGCATTTTTGAGGTTTCACTGAGAAGGACAATCAGCCCTTAATTAGTTCCTGACTGTAGATGGCCACATTGGCATAGGCTGTTTACTCAGATGCTGGTGGACCTGACCTTTATTTTCTTATTCTGCTGCCTAATTTGATTTAGCTTGATTTCTGTATTTCTCCACCACACAAGAGCAACTCAGGAGGCGCCACTTAGAACATCTGTTGAGACTGAGCCCTTTCTGCTGAACTCTCCACTGTATCGGGAATTGCTGGGAATGGCTGTGAGACTCAACTGAGTCCTCTGAACTGTGTATTCACTTCAGGGAAAAATATAAAAAGGGGTTCTCGTATATTTCCTTGAATCATTAAAGAGCTCAACTCCCTTCCCACCCCATCCGCCCCTCCCCCATACCCACACACTCTCCAGGATACACAGAAAAATGTAGGGCAGTAATGGAGCTGTTTTCTTAGGAAACTTGGATAGGGCTTTTGTTGTTGTTGTCGTTGTTTTAAATTCTGCAAATTTCAAACTATTTCTTTGTTTCTTTTTCAGAATTCTGGGCAGTAGGCGTGTGCCAAGCTGCAAGACTTTTTCTCCTCCTAAATGAATCGTGCAGTAAATTGGGCATTTGGATCTTTCCCTTGTGAAGCTATCTCACAAGTAAGCCACTTACTCCACCTTCACAGAACATTCCCCACTTCAGCAGCAAGGGATCACACAGGGTGCTGATTTTTACATTCAAAATGCACCCTGGATTTAAAGGGCTATAACCCAAACTCCAAACTGCTATCAGGACTTCTATCCACAAATTCCACATTTCCTTAAGGACTGATTTAGATAAAATTATCATGCAAACAGTGACCCTAAAGCAGAAGGTTACATATAAATAAAGCACACACACCCCATTCATTTTCATAAACTTACGTATGCATTCTAGCTTGGTCAGCAATTCTAAAAGCAATTACATTATTCCTAAAACAAACAAACAAAAATCATTCTAGACTGCAATCTCTACTCAACTTCCATTAGAAATAGAATTAAAATAGTGATCAATACTCGAAGCAATGCATAGTCCAAAATATGTGTGTCATATTAATTAGCTGTTTGAGAGAAGTGATATCCCAGTTTAATTTTCTGAGAGTCCCTCATGAATTATTTCTCTGCTTTGTCTTTTGAAAATGAGCGTGCAGTTAATACAAGATGGTAAACTTTTATTTATCCTGATGTCTTTTATAAAGAAAAAAAAACACTTTTGCTCATAGGAATTGTGGTCCCCTCCCCTCTATCCCAGTCCCTAAGCCAGATTAGGTGAATTTAATCATCAGAGAATTTTATTTTTCATTTGTGCTTCTAGCAGCTAGAGGGCACAAAAGAATGCTTTTACCTTGCCTTGTCTTTTTTTTTTTTTTCTTTTTAATCACTCACTGGAACTATATAGACTTAGAAATAAACAAAAATACTGGGGAGGTTGGTGGATTTCCTCGCACCTTCCTTCCTCAGATGTCAATTTTCATATTTTCATTCCAGCAGGGATACAAATTCCAAATGGCAGGAATATGTGAAAGTGTATAAGAACTTCATCTTCCTAAAATAAAGAATAAACCCCCAAAGAATGAGAGACTCAAAGTCAGGCAAAATTGGTCCAAGTTTGGTCCATTGTTACGTTTCTGAACTATTTCGTAAAGCTCTTTGTTCAAAAGCAATCTAAACACACATTTAACCTTTTTCATTCTAGCATCTTAAATATTAATGTTGGTTGTGATTCTGCATTAACAACATCTATTATTTTTGCACTAATAAGAGGCTTACAAGAATAAACATGAAAGGCTTGAAACAACCTTCCTGTCAATTAAGAAAGTCAGTAATACTTCAAGCGAACACTTTCTGCAGATCTCAGCAACTGCAGTCCATGTAGGAAATGCATGCTTCCAGCCACAAAAAAGGCTCCGATCCACGACTATAAGTTTTGCAAACCATCTCTCAAACACACTTATACCCACCCCCACCCCATCTTGTAAAGCTAGCTACTAATACTCAATAGTAAAAGGCATTCTTTTTGGACCATTTATTTGAAAGCATAATAGTTTGGCGTTTTTCTGCAAGAAACGCTAATAAACCTCAGGAGGAGTCACATCTGTTGCTGTAGTACAAAATGGGTTGGGCCTCAATAGCATAATATATATAAACACTTTTTCCCCCTAATGAACTGTACCACCCCCTTAGGCATAAATGAGTTGGATCTGGATTGAGTGCCATTTGCCAAATTGTAAATTGCCTACATTTATTTTGGGAGTGCACTAAACAGAGTGCTAATTGCCTTGTTTAGCACTTTCCTTTCTTTCATTTGCACTGGTGTAAAATCTTAGTAAATTAACTCAAGGCTTTTATTATGTAGGTAGCATTTGAACAACCAAGAATTAGTGAGGAGGCAGCATGAAAGGACTGATAAAAGAGGAGTTGGCTCTACCCATAATGCCATTTATATGTCCCTTGAATTAAAAGGATGGAATTAACTTTTAATCCTTGGGCTTTTTAAATAGCTGATGTTAACACAGAATGTATTACGCAGCCATTTTATTCAAATTTGCTCACTTAAAATGGGTAGAATGTTAACAACCATGATCGTATGGGGAAAGTGCAGCTAGCTGTATTCATATACACAAGTGTATATATTAAGATTCATTCCAAATAGCAATTTATGTAGTTGCAGTCAATTGCATAGTCAAGATTCCGGCTTATTGTCAAAGACAAAACACTCCAAAGTCATTAACATCCACTGCTGTGCAGTAGCCTATGTAAAATGAGTTGGGAGTCTCGTTGCCATTCTTAATGGACAGGTGTGTGTTTCAGAAAAGCCATTACCAGATTTAGCATAGCACAGAATGCATGCTGGTGGTTTGACTGCAGAGGATAGAGGCAAAATAGCCCCCAGGGCTGAAGGGCTTGTGCTCCTACAGGTGGCCTCCTGTGAGGGGATTGTCCAGGGAGCTGTGGAATCTCACAGATGCAGGGCTCCTGGGATAAACAAAGACTTTTCTATTCTCAGTGTGCTTGCTTCCACTCTTTTCATTAGGTTTTCCAGAACCTGTTGAAACCAGGGATAAACTCTCCATTTTTTCCTTTCAAAAGAAAAGAAAGTCTATTGCAAATGATGATTTAAATGGAAAGCAATAAATAAATCTATTGTCTTTGTTTTCTTTATACCTTTCTGTTTAAAAATCATAAAAGTTGTGTTTAGATAGAAGTCTGCCTACATGAAAAACCAAATGATAAAAAAGTACGCTTCAGTTCCTTCTTAACATTTGTATTAACCTCCCATCCACAGAGATCTGCAGGTAACTATGAAGAAACTAGAGAAGAGTCTTTACATGACGACAAACTCCTTGGCTTTTAGGAGGCTCTTCTAGGCCTTTATGTTGGAGCGTGTTAACTTTGGAAATGTTTTTCTGAAAAGGCAGAGTTCATGTTGTGGGGATAGCAGGGAACACATGTTTCCTAGTTCAAGATAAAGGCAATGGAAGAAAGTTTTGGGGTGGCGTCTGTATACAGAAGGGCAATCAGTATTTGCCATATTGAAGGTCATTGTTAATCCAAGTGGAAAGATAACTCAAGCCTTAACAATTTTGTCAGCAGAAAAGAAAGAGTATGTATTTGGCTTTAATATTCCCTAAAACCCAAATGGTCTCAAAGTAATTTCTTGATAGGTAATACATTCATGGTAAGAAGGACTTTGAAGTCAGGCAGACATATGTGGATCCCAGCCCGACCACTGAACTCTGATCTCTGGCAAGCGACTTCAGCTTTCTGGGTATCTGTTTCTTCATCTCTAAAATGGGAAGGTAATACAAATGCATACGTGCTATTGTGTGAATTATATGACAATGCATTTAAAGTGTCTAAAATGGAATATGCACTCAATAAATGTTAATCCACCCTCTGATCCTCTTTTTATCTTTGTTGACCTCTAATCCCACCTCTTCATTTAGGTAATGAAGAAAAATCCCTGCTTAGATATTAGAAGATACAGCAGCATAATTACTTTTGTTTTATTAATGCAGTGCTTAACAAAAAAGTACTCCCCTATATAGTATCTGAGGGAAGAATAAATTAATAAGAAAAAAATGTTAATCAATGTTTTAACATTTTAACTGGAATAATACTAATAAAGGAACGATGCGGTGGGAATATGAGTTGCCAATATTACTTAATATCAATCCCCCCTCCTTCCCACTCAGACTCAAAAGGAGCTGGCAGTTTTAACTATGTGTATAATTATAGAAGACATTTATTTTATATACATATGTATGTATAATATAATATATATTATACTAGCGGCTTTGTGATGAAACATGTTTGTGAAATTTCCAGAACAGAATGACCTGGATTCCTACACACTTCTCTGGATGCTATGAGGTCTAGCTATCACTCAACAGCAAACTGTGGTTTTATATAAGTTTTTCATGAAATAAGATAGGATTTAATGTATTTCCAAAACTAATTTATTTGCCAGGAAAACAAAATGATGGCACAAGGACAAAACTTTAGCTGATTTCCCATTTAAATAGATAGCATATTGACACATGAAGGCTGGAGACAAACCAGATAGGAGAAGGCTGAGAGAGGATATTTCAACTTATGTGATTTATTTTAGGTTCTTCATAATATAAAGTGTTTTCTAATTCAGGGTGATTGCCATTTTTAATAAGAAGACTTAATGGTAGTTCTACAAAATAATAGTCCCATGCGAAATAATGCAGGCTTCTCTTAAGTCATATGAGAATGCATTTATTGACTAATCCTTGATTAGTGCTAAACTGTGCTGAAGATTGGTCTTTAGGTTCCCCCCCAAGGAACTGATTCTGTAGTTATCAATGTGAACACTTAACACTAACAGGAGCCTTGGCCAACCAACTCAGAAAGGGGGCATTTGGTTTTCTATGAGTCCTTCACCGAGGGCAGAAGCAAAATGCTAGTCATTTATTCTTTAATTAAAGAAATGGAGAGTCTGATTAATGAGAGATGTTTCTACCATGTTCTTCCAATGTGTTTTTCTTTCTTAAACCCTTAGGCAAATTGTCTAGAACTTAATCTTTCATGCTTCAAATTATTCCTTGAACAAACCCATAATTTGTAGGGGTTTGCATTTTAGCCTGTAAAAGAGGTGAGGGTACTTCTGATTCTCCACTTCCTAGTTTTTCTCTCCACTCATTTCTTTGATCTCATCTGTGACATTTTAATCTACTATCAGGTACTGGTAAAAAGGAGCTTTAATGGAAACTATTCAAATAGATGAGCCTGGGTTCTTTTGTTTAAAGAAAAATGTGCTCTTTGTGGGTTATTTGCCCATTATATTGAATGTTATGATCCCTGGGATCCCTTCTTTTTGTTTTTTGATATCCATAACTCTCGTGGCTTGCAATCCACTTCCATCTTGAATAAACTTGCCAAATGTTCAATGAGTGTGTAATTTTGGCAATAATGAAATTGAGTACAAAAGTGTTGTGCATGACTTTTCACAATTATGCCACCTTTCTTATGAAAGATGCCACCAGTTTATCAATAAAATCTTAGTGTAAGGTTGCAGTTACCTAGTATTTATGCAATTTGTAATGGCCTAGGCTGTGTGTGTAATACAGTGTTAGTTTTCATTCATTGGAAGCATTCTGGCCATGAAACCTTAGCAGGACAGTACTTGCTAATCCAGAGTAAAGCCTGAAGGAGAGAAACAGAAAGCCTCATCCATTACATTCTCAGCCACCATCATGAGATCAAAACCAAATATACTCTAGATAGATGATTCATTGGGCTAGTCATGAAACATAAAGCCTCTCACAATCCCAGATGTTTTCTGAGACATATCTAACCGTGCGCATAGTAGAAGAGAGGCCTATCCTGCAAGCTTGATTAAATACTAAGTCAATTGTGCCAAGAAACTAATGTCTAGAGACTGGAGGATGCTAGCAGTTTTGGTAGCATTGTTTCTAATAATAAGACGAAGAGGTCTGGCACATGCTTATTTCTATCTGCATATAATATACTGCCCATTCTAACTACTATGCATGAAAGATCTGTACATGTGTCTTCAAAACCTTAACAATATTTTCCTTTCTATTCTAGGAACCGGAGCTAAAAATACTCAGGTGATTTTTAAAATAGAATTTATAGAAGTTCTTTAACTGAACTTGTTGCTTTAAAAAAGTTTGCTCTGTTCTTCTAGCAGGAGTTTACTTAAGAAAACAATCTTAAATGAGAGGAAGCCTTAAAAATGATTTAATTGCATCTTTTCTTATTAGTATTATTTTGTATTAAATAAAACATTTGCTATAACCCAAATGTTCAACTCAGAAGACAAAGTGTCATGCAACCCAAATAAAAATTATGTTTATGGCCAGGCGCGGTGGCTCACGCCTGTAATCCCAGCACTTTGGGAGGCCGAGGAGGGCAGATCACGAGGTCAGGAGATCGAGACCATCCTGGCTAACATAGTGAAACCCCATCTCTACTAAAAATACAAAAAAAATTTAGCCGGTCATGGTGGCGGGCGATGTAGTCCCAGTTACTCGGGAGGCTGAGGAAAGAGAATAGCGTGAATCCAGGAGGCGGAGCTTGCAGTGAGCCGAGATAGAGCCACTGTACCACTCGAGCCTGGGTGACAGAGCAAGACTCCGTCTCAAAAAAAAAAAAGAAGAAGAAGAAAAGTATGTTTATAAAGATTCCAGTCACATGCAATGATATTGCCTGAGGAAAAACATAACGTAATCCAATTTATGTATTATGACATTATCTTGACTCTATAAGGAAGAAAAATGCAAACATAATCAGAAGGAAATGGACTGGGCCACACAAGATCACGTTGTTTGAGCAGGAAGCTAAGATTGTGTGAATTTTGTCTACTTTTAATGTACTTTCCTCCATCATGTTTTTATAATTTTATGAAAATAGTAAATAAATGAAGGAAAAAAGTATTTTTCACAATGGTTGCTCACAACCATTTATTTGTGGAGATGGGAGCACAGTTAATGATCTAAGAATGAAACACCCTATATGTCCACCTGTCCTCACCCCTCACCTCTTTGTATGTCCAAGATAACACCAAAATCAATGAACCAAAGGAACAATAGCCTTGGAACCTAACAATGGGCTCCTTTTCTGAATGAGAAACAAGCTGGGGATATCTTCATTTGTTGGCTTCCTTTTCTAGGGAATAGTATGAATGATTATATTTTAGACTTGCAGAATTCCTTGTTCTCATATTTCATTTGGAAGGTAAAAAAATAGAAATTCTAGTTCTACTTCCTACTTGCTTGCAAGCTTTCAGTTTGCAGAGCTCTTTGCTGCTGACATTCCCATGATCTCTCCCACCTTCTAGAGTGCACACCCTCCCACACCCACTCACACAGAATCATCTGGATATTTGGGTGTGCAATCAGCAATTTAGCTTTTCCTTTAATAGCATACAGATGGTTCTTGGTGTTTTTAAACAAACTTCTCAAACAATATTGGTGTTGCAAGAATGACTTCATTCCCAACTCTCTGACTTCATCCTAATCCATTCTCCAAGCAAGTAAGCTAAGATTCAGTGTGATTAAGCCACTTTCTGAAGATCACAAATCAGCCATGGAGTCCAGGCCAGAATAAACTCCAATGATGTTTCCGTTAAGAGATACTAGTTATTTTTAATCTACGTGGGTAGAGAGATTCTCCTCTAAGTCATAAGTCTCAACGATGCACAATTAATGAAGATTAGATAGTATGTTCATTGGCTGAACTTTGAGGTGTTAGAGTTCTCTGCCCACCATTCTGAAGAAAATTAAGCTTATTTGAAGGATACGTGGTCTCTATTAGTAAAGAGTTAAGCACAGCTTATGAAAGTAATGACATTGTCATTTGTCCCCTTGGTTCATTCTAAGGACTGCTTTTCTGTTGTTGTTTTTCTTCTCCTCCAATTGAAAGATTAACCTGGTCCCAATTGAAATGGCAGTCCATATCATACCTTTCCTTGATCTCTCAGCATGGCTAATAACAGCTGGGGCCTGCCGAGCAAGCGTCTTTATTTTTTCTTTATTGTTCCAGACTACAAACCCGTGAACCTTCAGCATGTTATGTACTTAACCATGGTCAGGTTGATGGCATTATTTTCTGATTGTCCGGGAGCTCCTGGGGTACTGGCCCATACTGACAGAGAAAGGCTGCCATGCTCTTTGTAGGGTAACCTCTGAAAAAGAAGCCCCTCAACCACCTGCATGTTTAGCCTGGAGCTGTGACATTGCACTAGGCCGATTGGTACGCTTCAAAACACGCATTAGCACCACTGGTGCTAGTGCATCTTGCTTGTTAATTTTCACTTGGGCCTGTTAGATAAACCTTCTCTGGGCCACAAGTAAATGCTTGACACAGCAGATTTTTAAAGATCTTTGCAAGAAGATCTGGTATGTCTGGGTCACTGTGTGCTTTGTCTAAATCTAAGCACAGCTATTTGTTAGTCTCCCCTGCCCTCTTTTAGCATTTTTTTTTTCCCTGTTGCCTGTCCACATGTCTAACTAACTAGCCAGACTAGTCTACAGCAGAGAAAACCAGGGACATGAGCACAGAATGGCAGGAAGAGTGGAGCAAAGTGCTTCTCTGCGTGAACCATCTCCACACTTAGCTTTTACAATCCTATAAAAATTGGTCTACTTGTTATCAGTTCAGACTGGAAAGCAAGCAACAGCCCTCCGTTGCCTCGGGCTTTGATGTAAGCACCCCTGACTATTTCTGTTTAAACTCTAGCGGATGGAAGACACCTATAAAGATATTAATTAGCTCCAGTTGTCACCAGATGTGGTTCACATTCTCTGAGCCAGCTCTGAAATACTGGAATTTTTATTAGGCAAGGTAATGTTTATGGCTCTCATTAAAATCTGAGTCATAAAAGACTGAAGAGGAGATTGGTGGGAAGTGGGGGAGAGAATAGTTTCCTCTTTGTTTATTAACTTTCAAAAATCCAAAAGTCCTGTGTTTCAGACTTGAGTGGCATGTTAACTTTGTGGGATTTGGCAAGATTCTTCTAAGTGTTTACATTTTGAGGAAACCTTTTGAGTTGTACTACATAAAATGACTGGTTTGTGTCAGAATGATGTTACATTTACATGCTTAATTATAATAATGTCAGCCATGGAGCACTGCACCATGCAAAAAAAAATCAGTACTAATTGTTATTGGACTGGATACTAACTTATGGGATATATTATGACAACAGAAGGAATTTATTGTTTATTCAAAATGGGCGAACAGCACTTCATAACTGTCAGGGTGGGGTGGCAGTGAAAGAGAAACAAAAATCCAAAAATACCTTCTGAACACTTTCTTTCAATGCCTTCCTCCCTGTCAAGTTACTGCCATGCCTTTATGACTCTTAAGAAATACTTCAGCTAATTTTTCTCTTGGATAAAAGAAATAGCAATAGCTAAAACCTGCTCAGGTCTACGAACTTATTTAGAAAAAAAAAATCTTAATTTGAGAAAGATTTGAAGGCCAAAATAGCTGCTCAGGTTCCTTCAAAAGCTTCCCTGACCTCCTTCTGAAGCTACTCTCCCATCAAACCTACAGGCATAATAAGGCCCGCAGAATATTTCTGACGACCCACATCATAATCTGCGGTCCGGGGTCTGCAAACGGAATATACCTTCAGCTTGAAGTCCTCTGATGACTACATCAATGCATTCGATTTACAGTTTCATAAGATCTTTGGAGATTTTAAATGATATTCAGAAATATGCTTATGCATTTTTAAAAGATTCTTTTTTCCCATCTGAACTCTTTTAACAAAGGTATTTCACTAAGTACAACAGCTGTCCAATTTTTTCCAACCTTTTGCTTCCTTCTAAAACACAGTCATTTTGTTAGACATTGAAAATGTCTTGATTTAGTTGTCTTGCTATTTTGGGCCTGTCCTGCCCCCTGCAGTGGTAATAAGGATGGGGGTTCCTGCTGGGCCCTGAAGAATACCATTTCACGGCCGCCACAGAGCTGGCGGCTTTTATTTATGGAGCCAAGAAAATGAATGGGTATTAGTGTCCAAACATTTCAACATGCTCCCGCGGCCATGCACAAAAGGGACTGATTTGCAGCAAATTTCCACTTATTTTCCAAAAGTATTTACCTTGCCGAAGCTTGGCTGATCACTATAATAGCAGAGCCGAGGGGGAAAAAAATGACCATTTCAGAACCCAATTCATATATATATATGTGTGTGTGTGTGTGTGTATATATATATATATATATATATATATATATATATATATATATATATGTATATCTGAACCTTAATCGTGTTCTACTTCTTCTGAATAAAGATAATACCTTTGGTTGCTAGGCTTTTATGGATATGTGGATAACTCTAAGGTGCTGGGGTTTGTAGTTCTCACTGTTGTTTTAAACAAGAAAAGAACTAGCACAAACAAAGAGTTCACATCAGTGGATTTAGGCTACACATAAGACAGCATGCTGCCAGTGCCCAGGTCATCTTTGTACACTCCCAAAGAGTAAGGCCAGCATTTTAATGCCTAAAATTTGGGCCAGGGATTGAGGGCTAATGCGTTCTATAGCTGTGCTTACTATTTTAGACGGCAGGCAAATGGATTCGTGGGCAACTCTGAAATGCTATGCAATTACTTTATCTTTTTTCATTGTGCAGTTCACTCAGTCAACAAATATTAATTGAGTACCTACTATGTCTCAGGCATTTGAAATCTGCCTCAGAAAGATGTTAAAAATTGCTTTAAATGTGGCTTCCTGGGGTCTTTGCTCAGGAAGTCAATGTCTTTTGTCCAGACAGACATCTCAGAGACCTCCCCACTTCTCCATCCATTCTCCAGCTCTGTCTCTGAACAGGACCACTCCTCATTCTTTAATTATTGAATTGCTTGTTGACTCCCGAACCTTGGTTCACTCTTCTTAGGATATAAGAAAATCCTTTGCTCTCAATCTACAAACCAAAGTTCCTGCTCCTCAAATTCCAGCCAAAACAATTTATGACCAGTCCTCAAATCCCTAAGATATGAAGTCCCATTTATTAGAACTCCTTTAACATGTTTTGCTACTTCTGTGCCTTTATGCGTGCATGGACTAGTGGATAATAAACCATCAGGAATGAACTGATGCCAATTCACATTCCTCAAGACTTGCATGCACTTTGCACCTAGTAAGTGCTTTCTGAAAGGTGAGGGGACAAACCATGCTGAAAAAAATGAGCTACCATCATCTCATATATTCCATTGTCTTTTTTTCCTTTTTAAAAAATATTCTGAAACTCCAAATCCTGTATGACACTGTCCCACTCCATAAGAAACAAGATTTACAAGTACAAAAAGATGTGTAGAATTTCTCTTCCTGTTCATTCAAAACCTATGTGTGCTTTTCTAACATTTACATTAATTATACCATGGCTGTAAATCTCCTAGTCTCTCTTCACCAACGTTACCATTTTATTGCACAGATTTCTATTCAGAACAGTATGACAATCTCAAATTACTTACAGAAATCTAGCCATAAACTGCTAAAACTTTGTTCACTATATAGAATGTTATTATAGTGTGGGAAACATGAAATAAATGATAGAAACAAACCAGTAATTATTTCATCCTGGACCCATTAACTACCAGCTGTAGGACTTTGAGCTGGTTACTTAGTTCTCTATGCCTCAGTTTTTCTCATCTGTAAAACTGGACTAATCATAGCTACCTCATTAAGTTACTGTGTAGATACAGCAAGTTAATAAGTAAAGCACTTAGAACATGGAACCGGCTCAACAAATGTTGATGTTTAGTTCATATTCTGGAACATATGGCTTTAATTTACAATAGACATTTCCAGTTTCACTTGCAGTCCTTGAGTAAGAGATAATAAAAGTCTCTCAGGTGTATCTTCTCCAATCAAAGCCATTTCAACACAGGCTACTGCACTGCCTTTCCACACAAGTTTATTTTTGGAAGAACTTCTTCCAGCAAATTTCATCATGTAGGCTTCTAATTCCCTGGGCTCAAGGGGTTTCCAGTCCCGGGTCACTGCTTGGGCCGCTCCCACTGCATCCAGTTCTGCATCATAAGCTACTCCACTGCCAAAAGTCCTTTTACCTTTAGATTGCCAAACGGGTGCTCTGTAGACCAGCCAATCAATGGCTGTTTCAGCCAAGCTTTTTCCTGAGCCATATGGTTCTCTTAGGCATCTGTGTTGGCTTCTGCTGTCTTTCATAAAGAGAAGCATCCATCCTCTATGGGTTTATTTCATGGCCAGAGTTCCAAAGAGTTTTTGTTTTTGTTTTTTTCTAGAAGGACAGATAAGTTATTCTGGTTTAACTCTGCCATTGACCGGTGTCATTACACCACTTACTTCCCATTTTTGGGCCTCGACTATCTCATATGTAAAATAAAATTATTGACTGAGAGGATTATATCCAGGGAGTTATCTACATCTACATTTTCTGAGCTTCAGAATTCATCTTTAGGGAGAAAATAAAAACCTCAACCTCAGAGAAACCTCTCTCTAGATTTTCATGAATGAAGCTGGACATATTTGTGATGGAGAGCTCCCATGCTAACTGTCAGCATCTTGGTGTTGGGCAGACTGCCTTGTTGTCTTTCACAGTGTTGGCTTGGTGGGGGCACAACTGATCGATCAAGCATCAAGGTCCAGAATGTCAATTATCGTGATGTCTTCTCCTTTCTCAGATGAAGCAGCATCTCAGAAGCATCCCTGAACATAGCCAAACAAGAAACCTACATACAACTTTCATGTCACAGCAAATGAAGCTAGGAACATAACAATGAATCAGACACAGTTTACCCCTCAATAAGTCCATAGTCCAATAACAGAATTCCGTGTAGAAATAAACAATTTCACTATAGATTGATAAGTATGAAACTATGTGTGGGCATTTGAACATATTTACCTAGCATATGTTGGAAGGGGGATGCAAGAGTAGGAGACGGGGAGAAAGAAGAACAAAGTATAAATGTGAGCATGGTTCCTTTGGGAAATGCTGGGAGAAGCAAAATTAAGCATGTTTTTGTTTGTTTGTTTGTTTTGTTGTTGTTGTTGTTTTTGAGACGGAGTCTCACTCTGTCGCCCAGGCTGGACTGCAGTGGCGCGATATTGGCTCACTGCAACCTCCGCCTCCTGGGTTCAAGTGATTCTCCTGCCTCAGCCTCCTGAGTAGCTAGGATTATAGTAGGCGCCCACCACCACACCCAGCTGATTTTTGTATTTCTAGCAGAGATGGGGTTTCACCATGTTGGCCAGGCTGTTCTTGAACTCCCGACCTCAGGTGATCCACCCGCCTCGACCTCCCAAAGTGCTAGGATGACAGATGTGAGCCACTGCACCCGGCCACCATGTTTTCTTATTTTAGGACTTCTCAGGGCCTTGAAATTGTGACTATGTATTGTGAATTTTTAAAAGCGTATTTGCAAAAAATAAAAATAAAGCTATCTATTTGCCTTTTTGTTTTTCAGGTTTGACTGTTGACATCTTGGGAAACAGTATCCTACTGGATATGGTTGGAGACACCCTGCTTTGGAGAGATGATGATGAGTATGAATATAGTAAATAAGTCATAGATAGACAGTCCGATGGAATATAGTAAATAAGTCATAGATAGACAGTCCGATGTCACGCGCTGACACTTTTAATAATAGTGCCCTCCTCTAGGGCTACTGTGAAGCCTAAATGAGCTAAGTAATATAAAGTACTTACACCAGTGTTTGGCATATACAAATATTTAATAAACTTTGTCATTGCATCATCATTATTATTAGAACAGAGTGGAGACTCACCCGTTCTACTGGCAACTGGAGTTTGTTCAAGAAATACCTGAGTTGGTTCTTTAACTGTCGAGTTCGATTGTCCAAGTGGAAGGGTGGGAGTCTCAGGGGAGAGCATGCCAGGCAGAAGAAACAGCACAAGCAGACATCCGGGGACATGAACCAGCAGTAAAGCAGGGGTCCATACATTTAGATAGAGTATGAGTAGATCAATGCTCAAAAACTATCCTAAAACTAAAAGAAGATTGGAATATCAATCATACACCACACACCTCCTTGCAGCTCCTTTACAAAAGTCCCTGGGGAACAAGTTGCTTCAGTTCATGGCATCAATACCCAAGGCTCATTATTAAATACTATTGTAGTGATGCTTCAAATTAAATCTAGATATTATTCACTGCCACATCTCTTCCCAAACTTATTATTTCCAGGAAAACTCTTAAGCAACAAATTCAGTGAATTGGTACAACCACCATGTTTACTGACACTTTCTAGAAGCTCTACCTTCTCAAATGTTCTTACCGATATGACATTTTTAGTATAAAATACCAACACTTAAGGCAAAGGAAATTCCTACTGTTTGTGATATGTTACAAATTTGCTAGTAATGTGTATATTACACCAAAATCACTCTGATGATTACACAAAAATACACACCAAGCTGGTTCTTTTCGATACAGTGTTGTTTCTGAAGAAGTAGTCGAAACCTAGGTCCTATTTTTCAATATGTATTTGTGAGACCAGGCTGCCTTCATGTTGTTCAGCTTCTTTTACTTTGTAGTTGTTCATGTATTTTGCTGAATTCAAAATTTACAGAAATTTCAGAATTACATTTTGCTTTCTCCTTCTCCCTCCCTGTCTACTCTCCCCGATCTCCTCATGCCTTCTGTACCCACCTATCTCCATTCTGAATTGACAGAAGGTGACCAGGGAGACAGAGATATGCATGTTTACATTTCTCTGCATTCAATATTGATTTTGAGTTAGATCTCATTAGGGAGAAAGGGAGAGAGAAAGAGAATAACTTTAATAGGTCATCTGCATCTCAACAAATAAAAGTAATAATTATTAAATACATTGCACTTACTGAGCTGTTACCACATGCCAGACACTTGATCACACCCTGCACATAGATTAGCCTCTGCAACCCTGCTAGTGAGGTGATCCCACTTTACAGATTATGAAAGTGAGGCTCCTCAATGCTGATTTAATTGTCAGATTCACAAAGCTAGTGAGTGATGAAACGGGGACTTCAATATAAGCCACACAAGCTTCAAAACCCGAGCTTCACCCAGCAACCACATCGCCACCTCCAGGAGCTACTACTAGAAAACCCAACAGCTACTACTGGAAAACCTAACAGCTACTGCTAGAAAACCTAACAGCTACTACTAGAAAACCTAACCGCTTTTTGATTGCAGAACAACTCACTGAGTGAGAGTAAGTTAGAAAGCAAGGTACCCCCTGAGTTTTTATTAGTCACAGTCAAAATAAATTTGAAGGAAGAATTTTCAGCCCCAACTAAGTTGGAATAAGATTCACTAGGACATCAGCTGACAGCATCCTGCAGCCCCTGGATGCCTACATGTACAGAGAAGGACCTACGGTAACCTACAGGAGGCAGCTCCAGCTTGGGCATTTACTCCACTCTCTGATTCTTTAACCTCCCTGAGCCTGTTTCCTCATATGTACAATGGGAATGATAACTTCCTTCCTGCTTCATTCTCAGAATTGTTGAGAGGGGTAAATGAGCTGAAATATGTTATATAAAAGTAGACTACACATGCAGAGTATTATTTAAATATAAAAGTATTTGTTACCATTATGCACTCTGAATGACTAGATGCCCAGTTATTCTCTGAAATGCCTAGTTTTGTTATTTTTCTGGCTTTTTGGCTCCACATTTTAGGATTTTAAAAACTCAGTATCAAGTTAGATGAAAAAAACATCCAGCCTGGTATTCTCTCTGTAATAGACTTAACAGGCTTCTGAGTTCAGTTAGTTTCTCTATCTCTGTTTAAATGAGTATTGTTATGAAATATTTCAAACAGACCTAAAAAGTGCAACCAAGAAAACAATATAATGTATCATACATTCATGTACTCACCAAGTCTCATCACTTTTCCATTTTGGATCAGATCTTTTCTTCAATAAAAATAAATAAAACACAAGTATAGCTGAGGTCCCTTGAGTGCTTCTCCTGGATTCCACTGCTGTCTCTTGCCTGCCAAGAGATAACCACCGTCCTGAAGTTGGTGTCTCTTAATCCCATGCAAATTTTTATATTTTTCCTACTCTACTTTTCTAATTAACTTGTACTTTTTTTTTTTTTTTTTTTTTTTTTTGAGACAGAGTCTCAGTCTTTCACCCAGGCTGGAGTGCAGTGGTGCAGTCTCGGCTCACTGCAACCTCTGCCTCCCAGGTTCAAGTGATTCTTCTGCCTCAGCCTCCCGAGTACCTGAGACTACAGGTGTCTGCCACCATGCCTGGCTAATTATATATATATATATATATATATATATATTAGTAGAGATGAGTTTTCGCCATGCTGGGTGGCTGGCCTTGAAATCCTGACCTCGGGTGATCCACCTACCTTGGCCTCTCAAAGTGATGGGATTACAGGCATCAGCCACCACGCCCGGCCTATTTTACTAGTACTTTAAACATATGCATACATCTATAAACAATATGCAGGATGATTTTACATGCATTTAAACTTTATTAAAATTGTATATATTTTATTTATTTTCCTCTTTTTAATCAACATTTCTTTCATTTGGGCTTATTAATTATAACTGCTGTTTAGTGTTTCTCACAATTTAATTCCCTCTCAATCCTTGTAATGTTGGATATTTAGGTTGCTTCCAATTTCTTGCTATTACGATCAGCACAGTGAATGTTGGGCACGTCTCCCTGGGCACAGTCAAGATTGGTTCTCTAGGGCAATGATTCCCAGGTTGGTTTCCCAGCTGCATTAGCATTACCTGGGAACTTACTGGCCATGTAAATCCTAAGGCCGAACCCCAGGTCTTCACAAGTCCTTCAAGTGATTATGGTACAGGGTAAAATTCGAGAACTACTGCTGTAAACCCAGAGCTGGAAGTGCCTAGATGGAAAGTATGTATGTATTTAACTTTATGAAGTATTGCTTAGTTATTCTCGAGAGAACTTGTCCTTATCAAAACTTTGTACCAACTTTAAGTTTTCCCCATCAGCTTGTTGCACAATCATTATCTCCTGGTGATTTTAATTTACATTTCCTTGATCAGTAGGTATCTTTTAAGCATTTTTAAGCATCTTTTCATAAGTGTTTATTAGCCATTTATGTTTTCTTATACATCTTTAATCAATTTTTCTATCAAGTTGTTGATCTTTTATTGATTTGCAGGGATTTTTGATCATTTTAGATATTTAAGTCTTTGTTTGGTGATATAAATTGCAGAACTCTTCTCCCAGTATGGAACATGTCCTTTTACTTTTTTGTGCTTTTCATCTCATAGAAGTCTTTTTTAAAATTTTAATGTAGTCAAGTTTATCAATATTTTCCTTGATCTTTTAATCTTGTCATTAAAGAAAGACTTTCCTATCTAAATTTCTTTAAGATATTTATATTTTCTTCCAAATACATGAAAGCTTTGCTTTTCAGATTTAGGTCCTTAACCTACCTAGAATTGATTTTGTGTCTATAAGGAGAGAATTCTGTCTAACATTTTTCATAGGGATAACCAGTTGATCCAATACTGCTTATTGAATTACCCTTTTTTCCTCAACTGACCTACAATGTGACCTTTCTTATATGTTTATATATTTTCATACATGTGTAAGCCTCTTGTTTAGCTAAACATCCTATACTGTTGGTTTCGTTTTTTGTTTTTTGTTTTTTTTCCATCTCTACACTGATAATATACTGCCTTTTTCGTTACAGGTTCACACTTTTTTTTGCCCTCAATCAAAATACCTAAAGTTTATTTTTTTAATTCTTTCTAGTTAGCAAACCAGGTTAACAAATTAATTAAACTGGGTTATCAAATTAATTTTATTAGTTTCTGATTCTTTCTTTTTACTTCCTTGTTTTATTGTGCTTTTTCTAGCTTCTTAAGCTGAATGCTTAGCTAAATATTTTTCAGTATTTGCCTTTTTAGGATTTAATATTTAGGGCAATACATTTTCCTCTAAGGTACTGTCTTACCCATAACCCATTTAATTTGCTCTTTAATATTTTAAGTAGTGTTCACATCTAAATATGTATTTTAATTGTATGTTTTTTATTTGTCCTATCAGTTATTAAAGAGTGTTTTACACATTCAAAGGTGCAGGGCTCTTTGACTATCCTTTTTTGGACTTATCTCTAATTTTATAGCATTGTGGTCAGAGAACATGTTTTTTGAAATATTACATACTACTTGCTGATACTTTCTGTCTAGCCCAGAATATGGACAATTTTTGTAAATATGCTTTGTAGTCTTTAAGAAGAATGTATATTTTCCAATTGTCAAGTAAAAAATTCTATATGCTTTTTTCTCTATTTTCTTTTTTTTCCCCAAATCCAGACTTTATAATAGACTATGGCTTCCTTCCTTTCATATGTAAAACCAAAAAACAAAAATGTTTATTTCAGGGAATCAAAGAGATCACTGATTATAAGATGAGCCATTATTTTATCTACCACTACAAAAGAAAATATACTGGTAATTAATTTTAAAATTTTAAGATACATCCTGATCTCAAAGATATTCATATGTTAAAAAGAAAAATAACTCTTTGGGTTTTAACTTCAGAAATTCCTTGAAAGGTGGTTCTTTCTGTTCTTTTTGTCCTCTCTCAATTAATTTCCAGGTTTCCAGACTTTTCATATTTTTAATGCCCAATAGCGTAATATATTCGGTGTTGAAAAGCCTATCTTCTCTTTCTTTCTTTGTGTTAATCATGGCAGTTTGATGTATTTATTTGTAGGTATTAGCTCTGAGTTCCCTTTCCACGTGGTCTTCCTCAGGACACCCAGCAATCCCACAGCGTCAGCATTCACCATTCATATCATTGCTTACCTGTAGTGATTATTTCACTGTGGATATGAGCATCAAAACATCATGTCATATACCTTAAATTTATTTTTAAACAATTTTTAAAAATAAGTAAATATATAAAGTCATTCATTGACAGAGTTCTTTCAAAATATTGTTTAGATTGACTTTAAGGAGCAAGAGTGGTTAGGTTATACTCTATTTTTTCCCCTTCTTTGGATACTTTTTATACTGGCCTGCTGAATAAATAATATCATGATCATGTTATGCAGCAAACACACAGTGTTAAAGAAACATGTTACGCAGCAGACACATAGCATTAAAGAAAAGGGCCAATATTTAAGTAGGGCAACATTGGTTGAAACCATTGGTTTTATTCTTTCCTTTTCTATTCTACGACTGCTGTCACTGTGATCTTTTTGCAAAGTGTATAAAAACTCTAAAATTTTGATGACATATTTTTTTGATCCAACAGTTTCCCTTATACAAATACTGCACAGGCAATAAACATGGACTACACAAAGCTCAAGCTAGAAAGATATTAATCTCAGTATTATTTGCAATAGGGAAAAATTGAAAATGGCCCAAATATACAATAATGGATATAATAATTAAGTAACTGAAGGTACAACCATACATCAAAATAATCAGTGGATATTAAACTTGAATGTTGTTGGAAAATATTTAGTGACATAAAAAATATTTAGTATATATTAAGTTTAAAAGGATACAAAATAACATGTACAGTTTGATCTCAATGTTGTTAAAACATTTTATATCTATATTTACATTTATATCTTCATGGGAACAGAGGGAAATAGAAAACAAGAAAGAAAGTAGAAAGGGTTATAACTGGATGATGGGCGGGCAGCTTGTTTTTCAGGCTTTAATTTTTTTTGACAACCATTTCCAAATATACTTTAAAATAATTTGTATACAGTATAAGTAACAGTAATAATACATTTTTGCTTTACAAACTTCAAGTGATTACATGCAATAGAGTATGATGTAAAAAGTTATTTTTCCAAATAAACGTGATCCTTTTCCTTTCAAAACATTTTTTGTAAATTTTGAAGCATATATTATTATCTATAAATATACAGAGGTTTATTTTCTCATGTGGAATCCTATAATACATATGGTTTTGATACTCTTATTTTTACTTCATAACACACCTTGAGAATCTTCCTATGTCAACACTTGCAGAGATACTGTATTCTTTTAAAATGGCAATGAATAGAATATATATAGAATATAGAATTACCATAATTTATTTAAGCAAATATTCTATTGGTTGATATATTACCTGTGGTTAAGTAACAAATTAACCCAAAATTTATCAGCTTAAAACAACAAATATTTATTACCTCAGTTTCTGTGGGTCAGAAATCCATTTGTGACTCAGCTGACACCTCTGGGTGTCCTGCAGAGCAATGATCAAATTGACCAGAATTGCAGTTATCTCAAGGCTAGGAGAAGATCCACTTCCCAGCTCACTCATGTGGCAGCTGGCAGATCTCAGGTCCTCGCTGGATGTTGGCCAGAGCCACCAGTTCCTCACCACGAGGGTCTTTCCAGAGGGCAGCTCAAAACATGGCAGCTGACTTCCCTTAGAGCAAGCAAAAAAGAGAGCTGGAGAACTAGCAAGCAAAACATGAAGCCAGTCATTTTGAAATCTAATCTAGGAAGTGCCATTCTATTATTTTTGCCATATTCTGTTAGTTGAAAGCTAGTCCCTAGGTCCCATTCACAATCAAGGAAAGGGGATTTGACAAGGATGTGAATACCAGGGGGCAGCCTTCACTGAGGGCATCTTAGATGTTGTCATACACAAGGGACTTGTTTCCATTTCTTACGAACAACATTTTTAACAAACAATATTATTATGCAAACCCTTGATATCTACACATTTGTGCATATGCGTGAGTATTTCTTTAGGATGAATGGCTAGGAATAGAATTCCTATTCATAAAGTGTATGTATTTAAAGTGTTAATAGACATTTCTAAAGTATCCTCTAAAAGAACAGTACCAATTCAACTTCCCATCAATTCTAAAAGTGTCTGCTTCCTTATTCCATAACACAGGATATCACCCATCGTCAATTTTTTGTTTTCTTAGGGGTATATAACAGCATTTTGATTTTTTTTTTAATTTGGGTTTTCCTGCTTACTAATGAGATTAAACATTTTTATATGGTTACCAGCCATTTGTATTTTCACTTTCCCAAAAGTTTACTATGTAAATATGGTCATTTTCTTTTCCATTTTGAATTGTATTGAAATATAATATGCATATAGAAAAGTGTATCAATGAATATTCATAAACTGAATATACCCATGTAACCGCCACCCATTTAAACAAAAATACTAACGGCACCCCAATAAGCTCACCTTTACCACTTGTAATCAGTACCCTCCCCAAGAACACTGTCTTGATTTTTAACGTGTAGATTAGCTTTGCATAATTTTGTACTTTTTGTAAATGGACTTATATATTATGTAGTCTTTAGTATGTGGCTTCTTCTACTCAACATTGTTATATTTGTATCACACTGGAATCTACATATATATATATATATAGATTGTTATATTTGTAGCACACTGGAATCTATATATATAAATTCCACATATAGATTTTATATATGGAATATATAGAATATATATAGAGAGAGAATTGCTATATATGGAATCCATAGATAGATTCCAGTGTGATACAAATATAACAGTCTATATGTACATAATATATATTACAGATTTTATACATATAATTTATATGTGTGTATATATGCTTGTATATCACTATTTCCTAATCTCAGAGTCAAATTTTGTTAAGAGTGTAGACATGGAGTAAGAGTTGGTGAGGAAAAGATTCATTGAAAATGGTGCTTTTAAGTAAGGATTTAAACAAAAGGAAGGAGCTGAGCGGAAGCCCACCAGGCAGAGGGCATTGAGGATGATATTTCTTCTTATCTTGATCTATCTCCTGAAGCCAATACAGCTGGAGAGTATACAAAGAAGGCCTCAGGAATATCTCAAGGACACCAGGAATAGGGACGAATGGATGGAGATGAAGACTTAAGTAGCAATCAGAAATGGCTAAAAAGTCAAGAACTTTGGTGACAAGGAGAATCTGAGACTTCTTTAAAATGAAAGGTAGTTAGAGCCTATCTCAAAATAGAATACACTTGAAATGTGTCCTGTCTGAACTAAGAAATAATCTGAGTGCCAAGATTAATGGTGATTATCAAAATAATTATTTTTATATAGTAGAGAAACAAAGTAAGAGACACTTATTGCAAAACTTAGTAGCTTTCCTTTAGAAAGTTACCAGTTTCATGTTATTCAGTTCCCAAAAGTCAAAAAGACTTTTAAATAAAGTATCTTTCCTTTTTTTAAAAAAAAAAAATTAAGTCTTTGTAAACTTGGCCAATGATTGAAAAGTACAGCCAAGTGTGTTCAAGATTCTTTGTTCAATGATCAGAGCAAATTATATGTAAACCTCACATGTAAAAAGGTTTTAATCTTGTCATGTTAGCAAAAAGGAAAATCTGCTTTTTCTTTAGGTTAACAATTACTTTCATGTGACAATGGCCTTGCATGTTGTAGCATTACTTCTGCTATAAAATTACACTGCAGGTGGTTGGAATTACATTGCTTGACCAAAGTGTCTAACCTGGACAGACCCTTGTTTGATGAATAGTTTTTCATTTTGTACAAAGGACCTTTCAGATAAAATATAAAACTCTGTTTAGAAAGGAAGGTCCAGAGAGAGAGGCTGTGCAATAGTATTTAGTTATGTATTATTACAATGTAATTCTGACATCCTTGGGAAATGTTTGTTAACTAAGTCTTGCAAAGAGACTTGCTCCCTGCCTCTCATGCACCAGAAGAAAAATGCCTCCAAGCAGCGATTCCAAATATCAGACACTCACTTCAACGGGTAGGAAATTTTCATATTTCTTTGGTGAGTCCGATGATCTATGGTTACCCATATGATCAAAAACACCTTTTGAGAGGGTTACTTATCCATAGCTATGGATAATAAGTGATGTTGAATTATCCATTTGCTTATGAAGTAATTACTGAGATCCTACTATGTGTCTGGCACAACAGAACATGTTAGAGACATAAGGATGTCATCGAGGAGTTCAGAGGTGACTGGTGGCTGTTTAGGAGGGAAAATGGTAAGACGATGTGGTGAGAGCTCCTAGAGAAGGCAACGTGAGGGACTGGGAAACTATTTATTGGGTGGGGAATGGACCTTGCCTGGACGGGGAGCAATGGCAGACAGGCAATGTTAGGAAAAATACAACGAAAAGGCTATGCAACTCCCACTCTTGTAAGTTTGAACTATTTATGCTTTCCTCTCCTTTCCTGACTATTTCCTGTTACTGCATTATCAGTATGCTAATGCTCAGTGTAAGCAATACAAATTTCTTTGGTTATGACTTTAGAACACCAGAAAAAAGGAAGGTTGAAAGGATATCTAGCTAAGCACCCATTTCTAAAAGACTTGTACTTTCTATTAAAATATGTTAAGATATTTTTGATAGGAGTGTTTTGCTTTCTGATAGGTACAGGAAATAATAGCTTGCTTTATCATTTTACTTCTCTCATGACACTCTAATAATTTCATCATAACACATCAACTTTCATGTTCATAAATGTGAACTTCTCTGAGTTATCTTCAGATCAGTCCATTCTTTAGTCTAATTTTAAATTTTTACACGATAAAGAAAAATATTCTATCAGAGAGACAGAAAGCTGCCTCCATCAATCCCAGCTGTGCCACTTACTGGGGGTGTGACTTTGGTGGGATGACTTCCCTGGGCTTCAGGTTCCTCATCTGGGACTGAATAGGTGAAAATAAGTTCTAACAACAGTAATAATAATAACAGTAGCTAAGAAAGCATGATTCCACAATTATAAGTAATGTGATAAGCCCAGCTAAAGTGTTGTCCCAAAGGAAATTTTTATGCAAAATTTATGGTTTTAAAATAATCTCCTCTCTCAGAATATACTAAATTCATTGTAGAAACTTTTTTTTTTTTGCAAAACAGTTACTTAAGAATTCTCCATTCACTACTATAAAACTCAACTTCTAAATCAATCAATCTTGATTCATATTTTGGTTCTTCTGTGGATAAGAATCTCAAGGTGCTAAGTTTACACTGGTGGTTTAGGGTGGCATATAATTGACTTCAAATTTGCGAGAATTTGACTGGGGCTGAGACTTTCAAGCAATGTTTTAGATTAATATCATTATGCAGCTGATGTGCTTAGAGTATAAGAAAGAGCAGGGTTCCTAAGGACTGGCATCCAGATGTTTGTTAAGACAGCACTGACATCGGTAGAAAGGCCAGGGGAGTGAGGGGTAACAGTGGTGCTACAGAGTTTGAGTCTCTCTTCCAGGCAAATCAGCTTTAAACGCATTGACCTATGTGAACCACTCCTGAATTCTAAGTATTTAAATGACTCCTTTGCACGCTTCTGTGCCAATTTCACATTTTCTCCATCTCATTCAAGCTATTCAGTTAAGATTAGAATCTAAGAATCTACAGCTTCTACCAAGGTAATGATTACCTCCTAATTGCATTCCTCCTTCCTGTACTACTACTCCACCTTTGTGTGCCCTTTTAGCTGCAACATTCCACTTGTGAGTCATGTTCCCCTTGCTCAGCCATCAGCCATTGTGGGTTACCATTGGCTGCTACCTTTCTATTTCTGGTTGTTCTGAATGATATTAACAGAACTTTGGTCATATTGGGACAGGTGTGTGTGTCTGAGATACGGAAGGGGAATTTGGATCAATTGCCACAAAGAACCAAGTTCTTATAGAGTTGACTTATTTACAAAACAGGGAACGTGTGAGGTAAATGAGCAGAACATTGGGGCTTTTTAAAAACAGTCCTGTTCAATAGAAATTTTCTCTGATGGTCAAAATATTCTACTTCCTGTCTGTCCAAAAGAGTAGACACTAGCCATATGTTCCTGTTGAGTACTAGAAATGGGGATGGTGTGACCAAGGGTCAGCATTTTACATTTCATTTAACTTTAATTAAGTATAAATAACCACACGTGGCTAAGGGCTAACACACTACAAAGCCCAGGTTTAAATTCTCAAGAAATTATACAAAAATTTTAGTTTACAATGTCAGCTGGAAAGACATCATTAATAAGATGCAATGTCATTAAACTTAGGTGCCACCAAGGGATTAAATGAGATGTAGGCATCAGAAATTGAGTAGAAGAACAGAATGTAGTGGATCACAGTGTGGTTGTGTATTAAGGCAACCTTATGCTAACACAGAAAGTGTAAGATATGAATAAGTGACTCGTTTTACCCAGATGTTACCAGGACTACTCTGAAACGTCAGAAACATTCTCTGAAGACAATCTGGAAGGAATTTTCTTCAAAGTTTTCAGAACTCCACATAAATCTTAAGAAACTGCCACTGAGCAATGGGAGACTCTCTTTTACTGGAGGAATTTAGCCCCTACCTTTAGAGTGGGCAATATCAAGGATCATTTATGAGCTGATTATTTGTAAAGCCACACATCAATTATTGGCAAGTTTTAAGTCACTGGCATGGCACATCACCACCATGTGGACATGGCATATGCAGCATGAACTCCCTTCCCACGAATACATCAGTTCATAGCTCCACAAGGTGGTTCAAAGCAAAACATGGAAAAGGAGACTCTGACTTCAGGAAAAACATAGAATTTTCTGATTCTAGAGAGTGTTCACTATTTTGTCACTTGCTTAAGCTTCAAATCTCTGTTATCTTTAACTGCTTGCATAACGTGGTTTTTCCCCATCTCCTGCACTCATCGCTACTGGTCTAAAGTTGTGTCACCTGTGGCCTAAGTAGGCAATGATATGGCTTGGCTGTGTCCCCACCCAAATCTCACCTTGAATTGTAATAATCCCCATGTGTGAAGGGTGGGGCCAGGTGGAGATTATTGAATCTTGGGGGCAGATTCCCTCATACTATTCTGATGGTTGGTAGTAAATAAGTCTCATGAGATTTGATGGTTTTATAAATGGGAGTTCCCCTGCACAAGCTCTCTTGCCTGCTGCCGTGTAAGACGTGACTTTGCTCCTCATTTGCCTTCCGCCATGACTGTGAGGCCTACCTAGCCATGTGGAACTGTGAGTCAATTAAACCTCTTTCCTTTATAAATTACCCAGTTTGGGGTATGCCTTTATTAGCAATATGAGAACAGACTAATATAGGCATCAAGAAGATCTGGAACAGAATCCCAGTTATTTCACTTTCATGCTACATAATTTTTGAGCTACTTAACATCTTTAAGACCCCAATTTCCTCAACATTAAATGGGGACTAATAATATCTACCTTATGATACTATGTAGTAAAAGCATCTTTACTAGTATAAAGCTTGACAATTAGCAGGATTAAAACAAATATTAGTTCCTCTTTCTTTTATTTTTTATCTTCACTTTATATTAAATTCTTTCATTCTAGTCTCTGGTTTAAATACTGTAGGAAGGTAGGTTCCAAAATTCACAACTCCATTCCTGTCCTCTCCACTCTCTCAGATCTGCATATCCAATTTCTGGCCCGATATTTCCATTTGAATGTTTAAAAAGTACCTCAAACCCTTACTCCAAATGCACTTTGTCCTTAAACTTCCACATCTCAGCAAGTATTCATTTCATTTTCAAGACAAAAAATGTAAAAATCAGTCAGATGTCTCTCTTCTTCTCATATTCCAACTCTAGTTTCTCTCAATTCCTTTTATTCTCACTTTCAAAGCATTTCTTAAATCCAGCCACTTCTCTCCACTGCGATTGCTAACAGCCTGGCGCAAACCTGGACCATGGTCACAGACCCCCTAAAGTGTCCCCTTTCTTCTTCTCTTGCCCAATACAGTCTATTCTCCCACAGCAGATGATCTTTGGAAAACATAAATTCGCCCATGTCACTCTACTGTTCAAACATCTTCACTGCCTTTCCATTGCATGCAAAATAAACATTTTATTATAAGCTGCCAAACTCCACATGCTCTGACCTTGATTACAACTGCAACTTTATCTCCTACCATTCTCTGCTTCACTCTCTCGTACAGCCTCATGGCTCTTCTTGTGGTTCCTCAAACAGTTCAAACCTGTGTTACTAGAATCCTCTTGATCTTTATCTCACGACTTCACTCAGGCCACCATGAGTGTCACACTTCTGGGGAGGAACACTGCCTACCACCACACTCTTTCCTTTATTCTACCTAGCACTCATCACTCCCGGCATTATCATATAAAGGTGTTCTTTCATTTTCTACTTCCCATATTAGAATGGAAGAGCAGGGAATTTTATCTTCAGCTCATTTTTGTATTCCAACAATTAAACTGTGCCTGACACAGAGTGGGCACAGTGGGCTAGGTTTGCTACACGTATATTGAGATATTCATCTCCACAACTCTCAGGCTTTGAAGGTCAGCGACTGGCAGCTTCCAGACTATTTGCCTCTGACAAAAGCTGCCTCATCTATTTCATAATAATGCCCAGGTTAGAAACTCCAAAGACTTTTCATTGCCCAAATTATAATCTACTCTGCCTAGAATGACACTCAAGGCTTTCTATCATCTGACCAAATATTCTTTTATCTCTTACTTTCAAGTGGTTCCACCCAAACCACTTCCTCCCAGGCCATAAGCATGTCCTTCTGCTGCTGCACTTGGATTCATCCTTTGCCTGAACATCATCCCTACCAGGTTCTAAGTGTTTAAATTTTTACCATCCTCCTAAACTCAAATTCTGCCTCTTCTGTGAAACTTACTCTGATCCCTGAAATAATACAGAATCTCTTCATTCCCTAAACAGTCTTAAAACTTCATTTGTTTTTTTTCTCATGACTTTCTCTCTGCTTTATTGTTTTCCACTTACTTGTGTAAATAGATTTAATGTTTCCTTTCCTACCATACCTCAACTTTTTGGGGAGAGGATCCATGGATGACTTAACGCTCCCCAGAATACTTAGCAGAAAACAGTACACATGTGCAGATTCCATATTCTTCAGCCTGTTTAATGTATTAAATTGTTCTCTTTTGGATTTTTAAGACTCAAAGCTACTCAATCTCAAACTTAATTCAAAGATGTCCTCTCCCATCTCCACCCACAACTCAAGCACATCTTGAGTTTGGAATGGAGAGTGGTGATATGTGACCCAGTCCTGACACCCCTCCTTCCCTCTGTTCCTTCAGTTTGTGGGTCAAAAAAAAAAAGAGAGAGGGGACTATAGACCCGAGTTTACTAGCCAAGACTGCAATCCACCCTTTGATGAGTGTCACTGCCTCTTCCCACTAGACTGGCTGCATGGCAGGAACCCAAATGCTCACTTCCTCATGGACAGGGAAGCTCAAGTGAGAGGCACCATGGCAGCTTGTTTTGAAAAGATCTCAGAAGAGATACAACCTTCCTGTCAGTCTTTCCCAAATTCCTCCCCCGCTTCTGCCAAATCTGGGTCATTTCTCTGTTTCTCACTGCTGGGCAGCTCTCTGAAGTGGGCTGTCAGCAGGATAGAAAAGCCAGCTACCTTCCATATGTTTCATCAATTTAATCAAACTCAAACTTTCTTGTCACGTTGAAGGTATATGTGCAAGCAGCTTCGTCTCCACCCTACTCTCAACATGGCTATCTCTTCAATTCCTCTATTCTTTGTCCTGGAATCCAAGGATAAATCAGTAATCCTCCTGGCTAATGGGCTACCCAACTGAGAAGTAAAATACCAGCCTCTCCCAGCCACCCTCATTCTTTCAGGCATCCCGATCTTTACCCAACAGGTGGATGATCAGCCTGGTTCTGTAAACAGCCTCTCAGTATGCCTGGGGCAGGTAGTGGTGAGGCTTAGGATTGAGAACAACTCTCCCTCCCTCAAATTTTGCCCTTAACCACCATTTTGAGATAACATTATAAACCATACTCAACATCCTATACAACATTATAAAGTATCTAAGTACCCACCCTGTATCCCTACTGAAAGTGCACAACAAAGCTACACACTCATAGTAATAACCACTAACTTCTGAAACTGAATCTTAACACAACTGTACATCATTTGTTCTAATCACATTAATTAAGGATATTTGGCAACCAGCTACATAATTTTTTGGAAATTCAAATACATATGTATTGAGAAAATAAAGGTAGACCTAGAGAACTGAGCAGAAGGCAAAAGAGTTAGGTTTCCCCATCATCCTCAGCAAACTAACACAGGAATAGAAAACCAAACACAGCATGTTCTCACTCGTAAGTGGGAGCTGAACAATTAGAACACATGGACACAGGGAGGGTCTTTGGAGTCATTTGTTATTGATTTTAAATTAATATTTATTGATGACCTTTAGAACCTGGACTTCCAATCCTTCCATCTTTACATCCATTGACTTGATGTCTCCCTGACCCATGGAGAAATGAGAAAGAGAAGGGACATTTCAAAACGTTAATGCAGGTCAGTTGAGGTGGTTCACGCCTGTAATCCCAACACTTTGGGAGGTAGAGGCAGGCGGATCACCTGAGGTCAGGAGTTCAAGACCAGCCTGACCAACAAGGTGAAACCCCGTCTCTACAAAAATACAAAAAACAAACAAACAAACAAACAAAATAGCAAGGCATGATGCTGGATGTCTGTAATCCCAGCTACTTGGGAGGCTGAGGCAGGAGAATTGCTTGAACCTGGGAGGCGGAGGTTGCAGTGAGCCAAGATTACACCACTGCACTCCAGCCTCCGCGACAGAGCGAGACTCCCTCTCAAAAAATAAATGAAATAAAATGTTAATGCAATAATGAAACAAACATGTCCTCCTAAAGCTTAAACCAATTGCAGATGGAGATGCTACACACAAAGCCATGTTTAAATCTCTAGCTATGTCATCCTGTTGTTAATCAATATACCTACTCATGGGCCTTTGTCTTAGATCACTTTTATTTACTGGCATTACTAGATTTACATTATTAACACTTCAGTTTAATAGCCTTCAGTCTAATTATTAAATACAATTTTCTACGTAAGATAATGCTCAACTTTTAACGCATTACTATCTTTGTTAAATGGCAGGAATTTCTTTTCTATGACTGGTGCTTTCTTGGGATGCGATCCACACATATTCAATATGTGCTGTCGAAGTGCTTTTGCGCACCTTTTTTTTTTTTTAAACAAAGGTCCGAGGTGTTACTTTTATAAGTTTGGGTCTTATACAAATAGGCGACAAGAATATGCTGGTGGAAAGCCCAAAGTTTTCTAAATGTAGATGAGCACAGATTAAGAAAGCAGTAATTAATTTCCTTTGACCTCAAGCTGAAATTCCTTTCTAAAGCTGTCATAAAGAGAAAGAGGCCAGAGAGGAGAAGTGAGACTGTGTAACAATGCAATTAAACCCTTGTAATGAGGTCGGGCCTTGGACTTGTTGCAACTGATATCATTATAGCAATGAGAAGGCCCTATATGGATGTTGGGTTTTTTTTGTTGTTTTTTTTTTTTTAACTTCATGCCTTTTTGTGTGTGTGTTTAACTCTTTAACACCAGCTATGTGCTTCGTTGTAAGGGAAATATATAGGCATTATATACATACGCAAAAAACACAAATTACATTTTTTTATTCAGAAGGGACATTCCATTGGCTCAGGCAGGTGATGTTTTGTATGCAAAGCAGGAAAGTGTAAGGAGAGCAGAAAGAGCTCGGGATTAACAGTCAAGACAGTTAACTTGTCTGTTGCATCATGGCTCTTAATTTACAGGTGTCTCCAATGAGCTGAGTCCTAAGTGCTAGGTTATAGGGCTCTGGTCTTGAGCCTTCTACTAAATAGCTGTGTGACCTGAGGCAGACCCCTAAATGTCTCTGAGCCTCAGCTCTCTCATTTCATCACGTGAAAATAATTCCATTTACTGTTTTTTTTTCTTTATGGTCTATCTTATAATTGATCAATTTGATCTAAATTGGCATGCTATTATGAATGTGTCAGTCTTATTCTCTCTGCAAATATTTATCTCTACTGAAGACAACTATATCTGTCTAAGACTTCTAGTAATTCTAATAAGCATCATATTGCTGTGGTTAAGACCATAAACTCTAAAGTCAGATTGACTTGGTTTAAAATCTGCTTTGTTATTAAGCAATGAGAGCTAGACAGGTTACTGAATTTTTCTCTGCTTTAATTTTCTTATCTATAAAATGGACACACTAATAGCATTTACTGCATAGGGCTGTCATGAAGATTCGATAAATTAATGGACAAACAGTGCTTTAAAGAGAGGTTGGACATATTGTACGGTCTCAATAAGGGTTAGCTCATATTATTTATCTAAACACTTCCATTCTTAGAAAATCTGAGAGTGACAGATTTCACTGAACTTCCTACAGAGAATCCTCCTGTTCCTGAAGTCAAGACATATGGAAAATACTCCTGTAGATTAGAAACAAAAAGCTTTGATCTCTACCTTGTATAATCAAGTTGCAAACCTCTCTTTTGGCTATAAAAACAGAACAGCCAACATTTTAAATTATATATGGTCTTACCTAGAAGGAAAATATATGACTGGAATAATTTTATTGACATTCTATAAATCAATAAATGCTGTGAAACACACAGAGTCAGAAAACATAGATGAGTAAATAATACTAGACATGACTGCCTGCCTTCCAAGAATGCTCACCTTCCCCCGCTACTTACTGCTAAACATGGGGTTTTCCAGGTTTCTGGATGTCCTCATTTATGAAGGGTTTATGCGGAATGTAAAGGAGCTTATAAACCCAAACAAACTGAAAAAATTTTAGAACACAACAAAATTATTTAAAGAAGATAGGCAAACCTCAAGCACCGAAGGCGATTTAGTTACTCTGGTAGAATATAAAAATAATCTCATAGCTTCTCGGAAGCCATGAAGTAGGGAAAAAAATAAAGAGATTTTAGGTTGCACAGTTCTAATGTCTGACGAAAGGAAATGTAAAAATCCCTCCATTTCATCTTCTGCTTTTAAAAAAGTGTTTGTTTGTTTCATACTCACCACATACTGTGCACTGTGCTTGGTGCCAAGGTTATGAAGAATGAAGTCTAAGTTCGGCCTGCAAGAAGCTTGCAGTCTGCAGGCAAACTCCTTTCTGGCTGTGAATTCCAGGATGAAATAATTACAGGGATCTATATTAGAAGAATAAAATTATGGATAGATTCTTTAAACAAGATTTTGCAAATGACATGAAATTTTATTCAGATGTTAATTAATTTTAGATTGCCTCTCTAAAACAGCTGTTATTATAACATTAAGTCTTAACTCCATCAAAACCATTTCAAAATGAGCTAAGATAATGTGCGAATCAATCAGGGTCCAACCAGGAAAACAGAAACACTATGATTATTCTAAAACAGAAATAATACAGGGAAATTGTCTTACAGGCTATGGGAAAGCCTCAAAGTCCAACTGGAAATGGGTAAGCAGCTCCGGCGTTAGCAGAAACAGGAAGGCATTATTGCCCCAGGGCTGGACAGATAAAGGGAGAAAGTCTAGAACCTTGGAAGAATGACAGCTACCACTGGAGCTGTCCCTCAAAGCAGAAAAAGGGGGAGATAAATACCCGTGTTCCTCCGCTCCTCCTCCCAACTCCTTCTGCTGCCTCCCATTGGCTGAACTCAGCTAGAAGTCATCTGCCATGAGAACCAGTAAAATGCAGCCTGAGATACAGAACAGAGTGAGGAGAAGAGAAAGAAAGAACTGCAGGCCACTTGCTCCTGGGAATGGCACATCCTTACTTTCTGATGATCTTCCACAGGGAGGTCTTAGGTAACCGAGAGGTTCTCAATAGTGAATGAATCCATGTGGCTTTGGGATTATAGTCAATTTATGCTAGAGATTTTGTTATTTGAAGACTGTTCTCATTATTAATTAAAGAGGGATCCCATACTTTTGGTATCACACCTGGCAGTGTAGGGATAACCCGTTGTGAAAATGTAGAATGATGGCCAGTATTGTCATCCAGGCACAAACCAGTTCTCTTCCACATCAATTTGGCCATTTTATTTTGTATGTATGTATATATGTATGTATGTATGTATGTATGTATGTACTTATTTATTTGAGACAGGGTCTTGCTGTGTCACCTAGGCTAGAGTGAGTGGCATGATCGATCATAGCTCATTGCAGTCTCAACCTCTGGCCTCAAGCGATCCTCCCACCTCAGCCTCCTGAGTAGCTGGGACTATAGGTATGTGCCACCATGCCTGACAAATTTGTTTTTAATTTTTTATACAGACTGGGCTCTCCCTATGTTGCCCAGGCTAGTCTTGAACTCCTGGGCTCAAGTGACCCTCCCACCTCAACCTCTCAAAGTCCTGGATTATAAGCGTGAGCCACTGTGCCCAGCCCGTTTCTCCTTGAAAAGGCATATTTATTCTAATCAAGTACTTGAACAAACAGTAAGTTGGGATTCCAAGGTTTTGCATTATATATGGAGGAGAAGATGTTGACCTGAGAAAATTTAATAGTAATTATTTCTAATGTACCTCATTAGCCACTTACTCATATCAAGAAATTTATTGTGTTTCTGTATCATGTCAGATCTTGACAACACAGCAGAGGACATAATAGACATGGCCCTTGCTCCTATGAAGATTTTGGTCTAGAAACAGAGGTTGACTTTCAACAAATAATCACACATTTAACATTCAAATATATAATTACAAATTGTGATTAGAACCCTGGAGAAAAGTGTGCCATGAGAATTATAACAGAATACAGTTAGGCCATGAATCAAAAGAACATTTCTGTTCACCTGGGTGGATACTTATCTCTATAAAAATATTCAGGAAAAATTGTGAAAACCAGAAAAATCACCTGTAAATGTGTTTGTCTGACACAGTAACTTTTATTTTTAATGGTTTATTTTTAATGGTTTTCTGATTTGAATTCTTTTAAAGACAATACTGTTCTAAATTTACACTCTCAGCTTGTTTCAAAAATTATTTAAGGTTGATATAGTTGCAATCATATTGAACTTACAATGTTATAATTCCAGTTTTAACCAAATATCATAATATATGTATCTATATATCTTCAAATTTTATAAAATCATAACTTTTAAATAATTTATTTAGCACATATTCCCTGAGACTCTAGCAAGTGCCAGGCCATGAGCTCAATTCTGGCTCTAAGGCAAATGAAAAGTTGGGTGTGGTTTTTGCCCTCATAGGGCTCACACTCCAATAGGTGCACAAAATTTCAAAGACTTTTTGGGTCATAACTAATTTTCTCCCTATTAGGTTGTTTTCAATTATGCATCAATGCACAGTGCTTTTCCCTTCTATCTTTCCTCTCCATTCAGGAGGAATTCTTAAGACAGAGTCTATTGTATCCAAAGAGATGAACAATTTTATAATTCTTAATTATAGGTACAATTTATAAGACAATCACTAATGTATAGGAGCCTACAATCAATACTTCTAGAGTTGGGTTTCTTTTAATGGACACTGTACTTCATATACACAGTCCGACCATTGCTTTAAATTGAATTAACACATCTTTTTTTTTTATAGATACAAAATTTATTAAGGAGAAAATCTATCTCCTATGGGGGAAAACAATAATGGGACAGAGAAATATCTAAGAAGCTATCACATTTATAAAAATTTTTAAAGCAATATTTAGTGCATTTATTTCATACTGCTGAGTACAAAATGACCACAAATTTAGAATGTTAAAACAACATATATTTGTTATTACACGTTACCCATGAGTCAGGAGTCCAGGTACAGCTCAGCTGGACCCTTTGCTCAGGACTTCACAAGGTGCATTCAAGGTGTCTCTTAGGTTTAGATTTTTTTTTTTTTTTTTTTTTTTTTTTTTTTTTTTAGATAGAGTCTCTCATCGTCACCCAGGGTGGAGTGCAGTGGTGCTATCTTGGCTCATCACAACCTCCACCTCCCGGGTTCAAGAAATTATCTTGCCTCAGCCTCCCGAGTAGCTGGGATTACAGGCACATACCACTGTGCCGGGCTAATTTTTGTAGTTTTGGTAGAGATAAGGGGTTTCACCATGTTGGCTAGGCTGGCCTTGAACTGCTGACCTCAAGTGATCTGCCTGCCTTGACCTCCCAAAGTGCTGAGACTACAGGTGTGAGCCACCACACCCAGCCTGCATCTTATCCAGAGCTCAGGATTCTCTTTTCAAACTCATATTATTGGTGGCAGAATGTATTTCATTGTACCCAAGGCAGATTTCTTCTTCAAGGAGAGCTTGGAGAGAGTCTTTGCCCTCTTGAACCTGTTTTATTTATTTATTTATTTTTTATTTTTTTTAAATTATACTTTAAGTTTTAGGGTACATGTGCACAATGTGCAGGTTTGTTGCATATATATACATGTGCCATGTTGGTGTGCTCCACCCATTAACTCGTCATTTAACATTAGGTATATCTTCTAATGCTATGCCTCCCCGCTCCCCCCATCCCACAACAGGCCCCAGTGTGTGACGTTCCCCTTCCTGTGTCCATGTGTTCTCATTGTTCAATTCACACCTATGAGTGAGAACATGCAGTGTTTGGTTTTTCGTGCTTGCAAAAGTTTGCTGAGAATGATGGTTTCCAGCTTCATCCATGGCCCTACAAAGGACATGAACTCTTCATTTTTTATGGCTGCATAGTATTCCATGGTGTATATGTGCCACATTTTCTTCATCCAGTCTATCATTGTTGGACATTTGGGTTGGTTCCAAGTCTTTGCTATTGTGAATAGTGCCGCAGTAAACATACGTGTGCATGTGTCTTTATAGCAGTATGATTTATAATCCTTTGGGTATATACCCAGTAATGGGATGGCTGGGTCAAATGGTATTTCTAGTTCTAAATCCCTGAGGAATCGCCACACTGACTTCCACAATGGCTGAACTACTTTACAGTCCCACCAACAGTGTAAACATATTCCTATTTCTCCACATCCTCTCCAGCACCTGTTGTTTCCTGACTTTTTAATGATTCCCATTCTAACTGGTGTGAGATGGTATCTCATTGTGGTTTTGATTTGCGTTTCTCCGATGGCCAGTGATGGTGAGCATTTTTTCATGTGTCTTTTGGCTGCATAAATGTCTTCTTTTGAGAAGTGCCTGTTCATATCCTTCACCCACTTGTTGATGGGGTTGTTTTTTCTTGTAAACTTGTTTTAGTTCTTTGTAGATTCTGGATATTAGCCCTTTGTCAAATGAGTAGATTGCAAAAATTTTCTCCCATTCTGTAGGTTGCCTGTTCACTCTGACAGTAGTTTCTTTTGCTGTGCAGAAGCACTTTAGTTTAATTAGATCCCATTAGTCAATTTTGGCTTTTGTTGCCATTGCTTTTGGTGTTTTAGACATGAAGTCCTTGCCCATGCCTATGTCCTGAATGGTATTGCCTAGGTTTTCTTCTAGGGTTTTTATGGTTTTAGGTCTAACATTTAAACCTTTAATCCACCTTGAATTAATTTTAGTATAAGGTGTAAGGAAGGGATCCAGTTTCAGCTTTCTGCATATGGCTAGCCAGTTTTCCCAGCACCATTTATTAAATAGGGAATCCTTTCCCCATTTCTTGTTTTTCTCAGGTTTGTCAAAGATCAGATAGTTGTGGATATGTGGCATTATTTCTGACGGCTCTGTTCTGTTCCATTGGTCTATATCTCTGTTTTGGTACCAGTACCATGCTGTTTTGGTTACTGTAGCCTTGTAGTATAGTTTGAAGTCAGGTAGCGTGATGCCTCCAGCTTTGTTCTTTTGGCTTAGGATTGACTTGGCGATGCGGGCTCTTTTTTTGGTTCCATATGAACTTTAAAGTAGTTTTTTCCAATTCTGTGAAGAAAGTCATTGGTAGCTTGATTGGGATGGCATTGAATCGATAAATTACCTTGGGCAGTATGGCCATTTTCACGATATTGATTCTTCCTACCCATGAGCATGGAATGTTCTTCCATTTGTTTGTATCCTCTTTTATTTCATTGAGCAGTGGTTTGTAGTTCTCCTTGAAGAAGTCCTTCACATCCCTTGCAAGTTGGATTCCTAGGTATTTTATTCTCTTTGAAGCAATTGTGAATGGGAGTTCACTCATGATTTGGCTCTCTGTTTGTCTGTTATTGGTGTATAAGAATGCTTGTGAGTTTTGCACATTGATTTTGTATCCTGAGACTTTGCTGAAGTTGCTTATCAGCTTAAGGAGATTTTGGGCTGAGACGATGGGGTTTTCTAGATAGACAATCATGTCATCTGCAAACAGGGACAATTTGACTTCCTCTTTTCCTAATTGAATACCCTTTCTTTCTCCTGCCTGATTGCCCTGGCCAGAACTTCCAACACTATGTTGAATAGGAGTGGTGAGAGAGGGCATCCCTGTCTTGTGCCAGTTTTCAAAGGGAATGCTTCCAGTTTTTGCCCATTCAGTATGATATTGGCTGTGGGTTTGTCATAAATAGCTATTATTTTGAGATACGTCCCATCAATACCTAATTTATTGATAGTTTTTAGCATGAAGGGCTGTTGAATTTTGTCAAAGACCTTTTCTGCATCTATTGAGATAATCATGTGGTTTTTGTCGTTGGTTCTGTTTATATGCTGGATTACATTTATTGATTTGTGTATGTTGAACCAGCCTTGCATCCCAGGGATGAAGCCCACTTGATCATGCTGGATAAGCTTTTTGATGTGCTGCTGGATTCAGTTTGCCAGTATTTTATTGAGGATTTTTGCATTGATGTTCATCAGGGATATTGGTCTAAAATTCTCTTTTTTTGTTGTGTCTTTGCCAGGCTTTGGTATCAGGATGATGCTGGCCTCATCAAATGAGTTAGGGAGGATTCCCTCTTTTTCTATTGATTGGAATAGTTTCAGAAGGAATGGTACCAGCTCCTCCTTGTACCTCTGGTAGAATTCGGCTGTGAATCTGTCTGGTCCTGGACTTTTTTTGGTTGGTAAGCTATTAATTACTGCCTCAATTTCAGAGCCTGTTATTGGTCTATTCAGAGATTCAACTTCTTCCTGGTTTAGTCTTGGGAGAGTGTATGTGTCGAGGAATTTATCCATTTCTTCCAGATTTTCTAGTTTTTTTGCATAGAGGTGGTTATAGTATTCTCTGATGGTAGTTTGTATTTCTGTGGGATCAGTGGTGATATCCCCTCTATCATTTTTTATTGCATCTATTTGTTTCTTCTCTCTTTTCTTCTTTATTAGTCTTGCTAGCGGTCTATCAATTTTGTTGATCCTTTCAAAAACCCAGCTCCTGGATTCATTGATTTTTTGAAGCGTTTTTTGTGTCTCTATTTCCTTCAGTTCTGCTCTGATCTACTATTTCTTGCCTTCTGCTAGCTTTTGAATGTGTTTGCTCTTGCTTCTCTAGTTCTTTGAATTCTGATGTTAGGGTGCCAATTTTAGATCTTTCCTGCTTTCTCTTGTGGGCATTTAGTGCTATAAATTTCCCTCTACACACTGCTTTGAATGTGTCCCAGAGATTCTGATATGTTGTGTCTTTGTTCTTGTTGGTTTCAGAGAACATCTTTATTTCTGCCTTTATTTCGTTATGTACCCAGTAGTTATTCAGGAGCAGGTTGTTCAGTTTCCATGTAGTTGAGCAGTTTTGAGTGAGTTTCTTAATCCTGAGTTCTAGTTTGATTGCACTGTGGTCTGAGAGACAGTTTGTTATAATTTCTGTTGTTTTACATTTGCTGAGGAGTGCTTTACTTCCAACTATGTGGTCAATTTCGGAATAGGTGTGGTGTGGTGCTGAAAAGAATGTATATTCTGTTGATTTGGCATGGAGAGTTCTGTAGATGTCTGTTAGGTCCGCTTGGTGCAGAGCTGATTTCAATTCCTGGATATCCTTGTTAACTTTCTGTCTTGTTGATCTGTCTAATGTTGACAGCGGGGGAATTAACACATCTTACTAGGAATGTGCCTTCATCCATTTTGGCTACTGTAATAGAATACCTGAGACTGGGAAACTCATAATAAACAGAAATTTATTTGGCTCACAGTTCTGGAGGCTGGGAGGTCCAAGAGCATGGCACCAGCATCTGGCAAGGGCCTTTATGCTGGTGTCAGCCCATGGTTGAATGTAGATGGGCAAGACATGGTGAGAGAGAGGGAGCAAGTGGGGGCCAAAGTTGCTTATTTTTTATTTGTGCACATATATGGAGTGCATGAGAAAACTTGTTACATGTATATAATGCAAAGTAATCAAGTCAGGATATTCAGAGTGTCCATTACCCAAGTACATTTTTTGTTAAGGAGAGTCATCCTTCTCTGCTCGCACACATTGAACTTACTCTTTTTATATTACTGTGTGTACCCTTTAGCCCACTAACTCACCTCTCTTCTTCCTCCCTCCTTGTCCCTGCTCACCCTTCAAACTTGCTTTTATAACAAAGCCACTCTCTTGATAAATAACAAACCTACTCCTGCAATAATGACATTAATCCATTCATGAGATTAGAGCCCTCATGACCTAAACACTTCTTATTAGGCCCCACCTCCCAACAGTGTTGCATTGGGGATTAAGTTTCCAACACATGAACTTTGGGGGACACATTCAAATCATAGCAGAGTTTGTTCTTCTGTTTATTATTTGTTTCTCCTTCTAGAGTCTGTATGTTTCTTGTATATTGTTTTATCCCTAGCAGCTCACTGCTGAGCCTGGACCACAGTAGGTGCGCAATAAATTTTTCAATGAATGAATGAGTGTAACCCCCGGAGCAGTAGTTTGCAACCTCAACCCCACATTAGAATCACCTGATGAGGTTTTCAAAATCCTAACACTCAGGCCACATACCACATCAGTTTAATCAGAATCTATGGGGGTGAGATCCAGGTGTCAGTCATTTTTAAAGTTTCCCATGTGATTCCAGTGTGCAGCCAAGGCTGAGAATCACTGCCCCAGAGCCTCCCTATTCAACATGTGATTCACAGACTTGCAGCATTAGCTTCCTTAAGGAAGCTGGTTAGAAATACAGACTTTCAGGCCCTACCGAGGCCTAATGCACCCAGATCTGCATTTTAACAAATTCTTCAGATGAAACTTAAATGTTTAAGAGGCACTGCACTAAATGTCTTTTCTCACAATTTTAAACCAACACTTCTGACTGCTTCTTAAGACCATGCTCATTACTTGATACTAAAACCTTACCCTTGCATGAAAGAGATCTGTCTTCTTTATAAATGAGCAAGAAAACTACAAGTTGGCAATGCTCCAACAAAGGTTTGCTTTGCCAGGCTATTACATGTGTCTAAATCTCTGCCTGTTCTGAAAGGAAGAAAAAGGGCAAAGCAGCGATCTCCAAACTGGGAGAGCTAGAGTAGGAAGTTCCCACATGAAGCAAATGTGGACACTGAACACCAGAGAAAAGTCACAGCTGGAAATCCCAGTGCATAGCCACGGTCTAAAAGTGAAGGGGTCCACAGACAGGCAGCTGAGCTGGTAAGAAGCCAGAGATATAGCTGTAAGAATTAGAGTACAGTGCATGACCTGGGACCAAATAGGTTGATGAGAGGTCAGTCGTGAGCAGCCTGGGCAGAGATAGGCTGTGCAGTTTCTTATATAAATGAGAAGTATGAAGAAATGCATTAGAGACTGGCAGACTTGAATTTGAATGACAATGCTGCTCTTATAGAGACTGAGACAGTTATTCAACTTTTTTGATCCTCACCTGTGATCTGGGGATGATAATTCTTACCTCCTAGCTATTGTGAAGATTAAAAGTGGCAATGCATGTAAACAGCTTAGTATCATGCCTGGCCCACAGGAACATCTCAACCAATGGATGGTGTTACTAATTAATATCTTAAATCTTTTTCACAAACACGTAACACTGAAAAAAACTCAAAAGATAAAGGTTGTTGTATTAGTCCCTTCTCACACTTCTATGAAGAGATACCAAAGACTGGGTAATTTATAAAGAAAAGAGGTTTTATTGGCTTACAGTTCCACATGGCTAGGGAAACTGCTCCCATGATCCAATTACCTACACCTGGTCCCACCTTTGACACATGGGGATTATTACAATTCAAGGTAAGATTTGGATGGGAACATGGAACCAGACGATATCTGTTGTATTTATCATATTTTATGCCTTCTCTTCCTGTTCTTGTCCAAAGCAACCTAAAGAGAATTTAGTATTCCTTTGGGTGTTTGGTTAATTCCATCCAATGCCAGAGCTGGTTGTATTTTCTGAGATGGCCATGGCAAGATCTCCCATGTCACATACTCTTCTACTGTGATATTGACACTCCTTCCATCAGGATGACAGGATGGTGACTATGGCACAAGTGATGCTTTGTGACTTCCATGGCTAGGCCATTCAAGATGATGCCGCACTTGGAATGTTTGCACTCAGAATGCAGCACCAGGTTGTAAAGAAGTGGAGGCAATCACACAAATAGGCCACAGGTAGTTGTTTAGACTGATTCTCCAGGAAAGGCACAAGCCTTTCTTTATAAGTCAGCATCGACCTCCAGCCTGTGAGCAGGCAGGCCTTCACATGATTGCAGTGTTCAGTCTTCAAAACACTTCCAGCCTTTGCATCTTCCAAGGTGAGGCCAGACAGCATGCCCCTGCCTCCTCGTAGTCTTTCTGAATCCCTCACCCACAGAAACTGTTGAGCATAATAAAAAGCTGTTTCCTTATGCCATGAAGTTTGGAGTGGTTTGTTACATTTCAGTAGGTAACTGGAATACTGACTTTATATATTCTCCCAGGATTCAGGATTCCTATTGTTCCAGCTCTAACAGCCCTCTCTGATACCGCGCCTCGTCCCCCAGCAATAACTTATTCTCAGAATTGCATTTGACCACATATAACACAAACCTAACAAAAATTATTTTCTTTTATATTAACAAATCCCAAAGTAGACAATTCCAGGGATGTTGTGGTATCTCTATAATGCCAGCAGACTCAGGCACCTTCTATCTTTCCACTCAGCAATTCTAAATATGTCTCGTTCACCCTTGTGGTTGTAAAACAGCTGTTCTACTGTATGAGTTAAGGCACAAATTCAGTTAAGGCAAAAAGAAAGGGGCAAGATCAAAGGAAAAGCCCATTGCTCTGTTCCCTTATATCTGGAAATAATAACTTTCTTGGGCACACCATGAGTAGGATTTCTTAGCCAAAACAGACATAGCCTCTCTCACCTGCAAAAGAGCCTGAGAAATTAATTTTCTTGAATGAGTACATTGCGAACCCAATCAAAATTGGAGAATCCTGCAAAGGATGGATAAGTTGACAACCAGTAACATGTGCAATAATTTTAAAATGGGAAAATTAATAGGAGAGCCCTTTGAGGAGTGGAAGATGGGAGGAGGGCCATGATGCTTGCTGGGCCTTGCTGTGCAGAACATGAGAGGAACAAGGATATGGGGTTTAAGGCCAAGGGGTCATAGGTTCAAGTCGCCACCAGGTCTTGCAGGACAGTTCTCTGGATGGCCTTGGACTGACCCAGTTTCCCTGCCTTTCTGGCTTGTAGTTCTTAAGAGTAACTGTAGGATGTACTTGGAATGCAACATCCTGGGATAGGGAGGAACGACTGGAATAGCCCAGGCTCTGTCCCAGTGCCCTTTAATGCTTTCACCCAGAATTTCAAGTGATTCCCAAACTATAAACCCCAGGACAGGCTGCTTTCCAGCATGCCTTGGCTGCGGTGCAAGTGGGGCACATACAGATAAGACTCCATTAGCCCTGAGCAGCTTTCCTGAGTCTGGAGGACACGCTCACAATCTTAGGCTTCTGTTGTCCCTGGCTGCTTGTCTGTAAGTAATAAACATGCTTTACATAACTTGTGTCTGAGCCTGCTTCACCAGACTGAGGCAAGTAGATAGCCAGTGTGCAGTGAACCTGTTTCACAGACCTGTTTCCACCACTGTAAAGTAGACATTACAGGAGTATTTCTATAACAAGGCTGTTGAAAAGATGAAATGAGAAGACCCATATGAAAAACACCGTAAGTATATACATAAAATACATATAGTACTATATATATAGTATGATATATATTGCATATTTAAATATATAAATATATAACATATTTAAATATATATTACATATTTAAATATATATTATATATTTAAATATATTTACATATTATATATGTATTATATATATTTATATATTATATATGTATTATATATGATATATTTGTTTAAAATATAAATTTTTTAATTGAGCTCTTTTTCCAGTATTTGATTGTGATACGAGTTGGGCAAATTCCAAGTATTTGCCCTCCTGTTTTTCTTTTTTATATAATTCCTGTGCCTTTAGAGTCCTGATTCTGATTACTAGAATCTGGAGTCAAGAGCACACCTTAGCTTTCACAGCCTGGGTGTCTATGGGATGGGAAGGCTCTTGACAATGGAAGAACCAGCAATGCCGCAGACTAGTGTAGGTGAATGGAGGGGCAAAGCAAACACTAAGTAACATATATCAGTTATTATATGTTCCATATGACAAAGGCTTCCTAATGTATAGTCAGTTTCACTCATTTGTAGTAATTTATATATTTTTAAAAATATATTATCTATTGTTACTTTTTAAAAAATTAATTAATTTATTTATTTATTTTTATTATTATACTTTAAGTTTTAGGGTACATGTGCACATTGTGCAGGTTAGTTACATACGTATACATGTGCCATGCTGGTGTGCTGCACGCACTAACTCGTCATCTAGCATTAGGTATATCTCCCAATGCTATCCCTCCCCCCTCCCCCCACCCCACAACAGTCCCCAGAGTGTGATGTTCCCCTTCCTGTGTCCATGTGATCTCATTGTTCAATTCACACCTATGAGTGAGAATATGCAGTGTTTGGTTTTTTGTTCTTGCGATAGTTTACTGAGAATGATGGTTTCCAATTTCATCCATATCCCTACAAAGGACATGAACGCATCATTTTTTATGGCTGCATAGTATTCCATGGTGTATATGTGCCACATTTTCTTAATCCAGTCTATCATTGTTGGACATTTGGGTTGGTTCCAAGTCTTCCTCCCGCATCGCCAAGTCAATCCTAAGCCAAAAGAACAAAGCTGGAGGCATCACACTACCTGACTTCAAACTATACTACAAGGCTACAGTAACCAAAATAGCATGGTACTGGTACCAAAACAGAGATATAGATCAATGGAACAGAACAGAGCCCTCAGAAATAATGCCACATATCCACAACTATCTGATCTTTGACAAACCTGAGAAAAACAAGAAATGGGGAAAGGATTCCCTATTTAATAAATGGTGCTGGGAAAACTGGCTAGCCATATGGAGAAAGCTGAAACTGGATCCCTTCCTTACGCCTTATACAAAAATTAATTCAAGATGGATTAAAGACTTAAACGTTAGACCTAAAACCATAAAAACCCTAGAAGAAAACCTAGGCATTACCATTCAGGACATAGGCATGGGCAAGGACTTCATGTCTAAAACACCAAAAGCAATGGCAACAAAAGACAAAATTGACAAATGGGATCTAATTAAACTAAAGAGCTTCTGCACAGCAAAGGAAACTACCATCACAGTGAACAGGCAACCTACAAAATGGGAGAAAATTTTCGCAACCTATTGTTACTTTTAATGCAACTAATTTGCAAATCAATAAGCCATTCACAGAAAATAAAGTTTTTATTAAAGGTCAAAAAAAGAAAAAAGAAAAACACATAAACACTTTTTAAGCAAGCTAGTTCCGTCTTTTCCACAGTATGCCTCAAGTCATGGCCCAGAGGGCAAAGGTTAAGTCAAAATCACCTTCATTTTGCAACTGCCAAGGTTTTGTGGTGCTGAATTTCAGAACTTAAAGGAAGACTGAAACCCAACAATAAAGTATCCTAGACCTGAGAAAGCCTAACTGCAGATGGAATGAGAGACTTCCCTATATCCTGAATCTCACACCAGAGTATCTCATACCAGATTGCCACAGTGATTGCACTCAGGTCTTTCTGCACATTTTTAAAAGTAAAAATTGCTTACTATTAGATCAAGCCAACTTTTACTCTATAAACTGGCTATTGAACTGGGTAATGTTCCCATTCAAGACAATAAATTCCAAAAATAAGAGTCATTAAAAATAAATGGGAGATTTTCAGTTGAATGGCTCTAGACACCAGCTTAATTGAACTAGAAAAGGAAATAGAGTCTCCCAAGCAGCCTGCTTCTTGGTGAAGACAGAAACTATAAGAGCAAGAGGAAAAAAACTTTGCTTCAGCACTCTGACTTTTGCTAGTGTGAGAATGAAAAGATATGAGATAGTAAGAAATCCTGTGAAACTTCCAAATTCTGAAAAATGGAGTCCTCTCTAATCACACCACAACTGCAGAACGATCCCCACCTTGAAGAGAAACTCTGGAAGACTTGCTTTTAACTTAGTAACTACAGGAGCAGACAATTGCTTTCGGGTCTCTTCTCCATCTTTGACTGAAATGAAAGGTACCATCAAGTCATCAAGCATTTATGATTTAACACTCCTCTGTGAAAGGTTTCTTTTACATTTCAGATACTCAGAGTCCTCCTTAGGTCCTTGTCAGTTGACCCTTTGCCGTAAAACAAGCGATAAGGCCTAATACCATGATTAGTATTCCAGGAAGTAATGAATGACTCTGAGATGTAAATGGACAAGACATGCACCTTCTATTTTGTAAAATCATTATCCAGCCTAATCATTATCTTCAGGACTCTTTTTGATTGATTGAGAAAGGGAAAATAGAACCTGAGAATTGTCTTTCAGATCTAAATTCAAGTTGCAGAGACCAAAAACAAGGTCTCTCTTTCAGTGGAAATGGCAAAAAGCCATTCTATTTTGATGTGGTTGAGGCTAGTTTACAAGCATTCGTTTTCACTTTCTGCTTTTGTTCACTGGCAACTAATTACAACTCAGTGAGGGGCAAGGTAGAGCTCCTCTACTTCTAAGTTATTATTTGAAGGGTCAATATATATTGTAAATCCAAAAGGAGTCTTTCCTCCCCCAACAGGCCTGCCCCAGCATTACAGTATGAAGAACTTCAAGGGTGGAAAGAGGCTTGTTTTGGTTTTTTTTTTTTCTTTTTTTCTCAGTTAACTATAGGTTTTTCATACCTTAATATTTTGGCTGCTGGAAAAATGGAAAACAGCAGTGTTAAAATGTTGTTTTACTGGACCCAGATTAAGCTGGTTCAAACTACTTTTCCTTTATCATTCTTACCTGGAGATACTTGGTTTATTTCATTTTTTATTTCTGTAAAAAACTAGAACTAGAGTTTTCAGGAAATAAGAAATTAATATAATCATGGAAGTAATACAGTGTCCTTGGATAAGGTCTTAACTATGTCCAGAATAGTTTTTCTTTGGTAATAGGTAAGATTACTAGGGAAGTTATCGTATCTCTCCTTACTCATTATTTAGTGGTTCCCTCTTTTTTACCTGTTGCATGAGAGGTAAACCCAAATAATTCCCAGAATAACAAAATGTGTGCTATTTATATGCATGCATTATGAAGTTACTTTCTGTTTTCTGACAGTATACTGGAGGATCTTGTGCCCAGGACATGAAGAAATAGAGAATATAAAGTACAAAAAATATACAAGTAACCCACTTGATGTATTCATGGACTTGTCAAACTCTAAGACTTTTTTTATTACTTTGAAGCTGGAAACCATCATTCTCAGCAAACTAACACAGGAACAGAAAACCAAACACCACATATTCTCACTCATAACTGGGAGTTGAACAATGTGAACACATGGACACAGGGAGGGGAACATCACACACTGGGGCTTGTCGGGGGGTGGCGGGCTAGGGGAGGGGATAGCATTAGGAGAAATACCTAATGTAGATGACAAATTGATGGGTGTAGCAAACCACCATGGCACGTGTATACCTATGCAACAAACCTGCACATTCTGTACATGTATCCCAGAACTTAAAGCATAATAAAAAAAAAAGGCAGAGAAGAAAAATAGAAATACTGCAAGTATTACATGGGAATTATCAAGGAGAAGCACAGAAAAAAATAGGTTGCCATCCTATAAGAAGTTTGCAGCAATGGCATTGTTCAGGTAGCCTGGATTCAGAGAACACAAAGACAAAGAGAAAATGACTCAAGGGGAGGTTGAGGAGACAGTCATGGACCCATGACATTTTATGTGGTTCCAGAAAACACCATGGTAGTGACCAAAGCCAGAGTGGTTAAACTCAGTGCTTGCTCTTAAATCGCTGCTTGTTGAAAACTTCTGGCCCCATTTCAGATACCACCTTCTACAAAAGCCTGTTCCATAATCTCCAGTTGGGATCATTCAAGTCCTCCTTCACAACTCCATATTTTCATTGTACTTTCCCAACTTGCATTATGATTTTACGATGCTTCTGTCCTTGTATCTTGTGGTGCAGGCATTATATCATATCATAACCCACATCTACTGAGCATCAATTATATGCTAGATTAAGCTTGTCCAACCTGCAGCCCGTGGGCCACATGTAGCCCAGGACAGCTTTGAATGTGGCCCAATACAAATTCATAAACTTTCTTAAAACATTATGAGGTTTTCTTTGCAATTTCTTTTTTAGTTAGCCAGCTATCATTAGTATATATCATACTATATATATATCATATATATATATACATATATATCAGCTATCGTTAGTGTTCGTGTATTTTATGTGTGGCCCGAGAAAATTCTTCTTCTTCCAATGTGGCCCAGGGAAGCCAAAAGACTGGGCAATCCTGTGCTAGATAATGCAACGGAAACCAGGGATAGAATGATGAACAAGATTGAGATGGCCTGTGCTCTTGGGAAGTTTCTAGTCTATTGGGGAAAGCAGACAGAAGTAAGCAAACAAATAATTACCAACTAATTGAAGCTGATGTAACATGCAGTGTTCTAACAGATATCAATAGCTATTCATAAAATATAAATAAATATAATTTACCTACTTATATGTTTCTTTGTAAACACAATTAGCAAACCCATTTTTAGGCACAATATTTAATAAGACTAGTGGTCATACCCTCAAGGTCTAGCTGGTGACTTAATCCCAGCCCTGTCGAAGCGGACACCATTTCTCGGTTGTGCTATGCTTCCCCGTGGTTTTCTTGTTTCTCAACTTGCATTCAGCTGTGAGCAGCTCTCATCATGGAAGAGGGGGCTTCAGTGCGGGTTGCATGAAACCTCTTCATCAGAATAGCAGTCGGTGTATTATTTGATGGGTTTAACTCTTGCCCCCAATATCTTGCAGTGCTCCTGGCTGTAATTCATATTTCCTATGTCTTGCTTGTTCAGGTTGATTTCACCTGTTCATTATTCGAATCCAGTACTTTCACTTCATTATTCCAACAGTGTTTCCCTCCCCTTCTCATTTCCAATTGTTTTCTTTTCTTTTTTTTCAATATTCCCCATCCATTTTCATATAGGAATTTCATTTCCATCTCAGAATCTATTTGAACTCTACTCTAAAGTTTCATTAGCATGTCATCTCTGTTTTTTCTGAGTTCTCTTACATGATTCAGACATTTTAAAAACTTTTAAAACTCTAAGTTAATAAGTGCTTGCAATGCATACAATTCTTCAATTAAGAAAATTAACTCTCATAAATGCATATGATATAGTAATGCATTGCATTAGATACAAAATAAATACTTCTTCAATGTTACCTGAAGTTTAATTTAAAAATACTAAGTAGATAAATGTTCTTAAATTCCTATCATTTATGTAAATAGTCACTACCTTCCTGCTCATCTCTGAGTTAATGTTAACACTTAGAAATTACCATAACTGATGTCTCTAGTTCATCAGATGCTACACGTTCATTGGCTGGGCAGTGGTTCTCAACTGTGATAGCACATTACAGTCATCTAATTCAAAAAACACTGCCACCCATTCTCCATTCCAGAGAAATAAAAAAATAATATCTTTGTGTGGTTCTATAGCAATGGTATTTTGTAAAAGTTCCCAGGTGATCTTAATATGCAGCCAAGAATAAAAACCACCACCACCAAAAAAAAAAAAAAGAAAATAAATAGCCCAGCTAAATCTTGGAGAAGCACATAGAAATATTTTGAATATACAGCACTGGACGGGTGCAGTGGTGCATGCCTGTGCTAGCTACTTTGTGTGGCTGAGGCGGGAGGACTGCTTGAGCCCAGGAGTTTGAGACCAGACTGGACAAAATGGTAAGAAGCTATCTCCATTTAAAAAAAAAAATACAGCATATGATAAATTCTAGGAAGAAACCACAACAACGAGACTGGCTGTTATAGATGTATTAATTTTCTGTCTTTTCTGATGTTTTGATATTTGGGGCCTAGCTGATCCTGAAGAGACTGTGCCTTCCATGGCTAGCCAAATTTTACAGAGAGTAAAGGACTCACCTGCAAGTGTGCCTGTCATGTGCAAAGCAACCAGTCCAAAGCCCATTCCCCTCCACTACCTCCTTCATCTGGCTCTTTCACTCCAGGTCACTATCCATCAGCCAGGTACACTACAACTAGGAACAGCATTCATGCTCCAGAGCCCCAAAATTATTCAAGCTAGCCAAACCTAAGCCTGCTCACCCTGCCTGGCCTTGCCTTTCCCGTAAAAACCACAATAAAGGTTCTTGCCCACACATTCTCCTGGCTCCCTCTGCCCCCGACCAACCCTGGTACTTCCCCCTGTTGCCACACATGGCATGCCATGCCTCCTGTTTCTAGTAGTCTTTAAATATAAAAAAACTTCTTCTTTGATAATAGTCATTTCTGTATCTGCATGTCTTACCATACCTGATAAAAAAAAAAATCCAAGGTACTTTTAAAAATAATAGAGCTTTCTCAGAAAAGGTGATAATTACACTGACACTTGAAGATTGTAAGGGAAATAGGAAGAGCTTAGAAAGAGAAGGTACAGGCCAGGTGCAGTGGCTTATGCCTGTAATCCCAGCACTTTGGGAGGCCAACGCGGATGGATCACCTGAGATCAGGAGTTTAAGACCAGCCTGGCCAACATGGTGAAACACGGTCTCTACTACAAATACAAAAGTTAGCCAGGCATGGTGGCACACACCTGTAATCCCAGCTACTTGGGAGGCTGAGGCAGGAGAATCACTTGATCCCGGGAGGCAGAGGTTGCAGTGAGCCAAGATTGCGCCATTGCACTCCAGCCTGGGCAACAGAGCAAGACAAAGAAAGAAAGGAAAGAGAGAAAGAGAGGAAGGGAGGAAGGAGAAGAGAAGAAGAGAAGAGAAGAGAAGAGAAGAGAAGAGAAGAGAAGAGAAGGAGCAAGAAGATACTGAGAGAGCCCCACAAGCCAATATTCTGGAAATTGGCAAGGACTTGGCTGAATCCAAGCAACTGGGAAAGAGACTAGCAATGAAAGTGGTCAGGAAGGAAGAAGCTAAATCACTGGGGTAATGTGTGACCTTATTCAAGGCTTGGTATGGGAAATTATATGACATTTCTGACTAACCGGTTCAGAGTAGCTTACATTTCTTATTTAAGAAAACATTTGGCAGGGCGCAGTGGCTCACACCTGTAATTCCAGCACTTTAGGAGGCTGAGGCGGGCAGATCACGAAGTCAAGAGATCAAGACCATCCTGGCCAACATGGTGAAACCCCGGCTCTACTAAAAATACGAAAATTAGCTGGGCATGGTGGCAGGCGCCTGTAGTCCCAGCTACTCGGGAGGCTGAGGCAGGAGATCACTTGAACCCAGGAGGCGGCGGTTGCAGTTAGCCGAGATTGCACCATTGCACTCCAGCCTGGTGACAGAGTGAGACTCCGTCTCAAAAAAAAAAAAAAAGAAAGAAAGAAGAAAACATTGCTGATTCCCTTTTCCATACAAAGCTCAGAGCTAGACGGCACAAGAAAACAAACAAAAATGACATAGTCTCTCTTTAAGTTGTTAAATGTACTAGAAGAGACAGATAAGCAATTCACTCCAATTTAATGGAGAGGTGAGGCTAAATTTGTTGATTAGAACTCGGAGCCCAGCACAGTGGCTCACACTTGTAATTCCAACACTTTGGAAGGCCAAGGAGGGCAGATTGCTTGCTCTCAGGAGTTCAAGACCAGCCTGGTCAACATGGCAAAATCCTATCTCTACAAAAAATACAAAAATTAGCCAGGTGTGGTGGTGTGTGCCTGTAGTCCCAGCTACTTGGGAGGCTGAGGTGGGAGAATGGCTTGAGCCCAGGAGGTGGAGGTTGCAATGAGTAAAGATCATGCCACTGCACTCCAGCCTGAGCAACACAGCCAGACCCTGTCTCGAAAAAAAATAAAAGTAGAACTCTGGAGTTTCAAATTTTTATTTGTGAACATTAAGGTTTTAGTAAGCAAAGTCTGCATCTACAGTCTTATCCTTATTGTTTTGATCTAAAATTGTATCCATTTTTGCCTACTTGATAGGTTAAGGCTCTCTAGAATGATTCTTTTTCTTCCTGTATTTCACAGAGGTTTCATTTCTTTTTTTTCTGAGTCAATAAAATGTTATTCCTCCATGAAGGTTTATAGTATTTTATCTTCATGGTGGTTTTTCCTGTTTACAGTGGCCTTCTTTCTTCTCTCTCCTCAACCCCTCCCAAGAGTTATACTTTGATGTTAAAATCATAAACCTTGTGGTTCTTTCCTTTGTATTTGTCAGATGTATTTTGAATCTCCCTCCCCAATTTTTTTCTGTTATCACATTTCATGTTTCTTGTATATAGCTCAGAGTTGAATTTTATTTTTAATCTAATCTCTAATCTCAGGCCTGTTTGGTCTAAGAAATTATAACCTATTGACAAGTGGAGCGTCGTAACTGATATGTTTGGTCTTATTTCTATCAATAGGTGTGGCTCGCCTATCATTTGGAATACTCTTCGCCTTCACACACCACTGCAGGATCTCGGAGTAAAATTGCAAGCCACTTTTCCATTTTGGGTTTCACTTCCAGAAATGAGGAACGCAATAGATAGGGTGGAATTAGAGTCAGGTGAAGGTAATATCTGGCACCAGCCCTTTCTTCTCTGAGGTCCTTTGCCATTTCTCAGGTGTTTCCACTCTTCCTTCCTCTGCCCTCTCTTTGTCATGGCTGCCAATGCCTTCCCTGCCCCTCAGACGGTGCACTCCTTCCTCCTTTCTTCTGCACCAAAACTCTTACTCTGAACTCATCTCAAAAAGAAAATAAGTTCTCACTATGGGTCAACTACTTCAGAGCCCACTTAACCTTCCTAAGTATCAGGTTGTTGACTAAATGGCATATTTCAGGTGGTATAGGACAGATATTTTCAGACAAAGCTCCTTTCTGCTGGAAAGAGAGAAACCTGCAACCTGAAATCTTGGGGACTCAAAGATTACTCCCCAAACCATGGAAAATCTCATCGTACATCTCAGTCCTCTATTCTTCTCCTTGAAAGGGAACCCACAAATCCTCTCTCCGAAGCATCTGGCCTCTTCTGTTCTTAAATGAGGTTGAAAGAACCCCAGCATTTGCCACCTTCAGGCCTGGATAGGCACTGAGGCCACAGGCACATCGCAGGGGTCCAGCTCAAGTGTTTCCCTGTTGGCAACTGGGTTCTCTCAGTGATGGAAGCCTCAGCCTCTCCAGCTTGTTCCCTATGGTGCTCATCACATGACTATCACTGTGGACTGCAGGCTTTGGGTTTACTCAGATATGGGTTCAAATCCATGCCTTGCCATTTATGAGCACTAGAACCTTGGGCAATTACTTAAAACTTTAGGTCTCAGTTTCCTTATCTGTGTGGTTAAAATAAAGTATGTGCTCTATGTTGTTGTTTGGAGGTAAAGTGGAAGAATCTGGGCAAAGGGCGAAGCCTCCTGCCTGGCTCAATGTTGGCTATGACTATAGTTATGATCAATATAACTCAATGGTCCTCAATTTTCTACAGTGACCAGCTGACTATGCCATCTGAACGAACTTCACACAAAGGATATCTAAGCGAACACTGATTTTAATTTTTAAAAGGAAGCTTATTCAATTAAAACATTTAAAAGCGCTCGGCCTGATATCACATTGCAGAGTACCACAGATCCAAGAGAATCAACTAAAAAATTGCCAGATATGGTTGAGCAGTAGAGATTAATTTCACTATAAAGGCTGTTGTTTAAAAATTTGCTTTTAAAATCAGATGTAAAAGAGGGAAGGGGAGATAGTTCAGCAAGTTTTAAGCAGTTTAAGAAAATGAAAAATAAATCCAGTATTGGTGAGGTTTCAAAAGATTCCATTAGGACAAGGCAAAGAACATTTAAGGTAAAAGGACATTTCCAGGAACTTCAACCTAGAGTAGGATAAATGCACAGAGAATTGCTGAAGCTCCAGGAGAGGCAGGTCTGGCCTGACAGAACAGTCCTACAAAGCACCAATAAAAGGAGAAGCGTGATTCCCAAAGGACATGTCCAGTTGTGAAGTGCAATTAGAAACACCAGCATGACAGATTTTTTTCCCCCACAAATGGGTGAGGGAGTAGATCTATTTCTCATTCTGTAGCTCGATTAAAGCCGTTCCTCCAAATCTAAACTTTTCATCAAAACAAACCTACATATTGGATGTCTTAGTCTAATCTCATGTTTAAATCAATAAGCAAACATAAAAGATTTCATGGAGGAAGATATGTTATTCACTCTCTTGTCATTTGCCACTTAGCTGGGGAGGAGGGATGATGGCAGGGAGAAGCGGTTTATGTTTTTGATGCCTGCATTGTTTTGTGCTGATCTTTTTACAATCCCAGTTTTCAAAGTTGTGTCACTCAGAAAGCAACATTCTATCCAATTGGCTCAAACCAAGAGCCTTAGGTAACAATAAAATGACAGTTGTCATTCAAATGCTTTGCAAGTTATAATCAGTACAGAAGTTAAATAATATATCAAAGCACTCTTTGTCTTTTTATGACTATAAAAATAGGAGACAGTGACTACCTCAGTGTTCATAATACTGCGTGTATGATAAGTCTGAATAGGTCATCAAATTGTGTCCAGCCACACATCCCCCCAACTTTAATATTTTTCTAATTTCTAATTCTAGAGTGGTGTGTGGATGCTTTGTAACTGGTGCCGGGTTTTTGTTTTTTGTTTTTTTTTTCTCCTTCCCCAACACTTTCTTGCCAAGTATATCATTACGAGATTCTGCAGTAACAAGCATTCTTCTGTTCAAATTTGTATCAATTAGTTGAGGACAGTAATTCAATTGGACGACCCACTGGATTTTGAAAGACTCGAGACCATGTCAAAGTGACGACCTTTTTCTGTCTCTCTCAGCCAAAAGCAATTTTTTAACAAGAAGCCCTGGAAAGAAATGCTGGTTTAATAATTAGTTATTGATCGTGGCTAATGCCATCGTGAATACCACTGGATTAGTCAGAGACCAGTAAATCGGAGCACGGGCATTTCCCTTGTCAAGATTGTGAGAGAGCGGGAAAAAAAAGCAAAAGAACTGACAGAATAAGATATCAAAAACAGCTTAATTAGGTACATTTTCATCTTTGATAGGTATTCTTTTCATTTTCGAAAGTAGAAGTAAAATCTTTAACCTGAGTAGATTCAATGCCAAATTATTTGAAACACTTGTATTAAGATAAAGCAACTTAATAGTATATCTCCACTTAAAAACACTGTAAAAGACCAGCTAGGAGTTAAGTAGACTTGGAAAACACTAAAATTGCTTTGAAACAACACCATGCAAAGTTATTTTGATAAATTAACCCCGCTTTGGCCAGCATTTTTGCCTCCCTAAGATACCATTAACCCCCATGTCCTGAAATGCCCATTAGAAACAATTTGGATACATGCAGAAAAAGACTATAACAATTATAGACAGTAGCTTTAAAAGTATAATTGACTTTTCTGAGCGCTAATTTAGGCATCACTTTAGGGCTGCATAAAAATCTCCACGTATGAGCCACTTAATGGAAGGAGAAATTTAAAAAATGATTTTATTGTAGTTTGAGGGGAAAAATGTTTCCATTAGTTGTACAATTTCTTCCTAGAATAGAAAAAAAAAGATATTGAAAATGCAAAGTGACAACTACGTCAACTTCTATCTAGTTTGAAGGTGGTCGTGCCCAGTCCTTACTCTGACAAACAAAAATGGAAGTCCCTCTATGCTCCATATTTAATGAGGGGATTTTCTGTTGAAATCAACCATATTCATAATAAAGTAGCTAGAGTATAGAAGTATTCTTAAACATAATTTTAGAAATGAATATATGGATAGTGAGCAGATGAATCAGATTACTCAGCTCTAGCTCTACGATTTTATATTTTCAGGGGTCACCTTTCCCCAGAAAAAAAATGCGCTAATTTTACATCCAATATCAAGTGGTTCTGATGGTTCCAGAGAACAGAGCCATCCCCAAATGTGATCATTTTGAGTCCATACAAGAAAAAGGTCTCTAGCTTTCAGCTTGCTGTCACAAAATGAAAAGTGATGTGCCAAGACTCCGTTCTTTCCCTATTATGAAAGACACTCAAATAAAATCTGGACTATAATTTGATTGGGATATTAAAGAGAAGACCAAATCTCTAAGATTCTTCATAACCCTGATTCAAGAACACAATGCTTATAGTGGTTTCCAGAGATGTACATAAGAACTGTACACCTCTAGAAGCATGACAATATCCTGGGATTCTCTATAAGATGTAGCAACTACAATGATCAAGTTTATAACCTTAATTTTTTTTTTTGAGATGGAGTTTTGCTCTTGTCACCCAGGCTGCAGTGCAATGGCATGAGCTCGGCTCACTGTAACCTCCGCCTCCTGGGTTCAAGCGATTCTCCTGCCTCAGCCTCCCAAGTAGCTGGGATTATAGGCACGCCACCACACCCAGCTAATTTTTGTATTTTTAGTAGAGACAGGGTTTCACCATGTTGGCCAGGCTGGTCTTGAACTCCTGACCTCAGTTGATCCACCCACCTTGGCCTCCCAAAGTGCTGGGATTACAGGCATGAGCCACCATACCCGGCCTCACCTTATTTTTCATGTCAACCTGACCTTAGAGGTTAAAAAGAAATTGTTGGTCACTGAGTGCCTGAAGTATATTGCTATTCATATTAATTATATGCTTTTCAAGAAGACCAACTCTCACTTTGTATGCACGTTCAAAGATTAAAAACAAAAAACCAACAGCCACAAGTGAAGAGCCCTGGGCTTCCAATAAAGTGGGAGTTCTAGTTTTGATTTGACCTTTAATGAACTGGATTAGGTTGGACATGTCACTTCAATTCCTGCATCTATAAAATGAGTAAGATGTCTATATCCTCACTATTCATTGTGGACTCCGAGAGCCAGCAGCTCAACATCACCTGAGAGCTTGTTAAAAAAATGCAGGACCTTGGCCAGGTGTGGTGCCTTATGCCTATAATCCTAGCAATTTGGGAGGCTGAGGCGGGCAGATCACCTGACATCAGGGGTTTCAGACCAGCCTGGCCAACATAGTGAAACCCCATCTCTACTAAATATACAAAAATTAGCCAGGCGTGGTGGCACATGCCTGTAATCCTAGCTAGTCGGGAGGCTGAGGCAGGAGAATCGCTTGAACCCAGGAGAAGGAGGTTGCAATGAGCCGAGATTGTGCCATTGCACGATCTGGTGTGACAGAATGAGACTCTGTCTCAAAAAAAAAAAAGAAAAGAAAAAGAAAAAAGAAAAAGAAAAAGGCAGGATCTGGAGCCCCTCCCTACACCTATTAAATCAGAATCTGCAATTTAACAAGACGTCCAGGAGATCTGAAGCTCTGAATGCTGGTTTAAAAGACCTTTAAGATCACTTCTTATCTTGCTATGGGGGGAAAGGGGAAGAGAAACTCCTTGAGTTCAAAAGACAGCCCAACATCTCTGCATCTCTGTGTGTGTTTCTATGTGTGTGCGTGTGTGTGTGCATGCAGGTGTGTGTGTTTATTCGCTTTCACATTTCACCTCTTTACCACGTGGATACCTGTGCAGTTCCCTGAGCGTGTAGGACACATTTGTCGAGTTCTCTATGGCTTCATGTTTAGCTAAACAAATGTGCTGTCAGATGCCCTGAGATTGAGCAAAATGGGATGTGGACTCCAGTTCTGTTGTGTGGTCGCTCTGACTTAGATGTTTTCCATTGAGGTCATGGCACAAAGAATTAAAACCTCCTTACCTCAAAAGCTCATCTAAACTCACATCCAAATTAGGAAGGTACAAGAAATAAATAATCTCATCTGTCTTTTTTTGCCAGCATCACCTGATCTGTCAAGTCTGTCTTTAGTATCCCTACGCCAAGCTGACAGCTCCCCCACATCCGCCCCCGCAGTATCTGGATCGGTGGGGACAGACGCCCCACCCCTGAGAAGATTCACTTACAGTAACTGCTGAGGTGCAAGTAGAGAATGAACAATAGAAGGCTGTCAAGCCCGACAGCCAGCCCGGGACGTATGAGCGTCTAGCTGACAGCAAGGGCCTCAGAGGGTAAACTGCTTTGCTGGAACTAATTAAACAGATGAAATTATTACATGAATATGCAGATGTTGTTTACATTTTACCATATGGTATTATTTCAGGTAATAACTCGCAGGAGAATCCCTTCCTCTCATCAAGAGGAAATGGGTTGAAAAGAAGGCCCCACGTGTCACCTTTTGGTTGCTAGGCAGACACTGATAACTCAGGTTTCCTTTAGGAGTCATGGGGAGTGTTCAGTTGGATTCTTGTGGCACAAGCAAGATGAAGCCGGGGCCCCTCTCTGAAAGTAATGGGGTGGGAGGCAGGACTGCCTTAGCTGAGCTGAAATGGCAGCTCCAGCTGCCGTAAAATTCACCCAAAGGTTGAAGTGCATCCAACGATAGACATGGTGTCATTTTGCAAGTTGCAAGAAGAGCCAGTCAACTCACTTCATGCCTCTGTAGCTGGCATTTCCTCTAAGATTTGGGACTCCAAGACTCCAAGACTTAGGTGACTATAGGGCAAGGCAACTGATTTCTAAAATGCCAAGTCAGAACCATACCATCCAAATGACTGTCACCCTTTCCAAAGGTGCCACCTTCAGGGGGAGGCAATGCTCTGAAGCCAAGGAGCCGTGGCAGTCGATGAGAATGTGTGTGAGAAAGCAGGGTCAGCACACCCGGGCAGGACGCGTAATTCTCCCAGGGACGCCCCCTTCCTGATCTTTCCTCCCATGCCTCTGTTAGTGCATTCACATCAAGCCATTCCCCCAATCCAACCTGAGGTTCCCTTATCCCTCACCCCCCATGTCCAACTAAGCATGAAGGCTTTCCCTCCAAAATGGTCCTCACATGTTTTTCTGCTGCCCCATCCCCACTATGCCCTGCCACGGCCTTCAGCATTTTTAACTGAACTCCTGTAGCAGCCTACCTACCATTCTCCTTTTCTTACTTTCTGCCGTCTTCAATCCAGTTAGAATTATTTCTAAAATTCACATCTCATCAGGCGTCTGCCTCCCTTAAGAGCGGTCAATGGCATATCACTACTTTCAGGCCCAAGCCAACTCACAGAGCTCCTTTACAAGGTGTGATCCTGCAACCCATTCCCAACTTGTTCCTGTTTCTACGTTGAGGCTTCTTCCTGGGCTCTTCTCGGTACTTGGACCATTTCCTCTCTTCCTCCACCTCCTTCTCTTACTAGCTTACAGCTAATCATGCTTTTATGTTTGTGTTGAAATTTGTTGTAATGATTGCTATTATTATAAAGAAAATGTAAACCATCAAATCTGGCCCTGTCAAAACTATGCAGTATTTACTCCTTTGGGATAATCAGACCAAAGAGCCTTCTCTGAATTTATCCACCTTTATCCATCCCCACATTAAACACATGCAAACATAGATGCATACATATAAAGTCTTTTTTCCAAACCTGAGATCCTGTTATTCATGCTGCTCTGAAACTAGCTCTTGTCACTTTACAATGTCATGGGCATTACCTAAATCAAAAGACAAAAATAGATCACATTCTTTTTATACTCCATGTTCAAAATACTCCATGTTACACATGCATCATTATTCACTAAACTATCTGGCTGTTACTAAATATTCAATTTTTTTCTTTCCTTTTTTATTAACTTTCTTTGTAGGTGAAAATAATGTTTCTACAAATTTTCTTGTAAGTTCTTACTTATTGATGCCTTTTTTTTCTCTGGAAGGATTGATTCCCCAGAGTGGCACTTCTATGCCTAAAGGCACATGAGCTTTTAAATTTAGTAGATATTTCCAGATGGTTTTCCAAAAAGGTTGTAGTAATCTATACTCCCATCAGCAATACATCAGAGTTCCCATTTGCCCACATCCTTGAAAATGTTATATTTTACAGCTTTTTGTATTATTTTTGTTCCTGTTTTTATTTTGCCAGTAAGACATTGTACATTATTTTCATATCTAGCTCCTTCACTCTTAGGGAAGTTCAGTGTCATTTACTAAGTTTATTCTTTGTCTTCAAGCTCATTTCCTATTTTTCTATTGTGTTGTTTGTCTCCCTTATAAATTTGCAGGATTGTTTAAGCTAATTCTTTGTCTGGTGTGTGACAAATATATCTGCTCAACATATGCCTGTTTTCCTTTATAGTTTTTGGGTTTCCCAAGTCTCTTGAAGAGGCCTCTTGCTACCCTACCATTATTCAAATATTCACCAAATGTTTAATTCATGTACTTTTCATACTCCTTTTTTCTTTGGAAAATTTTCCTAGCTAGTTCCAATATATGTTCTATGTGAACTTAAAAATCTTTCTGCCTCATTCCTTACCCATCCTCCCAAAACACCAATTAGAATTTGAATTAGAATTATTTAAAACCTCTTAACTTGACAAAGTTTGATATTATATAGTAAAAATATTACTATTCTTTCGAATTTGTGTCTTGCTTTTGATCTTCGATAGGATTTTGAGGTTTTCTTCATTTAAATTCGGTGATTTCTTATGCAATTTTTGTCTTCAAATTTTTCTTCTTATTGTATTACTGTGAGTGCATTTTTTCTTTCATCTTTCAGCTAGTTATTGCTGTAATTGAGAAGCTATGAATATTTATCTCATCTTATTAATTTTAATTCATATTATTTTATTAATGCTACTAGATTTTAGTGGCTTTTCAAAGGTTTACCAAGTAAGCAATCATATCTTCTGCCAATAAAGATAACTTTATCTCTTCTTTTTCAATAATTAATTCAACTTATTTTGTTTTCTTGCTTTATTGTAACCTCCAAAAGGTGTTAAATAATAGAGGGTATCTATGCAATGCATTTGAATTTAAAATGATTTCAGTATTTCAACATACGATGCTTATTATTTGTTTTGACAAATGTATTTTCATCATATTTAATTAGATTATGCAAGAAATATTTTATTAGTAATAGTTGCTGAATTTTTGAAATTGTCTTTTTGGCATCTATTGATTAAATGAATTATATTTGTTGATATAATTAATTATGTTGGTAAAAGTCCGAATGTTGAATCCTTCTTGAATTTCTATTAGTCATGCTTTGTTATTCTTATAATATACTGCCGAATTCAATTTGCTAATACATTTTTTTATTTTTACAAGCAAAATTTCACTGTCTTATCATGTTTTGAAATTGAATTGCTGCTAGCTTCTTAACCTAGATTGAGAAACTTTGGTTTGGATCGGTAAAAAGCGCTGCTCCTCAAAATGCAATTTTCAGGTCAGTAGCACTTTCTAAACGTGCACTTTATCATGTTTCCCCAGCCCTACTAAATTAAAACCTAGAGTTAAACAAGATCCTCCGGCAGTGTGTAAATACATTAAAAATTTTAGAGCACTGGTGTAAATAACACAGTGATTATTCACTTTTTTCAAGTTATGTCACGCTAAGCTGAAAATCCATTTGGTTGTGTCACCTATTGGAAACTGGTAACTAGGTGATGGGTTGATAGGCACAGCAAACCACCATGGCACACATTTACCTGTGTAACAGATCTGCATGGCCTGCACATGTATCCCTGAAATTAAAATTAAATTAAATAAAAAAATACAACTGGTAGATTATTGTCTTCCCAAATTTTTCTTATATATCTGTTCAATCACTTTTCTACCTCTTCTTGAATCAAATTTGAATGTTGTATTTTGCTGGGTAATGTCATGCTTCCTCCAATTTTTCCCTACGAATACTTCAGATCTCAGTGTAGACATACTCATCACCGTGGACAGGATCCCCTCCCAACATCTGCAGCCCTGCCTCTGGCCTCTTGCTCCCTGCTCTGTTCACACTCTCTTCTTTGTCTGCCATCACACTTAGCATGTTTTATTATAATGTCTTATTTAACTGCCTTTCTCCTCTGGTAGACTATCAAATCCAAGAGGGTTAAGAACATGTCATTCTTGTTCATTTTTGTAGGGCTGGCACCAAGCACAATTCCTGACACATAATAGGCATTTCAGAAATATGCTGTGTGACAACTGGATGGATAGGTAGATGGGTAAGTAATATTCCTAAATGTAGTAACCGATATGTAATTATCTTTATATCACTTGCACATTTCATAGAGTCTAGCATGCTACACCCTTCCTGACACATACAGGACATTCAAATTGCCTTGTAAAATATAAAGTGTTTTGTAAACTGTAAGACGATGAAATGATGGTACTGGGGATATGACGATAAACAAAAAAGGCATCGTCTCCAGTTAAACCTACTCATCACAGTCTAGTAACTTAACTTTGTTTTCATTTTAATTTGCTTACTCATATAGTTTGGAGAATTTTGGAACTCCTCCTGTGTTTTCAACTTTCATACTCACTTCTGAAAATCAGCTGGGGCAGGAAATCATCACATAAAAGCATTGGTTTTCTCTTCGGAATCAGACAAAATAATTTAGTGCTAGAGAAAAAAAAGTAGATGTTCAAGCTTGACAAAGCAATTTCAAGTAAAAAAATAAAATGTAAATATGAAATAACAAAGCCAACTTACTTCTGGCACACACACAAAAATCGAAGTCAGTACTGAAAGAATAATTTTCTGAAATGTGTTGAACATGGAGCAAGTGTACAACCCCTGGAGAAGCATACATTGAGGGTCACCTTGAGGCACGGGGGAGTTCTAGTTTCTTTATTTGAACATTATCTCATTATTTTTCTTGGCATTTCCCAGTTCGTGTACGGATTGTTTCCAAATGGTGGTTTTAAAATCACTGTTTTATAATTCATATTATTGGTCCAATGAGGGATGTGTTGGGATCTCAAGACAAACCATAGGGAGTTATTGAGTGAATAGTAATGAAATCATGAAGCTGAGAGGGCTGGTCATGTCGGAATCTTTCTTTTGGTTATATGGATTCCCTGGACGAATACTGAAGTAGACACCTGTGTCAGTCAGGGTTCTTCAGAGAAACGGAGCCAATAGTGTATACATATGTGTGTATATTTATTAATTTATGTAAGGAATTGGCTCGTGATTCTGGGGGCTGGCAAATGTAATATCCATAAGGCAGGTCAGTAAAAAATCTCGGGCTAGTTCATGTTGCAGTTCTGATTCTGAAATTTGTAGGACAGACCAGCAAGCTGGAGACTCGGATAGGATTTATATGTTGCAACCAAGAGTCAGAGTTTCCTCTTCTCTGGGAAACCTCAGGCCTTGTTCTTAGACCTTGAACCAGTTAGATGATGGCCACCCACATTATCAAGGTCAGTCTCCTGTATTTAAAGTCAACAGATTATAGGTGTTAACCACATCTAAAAACTACCTTCACACCAATATCTAGACTAGTATTTGACCAGAAAAATGTACCACAGCATAGTCAAGTTAACATAAAAAATTAAGCCATCACCACAACCCTCTATGGATACTTGTCCCCATCCCACACATCCCACCCCGGCTTCAGACTGCTCTAAGACTTCCACATGCTCTCCCTATTCAAGCCTTTCTCAAATTTCTCTTGGACCTTACCCTCCCCCTCCCAAATAATCATTCTTTCAAAATGCAAAAGTTTTTTTTTTTTTTTAAAGCAATTTGGTCAGGCTAATTTGCCGTTATATGCAAGTGGTAGCTAGAATTTCAGAAATCAAAGTAAAAACTTGGTGCATTTTTGGAGTTGAGGAGAAGCAATTTATATTGGTCATTTGCAGTAAGCTAGAATCACAAAACACATTCCATGAGGATCTGGCGGGTAACAGAAGTGATTAAAGCGGGCTTAGTCTCGAACCATTGGTCCAGTGTTGAGAATGACAGTAAATCGGATAAGGCCTGGCTCAGCTCATCTTTCTCCAGTCTTTGCCACACGGGAGAGTCCAACACGGCTACAGTTTTCACTTTTTCAATAAAATCCACAAATCCACATTTGTAGGAGGCATTTCCCAATCATGAAAACGCCACGCAGGCTGCCAGTTCAAGACTCTATCCCTTATTTTTTCTTTGCCATCTCATTCTTTCCTGTAATTCTGAGTTCTTTCATAATCTGAAAGTTCAGTTTCCAAGTGTAACTCATCTGGAGAGAAGGAAAAGAGAGGAGGAAGACAGAAAGACTATACCTACGGCTCATTTGTCCAAAGCCAGGTGCTTCAAAGTTAGGGATTTTTTTTTGGTAAAGTCCTTCCCTGTACACCAGAGCCTGGTAGGCCTTGGCCATGCCTGTGGGGTTTGTTAATCAGGCATTTCTTCTCATAAGTTTTCACTCATTTTGAAAAGCCTAACTTCTCCTAGCAACATGCAGTTCATTGGACAACAAAATTAATGATTAATGATAACAGCACTTCTTCTGGACCTTGACACAAGGGATACTACACCTGAGATACTCAGAGAATAATCACATGATCCTAATCGGACTAGCTTCAGAAAGGAAGACAGAATGAGAAGCCATGGCCATCTTATTATTTGTCTATTTCTACAGGCAGAGATGTTTCTACACCTCTTTATTTATGTTTATTAAGGAAAATGCAAAGATTACTCAAGATGGAAAGGGTCCTTGCAACTCTCATGGGAGTGGATTTCTCCTGATTCACTTCTCTGTCCGCTATGGTTTGACATCTCTCCATAGTCTCTGAGCTACTTAAAGTGATGCTTCTATCTCTTCAGTCTGCATAAGATTCACCTGGGGGTGCTTAAGGATGCAGCTTCCCAGACCACACTCCAGAGACCCTGAGCCAATACACTTCAGGAATCTGCAGTTTAAAAGTGCACCAGATAAGGTGAACCAAGGATCCAACCTAAAGAACACTGCCCTAAGGGAAGGAAAATGGAATATGATGGGAAAAGACTAAGGGGGAATCTCTTCTAAATTGGAGACTCTACTTCAATAATAATAAGTGATGATTGGCAGTTTATCTAAGAGTTACAAGGAAACCATGTGTGTAAAACTCATTCAGTTGTCTTCTGTTAATTGGGAGGCAAAGAAAAGACTTCCATGACAATTGGATTCCATGCCTTCAGTGGAACTCTGAACACTTTCACAAAAGATTGTAATGGGGAAATATGCCCTGCCATAGCCAATTATCCAGAGTGTGTCTGCTCAGTGGTCAAGCGGAGAAGTTCACATACTGTTATTTATCTCTCCCCACACACCTAAATTCATTCTCTAAAGAATCGAAGAAGACTCACCAGGCCTTTGAATAAAAAGAGTGATGCAGTATTTAAGTGGGATTTGAATTGAATTCCAAGTCTTCATAGATAAATGATTAAAAACATACTGTTCTCTATTTGCTACCTGAGATAAACAACTGCAGACACACCTACCCAGAAGTTCAGCTGCTATGGAGCATCCAGGAAAACACAGTGTCTGTTTCTGAGGGATTTGTGTGTACCTGACAGTCAAATACTCTGTTCTCTGTAATGCCTGTAGGTAAACTGTTTATAATCTTAGAAACTTGTTAGCATGCTTGCTGCAAATGATCATGTCTCAGTGGCATATCTGAAAGGCTATGGGACTAAAGGCCCTAGAGTCCTGCTACAATGAAAGACTTGGCTTATTTATGGAAAGAAAAGCATTTGAGGCAACTAAGATTAGCAACTTACTGTGTCTGGAATGCAATGTTTTTTATCATGCTCTTCTGAAAGTCATATATACATGGTGTGCTTAATGCAATAATTTATTAAATAGTGGGCCATTTTTCATTCCTTGTCTGCAGTGACTGATAACATTTGCCACTTTAAATCATGAAATTGGAGAATAAGAGGAATGAGCCCTGCTTAAGCTTTCTGATGTTTAAAAAGTCTTCACGCAGACAGCCTCAACCTAACGCACACTGAAATAATCTGGAATGCTTTTTTTAAAAAAACATTTAGGCTGGGCGTGGTGGCTCACGCCTGTAATCCCAGCACTTTGGGAAGCCAAGGCAGGCGGATCACCTGAGGTCAGGAGTTCGAGACTAGCCTGACTAACATGGTGAAACCCCATCTCTACTAAAAATACAAAAATTAGCTGGGCATGGTGGTGGGTGCCTGTCGTCTCAGCTACTCGGGAGGCTGAGGCAGGAGAATCGCTTGAACCCGGGAGGCAGAGGTTGCAGTGAGCCAAGATCGTGCCACCGCACTCCAGCCTGGTAACAGAGCAAGACTCCGTCAAAAATAATAATAATAATAATAATAATAATAATAATAGTTTCAGCCCCAGCCTAGACCATGAAATCAGAAACCCCAGTGCTGACTAGGTAATTTTAAACCCCCTTATTTGAGGTATTCCAGGGCAGCCCTGGTGGTGAGCCACTGGCAATTATATACATTCAAACTCATGCTGATGGGTTGCCTTGCAAGTAAGACCACCTTTGAGACGGTCCCCTTTTGGAAGACACCTTAATAGCTAGATATCTGAAGCACTTCATATCAAATTCTGTGCCATATTGAAGAGCCAAAGTGAGGGTTCACTAAGAAAGAGTAGATAGTAAAACAGTAAGTAAGAGGTCATTCTGACCTACAGCCAACAATCGCACTTTTATTTGAGTGATTCACTTTCTAGGGATTATTTTGAAATATAAGAATCCACAGGTTTAGTTTGTATCTTTAGATGGAGGAAAAAAAAAACCCTAAGTGGAGTCTCAGTTAAGTTAAACAAATGTCATATCCTTCTTCTAGCTAAACAAGGACTCCGCCACCGCCCCCACCCACCTGCCATTATCATAGAATGGAAGAAGCAATGGCATAAGTTATTTTGTAACCCATGCGCAGGTCATTTAGAAAGTACTCTTCATACGTTTTCTCTGTTAGAGTCTGCAGCTAGTTGTCTGTATTAATTGCTAAGCAACAGGTTGGAAGTGTAGTTTTATCAAGGGTTAGAGAGCCACAACGAAAACTGGAACAAAATCAGCCACACATATTTGCACTACCTTGGTACCCAGGCAAGGTGCTCAACAAACACTAGTTGACAGCTCCTCTCTTCCCAGTGAGCCTTAGTTAAGATTTAGAAGGGATGAGGGGGAAAAGAAGAAAAAAAGCTGTCTAATAAACTGCCCAAGTACACTTGCATGCATCCTGGAGAACTCAGGCTACAAAGAAAATAAATCTACTCTTTCAAATTCGAGTCAAAGCCTACATTCGCCCCCCAAGGAACCTCAATTATAACAGGGGGTCCTTCTTTTTATGTTCTCCCATAAGGAAAAATTACCACAAATTTTGTTTGGAAGTTCTCATAGTCTTTCGTTTAGTGTTCTATTCTAAAGAGAGTAAGTTACACACGATCCGAAAAATCTCCAGATGTTTACACAACTAAAAGTAAAAGAAATTGCTGAATCTTTTGTGCCGCTCCAAAACCCAAACTTGACCTTCCAGCAGGTGGGGTCTAGTTTTCTCAGAGGTCTGTGGAGGCAATGCATCCAGGCTGCTTGGGCCAAAAGGGGCTCCAGTCAAGCATGGGACCCTGGAGGGAGGCAGAGTCCCATTGCATCAAGGGTGAGCTTCCTCCAGGAGCGGCTGCACTAGGCTGCCACAGGAGTTGATCCACGTTCATGGACTATAGCATTCTTCTCATGGTTCCTCCCTCTCCAGGGTTCAGGTCTCAGCTCAGAAATTATCTCCCAGAACACGCTCTCCCTGTGTTCGCAGCACATCAGCCTGCCATTCCCTTCATGGCCTTCCCCTCTATCTGCCGATGCCTGGTCTGTTTGTTCACTCATTTATCATTGCTGTCCCTTCCCAACCATAAGAAGAGTAATTAAAGGAGAGACTTTGTGTGTTCTGCTCACTGCCATATCCTCAGTCCCTAGCACAGTGCCAGCTTTAATGGATACTCAGTAAATACTAAATGAAGGAAGGAAGGAGTAAACAAAGGCAGGGATCAGTAAGTGATTAGCACATCGTTGTATAAGACACACTTTGTTGTGTAATGGTCCAGTTTATCTCAAAATCATCAGAATCCTGAGGTCTGCATTCGAATTCGTTTTGTAACATTTTTCACTCTGAAAGGTACACTAAGTGACCGTTTGTAAATAAGCCTCTTAAAACAGGCGATCTTCATATTCTTTGGGTCACGGATGCCTTTGAAAATAGAATAAAAGGTGAGGTGAACACACATGATTTTGTTGGACTCCTTGGAAACAAGGTCAGTGGTTACTAATAAAGAACAGAACTCCTGAAGATCAAAACCACGTCTTACCTCTAAGACTGGGCTTCCCAGTGGGTGGAAGAGCTGCCAAACAGTGTCTTGGAGCTCCACATAGACTCCTGGCTCCAGAGATGCCACAGCTGAAACAGAAGTGGTGTGAGAGGGCTCAGAGGTCAGCTGTTCTGGGGAGTAAGGAGTAACTATAAACTGAGGTCCCTGCCGGGGGAACAAGCACAAGGTCATATTTCTTGGAAAATATATTTGGCAGGAAGAGAGCAACGCTTCAGTATCTTAAGTCCCTAAAATAACTCAGATCAAATTGGTAGCTATTTCTTCCCAAAATTTACAAAATATTGTTACAAAAAGGGGTACGTTGGTATTAATTTTATGTTACTGATGAATATGAAATGTAGTTTTCAAGTCACCAATATTTTTGGAGTTCTAATGATCCTCCCCTGTTTTTCTTATGCAAATTGGCATTCCAGTTTGCAGATAGGTAATAATCAGATGGCTGTCTAAAGATCTCCACAGTTTAAACAAGTTCATTGCCATTCTTGTCTCTCCTTTGATCAGATGTATAATTTTTGTGATTGCTATGCAATCTAGAATTTAAAAGTGTTCCCAGCTTCATGTGAGGATCCATCTGAGTTTTTTCTTTTCCTTTTTTAAAGTTTGTACAGATTTAAAGGGTACAAGTGCAGTTTTGTACTCTTTGGGATACACTGTGTAGTGATGAAGTTCGGGCTTTTATTGTAGTCATCACCCAAATAATGTCTATTGTACCCAATAAGTATTAAATTTCTCATCATCCACTCCCCTACCACTTCGCACAGTGTCTGTCATTCCATACTCAAAGTCCACGTGTACATTAAGTGAGGATATGTTGTATTTGTCTTTCTGTTTCTGAGCTGTTCCATTTAAGATAAGTGGATGGCCTCCAGTTCCATCCCTGTTTCTGCAAAAGACATGATTTCATTTTTATGACTGAATAGTATTCCAGTGTGTGTGTGTGTGTGTGTGTGTGTGTGTGTGTGTCTGTCTGTCTGTCTGTGTGTGTGTGTGTGTGTGTATATATATATATATATATATATAGCAACATAAAAATATCAGGCTAAAAGGAGCATCGGTAGAAATTCAGTTGCTAATTAACAAGGAATTAGATGGAAAGGTGACCTCAAACACATCAACAAGATTAGCACATCATTGTATAAGACACACTTTGTTGTGTTTTTCTCTTTACATGCACACACACACACACACACACACTGTCAGTTTTAAAGACAGTGGAATGTGTGCCAAATTTCCTGTAACTAGATTCTATTTTGATGGTTTCATCCTTTTCATTTTTACAGCCCATTGTTTTCTAGAGTCCCAAATCTGATTCTGAAAGTCATTTAACTTTACCTTCAAAGATTTCAAAACTGATCTGTTTCTGATACATCCATCCAAGTTTCATCCAATGAGGCAAAGCCAGACACATATAACCTAATCTTGCTCCAGCTTACATGATGAGCTCCACGACAGTGGCAGTGAGGAACTCATGCCAAATCCAGTGGTTGCCACCAGAATCCCGTGGTGGAAGCTTGACTTAAGAAGGAAATCCCGTCAGATTCTCTGGCTTTCCAGCTATCTGTCTCTCTGTTAATGTCCTGACTGGTTTAACAAGCATGTAAAGCAGATGCTATATTTGCCTTTACGGTTTCTCTATGGAAAAAAAATCCAGTGAACGTTTTCTTCAGTTCTAAACCAGTTTTTTTTTACAATGCAGGTGCAGAGAGCTCCTCCTAAAAGCAAACAGTATTTTCAATTAGCTAAATATTTAGTCAGTCTACTACTCTAGTGAAAAAGGAGGTGGCTGTATTCTATATAAACTCATTCCTGTGTAGATCTCGAATGTATGTCTACTGTAGCTGGGTCATTTTGCTGTGCTGGAGGATACATTTTTTCCAGCCTCTGCAGCAGGATAGAATGCTTTTCATCTCAGAATAGTTTCTATCACACACACACACACACACACACACACACAAACATGTTTATTTTTTATTTTTTGTTATACTTTTAGGGTACATGTGCACATTGTGCAGGTTAGTTACATATGTATACATGTGCCATGCTGGTGCGCTGCACCCACTAACTCGTCATCTAGCATTAGGTATATCTCCCAATGCTATCCCTCCCCCCTCCCCCCACCCCACCACAGTCCCCAGAGTGTGATATTCCCCTTCCTGTGTCCATGTGATCTCATTGTTCAATTCCTACCTATGAGTGAGAATATGCGGTGTTTGGTTTTTTGTTCTTGCGATAGTTTACTGAGAATGATGATTTCCAATTTCATCCATGTCCCTACAAAGGACATGAACTCATCATTTTTTATGGCTGCATAGTATTCCATGGTGTATATGTGACACATTTTCTTAATCCAGTCTATCATTGTTGGACATTTGGGTTGGTTCCAAGTCTTTGCTATTGTGAATAATGCCGCAATAAACATACGTGTGCATGTGTCTTTATAGCAGCAAGATTTATAGTCCTTTGGGTATATACCCAGTTTAATATTAAGCACCTAAGCAACAAGCACTGATATGCAGGAGTTTATGCTCAGAAGTAGCTTAATGGGAAATTACAGGCTACCCTGAAAGGCAACAAACAAATCACAAAAATAAAGTGATGAAATGAGTGTCACACTTAAAAAGTCAGCTCTCCCAATATGAGACTTCTCCCCATTGTGCAGAACCGTTGTGGCCTCTCTCCAACAGAGAAATATTCTAAGGCAATTTCTCTAACAGTTTGGGTTGTATATGTCTAGAATGAGACCTGAGCAATCTGGACATAGGATAAAATATGATATGAAATTGTCTGTGTTCAGACCTTGACTCTTCCACTTTCCGGCTGTGTGACATTGGCCAAGTGATTTCAGTTCTCCGTGACTCAATCTTCACACCTGTAAAATGGGACTAATAATAGCGCCTTCCTCACAAGGGTGGTTGTAAAGATTAGTATCTCTAAAGGGTTTAGACAAGTGCCTAGCACATGACAAGTGCTATTAAGCATTAGATATTATTTTTCTACAAAGTGAATATTTGTTCAATGAATGAATGAATAAATTGATTTGGTCTTTTCTTGTGATCCAAGTAGGATTAACTATAATAAATCACATTTTATAAACAGAAAAAGTGAGTCAAAGTGTACTTTATGGTGTTTATTGGTCCCTCCAGAAAGAGACTTTGCTCCTCCTGGATGGAAGTACCTTGACTAAGGTCACAGAGACAAATTAGAAGCACAGTCAGAACTGGAAATCTCTGCAGTGCCAAGGCTAAGACCATGGCACTGTGGCTCCCCGAAGTCCAAGCATTCTGTTTTCCTACCTCAATTTCACCTTCTCTACTTGTAAATAACCCTGATCAAATTGCTCATCAAGCAATCATTTCTCTCTATGATTCAACCAGGAAATCTGAATTTGATTCATTTCTGAAATCATGAATTTGATTAATTTCTGGAAACACACAGTCATGAATAGATTGCAGTCTCATTGAGTCTCATGCTTGCTTTTCAAGTTTGGCTTTTTAAAATCAGATTACATTATAGCTTTAAATTAATGTTTCCTGATTGATTAAGAATAGATTGTTTTCTGCCTGTACTGTGACTTCAAGGAAATAATGATTGATATGATCCACAATGGAATACATGACGATTAGAACTTTTTTTAAAGTGAAAAACTCCCTACATGAAAAGATAAAAGTACACGTATAGTTATTTCTTTACATGTATATTATTTAGAATCCAAATAGAAACTTGAAATCTAAGCATGGTGGTTTATTGTTTGACTGTAGTTTCTTATCTGTTTAGGAATGGAGGTGTACAACTGTTTGTTTTGGGAAGGTATGTTAAGACGATGTGCCATTTGCTTCAATTCTGAGCCAAAAAATAAACTCTGATCACATCCATATCTCCAGGCTGCCCAGAGCAAGGAATGAATTTCAAGAAGTTGTGAAAGTTAAGAATCACCCATGGCATTTTTCCTTTTAACTCTGCACATCTAGACTAAAATCCTGGAAAAGAGAGGAATTCCAGACATGTATATTCATGAGTATGTGAATGAAATGCCAACTTCAAGATCAAGGAATTAACCCAGAACTTGACACGGACAATCTTAGCACACGATGTGATTTGATCTTATCTCCAAACATGTTTTAAAATATATTTTGCTATCAACTAATTAGTGGATTACCCTCAGAAAGAAGAAAGGAAACTTATACCTATAAGCTTTCTCTACAGTTATTTTGCTAAGGCTTCAAGTATTAACAGAGCATATGAGGTAAATTAATTACAGTTTTTCAAGCATAAAATAAATTCATGAAAGATAGTTTAAAAGTTGATAGTATTTTGGCATCTCAAATTTGGGAGCGCTCTGGTTATTTCTCTATCTAGGCGAATGAATGAAGAAATCTACACGCACATGGGGCCAGCGTTTTGAAAGAGAGCATTTCTAACGGCATGTGAGATTTTGCACCTGTAATTATTTTGGGGTACAAAATTGGCTACACCAATAATTGCTTCTATAAACAGCTAATTGTAGCTGCTGTTAGCCACTTGTGGGTGTAATTAGCTGCTTGCCCTTAATCTTCATGGAATGCCCAATTCTCCCTGTAATTAGTCAATTGTAGACGCTGTTTCTTTCACAAGACAGGAAAGACTGTGGGTTATCTCCTTTAAAATATTTTATAGAAAATCTTTAAATTTGAATATCAATTTATGGCAAATGTGAACAGAAATAATTCCACCTTATAAAATGAATTGGAAGTAGTTTTAGTTTCCCCACCCGTGTCTTAGGGACTACAGGCTGAACACTGCTGCAGGGATGCATTTATTTACAACAAAATGAATTATTACTGTCTATGTATTATGAACTGGTGTTATTATTTTTATTTTTTTAAATTTTACTTCTACTGGAAATGCATATAAAATGTTCAAATATCTCAGGGCAATTACATAACAGAATCCTGCTATAAAGGGCTTCAACATTTAGAAAGTTTGTTTACACCATGGACTTCTAAAGCTTACTAAAATCAGAGGCAGAACTTAGGAAAGTCTGTATTAAAACTGTGTTAGCTGCATGGCTTTGGGCGTGCTGTTTAACTTCTCTAATCTCAGTATTCTCTTCTGTAAAGTGGAAACAATCATTCTTCCACTTCTGGAGGTGGTTGTGAAAATCGTAGGAACAGTTGCTGATCTTAATGTAGCAAGCAAAATTTAGTTCTTCATAGTCATTGTAAAGCATAGCATCTTTCTCCCTGTAATGTTAAAATGTGGCTTTTATATTTGCTCCTCAAATAGGAAGATACCATTAGAAATAACATTTTTTCTAACCATTTCCTGCTTTCTTGCTTATGAATCTTCAGAATGGTGATCTTTTTTAAAAATAGAAAAGCATAAATATTTGAAAGTGGCAAATTTTAGTAGTGTATAATTAATTTTAAGATGCTATATTGATGTAATGGTTGCATATATGTTATATATTGTAACATAATGTATATATAAATATAAATTAGTACTATGTCAGTAGCATCACTCTCTAAAATGTTGCAAGTAATTCTTAGAATTCTAATCCTAAGAGCATCTTATGAGTCCCAATTAAAGAGTAAGATAGCATATGGAAAACTGGCCAGGATATCAGTTGTGGGGCTGCCAACAGAACCCCAGTCCTCAGGCCATATCTAGCCTGTTGGTCTTATACTACCAGCATTTTCTGATTATTTAACTACAGAAGAAAAACTCTAAAGTATTTTACTACTCCTGGGGTAATTTCAAACATAGCTTTAAATGATAATGATTTTGGCATAAATCATTCTCTGCACAAAAGATGGTATATATCCTGATTATTATGTGAGCCTTTGTGTGTCTGTGCATGTGTGAGAGTGTGTGTGTGTGCATGTCTGTGTGGATATATGAGTGAATAATGTTGTCATAAAATAGACTGGAAGCTTTGGGAGCTTGAAGCAATATCTTTCTTCACTAAACTGCTTTATTACTGCCATTCCCTCCCTCCTGGGCATGCAGTCAGCTGAGACTAGGCCAAATTGGCAGTCATTTTCAGAGAGCCTGGCAGGCCCGTGATCTCTGGGAGTTCCGGGGCTGCATTTCCTTCTCAACCAACCCTTCCAAGGGTCAGTAGCCACCCTGACTCCCGGGCTCCAGCTCGCCCATACTGGGACATGAGTCAGGACCAATATAAATTTATATCTTAAAGTCATACTGTGAAGGCATGCTCTACCCCCTGAGGTATTTTCATAGTGACAGTTCTCTTTCTGACTGCTTTCCTAATCCTCTAACTTCATAGCACATCATGCCAGAATTCTTATAAGTGGCCAGAAGGAAGAAGGCTCTTTGGTGACCAAGGGGTTAACTTGATAATATAGTTTTTCTTAAAAAAAAATAATTTGGGGAGATGTGTTGACTGTTGATAAGCAGACCTGAAATAATAATAGCAGAGGCTGCTTATCACGGGCAGGCAATAGTTCTATGACAATGTTCCAGCTGATGAAAAAAATGGGAACAAAAATTAATAGTGACAGTACCGGGAGAAACAAGCCACAAATTCGATACTAAGTCATAAAATACAGAGTAACCCAATAAACACATGCTACTGTTATTATATTAATATTGTTAAAAATATCATAACATTTTAAAAATGGAATAGAGGTGAAAGAACACTTTTTTTAGAGGTAATTTTCACTCGTTGTGGCTTAGAGGCAGAGGAATTTTTTTTTTCTTTTACTAAACATACTAAAACTCTAGCTTGGGTAGCATAGTCAAGAACCTGACTTAGAAACAGAGCAAACACCGGATGATCACATTTCTTCTCCAAAGGAGGGATGGAAGATGGAACTACCATTTATTGAGGGATTTTTTAAATGAAGCAAGCACTTCGTATTTGTAATGTCAACGCATTATACAAATAATATTTGAGGCAGGACTTCTTTTTCACATTTTTGAACTAAGAACAGTTAAGGACATTGTCCGAAGCAACACAACTAGTAGGTGGCAGAGTTGAAATACAAATCGAAGGCTGTCTGGATTCCAAATTTATAAATCAGATGTTACAAGGACCAGAGCCTTAAGTATAGAAGAGACAAAAAGAGGGGGTCGGCTGTGACCCCCTCAGGGAACGTTGGGCCCATCTAATCAGCGCTGCTGGCACACAGTGACAGCTGACTGTTATCACTTCTAGACTGGCTGATTTTTCCAGATAAGCCAAGAATCTAGATTCTCATGTGAAGCCTCACTTTTTAACCATGAGCATAAAGGAATCAGGCTGGGTCCCTTGAATTGCCCAATGGCTGACTTTTGAGATGTTGTCCTCTCAAGTCCTTATTCTTACCACCACTCCACACTTTTCCCACAAAAACAAAAACAAAAAAAACAGGCAAAGTTGTTTTGGAGATCTTTTTGAGGATTTTTGATTAATGCCTGTTTCACTTTAGATATTTGTCCTTCAAGAAGTACTTTCATTCTAGACTCTCTTAGCCTAATATTGTGTCTTTCCCCTCTAGAAATCCCTAATCATGTCACAAATATTAACTGCAGTCCAGTGAGAAGTGCATTGTCATGTAGAAAAGGAGAACACTAGTTACTGAGAAAGTTTCAAATCTGGTCCTCATCATTGGAGTTTTATTGCCTTTGAGAAGCTTGCATCAGTTGCTTGACTTGTAAAATGTAAAAGATCAATAATGAAAAGAAGTCCTTCTTAGAAAGCATAAAGGACTTTAGCATTCTTATTTCCAATTGGTGAAATAGATACAATGAGGTCATTTGACTAGACCAAGTGTGTGCACTCACTAAACATGTACACAAAACTGAGTGTTCTACACTCTTGCCCAGATTTCTGGAAATGAATTTGATGATGGTGACCCTCAAATCGATGTGCCAAAGCTGGCTAAATAAAAGGTCCTTTAGTATCCAGAGCCCCTTATTTGCCCAGCTTGAATATGACCAACATGACATATCAAATTAGATGTCTGTATAAATTTCAGAAAATCACACTGGATTTATGAAGACTAATTTGCTAATGTTTTTAATCTCCCGATGGCTAGCCTTGTAAATAACAGAAATGAGTTCACTGCCGGCTACACATTTTATTTCCATTTCTGGTTGTTTTCTTCCCCCTTTATTTCAGCCCTCTGTGTGTGATAGGCTTTCATTCTCGACAAGACATCAGAACTTGACTTAATAGGCAGCAGGGGTAAAATCGCCAGCTCTTTACATGTAGGGAATCCTGAGGTACATACAAGCCTCGCTCTAAGATGTGATAACGTAATCTAAAGCCAGGCCCAGCCTGTCAGTTCAGGTCTAAAGGGATTTGATTCAGTGTCAGAACCTTTGGCTCACAAGGTCACTTTCTGTTCTTGCTTTTCTTATAACAAAAGCAGGAAGGGGGGGGCGGTGCGGTGATTCTGGGGTGTGTGTGTGTGTATGTATGTGTGTGTGCTTGCACGCGTGTGCATGCACACGTGTTTTTTCAAGCCTTGCGAATTCCTCAGCTGCTGTTTGTTGAGCACAGGGCCTTTATTTCGGCCTCCTGAAACATTTTCATTAGACAGGAGCCTCTGAAGTATGCTCGAGACGTGGATAGTGCAACTAAAAATCGTAGGCCTCTCCAGAAGCAGCCTGATTGAAATCAGCACTGTGTCAGGGCCTGTCATATCTCAGAAAAGACATAAAACACACGGAAACATCAATAAGCAACAAGCTTCTGACAGCTCTGAGACATTCCAGCTGACAAGAAGAGAAAGGGGGTGAGGTTAGGGCTCAGGGGGGATATTTAAAATGCCTAACAGCCAGCCGAAGTGTTGGCAGGCTTCAGGGAGGCCGAGAGAAGACAAGATAAAGTCTATCAGGTTATCACCTGGTTCGAGGTGGACTCCTCCTTCCAAGGCCACTGGGATGAAATGATGACACAATTGCTCGCACCTCATCCCACCCCCCTTTATTTTTAAATGTTTCTGAGAATCAAGCTGCATTTATAGTGTTGCCCAGACAACGTTTGTGCAGGAAAAGATTTTTTTAATGTTAAAAAGAAAAAAAAAAGGAGAAATCTGTGAATTAAAGAATTATGCTTCTAGCTACAATGTACAGAAATCAAAAAGGATTAACAAGGTTTTTTTTTCATTTAATTTCCTGTACACCAGAAGCTTTTGTTAAGAGATCAGAGATATTGCTATTTATTGAATTTTTAATATGATCTTTATTAAAAGGCAGCACACATGTTGGGGTTTCCTTCTCTCTCTCTTTTTTTAACATGCATGGATATAAAAATCAAAGGCCAGGAATGAACCATGGTTGTTTGATTTCAGTGCTTTTGTAACATGGGTGAAGATTTGGATATAGTACATATTTAAAATTGTTAAAGAAAAACAGATAAATGGCCCTCTACTTTTGAAAATGGTTTTTGGCCTTCGGAAAAAGGATCGGTCATTAGGTGTTAACCCTTCAAGTATTTCAGCCAGCTAGGAGAATTTCCAGAAATGTCTTCTAGCCCAGTATGGTCCATTACAGGAAGGTAAATGAAAGAAAGAGATAATGATTTAGGTTCTGGTTTTTATTCTCTTTCATAGGCTATGTAGGGCACATATTCTTCCTACATGCAGACCTCTGGCTGATATTCAAAGAAATCTCTCTTCATTAAAAAAGTTGAGATGCATCCTTGGGGGATGCAAATTGGTAAATTTGGATTCTAGAGTCATAGATCACAGATTCGAAAGGAGGGGCTGTTAATACCCTTAAGAACTTGAAGGCTGAGTTCATTCTTTAGGATCTAGAGGTTATTTCTGGAGACCCCAACTGTGTGTGCACAATTCTGCTTTTCCCATACTCAGATCTTATCTATTCTATGTCAATTATCCCATACTCATTTGTGCTTTCATGTAAAACCAACCAACTTTAAAAAATGGAAAAGATAGACATACAGTAAAAAGCGGTGTGGTAGAAAACCAAGTAGTCCAGCACCATTGCCTGAATTACCTGGGGCAATTTCCCCCTTATCACTGTTTCAGTTTTTCATCTATGAAATGAGAATAATGATACAAGGAGTTGTTGATAGGATGAAATGAGATACTGTATGTGAAACTGCCTTGTAACCTAAACAGTGCAATTCTTTTGTCATCTTTTTAATAAAAGCAAGAGAAAGAGAAAAAGAGTCCAATAATGAAGGAGAGGAAATTAATAGCATAAAAACTTAGGCTACAGTTAGCAACAGCTATTGCACAAAAATGTATTGCCAAGTCCACCACCCGGTTTGCTATGCTAGAGGAGCACTGGGATTCCCTTCCAGCCATCAAAATGCAGAGCAGGCAACAGCTGAAGTGGGAAGCAGGACCACGTTACTGTGGATGACTAATTATAATAATCCAAGGAATGTGATCTGATTACCGGTGCCTCATGGTTCCCTTGTATTACGTCCTCTGACTCTTACAACAGTCTTATGAGAAAATAAGTGTCTTTAGTCTGATGTTCACACACAAAAAAAAAAACCTACAGAAAGTTTAAGTTTCTCCCCCACCATCCTATTAGAGAATTTTTTGTTTTATTAGAAGCACATCCTCTTCTTTGCAATTTTTCTTGCTCTTGTCGTCCAAGGAATCCTGGTGGTATTAGAAGCCTGGGAAGAAGCCATACTTAGGCCTAATGACAGAGGAAGGAAAGAAAACAGAACAGAACAAAGTCAGAGCCAAGAGTTTCCATGTCTGGTAGTGAGTGGAGTCTTCAGTACCGACATGGTCCTGGCAGGGGCTGAGGGTCCTTGCTTTCCTGGTTCTTCTAACCTGGAAGGTTCCTCATTATTTCATGACTGCACTACAACCAAACTTCAGCCCGCATCCCTGAAAGAACAGGGGACTGCAGGGAATGGTGGTCTCTCATGTTCTGTGCTGTTTCCATGTTCCTTTTGCATGCCCTGTTGGTTGGTTAGATAGGAAATCCAAATCAAAAGCCACCTTGTACCTGTAGAAGTTGGCATTCTGGCCAGTTTGGAAGTTATGCCAACCCTCTGTGAACTGGCTTAGTGAAACTTCCCAGGTTAATAACTGCTCAAGCTTGGGCTTAAAAAGGTGTCTAGAAAGCATTTCTAGCCACACAAATCTACACTATGAATTCCTACTATCTTATGTAACCAGCTACAGGGAAAAATCCCAACATTAAAAGCTCTTTTTAATGTCCTACCAAACACAGTTTGATTGGAAGTTTCTTGAGTCCAGCTCTATGGATATTTATCCACGAACTTCTATTCCCTAGAACAACAACCAGAATAAAACTGAAGTTGAAGTAAAGCATTTTCTGTTTTTGCAGCCCTCTGGCTCTTTTGACACTTAAATTATAACAAAATAAGACAATTTTAAAGTAATATGTGTGACTCACTATAAATGTGATGATGTGTGCTTCAGTTTTTTTAATGTTTATTATTCATTCTTTCATATAAAACTACTTAATATGGAAAACCAAACATCGTATGTTCTCACTTAGAAGCGGGAGCTAAGCTATGAGGATGCAAAGATATAAGAATGATATAATGGACTTTGGGGACTTGGGGGTTAAGGTTGGGAGGGGGCTGATGGATATAAGACTACATATTAGGTACAACGTACACTGCTCAGAAATTACCACTAAAGAACTTATTCATGTAACCAAAAACCACCTGTACTTCAAAAATTATTGATATTAAAATTAAAATTAAAAAAATTAAAAACCTATTTACAAACCCAATGCTATCTTGCATTCGAAAATATTATATATTAAACAAAATAAATTTTGATAAAAGCTATTTTCTCATCTTTATAATAATATATTTACTGTTGTGTTATTTTATGAATGATACTATTTTAATAAAGTTATTTGCATTCTGCCAAAAAAAAAAAAGCCACTAAGTGAACAACTTCTATATGTTAAGTGCACGCTGGATGTCAGGATTTATTGTTCAACTCTCTTTGGCTCCATGGTATTTTCTGGCATAGAATTTCTATTAAGGTAAACTATGGGGGTGGTAAGAAACTGATTTGATGCAGGCGGTTTTTCCATAATGACACCTATCTTGATAATTCCCAATGTTCAGATTTTAGGCTTGTGGGCAAATACTCAGTTTTCTGGGCTCCATTAAAAGATTTATTTTTAGGTTGGAGGAAATGAGGAATTTTTATAGACATAGAAGTTGTAGGGAGCTTTGTTTTATTTGTGGCGAAAATATCATGCTGAAAAAAATATAGTGGCCAATACTTATCAAAAGAAAGAGAACTGATGAGAAAAATAATATAGAAAGAACCTGCATTTCTATATTATCCAAGCAATAATTTAAGATAGAGAACATATTCAGTGCTTCCCATGATTTTTCATTATCTTACAAAGTTTAAAGATAATTTCTTCATATCTTAAATGTTGATTATAACATTTAACTCCTTTTTCTCTCAATTTTGACAGATATACAATTGCACATCATCATGTTGAAACAGTATTTTAATGTACAACTAAACATACTTCATTTAATGGCTAAGGAAATAAAATCTAGAAAATTTACAGATAAACTAGTATTACAAGTCCAATAATTCACTCACAATGGATTCTCAAGAGAGAGTGATACAAAATGAACATTATGCACTATCTTATCTTTATTTACATTTGTCAGTTTTGCTGTGCACATGACCTGAACACTTTTTGCCCCTAAGAAGCATTTGTTACCTTCTCACTTGGAAGATCAGTGACTTTTGCCCCTTCTGACCATCACCCTTTCCCCGCAAAAGGGAACTGAACTCGGAAATTCACCTTTCTAATTAATACAGACAGTTGCATGGTTTTAATAATAGTCTTCACATCTCTCTACTTGTCTGGAAGCCTCCAGAGGGCGGAACATAACAGTTATGGTTTCTATCGCCCCTGTTTTCATTCCACCTGGTGGTGCTTAGTAGAAGCTCCATGATGGCTGTCAACAATTGAATACATTTTATCAAACATTTTATATTAAATCGAGCTGAACTTTTAAAAGCCTGGGAGTTGCTATGACGTAGGAGTCAGAGGCTTGGGCTTACAGAACAGACTTACTTTCAAATCCACAAAATATCTAATCTTAGTTGTGAGACCCAGAATTAGGAGACATGACTTCAATCTCACTAAGCTTGTTTCCTCATCTGCAAGCAGGGAATAATACGGATCGTCGTGGGGATGAAATTAACTCAGATAAAGTGCTTAGCATAAAAGTTACTTAGTTACTTACTTTAACTCTTACTGTTATCATGATTAAATAACTTCTCCAATATTGTTTTAGATAATTGCATTTTAATGAATGTCCTTGGCTTTGGATAGCTTTGTAAAGCATTTTCAAATCCAAGTTCTGGAAATAACATGTCACCCTTTTTTTTCCCTTCCAGATTATACTTAGTAGTCACCTAAGAAAAGAACTAATCAGCTATTTGAGTCATGATATATAGCAATTCGTATAATCCAGGAATCTCTTATTCTAGGAATTAAATATAATATTTATTTTCTGAACTCTTTGCTTTTTAAACCATTCTTATATTTTAGTTGTTAATTGCATTAAAATTTAAAATTTTTGAATCATTACAGTGATGGCTAAAACTACACAACTAAAATAGTCAGAATATTTATTTGTAGAAACCTGGCGATTAACTTCCTGGAAGATATTTATATAGAAAAAAATTATGTGTTTTATTCCAAAAGAAAACAGAACAACAAATGAAAAGTCTTTAATGGGATGTTATTTACATGCTCTTTTTTCTGTCTACTTTTTCAAAACAAATGTCCCTATTATATGAATTAGCCCATCAACGTTAGCATAGGCAGATAAATAAAATGTATGCAAATACCAAAGATGGGTTGGGAAGTCCTTTGGACTGCTCTTCTTTTTTTTTTTTTTTTTTATTGAGACGGAGCTCACTCTGTCGCCCAGGCTGGAGTGCAGTGTTACCATCTCGGCTCACTGCAACCTCCGCCTCCCTGGTTCAAGGGATACTCCTGCCTGGAACCTCCGCCTCCCTGGTTCAAGGGATACTCCTGCCTCAGACTCTCAAGTAGCAGGGACTACAGGTGCACGCCACCACACCTGGCTAATTTTTGTATTTTTAGTAGAGACAAGGTTTCACCATGTTGGACAGGATGGTCTCGATCTCTGGACCTCGTGATCCGCCCGTCTCAGCCTCCCAAAGGGCTGGGATTACAGGCTTGAGTCATTGTGCCAGCCCTAGACTGCTCTTCTACTATGAAACCTCTCAAAAGGCCATTCATCTAAACTGCCTCATCCACAATATTCTCAATGACAGGACAGAACAATACCATCCTAGTACTCACCAAAGCTAATAGTTTGACAGTACTCACATTTTATTGATTTCCTGGATTCTTCTGTTTGGGGAATGAAATGCTACTGACCTAAGTAGGTATTTTCCATCCAGGCATATGACAGACAGCTACTGTAGACAACATCTCAAAAGAGGACTATTTTAAAATACACCCACCTGAAAAGTACAGGTCACCAAAGTGTATTTCAACTGTAGGTTCTTTACCAAATGTGCATTTTTAATTCCTTCCCCCCAAAAAACACATTTTAGCTTTTCTATCTTTTCTATCAGATGTAGAATGAATATAATAGTAGCATCTATCCTTGAAGGATTTTTGTGAGACTTAAATAAAATAATCCTTGGAAAGTACTTATTCCAGTGCCTCGACCATTGTAAGCATTCTGTAAATATTTTCTATTTTTAAATGTTACTATTTTATAATGAATCTAAATATCCAATTTCAGAGTAGTAACATATTAGTTTGAATAAATGAATTATAGACAATAACACTGATAGAGAATTTTTGTTACTTTTAAAAGATTATAAAATTTTGAAATAGAATTAAAGCTCCTGTCTAACTAGAATTACATGGTACACAGTTATTTTTTAAAGCCATCTTGGTTTTCCCCTGAAAAAAAAAATCACTTTAATTTTTATGTAAATATATGAAATTGTGTGAATAAATAATATGTGAAAATCAGAGAGACTGAGGAAATGATTGACATCTGGATTACTAACCCATTTTCATCATAACTTTGGAAAGATTATCAGAGGTATAACATAGGAGGGCAGCTCATAACTTTCTCAAGAAATTAGGACAGTGAAAATGATCTCAAATTATTACAAGAGATTTGAATATATTCGTGCTGACCTCTTATCAACAGCATTATTTGGGAACAAAGCAAACCACTAGGAATTGAATCTTCAATCTTTCTCTCTTTCTCTCTTTTTCACTAAAGGATACTATAAACAAGAATTTGTGTTCATTTACACAGTACTGAAAGCAAGAGATGGGGAAGAAATGTTGGAATAATCTCGCTTTTTAATATATGTGTTCAAATGGGGAATGTTTATGATTCTACCAAAAGGAGTACCAAGTAAATGATGCAACAGTGCTGTGAAAACTTTAACTCAGCTTTCTGACCATTTGATTTATTTATTTTCTGACCATTATAATTTATTCTCTAAACAAGATCTAGCTAAAAAATAAGAAAAAAAGAACATCCAAGTAAAAGATTTGTGTTATGATGGTTAAAAAAGAGCAGAATTAGAATCAAGCCAACACTTTCAAAGAGTGGGACATTCTGCAGACACACTGGTCCATTCTGTTGAACAAGTCATGGTCACGGGACAGGAGATGTGCTGAACTGAAAGAGATTCGCAGGCATAGCAGCCAGTTTCAATGTGGGCTCTGCAATGTACCTTGTAAAAGATATGTAGGTTTAATAATGGAAGCCAAGCACAGCCTGAATATCAGTGGATGAACATTTACTGAAATGGATACATGTAGATCATTGGCTGGAAAAAGCAGATTGCAAGAACTGTGTGTATAGTACGATCTCATTTTACTAAAAATACGTGCACAGTGAAAGATCCAGCAGATGCATAAACTGATAACTGTAGCGTTGTCTGTAATCATAAAAGAATTTTTTTAAAAGAACCCTTCTGATTTTCTATTTACCCTGCTAAAAGAGCACTGGGAATTGTTGTGTGTGTGTGTGTTTCATAACTAAACAGACCCAAATATCAATGGGAAAAATGTTCCATTGAAGCAGACGCAACCATGCTACCATGTAATCATTTTTACACATTGTGTCTAAGAGCCTTTTGTATTTTTCAAAGTCAAGTTCACCCATCACTTCCTTTGATGTTTACCTGACAATCAGTGCTATTTTTAGGAGTTAAAGGAAAGCAAACTGATTTTTCCTTTGCCTATAGTTATTAGAAGATGCACTTAAAACCCCTGACTTGAAACTGTGTCACGAGATACTGAGTGGGTACTGAGGGAACTAATGAAAGCCTCTTTGGAGACACTTGATTCTTAGAATCTCAAGTAGTACTGTGCTGGAATGTTACACTGCGGCCCATAACTTTAGCAGGCAGTCAATAAATTCTAAGCCTCAGCGAGCAAAGCTCCCTCTGTGTGACTTCCCTCGTAAAGACAATTACTGTGCTGAAAACGCGTCTGCATTTACAAACAACTCTTGAATGCTCCTGTGCCCCCTTCTGCTTCTGATTAAGAACTATTATTTATAAAAGGTTATCAAATTCTAAGTAAAGTTCATTCTCTTGTTGTTTTTATGATGTCACATGTACCATTTTAATTAAAGCACCCTGCATTGTAATGAGTTTACAATTTATTTGCATTCAATTAGTGAGCTTTGGAAAAGAACCATATTCGCATACCCTCTTCTACTCTTTCCCTTTTAAAATGTTACAAAGATAATTATCTGGGAAATGGAAACTCTGAAATCGGGAGTTTCAAAACCATTTGAATCACATTAAAAACATTACCAAGTCTAAGAAGTTATTTTTCTGACAGGGATATAACCGAACCCGGGCCATGGTTTCTGATAAGCTGATGTGATAATTTCTCTTCGGCAACCCGTAAAGATTTGCGGGCATTTAACAGGTTCCTCGTGAAGAGGGGCACAACCTATAGAAAACAAGGATGCCATTGTCATTTGGGGATGGTTCAGCTTGGAAAGCTGAGATTGTTTAGAAAATTCAAATGTTCCTAATCACCTTTCTCTGATAATGTGGCATTAATCCTACCTTACATTTTTCCTTCCTGTTTTCGTGGAAGAAATACTCGTTCCATATTTCTTGGGTTTTTTAATACTGAATAAAGTTAGCTGAAGTTTCTTTCATTTTAAAGAGGGTAACTGGGATTTTAAATGCAACCTGACTTTAGCTTTCTCTTGCATAAATTTGGAACATTTCACATTATCTGAGTTACTTTTTTTTTAATCTCTCATGAGAAGTGAAATCATCTCAATGTTTCCTTGCTCATTTCAATTCTTTGATGTAGCATTATCTTTTCCCCCCATCATGAACATCCTCTATGGCAATAATCCCTTTCCTCTGCAACAAAAGAATCTGGAGTTTTTCATTAAAGTCCAGTTCAGCAAAATACAGCCATCTGTTTGACTCTGTATCTTAAATGTCACATTGCTTTGATGAGAGACCAGATGCCCAGCCGACAACTGTACAGATGTAATTGGTCGGGTATCAAACATCTAACTTCAGGGCCACTTTATAGGTACATATTTGGACCTTGACCAGTTTTCTCCTTAATAGATGAAAACAAGGGGAGTGTTTGAGTCATGTTAATATCTTTATTAAGTTGTACCACAGTTTGCTCTTTTTGAAGATTAATTCTGGTCTTTGTCTGTCTTCTTTTGAATCTACCATTCAATCCTGGTTGAAAAATGTCTACTCCTCCCTCTCCACCCTGTCCCCTCTGAAGACCCTAACCCTCAAGGCTCCCTCTGTTCTCCCCAAACTGAACGTCTTGGTGTTTGATTTTCCCACTCCTGATTTTACACTTCCTCCACCCTGGCTCTGAGACCTGGACTAATGCCTCCCTTTCAAGTCTGCCCGTCCACTTGCTTCGAATACCACCTCTTCACAAAGCTCTCTTTATGTGTTTTGTGGCACTGGGGAGTGGTTTTGGGAAGTGGGTAATGAATGTATTCACGTATGTAGTGGAGGGTGAGAAAATAGAATGGATAATTGGATTTTGAACAGACTCGTTATCCAAACTCAAGACACCAAAACATGAAATTAAAGTAAATGGTTTATATATCACTTAATTATGTAATATATTTCAAATTCTACAATGGTAGGGGTCAGATATTTTGTTTCTTTTTTGTTCAGCCTCTTTCACTAAGGACTTAACAAGTAACTCTGAATGGAATGCATAACTTTTCAGCAGGAGAACGATGCAAAATGACAGTGCTTTCAGTTAGATGAAACCTTCAAGAACATTGGAAAAGCCTCTAGTTGGTCCATAGGTGGATAACTGAAAAAGGCCTGGAAACTCTTCCATACTCACTTAAGGTCAAAGGCCCATTTGTACCAGAACTAGGATCGGCATTCCATCCCCTCAGCCCCGATTCAGTCAGGACCACTTTACTTTACCAAATAATTGTAAAGCTTAGATTGTTATGATAACTCATTTTGGCATCCATACCTTACCGGCTATTCTAGGGTTAACCACTGAAGTTCTGGTCAATATTTGAGCTTTTATTAAGTTATGGAGTAGCCAAAACTGTATGCCTGGTGGGGAGGGGAAAACCGTATGCAGTATTTTATGTACTCCAGCAAGGTATAAATTGATTAGAAAGTCAATAGACAACGTATAGGCATTTCATAGTATTTGTCTCCACCAAATCTCCATGTGGTGAGGAAAGGGCCATGAAATTTAGGGTAAAAAGAGTATCTGTGCCATCGACTTAACACATTTGCCTTCATAGTATATTTCACTAATCACAATATGGACAGCTACTAGATGTAAGGACATTTTTGGGGGCTACTTAGGAAAATCAGAGTCTGGAAGACAATTTAAGCTACAAAACAGCAAGCATTTATCCAGAAGGGAAAGAAGCCAGGGGAAGTCTTCAGAATGAAATGATCTCTGCTATAAACCTAAGTAATTTAAAGAAAGAGTTTGGAAAGGGAGGAAGGGACAGAAAGAAATTATAGATCACTAGAGCAAAGAGATATCAGACTACAAAAATAATAAAGGAACCAGATTCTCAAACCACATTTAGTAGCCCAGATCTGTTTTATGGGCATTGTGAAGCCAGTCAGGGCCTACTGAAGGCAATGCTCTGATGAGAGCTACATTTTTGGGAGGCCTTGGTTTAGACAGGGGCAATTTGCAGGGAGACCAAAGGCCGGGAGGCAAGTGACGATGCTGCGGCAGCCTCTGATTGAGAGAGACTGCAGAGTTCTATGAAGGCAGCATCCAGATTGCTTCTTATGTTTAAATGGCTCTTGCTAAATCCTGTTCTGTTTTTCTTCTCCCTTCTCCTTGCCTCCTCCATCTGGAAGCCTCAAAGTGTCCCAGCATCATGTACCTGACCAAACCCATTCCTTGCAACCTCACCTCAATCACAAAGCTGAAGGACAAATGGGGAGTTCAGTGTGTGCCTGGACCATATGCCCTACATTGGATCTCAAAGCATGTCCTCATGGAACTTAATAATACTAGCTGATGTTTATTGAGTATTTCTTATATGTCTGGCATGAATGCCTACAACAACCCTCTGAGGGAGGGACTATTATCATTCCACTTAACACGCAAAGAAATGAGTAGAGAGAGAGAGGAGAAGGTAACCTGTTGAAAGTCACACAGCTTGGAAGAGGTGGGATTGGGACTCAGACCCATATCATTGAACTTTGGTGCCCAGCCCTGACCACTCAGCTCCTTTGCCTGCCTCTTCTACGTGGCTGTAATAGGTGGGATTAACCACCATCTGTTATTATATCCTGTCAATAGAAAATCCATTTCCAGGTTCCAAAGGACCAGCAGTCAAGTGTACATTTGAAACAGGTCACACTGAGAAATTTGCAAAACCTATGTGAAGAAATTCACAAAAGTTAATGCAAGGCCATAAAAGAAGACTCAAACAAATAAGGAAACATTCTATGCTCCTAGACAGTAATGCGGAGGACTCTGAGAATGGCAATACCCTACCAAATGATTCCGAAATTTAATATAACTCCAAACAAAATGGCAACAGGAGTCTCTGGAACTTGAAAAATAAATCATAATATTTATCTCAAAGAAAAATAATGTACACAAATAGCCAAGAAATTTTAAAAATATAAATAAAGGACAACAAAAAATAGTGGGAACTGGGATTGCTATGCAAACAGCAAAATATATTACAAAGCTGTAATCATTAAGAGCATGTATTTGTATTGCCTTAGAATAGTAAATCACTGGAGAGATATAGAAACACAGAACGAAATATATAAATATAGATAGATAGAAAGATGATATAGATCTATATAGGTATAGACATACTGTATATATTGGAATTTAATATGTAACAATGGAGTGATTTTGAGATAGTGAAGAAATGGAAGAATATCCAGTAAATGTTAAAAAAAAACTGTTCAGTTGACAAAAAAGCAAAAAAGCTACAGCACTATGCAGAATATTCAAAATAAACTATAGATACATTTAAAAACTAAAGAAAGAAACTTAAATTATCAAAAGAAACTCTTGAAGTACTTTGTTTCATTTTCAAAAACCTTTTTATTTACATACAAAATACCAATGCCAAAACAAGAGAACTCAGTACATTGGGCTTTATCAAATGTGTAACTTGGTATGAAAAATATCATAAACTGAACTAAAAGTCAAATGATAGTCTTGAGAAAATCTTTGTTACTGCAAACAAAGAAGTATTATTTATAATATAAAAGAACTCCTTTAGGTCAATAAGTTGAAGACAATCTACCCAAAAGAAAAATTGGTGCCTAGATTAACCAAAGCAATCTTAAAAAAAATATTTTTTTGACAGTTCCTACTTTCCAATCTCAAAACATATTACAAAGCTACAACAATCAAGACAGTGTGGTACTGGCAGAAAGATAGACAAATAGATAGAACTGAGACTTCAGGGCAGAAAAACTTTTCCATTTATGGTGAACTGATTTTTGACAAGGGTGCTAAGGCAACTCATTGAAGAAAAAATAGCCTTTCAACAAACTATTCTGGAACAACAGGATATTCACATGTAAAAGAGTGAAATTGGACCCCTACCTCATATCATATGAAAAAATTAACTCAAAATTGATCAAAAACCTACACGTAAGAGTTTAAAACAGGTTGGGTGTGGTGGCTCATGCCTATAATCCCAGCACTTTGGGAGGCCAAGGCAGGCAGATCACTTGAGCTCAGAAGTTTGAGACCAGACTGAGCAACATGGCAAAACCCCGTCTTTACAAAAATACAAAAAAAGTAGTCAGGTGTGATGGCATGCACCTGTAGTCTCAGATATTTGGGAGGCTAAGGCAGGAGGACCACTTGAGCCCAGGAGATCAAGGCTGTAGTGAGCCCAAATCACGCCACTGCATTCCAGCCTGGGTGACAAAGTGAGACCCTGTCTCAACAACAACAACAACAAAAGAGTTAAAAACATAAACACTTAAAAGAAACAAAGGAGCAAATCTTTGTGAGCTTGGATTAGGCAATGATCACAAATGACATGAACTAAAAGTGTCCCAAAAAAATAGGTTAATTTGACCTCATCAAAATTGAAAACTTTCATGCTTCGAAGGACACCATCCAGAAAGTGAAAAGATAACCTACAGAATGAGATAAAATATTTGCAAATAATGTATTTGATAAGGGACCTGTATCCAGAATGCAAAATTCTTACAACTCAATAATAAAAAGACAACCCAATTTAAACATGGACAAAGAATGTGAATAGACATTTTTCCAATGAAGATATACCAATAGCGAATAAACACCTGAAAAGATACTCAACATCTCTATTCATCAGGAAAATACAAAGCAAAAGCAAAATGTGACTACTTCACACTCCCTGGGAAGGCTGTAACAAAATGCACAGATAATAACAAGTGTTAGCAATGATGTGGGAGAATCTGGAATCTTCAGAGATGGCTGGTGGGAATGTAAAATGATTCTTTGGAAAACAATCCAACAATTCCTCAAAGGATTAAGCTTAGTTGTTACATAACCCAGCGATTTCATTCCTAGATGTATACCAAAGACAATTAAAAGCATATGTTCCAAAGCTTGCTCATGAATGTTCATAGTGACATTAAAATAGCCAAAAAGGGCAAACACCCTCAGAGTCCATTAACTGATAAATGGACAGACAAATTATGGTACATCCATACAATGAAATATTATTCAGCCACAAAAAATAATGAAGTACTGGTACATGCTACAACAAGGGGGAAACTTGGAAAACATCATGCTAAGTGAAAGAAGCCAGGCACAAAAGGCCCTATATTGTATGACTGCACTTATATGAAATGTCCAGAAGAGGACAATCCATAGGGACAGAAAGTAGATTTGTGGTTGCCAGGGAAGGACAAGGGCGAGCGACTGGTAAATGGGTATGACGTTTCTTTTCAGAGTGATCAATGCACAACTTTGCAAATACACAAAAACCATCACATTGTACACTTTACACAGATAAACTTCAAAGTATATGAGTTATATTTCAAATAAGCTGCTATTGCTTTTAAGGACAAAGATTGAACAGAAAATTCACTAAAGGTCAACACACAATGAAGACAGGCTCCACTTCATTGGCAATTAGTAAAATATGATTAAAATCATGAGGAGGTATTATTTTTCATCCATCAGATTTGCAAAATCAGCACATCTGACAATCTCAAGACCTGCAGAGGATGTAATGTAATGTAATCAGAAATATCATAGAGACTGGTGAAACTTGAATTGGTACAGCTCCCTTGGAAAACAACATGGCAACACCCAGTAAAACTACAAATGCATTCATTGCCTCAACGATTTCACTTCTGGTTTAAACTGTAGAGAATATTTGCATGTGCACTCAGTGAGAAAGATATTCATTACAGCATTATCGTTGACAGCAAATCATTGGAAACAATTTAATTTATTTTTTATCAAGGAAAGAATACTCAAAGAAATTGACATATTTGTATCATGGAATATTATGCAGCATATTAAAGGAATTAGGCAAATCTTTAAGTACTGCTATGTAACATTTTAAAGTCATTTTAGAATTGCAACAATAGGTACACTTTGATCCCAATAGTGATTTAAAACACACAAGTTATTTGTGTATATGCACACGCATATATTCGTATTTTGCACCACAAAGATGCAAAACACACTGCTTATAATGGTTACCTCTGAGAAAGGAGTGAGTGTCAAGGAGGGCTTTAATTTTACACATGTTGTTTGTTTATTGTTAATGAGAATTGTTTATCTCATATAGTTAAGAAGGAAGTTTGAAAGGAAGATAGGAAGGGAGTTAGGAAAGATAGGTAAGGAGAATGGGAGAAAAGGCAGAAGACAGGCAAATCATGGCTTATAAGGTTGGTGGGAGGCTGCCTGTCATTTGGCTTCCTGCAGAGAACCCCAGAAAGTCAATAGTTTTGTGACTATTAAACTCACAGTTATGGCTTTTATTGACTGAATTCTAATTTATAAAGTCTCTACAGCAAAAATTTTCATGCAGCATCCACAGAAATAATTATTAAAATACTCTGCTCTTGAAAATTATCAATAACACTCCCCCATCATCAACTGAGCAAACCTGTTGGACTAAAGCTATCAAAGATTGTTCACCAAGCAGTGAGGCTGCCTAATACATATGCTCTGCTCATGGTTCTCGGTTCCCTCTGCTACTTTGATTTAAGAGCATTAGGAAACTGTGTAATTTTTTTGGTCCTCTTTTTATTTCCATGGTAATTTATGTCTGTGGGTAAGCATTTTATTTTATCAGAGACACGGGGCTAGAGTTATTTTCCGAGGCGCTTGAGTTTTCCTTTGATGCCACTGAAATTAAAGGCAGAGCGGCAGAGAGTACCCATGCTGTTTGTCAAGGAGTCAGAGGTTAGAATTACATTTGCTGCCATTTATTGTGACTATTCCATGCCGGTAGTTAGGGTAGCACTTCTCATGGGCAATGCAGTATTATTAATATTGCAGACATCAAAACATTTGTGAATGGGATATAATTGACTTGTCAGTCACATTAACAATATCCCCTATGGAATACCCTTCCAACAATGGACGAGCAGAATATTCTTAGGTTATTTACATCAGAATCTTTAAGTCTTAAACCTTTGGAAAAAAAATACTAAAGGTTTATTTTAGCTTTAACACAATATGGAGATATAATTTTGTGTATGTGACGTATATGAAAGAGCTTACACTCAAGACTGCTAATAAATAGTTCTGAAAAACAAAGGATTGTTTTAATGAATAACAAACCAACCACCATATGAAAATATGGTGCAAAAGTTTAGTCTTTTTTTAACTGGGGTTCTCATGTTATAAGATTATGACAAAATTCCACAAATGTTTAATTAAGTTTTGAATAGACAAAATAAGTACTTAGAACTTTAAGCTAAGGCTTAAAAGGTTCTATAAGGTGGAAATACATAAAAAACCCCATGTTATATATATAGAGGAAGAAATAAAGAAATCATTAGCTAAAACATAAAATTTGAACATGACTTAAAATTCTATCCTTCTATCAATAGGTTAAAATTAATTTTATCTTGAAATGGATCCTGGAGCAGAAGCAATTCTCTAGCTAAAAATAAAAGTTAAGGCCTCTTCTGATTGCAATGTAAAATTAATAGGGTTAGTAATGTATATGTAAATACTTAAATATCCAGAACACAGAAAAACTCAGAGGCATTATTAGGAAGTCAGTTTCTAAATGATATATAACATTTGTTTCACAAGCAAATTGCCCATTTTAAATTGGAATTACATTGATGTTTGAGGAAAAGAGAAAAACATTCAATAAAGTCACGTGATCTTTGAATTAATTTACCTGTGATTTTTTTTTTTTTTTTTACCATGAGACAGACATGCTGTTTTGTCATTTAAATTTTTATAGGAATATCCAGTAAGGAATTAATAACAAGCCATTTTATTTACATGAGAGCTTTCCGCTTTTTATTTCACCCATATTGTCGGCCCAGCTCAGAAAGAATTCTCAGATCTCACAGACTGAGTCCTTTTATGCACATAAATAAATACACTGAGTGAATTGTTTGATGGAAACATTCCACTGACTATAGCAAACATTCCCGACTACAAGACATTTGGGGATTTTACTGAAGACTCCTTCCTCTTTCATCTAAGTCAATGTCATAAGTAAAATAGATTTTAAAAAATTCTTTTAAAACATTCTACAAATTTGAAGTATTGTCATTACTTTACAATTAACAAATTTACCCCTAAAGAGGACTTTCGTTTTGAGCAACCCACTGGTTTGAATGTCTAGATATGAGAAAACACTTGAACTGTTTGACAGATCCTTTCATTCACATAATGAACATCTATTGAGCACCTACTATGCAGCAGTGGCTGTGGCAGGTGCAAGGATACAGAGGTGAGCAACACTAGTTGGGGAGAGAGACTTTTATTTTATTATCCTGAAGATGTATAACTACACATCTTATGAAACCATGAGAAAGCAGCTATAGGGCCAGGTGTGGTGGCCCACGGTTGTAATCCCAGCATTTTGGGAGGCCGAGGCGGGTGGATCGCCTGGGGTCAGGAGTTCAGGACCAGCCTGGGCAACGTGGTGAAACCCTGTCTCTACTAAAAATACAAAAATTAGTTGGGCGTGGTGGCAGGCGCCTGTAGTCACAGCTACTCTGGAGGCTGAGGCAGGAGATTCGCTTGAACCTTGGAGGTGGACGTTGCAGAAAGCCAAGATTGTGCCACTGCACTCCAGCCTGGGTGACAAAAGGAGACTCAGTCAAAAAGAAGGAAGGAAGGAAGGAAGGAAGGAAGGAAGGAAGGAAGGAAGGAAGGAGGGAGGGAGGGAAGGAGGGAAGGAAGGAAGGAAGGAAGGAGGGAGGGAGGGAGGGAGGGAGGGAGGGAGGGAGGGAGGAAGGAAGGAGGGAGGAGGGACGGTGGGAAGAAAGAAGGAAGGAAGGAAGGAAAGAGGGAGGGAGGCAGGCAAGCAAGCAGCTATGAGACTATAACAGAAGGACTTTAGTAGTCTGGGCATCAGTGAAATGATGTTTTAAACCAGAAAGTGAGATTTCCAGACCTTAACGAACTTTGCCAATACACTTGTACCGTCAGAGGAGCCTCATTTTATGAATCCGTAACTTGCATTATTGCTTATAACTACTCTTATGTGGCTTTTGTACACTGAGTCAATTAAAAAGAAAGCTAGAATGTTCCAGAGGTACTCAGCTAAGCTTTGAACCCTGTTGTTTGCAAGATCGGCTTTACAACATGTGTCTCTTGGGGTGCCAGTGTCCATATTTGGGGTGACTAGGCCTAGCTATAAGATGACAATTCTTTTTTTAATTATCTTTTTAACTTTGGTCTTATTTTTCATAGAGATGGAGTCTTACTCTGTTGTACAGGCTGGTCCCAAACTCACATGCTGAAGTAATCCTCCTACCTTGACCTCCCAAAATATGGGGTTTACAGGTGTGAGCCACCACACCCAGCCAGTTGACAATTCTTAAATTTTCTAGCTGTGCAGTGTAAGGATCTAATAGCCAAGATCCACACTTGAGACTAAGAAATATTGCCATATCATTTCTCTGTTTTTTCCCTCAGTAGAAAAATCTAAATATCCTGATTTTATTTTCGTAACTAATATATTGTGTCTAATCAGGTTGCCAAAACACAAATTATAAGGGCACCCTGCCTACCTTCTCAGGTATTCATTTAAAAATTGTGAGAAAACCACCTTTCCTTTCTCACCTAGATTATTTCAAGTTTGAACAGTGTAAATAATTGGGAAAATGTCAGTGGAAACGGAAATAATAGCCAAGAATATTTTATTGCTGAAATTTGCTAATAGTGAGACTAGATTCCCTCTCTGAATTAAATATATATTATATAGTATACATACATATGTATAATACATATTATCAGTGTAATAAGCATGTATTATTTATGACTTATTACGAAACCAGTATTACATAAAACCTTTAAAATAACCAGTGGTTATCTGTTGATCATTTTTCACTAGCTCCAGACTGATTTTTTTTCCTTTGCAACTCTTTAAAATTTTGAATTAACTTTCTGAAACTTCCGGTATGCTAGCCTGTCTAATGACCCTTCATATAACCATCTCTGAAAAAATAATTCCTAGTAAAAATAAACATGTGAAAATTGTTCAAAGGTGGAAAACGTTAACTTTGCAAAGAAATTATGCTTCCAAGTTTGAGCCTGTGATATTTCTAAGTGGGTTGAGATTGATAAACTCCAATAATACCTACATCCTCAAGCTAGATCTTTCCATGTTCCTTAATAAGGGAAATGCCTAAAAATTATAAGGCACATTTTGGGCAGACTTGGCCAACAACCTGTGTCGAAATGAATAATACCATGGCATCAAGCTAATACGATTTCATTTAGCCAGACTTGCCACCACCAAATAGTCACCTTTTGTAAGGTTATTATAATGGCTTAATTTAATCTTACCATATGCACAACATGGGTATGGTTACTGACTGATAACGAAACTAGTTGCATTCATTAAATACTGCTATAAATCTCTCTTCTGAAATAGCTATAATACAGCCTTCCAGCAACAACAATAATGTAATTCTTAATCTTTTTCTGTGATATTATATAACTGTAGCCTGCAGCTAACTCTCACTGTAGGTGTTGGGGGTGGTGTGGGGTCTTTGCATTCCTATGAGAAGGTGGTGGGGCTAGAGGGTTGGAGGTATTTGAGTAAAATGTTGGAGATTGAAAAAGTCAGAAGTGAGCAAATTCCTCCTTCACTATGGATGGAGGAAATAAAACACATCAAAACTCTTATTTTTGAAGTCCTCCTGTGAAGCCATTCCTTTATATTTTCATCAATGTACTCTTTTCTGAGAAAAATTCCCTGTATTTTCACTTCATGGGGAATAAGTTATTAACTATTGAAATGTGCAGGCATGTGATTCTTAGAACACTGGTTTTATAAAGTTTAAATGTTGAGGAGAAAGTCCATTCTCGCGGCATTTGCAAACCCATTTAAAGCTTCATTCTGCTGAAACCTGTATAATTTTTATAGCATATACATCAAAATAGATTTTAACAAAACTAGCATTCTTTTAGGAAATTTTTCAGCGTTCTAATCTTTGGAAGCACAGAAAAGTTTCAGCTAATCAAGTTACATTTTTTTTTTATTTGGGAGGGCCTGCCCTGCTTATTTTAAAGCTCTCTTTTGCACAAACCATTTGTATATTGAGAATTAAAAGGAAAAGGAAAAAAGCAAAAACCTGTTCCAAAGATCTCAAGCGTGGACAGAGGGTGCTTTCTTCTTCTGCACTGGCAGTTTTAAGATTAAGTGCCTCAGTAGGCTTCTCAGAATTATCAACCTTGTCCAGTGGCTGAATATTCTCTGCAGAATTTGTTCTACAGAAATTTTCTCGGTATAGATCTGTCTTCACTCTGATTTTTATGGCTGTGACCATTTTTGAAGCCTCCCAGAATTACTGGCATTCTGATTATTTTCTCCTTTTGGAGGAAGACCATGAAAACGTCCAGCTTAGGTAAGCATATATGCGCACAAGATTTCTAAGCCAGTCACAGGGAAGTGATTTCATTGAACTGAACCCAGGATGCCAGTGTGACTGAATCTGTAGAGTTTAGGAACTAACAACAGCAGGTATTATTTCATTTCATTTCATTTCATTTCATTTGTGAGAGATAGAGTGGCAACAAGAAGCTGCGAGTTTCCTCTGTCCCTTTGACTAAAAGCAGACTCTACCACTAAAGTCAAAATGCATCTTCATGAAAAGAAAACGAGTTTATGATGCTTAAGACTGACCTAAAGGGCTTAGATTCACTAGAGCCAACCAGAAATCAATCAACGCTGGCTCACACAGTGAAACCTCATGTCAGGCAAAAGGGCTATGTTTAAGTGGAATGTCATCAACAAAGACTGTGAAGACCTCTCAAGTGGTCTCACCTTCCCTGAACTTCTCGGGAGGAAGTGAAACCATCCTCATTGTTGCCTGTTAATATCCTTCAGAGGGGACTTGGTTTTAGAAAATCCGATACGCAAACATATCAAATTATAAAATTCTAGGGAGGATGCAGATTTGCATAGCTTTGGACCACACCACTGCGGGGCATGACTGTCTTTCTGGGCTGGATGGAGTACATCCTATTGATGGTCTAAGCTTCAAAGCATTGTGACAGCACCCTCCCACAAATGCACCAAATATGTAATTTATCATCAACAACAACAGAAAAGCCTCTTTGTTATTTTTAAATGGTACAAAAGTTATATGTTTGCTGGAATATGTCCCTGGGTTCTGGTTACAAATTTCTGGATAGCAGTATCAAGAAGACTGCTTGGAATAATTCTCACGAAAGTCTTGAAGCCATAGTTATTCATTCATGGTGCCTCAAAGGCACCAGGTCTTGCTATCCTGGTCCACACTGCTCAAGATGGGAAGCTCCCTGCTCAGTACCTTCATTATCACCCTATTCTGTACTGCCTGACCCCTTCCCCAAACTCCCACTCTGCTTCCCAGCCAAATGTTTCACTGTGCCTTCTGGGACCTTGTTCTAGAACCTGCAAGCCATCCTCAACCTCGGGGCAGGCCTCCTTCATTGTATGGTCCCCACTAACAGTTGACTTCCTCCCAAGGACACTGTTCCTTTACCATCTTCTCAAGTGGAGACTGCCTCATCCCCTAGACCTTCATGAACCTTAGAATTAAGATGCACTTGCTGATCCATCTCACTAAGTCCAGACACCTTCTCCTCCAATCCACTGAGACTCAGGTGACTGAGCCAGAACATGTCCTGCCCTCATCACTTATTTATCCATCACTCATCCAAGACCTGAGCATCTGGTTCACAGTCCATTCCCTCCCAAATGACAACATCATCCTAGATGCTTTCAGCATCTTCATGGGCACACAGCCGGTTCCCTTGCCACTCAGCTCCTTAAACTATTTCCATTGATTTCTCATCCATCTCTGCCACCCATTCTGATTACCACACCCCTGACGATGTCAGCACTAAGAACTGCTCCATCCTAAAGTCATGAAAATCTCAACATCTTCTATGTGATCACCATTCAACTCTCCTACTACTAGTGTTTCCTCCCTTCTCCTGACTCTATTTTACCCGTCATCTTCCAGCTCCTCCTGACCTCACTTCCTTCTCTATCAATCTGAGATTCAGTGGCAATTATGTTAGGCAAGGTTTGTTGTTTCCTTAACCCCCATGTTCTCGGGATCTTCCATCCCATCTGCCTAGAAAAACTTAGCTCTGGATCCACTCCACTGTTTACTTGCTCAGCTGAGCAATGCCGGAGCAGACCACACAACTCTAGACACTGAGGCCGTGATAAATTGAAAATCTCCAATTTCATCCAAGTCCTCAACTCTTCCAGCCAGTCTTTATTTCTTACTCAGCCTGTTTTCCTCCCATTCTCCACAAGAGCAATTCCAACATTTGCTTAAAGTTTTTAACTCAGCTAACTCTTGCTCTCTTTGCAAAGACATAAATTCAAACACCATTGTGAGAGGCCTCACACAACATCCTGCCACCTCCCTAATGTGCTTATGCCCACAACCCTTCGTTCCTCTGCTCTTCCATTAGGAGAAGTGCCCTTCCTTCTGCTCAAGACTTCACCCACAGCATGTTTTCTGCAGTAACAAGAAGCAGCTAGTTTCCTCTTCAGGAACTCACTTCAACCCATTAGCATTTAGATATGTACCAACACTTTCTTCTTTAAACACACACACACACACACACACACACACACACAAAACACTTCCCTTCAACTATAGCAATGTCTCTTCTCTTTGCAAGTGGAACTTCTTGAAAAAGTGCTGAATTCCTCTCTTTTCTTCTTCCCTCCTCTTTGCCCTACACTCTCCTTCAATCAGCCTTTTTTCCCCAACAATCCCACATAATTAATCTCACATCACTTACATTCTTTCTAAATTTATAGACAATTTTTCGGCAGGCATCTAATTTTGGTGTCATAGCACATAAATCCTTGTATTCACCACCAAGAATTAACAAAGGCATACCATTATTTCTCCAATAAAATATAAATAAACACAACGAAACTACCTCTATACCTCACTCCATTGCTTTTCCAAGCACATTCTCCTCTCTTTCTCCTTCACTCTCCAGATTCAGCCACTAATAAATGCTTAACAAATACTGTGCATATTAAATACTGGTTGAGTCCAGTATGAGTTGACATGATAAATTTGGCCTGTGTCTTTTCAGTCCATGCCTCTATAGTTCTATTACACATTTATAATATATACATAATCAAGACAATACATACAACATACTCAATATACCATCTTCTTTGACATCTTTTAGAGTGTTAACCAAATGGTGTCTTACTGGCGTAATACTATTGTTTGGTCTTTTTTCAACTCAACATTATTTGAATACCATCCATGTTGGAACGCCAGTGTTTGAATCATTAATTTTAGTTGCTGTGTGATATTCCATCATATAAATATACCTTATGTGATTATCCATTCCAGGCCCAAGAGATGTTTATGTTGTCTAAAATTTTACAATACAATTACACATGCAAGTCACCTGTACGCTACAATACTAGAATGAGCATATGTTTACGCATTTGCTCTTGCACAAGAGTAAGATTTTCTCCAGGATACACACCTAGAAGTAGATTTTCTAGATGGAACACATACATATTTTCAGCTTTACTAGATTATGCCAAATTGGTCTCCAAAGTGACACCAATTTCGACTCCCACCAGGTATGAATGCCTGCTGCTCTTTACTCACGCCTTCACTGATGTGCGGCGTTGTCAGATTTTTTAGTGTTTGCCCATCTGATGGGTGCAAAATGGTATCTCATTTTGGTGGTAGTGTACAGTTCTATGATTAAAAGTGAGGCTGAGGTTGCATTCATATGTTTTTTGGCCCCTCATGTTTCCTCTCATATGAGTTCCTTAATTCCTCTCTCTTTCCTATTTTTCTTCTGGATTATCTTTCTATTATTGGTGTGCAGGAGTTAGTTATTATCTTTCAGTCTTTATTTTAACCATACTTGCCCCTACATGCCAATTTATCACCAAGTCCTGAATATCTATCAAAAATCTCTCCACTTTCACCATCTCTAAAGCCAGAATGACCCCAGTGGAACCTTGCCATGTCATATCTGAATTGCTGCCGACAGCTTCCTAACCATCTTCCCTGCCGCTTGTCTGATAGCCTCTAACATACACAGCAATTGGGGAATATTCCCGTTACACCATTCTCTTACTCAAAATGCCTTAAAGGTCTCTAACTGTCCTCCTGAACATGACATGGAGGACAGGTATAATATGGCCTCTGCCGTTTTCTTCAACCTCATCTCAGTTTCTGCCCTCTAGTTCACACACCCTGTGCTCTAGCTGTGTTTACTGACTTTGGGTTCTGGTACTGGGCCATGCTCTCTACTGATATCTTGGCCCTTGCATGTGCTGCTTGCTCAGCTTTGAGCCCTGGTGTTGAGCCTGCCCCATCCATCACCACCACCTCCATCACCTGAATAATTGGTTCTCAGTCTCCAGATCTCAGCAGAGAAAGCACTACTTTTCTGATTTCACAGTTTCAGGTGAGTTATCTCTTCTAGATGCTCCCATGACACCTCCCGTTTATTTCCAGTGTTGTGTGTGCCATATTATATCATAATAGCTGCCTCTTTGTCTGTATTCACCAGTAGAGAGGGAGAGAGAGAAACGATGAGAACAGGAGACATAGCCAACTTCTTTTCAGATATAACTCCAGTACCTCAGGAGACACTTGGTTTCAAGAAGCTGTGATTCATAAAATAGAAAGAGATTTGATCCTTAGTGTTCCAAAACTAAGGCTATAGGTATCACAGTGCACTCACTGAGTTACTGTAAGTTCAATCCACTTAGGCAAAAAAGCAAAATAAAATAAAAGTCAACATACAGAAAAGTTTTTGAAGAGACACTTCTTGTGCAAATACTAGATCCTAACACCAACAACAAAAAATATTTGATTGGTGTGAGTCCTGAGTGTACAGGACTCTCTGGAGTGTGTGTTTATCAAATCTTACAGTAGCTTAAGATGCATGAATCTGACCTTCTTCAGAAAGAAATCTGAATGATGCATATAAGAATATACATAAGAGGCATTTCCCCCTTAAACATCTCTTTGTTTCCAGAACTTAACTGAAACTTACAGATCATCCACTCTGTTTGTCTATACAACTATACATTTATGACAATATGAATATATATATAGACAGTCTTAAAAGAAGAACTTGTAAAAATGAGATAAGAATTACTTCCGGCTCTCCATTATGTAGAACTCCTATATATTTCATGAGTATGTTTAGAGCTGCTTGATGCTAGCACAATGTCTGACACCAGTTATTTGACACAGCTTTTTAATAAAAAGAAAATATGACAGAGTTAGAGAGATGTTAGTTAGAACCCTGGCTACTTACCCTCTGATAGTTTAGCCTAAATGGGCATTTTAAGACTAGTAACTTTGTCTCAGGGTTATTGTGAGGATTAAATCAGATGTTAAATCAATGTGAAATGCCCTTAAAGAATGCACGTAGTAGGCTCAGAGTACTACTGTCCTCTCCTTCTTAAGCAAGAATCCTCCCGAAAAGTGTGCCTACTGTTCATTCTCTGCTTAGATCCTTGCTTTGAGCTCATAACCACGTTTCTGAAAAGTTAGTGGCAACCATTCATTGAGAGCTTGCTAGAGACCAGACACTGTGCAAGTGCTTTGAAATCTGACCTCCTTTAATATATAAAACAAAACCCAAAAACCACTCGAGGCCATGTGTATTAGAATCTCCATTTAAAGAGGTAGAAACAAGGTACAAGGAGGTGAGAATTAATGCAGTGAAATGAATGATAGACCAAATTTTCAGGTGAATGTTTTCTAATCACTTAAAAGCACTGAAATCTCACCACTAGGGAGGGCTTTTGAAGTACTTCATCTTTTTGACAGGGCTACTATTTTGGAAGACATGGAGAAAGCATCTAGATATTAGCAAAGCATTTTACAAAGTGAAGGGCATAAACAAGAAAGAGAATATAAAAAAGGCAGCGATTACAAAGCATTGATCCTGACATGTAGTAGGTGTTTAATAAATACTGGTTGAATCCAGGGCTGCTTTCAAGTCTTTGCAAAATCCCACAGCCATGCCAGCTATTTACAGCTAGCCTCTCTCCTTAATAATCAGTGTCCAAATCCCCAATTGTTAAATACTTTGAATATCTCACCAGTTGACTAAGAATTGTACATAAATTTCTTTCTATGCTTAAAATTTGATGGGATCTTGAACATTTAAACTTTTTGATTTCTAGCTTTAAGAAATAAAACTGATTCAAATCCATGCACTTTGAATGAAGTTAGAAATTTGAATTTCCAACTACAGGAAATGTGACCAATTAAAATCTATGATTTAGAATTTTTCATGGTTGTTTCTTATTAATCATCCATAAAATGGAACCAAAAACCACTTATTTCTGTCTAATTAGTGCTACTTCTGAAACTCAGTCAGATCATTGGGTTAAAACGATTTGGAGCGTATCAAGGCTGGATAATGCAAATTATCAATCTGTAGCCAATACTTTTCTAGGGTGAAACTTATTACAAATAAAAATATTATTTACAAAAGCATTTTTTAGAAAGTTGAGTAAAAAAATTTCATGGAGGAAATGTCCTGTACCTAGATTGAGTCCATCTTTGGTTTCTTCTCCTTTCCTTTGGGGTTACTTAACTTGGGTATGTTTCCTTCCCTCAGCACCATCAATAGAAAGCGAACAGCAGGGCAAAGAACATGAGGGCAGCTTGAGTCCGTCTTCACAGCTGTGCAACTGGAGCTCTGGTTAGAGGCTCAGGGGAGAAATGAGATCTGGGCATTACCTATGGTTTGGAAGTAATATGGGGCCTCTTGGTGCCTCCTTGAAATTTGGTTCTTACAAAGGAAATGAAAGTAGTGTTTTTAGACTTTATCTTCCTAAGGCTTTCTTTCCAACAAGACTTCTATGTAACAGAAAAACTTTCTGAACCTTGACTATGTCTTCCAGTACAGATAATGACAACTACTTAAACTGCATTTAAAAAGTGCTGAGTAGTTGATCCCAGTACCTAATGATGTTACTTATCTCCTCAGAGTCAGATTGACACTAAAAATAATAAATTAGAACAGAAAATGATTTTACCAGATCTATGGGCTGACGGGCGGGCTAAGTATAATACCCTCCATTATGCTTGTCATTGAATTCTATATGTACGGTACAGATCTGAACAAGGAAGACAGGATTGTACTGTGATTTCATGATTTTTATCTTCAATCACCTATCATTCAAACATATAAAATTAATTTGCCTACTTAAAAAAAATTCAGGCAATAAAAAGTCAGGACGAACACTTTCTGTGGTGATAGAAACATTATATTGGACAGCCTATTGCACAAGCAGGGGTGAAATAATAAATTAAAAACTGTCACTCCTGGGTTATCTAGGATATAGCCTCTGAGACACCTATTTCCTTCATCTGATCTAGTATATTTATACATTCAGAATCAATAGTTATACTTGCCAAATCACTGGGATCCATTTGGGAAATAATTTTAAAGTGGTCAGACTTGAAACTATCACATATGACACAATGAAGTAATAGGTTTTTTTTAAGCAATTAGTGAATCAAAATTAATTTTTACAATTATTTACAAGACAGTTGGGTGGTTTAATTTATACCACAGTGGTTGTGGTTGTTTTTAATTTCAGTAAATTATGGTAGATTTGTTCTTTGAGTTTGGGGGGAGAGAAAAAAAATAAAGTTCAGGGGAAAAAAGTTTAAAATATTCCTACTTTTTATTTTAGGTAAGATGAGCAAATCATTGAGGATGATTTTTAATTTTAATTCATTCAATGAGCTCTCCTAATGCAATCATTTTCTCCATGGAAGTCCTTAACCACAGTGGCCATTTGCAGCTGATGATTTTTTTATATAAATAATTTATACAGCCACTATACACTTATACTTTTACACTGAAAGAGAAAGAGAGAGAGAGAACAGAATTGCATCTTAAACTCTATTTACAAATTTACCTTGGCAGGCCCTCTTACTGCCAATAGGAAACGATGTTGCATATTTAATTTGCTCTTTTGTTACAACGGGGCTTAGGTTAGTTAATTTCAATTTTCGATTTCAAAAGCTATCAAATATGGCTCAGATGAGAAATCAATTTTTCTCAGCTGCCTCTGTTTTTGTGATGGGAGGCATCTCATTGGCTGAAGGTGAGCCATGTGACATGGCAAGAGATTAGTTCACCAGACCCTGTGTTGCTGCCACCTCAATTACTGCCTGCCTCTTGTAATTTAGCCTTATAACACCTAATTTCAAGACAGAACTCATATTTAATTCATGAAAGCTTCCACAAGAGTAATTGTGAAATAAATTGCCATAGAAGATATCCATTTGTGACTCATTTTAATTTTGTATGCTAGTAGCATGCTATTTATTCTACTTGTTTAACACTTTAGCACAAACATTTTTTTTTTAATATTGAACTTTATGCACTGATAGCTGCATACTTTGCACCATTTTCCCACATTACATCATCTCCTTTACTGGGATTTCCTTTCACAAAACTTTCACCCAGTGGTATTTCCAAAGGTTGTTAAAATCAAGAACTTATAATCTCCTAATTACTGAATACTGTTGTTATGATCTGCATAGAACTTTAAAAGTAGCAACTAAAAATCACAAATGACAGCAGATAAATGGTAGTTAGATGACAAGGATCATTCAAAGGGCCGAGAAATAAATAGAGTTTAATTTAAATAATATTTTAAACAAAGGCATTCATTACACATATTGACATTTTCATTTCAACACTGGTATATATTTTAAAATTCTTGAACCAAAACATATATATTTCCTGTGTATACACACCATTTTGTCCTTTTCCTCCCTGTTGCTATGCCAACAAGGTGGGTGAGGCCTTCTCAACTGCCAAACTCAGCTGTCATCCCTTCACCCTAAAAGCCTTATAATTGCTTTTATTTGCATACGACAATTAGGCAGGATGGCTCACAGCGAGAAAAACCAACCTTTCTCTCCCCAAGTGCACACAACGCCAGCCTGTAATTTATAAAAGATACGCGCCATGTGGTGGAGCACTAAAATAGAGTGATGAGTCCTTTCATCTGATTGTAAGCCATTAACAAAAGAAAACATCCCCTTTCAGGCTATAAAAAATGCCTATCTGGTGTGAACCTGCAAAATCACAAAGTGCCCCCCTCCCCAACTCCCCTCACATAGACCCTTCACATTCATTATCACATTGAACTCAAAAGGAGCTCTAGTAAAAGAGTTACATTTGGGTGTTTATGAGTAACGGGGTGCAAATAAGATCCACACTGGGCTAAAATTGCATCCAGTGTAGTTGATGTTTTGGGGGTAGATTTCTTTTTCTTCTTTTTTTTTTTAAACAAAAACAAAAACAAAAAAAAAAACCCTTGTTTTGCATCACATTGCATGTTGAAATGTCATATTCATATAGTCATTATTACTCTTTTTCTTCAGGGAAACCATGACAGGATTTTCCAATCAGCATTCACGTCTGTGAAAGCTCAAGTCAGGAGGAATGTGGATGGTTTAAATCATCCTCTGTTTCGGTTTTCAAAAGGTCTTCAAAAATTAGTGTCTAGTGTAAAAGGTCAAAACATGCTTGGAAATCATTTCAGTGATTTATTGTCATCATTTTTTCTCACGACTCTAATTCTAATTATTAAGATATTTTAATTTTATTCTTACATGCTGCATCAGATCTAAAAGCAAATTTTAAACAGATTTATTTTTTTCTTTTTTAAGCAATATTTTAAGTGACCAATTAGGCTGTATGGTTTTTCCAGGCTTTTCTCAGAGTTTGTGCTATTGGAGACCTTTACGATACAGAATGAGTGTCAAATGTGAACTTTGTTTCTTCTAAATTATCCCATCTTTAAAACTATTATTCAGAACACGAAAATTGTGACCTATTTCTTTATCTAAGAATCTTTTGAAAAGCAGTCAGCACTCCATTTTTATTCACTAGATACTGAATAAATATTGATCATACAGGCAATTTGGGCCCAGGATCTATCAATGGACATAACTAATTACAAATCACACAGCTATGCGTCTATTTATATGATTTTAGAGGGGACTGTAATTACAACATCTTGAAATATTTTATCTAGATTAAGAAATATAACTTTTTGTTCCAGCATACACAATTATAATATAGAAGAATTTGCTAAAACAACAAAATATAAAAGTATATAAAAACACAGCAGTCACTTCAAAAAGCAGCAATGAAATTAAACCAAAGCATTGGCTGTCTTATTTTTTTAAAGTCAAATTCCTTTAGAAAATTATGAAAATGAGAGTATAAATAAAGTTGAGACACACCACAAATTTGCAGGAAGGGAATAAAAGACATGAACCAAAAAAAATTAAAATGCCAATAAACATATGGAAAATGCCAAACCTCACCAATAAGGAAAAAAATGCAAGTTTTAGAAAACACGCAGTCCATCAATTGTTACTGTTACTACTTTTCTGGAGGACAATTTGGAAATATGCAATGACATTTTAAATGAGCATACTGCTTGACCCAGAAATTCTACTTTTAAATTTTGTCCTAAGGTAAAAATCAAAGAATGAATAGACCTATGCAAGGGTGTCTTTGCATGATATGTGCTATTTTATTAATACCAAAATTTTACAACAAGCCAAATGTGTGTTACATAAGTTGTACTATACTCCTATGATGGAATATCATGCAACCATTAAAAAGTAATAGGCTTCTTTGTTTCACATGAATGCCTACCTAGCTATATCTACATTTATGTATATATGTGCATATACATATGTATGCACATATATATTTAAAGAAAAAAGAATATTCTATAATATGCTATTTCATCCAGGTAAATATATATTTATATATACACACATGTAGGTACACATATGTATATAGACTGTACACATACAAACACACACACACACACACATATACATACACACAAAGAATCTGAAAGAGTATACCACACCTACTAGGAACAGTTTTGCGGTGAGTTGGGTAGAACTTAGAAGGAGCCCATAAATTTCCCTGTGTTGCTTTAATTCACATCAAGCACAATTTTTAGAGAAAAGGTCCAGTCTTAAGTAGAATTTCAACAAGTAGTTTTTTTCCTTAGGGCAAAATGTATTAAAACTTTCCCAACATTACCATTTCATTTTTCTTTTTGTGTCTTCTAGAAGCATTATTTACTTTCTTGACCTTTTCCCAAACTTCATCTCTAGTTTTCTGTTCTCTCTTTGTCTGTTATACCTACAGTACCAAAATTTTCATTTGGATAAAATGTATCAACATGTGAAGGATTCATCCAGAAAGGGTAAGGTGGTACTATAAGGGTCTAGAAACTTGGTAGTTTCTGTCCAGGGTTATTAATATTAATTATGGAATAAGGAAATGTAACATATATCTATTTCCTGGACGGTATGTCCATTTCTTCTTCCTACATAGAGAGAAAGCAGGCAAGTCCAAAGGACAGCAACCTTGCCTGACAGTTCGGCTGTACCTCAGTCCTGTTGAGTAACACAGCCTATTTACTCTTGGGTTTCCAGCATGGTTGTAGTAAGTGCTGAATAAATAGCTGTTGAATCAATGGGATGAAACTGAAAACATTACAGTCAAGCAGGAAACTTCACAGTGTACATTACTTTACCTATGCTAGACGGTAGTAGAGGTAGGTATGGGTAACCTTTAACAATTACAGTACTGATTTCCTCTCACTGGCAAAGTGAAGGGGAAAACTCAATTATTTTTCCCAATAAGTCAGCATACAACTCAACCTTTTACACAGAAAATACCTGGATGTTGAAAACAAATATATTTTACAGATGATTTGGTTGGGTTTTGCTGGACTTAATTAAATAATTCCTTCATTCTCTATTTCACTTTCATAGTTAGTACTTGCTCTAGGGTCACAAAATTTTAGGATCCTGAAATAAAAGAATCCAGAGAAAATTATACTAAAAAATTCACTCTTATTGGAAACATGGAACAAAAATTTCAATAATAGTAATCCTTGAAAAATATATTCAGTATTTCATTAACATAATATCATATATGCAGATGAAATTCCTTAAAGTTAAAGGAACCCTAATATCCTAATTGATTAAAAATGTATGTGACTTTTAAGATCATCTTTCCAAATAGAAAAGGTGAATTTCTCCATCCTCTTCATTTTTTAGGATAGAGAATATGATAAATTCTTGGAAGTATACGACCAGATAAAAAGTTATTTTGAAGACAACTCTAACGTGTAATATAAACACATTTATTGAAGGAAAATATAAAACATAAGAAATTGGGTAAAAACAAAATATGTAAGATGAAGTTTTCCAAGATTATCCTTAACTCATACTTTGCCAGTGCAATAGATTTATGCCACTTTGGGCTCTATTGCAGTATTGAAAAAAATAACATATATATTTTAAGGACAGTGTTGTGTTGCTGTGGTTTTATCATACAACTCAGAGACAATGCAAATACTCTTCTTGAAATATAAGAAGAAATATAATAAATGAATTTTGGATGTATAATAATTGGAGAAAAGGAGAGTTCTTTATCTGCATTCCACAGACATTTTTCTTTTTTAAAAAAGAGTTTTCAAAATTATGGCTATTATTTTAAGAAATCACATGAATTTTGTTATTTTCTCTTATCTACAGAGTATCCTTCTTGAAATAAAAATACACATGGGATAGTATCAAGAGAGAAATGTTTTATGGGGAAGCTGAATTTTGTCTATTGTCTGTTTCTTCTAAGCTGCCTTTCATTAGTGGCTGGAGTACTGGAAGATGGGAATAGTGACTCAGTGAATATTGACTGCCTTGGAAATTTAAAAATCTTCTCACTTTTCATCCACAGAGTTGTAGATACCCATTTCATCTTATTATGTGTGCTATTTCTAGAAAAGATGTATAAGATTTATCCCACGACAGCAAGTGCACAATTATGAGGAACCATTATACATTATTATTGTTCATTATTACTGTGGTTCAGATCAGATCATATCAGCGGAGAAAGAGGATAGACTTCAGTTCATTGTCTGATGAGATGTGTGTGGCAGTACTGGTTTGGAGAATGCCCTACTTAAATAGGATTCCTTTGTAAAAACTGTCCAGGCAGAGTGTTGTACCTTTTGGCTGTAGTCTCTTTACAGAACTAACTTTCTTATCTCTTTATTTTCTCCCCACAGTCGTAATTAAAAGGAATCCATGGCTAAGAACTCTAAGTCTCATATGAAACCTCGTGCGGAGTGAATATTAGTGAGACATTAATAATAAATTAGGAGATGGGCAAGCAGAGACTGGTTTCTGCTCTTTTTTGCCCCTGGTCGGTGAGCTGCAGAGTTGACTCTGACACTTTTAGGGAAAAAAGTATCTCCAGCACTACCTCTCCCCCCTCAATTCAAACCTCATCTGAGAACTCCTGAAATGAAGCTGTCACTCAGGGCTGCTTGGGGACCTGTCAGCACAACATTGAGCCTTTTCATTTTGATGGGTCAGCCTGCAATCCCCTTGAAAGAGAAGTCCGTGCCACCGTGGTTTCTCTTTCCACAGGAATTCTGAATTCTAATGAAACTCCAAATCGCTCAATAAAGGCAGGGGCACGAGGAAGTAATCCAACGCAGATCTGAGTGAAATTTGTATTTTATCTTTTTTTCCCAGCCCATTATTCTAATCGCTTAGGTGGTTCACAAAGGGTTGGTTCGCAGGGCAGGCGCAAGAGGAATGAGGTGTCCTTTGTCCTGATGCTACACTGAGATTAGGTAGCAGCTCTCTGAAAATGAAAGGCCGTGGCTCAAATTTCCTTGGGTAAATATCCATCCACCTATTGTAGTTTGCACCTACAGTGCTACACATACATTTATAATGTGTGCTGAGCTGATAGAGAAGAAAGAAGTTCACATTAATATATACTTTTTTTATTTTTTGTGTGCCCATGAAACTGTGTTTCAAAAACCTCATGTGAACCTTTTGCCATAAAATGAAGAAAATAGCATTGTTACTCTCAACCTCATAATCAGAAAGCGGGCATGCCTCAGATATATCTTTGGGATGGCATCATACAAATTATTATTTTCATTACGTTCTTTCAACAATGTTCACATTTGTGAGATACTTGTGTTGAGTGTCATACACTGTTAAACTCCTGTCTTTTCTCTCTTTTTCTTTGGAAAATAACTGCTAAAACTTCAACAAGGAAGGCATTAATGTGATTACCTTTTAAACTCTATTTCTTAATGTATTTACATATTATATGCTAGAATTATACATGTTAATTCAGGTAAAAAGACAATCCCCCCAGAAATTTACCAAGGAATTTTTTTATCCCATTCTAAGTATATTTAGATAGAGGATTATTGTATTCATAGCCCATTTAGAAAGACACTAGAAAGGTATATAGATAAATAGATATACATATATAGGTGTACGTTATCTACCTATAGATATAGATGTAATGAAGTTGACTTTATTGCTTTGCAGCAAGCTGAACCCCCATTAACCTTTGTTTTTATTATTTAACCTTCATGAGGAGCTAACAAGCAATGTTTGAAATGCTACCACGTCCTTCCAACCTTTACAACTCTACAATCATATTTGTGTTATTTAAAACCTAAGAGCCACCAATCCATATTGTCTTCTTCCACTGTGACACATCACCCTAAATATGTCAACTGCCTGTTCTTTAACTGTCCAAAGAACATCTGTTATAACTCCAGGTGCTTCTCTGTCCAGACGTTCGCAGTAATTTTTTCCCAGTTGATACAGAGAACGCAACAGACCATTGCATATAAAACAATTCCTCTTCGCCCGATCTGCTTGTGTTTGGTGTGTATTAAGATGAATATCTTTTTTTAAAAATCACAAATATTAAATTGTGATTTCTTCAGTAGATTTTTTCATGTTGCATTTTATTCTATATTCTATATGCATGGACTACTAGAAAACAGTGAAATATCCTTTAAAAATTAAAATCTACTCTGGGAAGGAGGGAGAAAAAAAAGAGTAGAAAGAAAGAGAAAGAAAATCATAAGTTACAGCTTATCTTCCTTACCCATTCTTAGTCTCATCTATGGAAATATTAGGATGAACTATAAACCCAGGGCAGTTTGAGTGATAAATCTCCATTTTTTTGGATCAGATTGATTTGCACCATCGAATCAGACTTTACTATGTCCTTCTTATGGTTAATTACTTCTTCTTTCTGATTTTCATATGAGTGTGAAATGTTTATATACATATACTCTTCCACATATACAGAATGTCTCCCTTTTTGCCTTGATTTAGATTAAATCACATATCAACTGTATATACCCATACCCCTCTACCCCCACACACTGAGGCTTGGGGAGAACTTTTAAATTAAACACTGTGGAGCTTTCAAAACTACCTGGAATGGAACAACAGATAAACTGCAGAAGTCACTAACATTGCCTGAGGCTTTATTATTTTGTGGCATTTTCTAAATACGAAGTATAAGGACCCAATGGGGAAGTTTGTATTGGATTTTAGTTATTTTATTTGTTGTGGCTCAAAGACAGACTTAGAATGTCCGTGCTCTTCAACCCCCTCAAACGCTCTATGTGTTTTGTTAGAGATATTATAAACTATTTTCCTTCATCTCGGGGATATATGTACGAGTTTGAAAGCTAAATAGTCACACATAACTAGCAATGGCTGCTTGGCCATTACTAACTCACAGCCTAATTCCACTAATGAGTTATTACCCCTGTTCAGATATGAGGTAAACTGGAGTGTCCATTTTAATTTTTTATTTCTTGCAGTAGAGACAGACGAAATATGGAAAAATATACTCTGACATAAGCTAAAGAAAAAAAACCACAATTTACTTGAAACATTGATCAATTACCTCTGTGTTTATGTACCCAGAAGAGTGTGTCAGCAGCTCAACTTTCACTGTTCATTGAGAAAAGTCATTGTCTACCACCTGGGAATTCACTTCTGAAGCTTTTCAAACATTTCAAATGCAGAGAAACATTGCTAGTTACTGTTGCAAAATTATAGCAACTCATAAAACAATACTCACATATATTAACCATGTAAAACATGCAAGCATATTTGTGCTCAGCTTGGGTAATTCCTCAAATCAATATTTTAATGGAAAGTTGCTTACAAACTAGCCTAAAAACAGACTTTCATAAAAAAAAAAAAAAACTTAAATGTGACAAATCCACTTAATTCTGGAGGTTTAGATATAACCACAGGATTGAAATTATGTGTCTTCCTCTTTCCTATTAATATTAGTAGCTCTTGTTATACCAATGGAGTTAGGCTTCCGGGTCAGCTTTTCAGCCAGAAAGCCTGGATTCATGCTTGAATTTCACTCATTCTGTTAGCATAAGTCATTTATTCCACAGACTAAGTTCTGGGTTTTGGGATATGCCCATTGCAACAAATTTACTGAGGCAGAAATATGCCTGTGCACACCTGGTAAATGCAGGAGCCCATGTTGCTTGTGAACGTGCCTGTCTCTATCAGAGGAGTTTTTCTCTAGGAAAAGACGTGCCCAAAGTTCTGAGCATGTTACACTACCTGTCGTCAAGAGGTTCATTTCTTTAGTTACTGCCTGGCGCTAGCGATTCATTCTCCCCACTTTGCCTCCCCACTCCACCTCTCTCTGGTCAATCAGTGAAAATTCCTGTGCCTTTTGATTGAGTGTTTCAATGGAAGTCCAGAATTCCAGATGAGCATGGGACTCCGGTCCGGCAGTACACCCTGCCCTGAGCAGAAACTCTGAGGATGTTCTGTCCAACACACATTAAGGGACCAGGCAGGCAGGGCTCTATGCCTCCGTTTCTTTACTCATGAAATAAGACAAACACACCCATCTCCCATGCGATGTACCCCCTAGCAAGAAGAAATGAGAAAGTGCTGGGGGAGTGTTTTGAATCTGGAGGCAGAAGATGCCATGTAAGTAAACAGTAATTTTATTAATTGCCTAGAAATAGAAAATGTTGAGTTTAAATCAATGCTACTTTCTTCAGAGTAAACACTAAATATAACATCCAAAACGATATGGTTAAAATTAACTTGCAGTTGCTTTTCAAGCTGGTGAGATACAATTAAAAATGGGGGATATTGCCAAATCTCATTTACTGCTTTCTTTCTTGTGAATAATATCTGTACATTCAGATCTTCATTATACTTCTCAATGGCACAGGAATACCGTTGTATCTGCTTATTCTTGATTTTTATCAATGGAAAAAAATTATTAAATTCCCATGCAACATTAACTACCACAATAATACACACTAGGGCTGCTGCACCCACCAAGAGCTCTGCCGCCATCCTCCTCCCCTACCTCCCTTCCTTTCTCCCTCCCTCCCTCACTCCAGTCCTAATCATGTGTGTGCATGTGCACATGTGTGTGCTTCTGTATGTGTATGCCTTACTGTAGGACTACAGTGTGCAATATTGCTGTCACTGACTGCTCACAGTATGCCAAACAGCACTGAATGGGTTAATTGGCATTTTAAAAAGGTAATTGTGAAGTGTAACCGGCAGGGTTATCACCAGAATTGGGAGGTGGAATGTAGGTCTCCCACCCACTGGAGACTCTTACATCTTGAAGAGCAGGCTGAAGACAAAAGCGATGCTACTGCTGTTTCTTGATTTTCCCTTTCAGCCGCAACTGCTAACCCCCAATGCTCCCTTTTGAATTTACTGTATCAAGCCAGTAGTTACAGCAGAGTAGTATGTGCTCTGTCCTGACTACAGAATTACCTTGGGATTTGATTGTAGCATAAATATGCAGCAAATCATTGTATGTGTGGGGTTTTTTAATCATGCATAATGTATGTACACAGAATTTGTTTGGAAAAGAACTACAAAATGACTGGAGTCAACGAAACCAACATATTTTAAGACATAGCCATGACTTTTAGTGTAGAATCTAACATTTTTAAATGGGCTTTTAAACAAGTAATTGTGAAGCATACATAAATGCCATTTATTGCAGATCATGATTGCTACAAAATACAGATTCAGCTGTCACGAGTGTCTTCCACTGGCACCTAAGGTAACTTCTTGGTTTAACTTTGAAAAGGAAGTGATTCATTTGGTAGCTAGAACATCTTTCATTACATTTGAATAAAAGAAAGATAAGAAAAGGGAGTTATTAAAAAGAGATTTCTAAATGGCATGGGAAGCTAAAGGGGCAAATCATATTTTACCTTATACCACAATTAAATGCTCACTTGTCCAGGCTCAAACACAAATATGCACAGACACAGTACACTCTCTGAAGCCAGAGACTATGTCTTCTTTATCATTCCATCCCTTGCAATTCCCAGCACACTGCTATCAACATAATAGGTGTGCAATATACATTGTCAAAATCAATGGCTTTGTGAAATGAAACAGAATTAGAAGAGAATCATTTACTTAAAATATTAAGGATTGTGAACTTTGGCCACACCAAAATAGGCCAGTGGATGACCACGGGGGTACTAAAGATCTGCAATAGTTCCAACTCAAGAGAAACAAAATTAAGTAGAGGATAAGAATATATTTTCTTATGATAATAGTTTTCTGGCAGTGGCCTTAATCTTCCCTTGATGTGGAAGAAAGCATTATTATAAAGATATAAAAATACCTCAAACATACGATGGATCTTTTCTCTAAAAAGAAGAGATGATATCAGTCTGCTCCCCACCCCTCACTTTTCTCAATACACACCCTGTTCAATTTTCCTATCTGCCCTGTGCCCGGCAGCCCAACTCTAAAATTCTTGGCTTGAGAACAACCCAGCACCTTCAGAATTGCTTGAGTAGCAGAGTCAGTCTTGGCAGAAGGTGAGTGTGGCCCAGTGGTCTGTCAATCAGAACCTCGAAGTCTGGGCAATGCCACACACTCCCCCCCACACACATGCATGTGCGCCCACGTGCCATCCCACCAGGAAACTCTGAATTGGCTTTCCCCCTCTGCACCAGTCTGCAACAGTGCAGGAATCCATACCAGCTCCAGTCTTCTCTCCTGCAGGCAGCTTCCCTCTTAGGAGAAACAAAGTAGGGGGGATTGCAAAGGATCAATACCTCTTCTGGTGCAAACAGAAGGGTGAACAGAACTGTATTCATTTTGGACTATGAAAATTGCTCCTTTTTACCTCACCTCCTTGCTATTTATGAAAGAAATCTCAATTAATACTCAATTAGTATAATTAGCACCAATTTACTGTGACTTTAATAACTTGGGATAATTTCATTTAATCTAGTTCATATCCATAGCCAATATTACAATAAACAGTTGCATTCTTTTTTTTATTTTTTGGACTAATGTAGACTTATTTGTCCACTTTCCTTAATGGGAATTCATTTACAAGTACTGCCAATATCCTCCTAACAGGTATGCATTTAAATGGTTTCCAGTAGAATTCTACTGTCAGCATCCAAGAACACGTGGACTGTGGGTTCCCCTTTTGCCTTCTGCATCTTTACTTACTTGTGCCCAAGCCTAATGCAGTATAATTGAAACAATTTTATTGTCTGGAGCTATTCATTCTAATGTTTCAATGACAGAAAATACTGGTCAATTTGACAAGTTAATATGACTTCAGTGGTCATTTGAACTCCTTTAAGCCATTGGGTGCTAAAATTGCTTGTCACCTCTTTTCACCTGCAAACGAAATTCAACCAGTATGTGAGGTTGGTGGGGGGAGGGGAGGGAGGTGGAGAAAGTTTTTCACTGAAAAGCAGCTCTGTCAGGAGTAATTGCAAGTTTTGATAATTGATAGGACACTGCCCCTTTTTCAATGGCAAGATCTCTCGAAGCAGCACTTGACTCTCCTGTTTGCCACCTTTATTAAAACTCATAAACTTTTTGTCTGTCTCATATGCTAACGGCTTGACTATTCTCATCTCTCCCCTTCCAAATATATAAAACACTGTCCTTAAAAACAATGTCTTAGTCACTAAAGAAGCAAATAATGTGGATCATTATTCAGGACTACATTTAAAGGGCATTCCCTAAAACTTAAGCAGGCCCATGTGTGCCAGCGGCAACCGACAATGCTGGTTCTAAGCTTCCTACTATTAATACAATCTCACACAACAAGGTTTTGACAGTAACTGCTTTGCAAGCAGTTTACTAAAAAAAATAGAATTATCTTTTTTGTGCATATTTCTGAACCATTCCTTGGTGACCTTAAAACAGATTGCTTTAAATAGAACGTTTTAAATAAGTTTACATATAACAAAAAATCCACTTTTTCAACTAAATAGCTTATAGATTTATTTCACCTAAATAGAGTTCAGATTGCATGGTGGGACCTAGTGTCATTCGTTCTATATTTTTCCAAGGAAACCCTTGATTCTAATGGCATCCAGGAGGCCCTCAGTGTATGCTGCCTATTCTTACAACGACAAAAGCTTTCTCTACAGTTTGGGGTATAATTTCTTCTTGAAAGATAAATTTTTAAATATTCCATTCTTTTTGGGGTGGGGGGGAATTTAACTTTGCTTCTTTGGTTGGCTCACTCCACTTGGTTCTGTAAATTCACCCTGGCACTGCTTCTAGGATAGCATGACCACAGACATACGCAACCTGTTTTCACTTCCCATATTTCACTGTAAGGAGTCCTGCGTTGACCAGGGCTCCGCATTTTGCCTTTAATCTTACCATTTTGCTTTTTAAGAGTTCTCACTGTTTTGCACTGGAAATTTACCCTACCTCCAGGATCAACATATATCCTTCTGCTCACTCAGGACAAAAGCATGAGAAGCCTGATATTTCAACTAGAAAAGTCAAAACAGTTTGTAGATTTTTTAGAATGCTTTTTCTGCACCTCTGATGTTGTTCTGAAAAGACAAAATCCAATTTAAATTTGTACCAAGAAATAAGTAGAATAGATTCGTAACTTCCTCCACCTCCACCCGAAACAGCTGCAAACTGGTCTGTGGATGAATGTTTTAGACTATAGATTCAAAGTTTTCAATTAGAAACAATTTCATGGGATTCTTATTATGTAGACCATGATGTTATCTTTGCCTGGATAGAGGCTAATGTTTTGCTCTTTAACAATTTTTTTGCTTTTCCTTGGTGCTTCGCAGACCTTCAACATGGGAATACGTATGCCAAAAAAGGTTCCCCAGAACAGAAGGTGGCCTAATTATTAAAAGGAAGGGCCTTCCTGTGTGTGGTGATCTATTTGTGTGTAAGATTCTACAACTGTGAAGGGCCTCATGTACCATAGAAGGAAAAAAGAGATGGGAAAAAAAGGGGGGGTATCAAAGTCCTCAGTGGAGATACATCAGAGAGATTACATAAGAAGGGAAGCATAGTTTTAGAGCCCCCAGAATTCTTGACCAAAGAAGTAGTCCAAGGTCTACATCAAAAGAAAGTAGTGTCTGTGTCATCATAGCCTTCGCTGTGATCTTTTGCCCTCAGTCTCAGAGTAATCAAAAGTCATGCTTAAAAAAAAAAAAAAAAAAAAAAAAGGCTATCTCTTTAAAATTAGATCATCGCTCTGTATTAACATGCAGAATGAGTTGTCAATTGACCAAGCAACAAATGTACTTCCTCATATCCTCATTTTCACTTCTATCTATGAATATTTTAAAACCCTAATGTGCGCTTGGCCATTTGGGTTTTAAGAGAAGACTTATCACAGGGGTAAAACCCTTCATTTTTATCCCTTAGCTGAGGGCTTCTTTTTCCCTTTTCCAGGGTGTCATTAAAAATCTGATGCCAAGAGCTGGGACTTGGCAAGGTTTGCAATATAATTTGCAATCTGCAGTGTTTGCTGGCTAGCCCCCACCGCCCCCCCCCCTTTATTTTATTTTTTTCCCCTTACCAGCCTGCCTGCTAGAGTCAATAGGGGGCATCGCTCATCTGTCTAAAAGAAAAATAGCAGCATACTAATTAGAATTCTATTTGCCAGAAGCCTCGGAGTTGCTGTGCTTATAGATTTCAAGCTTCTTTTGTTTGAATTAAATTGCCAACTTTTTTTTCTTCCTTCTTTGCAGTAGCATGAGAGAGCGGGTGCCTTATTTGATTGAAGGGGGGTAGCGGGGAAGGTTGCATGCGGGAAGAGTCCTAGCTATGGAAATGCTGAGGAAATGTCAGGGTTGTGTTTTAAAATGCCTGGTATGCTTTTCAGGGGCTGACTCCTGTCTTTTGCAGAGTTGTTTTGGGGGAACTGGTGGGAAGGTGGAGAAGTTCAAAGGGTGGAGGCTAGCTCAGCAGCAGAGGCCCCCGGCCTGATGCTGAAATTCTGGGGGCGAGCTGACACACTTGCCCCGCAAAGCCAGATTGTTCATGCTCAGATAAAAACCCTGGGCTGGGATCACAAAGCTGGTTCATAATGGAACACGCAGTCTCTCTAGCTCTGTTGAATATTCCTCTCATGGGTAGGTAGATGAAACTGGCAAGACCAAGATGCAAAGAAAGGACCATCTTCAATAGTAACCTGTTTTTATGACCCTTTAATAAACTTCTCGTGGTCTCTTTTTAAAATGTCAAAAAGTTTCCCATGAAGAATGTGAAGGCAATACTCACGTTCTCTTTCAAAAATTACACACAGCAGAAAATGTGGGGTTCCAGAAAAGTACCAAAATGTTTCGGTGAGGAGCATAAAATGATTCAACATAATCCCATTGTCAGGAATTGCCACGTAAGTCCCAGTGTATCCCTCAATCCGATAAAGGCCTGGAACTAACCAAATGGAAGGCTAGACCTATGATTCCAACCCCACAGATACTTAGCAATTTGGCTCTCAACTAAGCTAATATAAAGGCTCACAGCAGCTCATTATTAAGTTAATTATCCTTTGAAACCCAAGAAACAAGAAACATAGACCCTACTGGATATTTAAGGACTTGGCAATGAAATTTGCAGTCCAAATGCAATTGTCTATAAAATAATGAGATATATTATATGTGAATGTGTAAAGACAACGTTGTATTATATATTATAAAATTGCATTGACCGATACAACATGGAGACTGGGGGTCCTAGTTTTAAGTAATTTTCTTAGGAGGGAAATATGTTGTTACAAAGCATTCCAGTGCCAGGACCAGTGTCTATGGTGAAAAATTGTTCATTTTTACATTTGCACCATAGACATTGAGGCTGGCACTGGAGTGCTGCATCCACCCCCATCTTCCAAAGAAATATGTCTCCTCCTGCATGTTTAAAGAGCGTGATCTCCTGGCAAAGTGTGAAAACCCCATGAGTTTTGTAAAAATGAACCGTAACCTCTACTGTTAGTGCCAACTTCTTAGCTACTTAGTGTATTTCTGTTTTTCTTTGTTAGACCATCCAATTCAAGAGAAAGGGATAAGATCTTATATTGGTGGACCTGTGAATTACATGGGAGACAGTTCAAAGGTAATTATCTTGAAGAAATTTGCTGACCAGAATATCTGCCTGAGCTCAAAATGCTTACAGATGTTAGAAACACATTCCTTAAGATTGACAAATTTTAATTGGAGTAGTTTTGGGGTCTGGGTCTTGCCCAAGCAAGAACTTACTTTGTACATGTCTCTCAAGAAGCAAACATTTTCAGATGTTTAGAAATGATTACATCCTGTACTTCAAATAGACATTTTTTTGTTACACATTTATTTTTTTCTCCCTCTATACACTCGTTTAAATTTCTTAATAGCACTCAAAGCTGGAAAGCAAAATACTGATGCTTACAGTATCGTGAAAAGCCTAGAGCCAACTCCACTCACATCTTCTTGAATTACTTTTCCAATTCTAAGACTCTAAGCATCCAGTTCTCCTTTATCTGTTCTTGTTATAAAAAGTGGCAGGAGGCAGAGTGGCAGAATGACCCACAAGATGGCACCTGTCACCAGGGGATTTTTCCTGCATTCTGTAGGCCAAATTTTGTTTGAACTCACTGTGGCCTCTGTCATATCCTCAATTTCCCTCCACTCTTGGCCCTACCTCTTAATCCCCTTGGTGCAGGCTGAGGCTGTTTACCCGGCTCCTGAAACCTTTTCCTTTGAGAAGCCAAAGTCAAACTTTAATTTGAAATCTGGGCTCAGAATGAAGCAGCAGAAACCGTGACCAGGTATTGGATATTGGGGTGCCATAGCAGCCTTCTTGTGCTTAGAGCCAGTGATGGAAAAGATTGCTTTTTTAAGACTGATTTTCCCTGTGGCATTACCCCCGACCCTAGGCCTCAAGATAAGGAAGCTGATTGCAACACTAATGAAACTATAGGATTTTGGTTTCTTTTAAGGCAAATGCATGACAAATGGATGAAATAAAAGCGTCTTGAAATGAGCCTGCTGCTTTTAACCATGGCTGGAATTAGGCATATATCTATGCATATTACATCCAAGTTCTTCATTTGCAAAGGAGTCAAAAATCTAATACAGGAAAAGGATAATGCTTTTGAAGAAACAACAGGTTTTTAATAAATAACTTTTCTCACACAACACAAGTACACAAATAATTTTATGATGTGTTTGGCAAATTAGAAATAGTTTCTGTTTCTCCAGCCACTAAAACTGTGTGATTTGGAGGAATCTGAATATCCAGGGATTCGTTCAGCAAGTGATTAGATGTCAGTGTATTAAGTCAGTCAGTGTGTGCGAAAGACTCTGTAACTGTGTTGGCCAAAGGTTAGTTTTATTATCAGAACCATGAGACGTCTTTAAATGTTAAAACCATTAACTTATTAACACAAGGATGAGGAGGAATATTACTTTATCAATATCTTTGAAATAAACTCAATTCGAATAACAGAATTTTTGTTTCATATTAATTAAATAGACTATTCGAAATAATTAAAAGCCAGGCTGGAAAAGGGGGCACAGTGCAGGCAGGAGCTGGTGGGGAGGCCACTCGTTCACACTGGAGCAGTGGCTGCATCTTATTCTGGTGGTGTCCAGGGAAACTGACAACTTCTCTGCACCAGCAGCCTGACACCTCTGCCTCTTTCGGTACCCCTGCCTCGCCAAGGCAGAGAAGGCGATAGAGGAAGTCTGCCACTGGCAGGGCACAGTGACCCATTGTGTGACAAGCCCCCGCCTCTTCCCTCAGCCCCTCAGGCGGGCAGGGGCTGTGGCTGTCCACAGTCCCACTGAGTTCTCTCTGCGTTTCAGCAATGGCGCCAAAAAGGGTCTTGAAGCATTGTAATTAAACTCATCTACAGCTGCTGTAATGAAACACATCGGAGAAACGCATTGCATGTCAAGGACAGCTAACGTTTGTGCTTCTTTCATAATCTTTTTTTTAATCATTGTCGTTTTCTGTGTTTCCTGTGTGAATACCATTACTTCTGCTTCTTTTAACTACCTTCCTGCTCACTTGGGAGTCATTTTTAAGGTCAGCCAGTATACATTAATCCTGCCTCCAGTAAAAATTTACTCCTCACGATAGAAAAGACAGGCCTATACAATAACACATGAAAAAGTCATTCATTATTTATTTTTAAAAAGCAAAAGGAATAGGCTGCCTTTTTGCCCATTACACAAGTGCTATATGAACACTGCAGAGTGTGTGTGTATGTGTGTGTGTTTATTACAGAAATACTATCCCCTATATCTCATTGCTTTTCTCATTATTTTAGGCTTTCCCCAAAAGAGGAATAAACAATAACATTTTCACAGCACTCAAATGGAATACCATTGATATCTTTCCTTTAAATTTGTCACCCATTTGCTTCTAGTGTTTGATGCTCTGCCTCTCCCGACAGATAAGTCATGTCTTTTTTTCCCTGAGAGACTGAACCACGCAAAGAAAGGGAGGGGCCGTAGCAGGAAAAGGAGCAAGAAGGAGAAGCTGAGATCTTTACTGTATGTGCATTTATCTGTCTCTAAGTAGGACTTGAATATAATTCGGTGAGACACTCCTCTCCCTTTTGAGCTGGGCACAAAAACAAGCTCATGAAATCAAACAAGAGGGCAAGAGCTTATCTTCCCCCAACAAATTTATCAAGAGAGAGTTTGTGGTGGGCTTATGAAACTGTCATGGAGGGACAAGGTAGAGATCAAATGTACTGTTGAGTAAGGAAACGAAGCACAAACTTTGCCCAGAGCTTGGGGACAATGATGCTCAAAGATTAACCCACCCTCTCAATTAACACCTCACATGAAAATCCCTGCAAGGTCATGGGATCTGTGCTTCGGTGCGGTCAATCAGCGCCGCCCGCCTCCATACAAACTGAGATCGAATGCAGAATTAACACCGGTCCCCAAGCCCTCGCTCACAGACTCACGTCAGATTAAGCCCTTGCACAGAGAAGATATGAAAAGCATTTCTAATTAGGGTCTGAGGTTACTGGTTAAAATGCAGTCGAGCAGTCTACCAACCATTCTTCTCCTTTTTTATAATTTTAATTAAACTCAGATACTATTTAATTCCTACCTGCATAGATTTAGTGCTACTTGAATGCAAACCTGATAAAGAATACTCCTGATCCCCACTTAGCTGCCACAAGGACTTATTAAAGAGGGGGTGACTGTCTCCAAGATCTTCCAGGAGTCCCTTTGCAATAATTACTTTTCTATCAAATGAAAAGCATAATATTTTTCTGTAAATAGGTTTTTTCCCTGTGAAACTTTGACTTCCCTACTCTCTTGACAAAATTGTAATTATAACTTCACTGTAGGGGTTACTTTACATCAGGCTAGCCATTAGAATGCTTTTTCTTGCATACCAAAGCTCTGTTTCCTCGTGGCTTACCGTAACTTGAGATAGACACTAGAGAATTTTTCCTACAAATGTATCACTAATTAGATGTGGATGTGTTGATTCTGTATTTTAAAAAAAATGCCATTGACCAGATCTTATTTGAATTATTAGGAATTCTGCAGTGTGTCTGAGTCCTTCTGCCATAGTCTGATTAGCAGTCTAGAGCCTTGGTACCAATTTTTAATATCTGCAGTGACCCCAGAAGCCTTAAACAACATCTTCGGCATACTGAAGCCTTGTTACTCCAAAGCACAGGTCTGAATAATTCAGGATCTGTGACAGCAGTTCTGCCTTTATGAAACCATGTGGGAGACTTTGCGATTCTAGCATCTGTAATGCTAGTTTCTTCTCCATGGCCTTTCTATTTCTCTCCCAGTGGTAGCTTCAAATAGCCACTGCTTCAAAAATATTTTTGTAAAGTCTTGCTGGAATGACAACAATATTCAAATGTATCCAAATAAGTTTCTGTTTTAAGTAATCATAGCAGAACTCCTGCTTAATTATGCAGGCCTAAAACCTCCCTTCAACTGGGTGGCAGTTAAAATATACTCTCATGTTTGATTTCTTAAAAGTGTTATTTGCCATTTTTAAGATTAAACGAAGTGAAAACAGGATGTGCTATCATTAGACAATCTATTTTACATTTAAGGAAAGACACTTTGAATAAATGACATGGGAAGAAATGTGCTTTACATTTCTACAGATTGGCTACCGATCTAAGCACAAGATTTGGAAAAGTTTGGAATCTTAGAATAACTAGAGCTTTAGGCACCACAAAATCCAAAATTTTAAAGGACTAGATGCAACCTTTTTTCCTCTCCCCCTTTTTCTCCATAAGCCACTGGCTGTAACTCAGAAGTACCCAAAAAGTGTCAGACTCTCAAGTAGTCAACTGGTACCCTGGGACCAGGGCATTAGCAGGGGTGTGTGCTCAGTGCTGTTTACAGAAGTGATCTGGAACTTGCTTGAGACTATGCTACAAAGGACCAAGTCTTACGCCGAGCATTTTGCCTGAGCCTCAGAGCATGAAGCTGGTGATTTGGCACACACATTGCATCAACAACAGGTTCTACTCTCCTCTAGAGAGCAAGTGCAAGAACATGTTGTGGGGGCAAGATGAGCTTGCTGAGGTTAGTGTTAACACTCTGTCTTCTCAAAGTTTCTTTCCTAGTCCACCTTTTCTGTCCTCACTGCCGTGAGTCTGTATCGTTCCTTTACCCATCTGTCACCTGGATTATTGCAAGAGATTAATAATTGCCCCCCTCTTCCTAATATATTTTCCCCTACTATAATCCATATTCAACCAATGATACATACTTCTCATGGTTCCCATTTCATACAGAATACCTTCACATCTACCTTCTATCTACTTGGCAAACCATGTGGCTTATACACCTCCATGAAGCTATCATCCAACCTACCAATATATGTGCAGAAACTTGAACACATTTTGAATTTTCCTATCTCAAGGTTTGGAAGGACAGCACAGTAACATGATAAAGAACAAACTGAGGCTGGGCACGGTGGCTCATGCCTGTAATCCCAGTACTTTGGGAGGTTGAGGTGGGCAGATCATCTGAGGTCAGCAGTTCGAGATCAGCCTGGCCAACATGGTGAAACCCTGTCTCTACTAAAAATACAAAAATTAGCCAGGTGCGGTGGCATGCGCCTGTAATCCCAGCTACTTGGGAGGCTGAGGCAGGAGAATAGCTTGAACCTGGAAGGAGAAGGTTGCAGTGAACCAAGATCATACAACTGCGCTCCAACCTGGGTGACAGAGTGAGACTCCGTCTCAAAAAAACAAAAACAGACTGGCATCCTCATTCCCCATTTCCTAGCTGGGTGACCATGGGAAAGTTACTTAACCTCTTGGTACCTCACTTTCCTCAACTGTAAACTGGGGCTAAGTATCCCTACCTATACACAGAATTGTGAGAAAAAGTGGGTTAGTGCCTATAAAGGGCTAAGAACAATGCCTGGCACAGAGTAAGTACTTCATTACTGCTATTTTTCAAAATATCATTCAAGCCACTCCTCGCTTGCCTGGAAAACCTTTCTAGTATCTGCCTGTTGAATACCCAGTGTTCTTTTAAGGCCTGTGTCCTCTACGAAATCCCTCCTGGTGCTCCCAGTGAGAATGGGGTAACTCTTTCTCTCCCATGTGCTCCTTCCAGCACCTGACACCCTGGCATTTATTACAGTTGTCTAAGCAGGTCAGCGGTTCTCTAGCTGTATGTCATGAAACAAGATCAGTTGGCCTCAGGTTTTGACCTGGGGGTAAAATATTCTCAAGCTACAACTGAGGATGCATGCTGGTCCTGGGGATGTCAGACAGATCAGAGCACGAGCTCCTGGAGGGCAGCCTGCGTCTGTTTTATCTTTGCATCTCCCATCACTCTAAGCACAGTGCTGTGAGCAGAGCAGATGCTTAGTAAATGTTTGTTAAATTAAATCTCAGGCAATTTGCTTCGATTTACTTAGAACTCCCTGGGTAAGTAATCAGTTCCTATGCCATTCAATGAGTTTTTAATAGCATTTACATTGGACTCGCCATATAGGTTAATCAAAACCAGCTCTCTTAGTCCCTGGTTCAGACTCAGGGATTTCACACAAAAAGACTCAGGTCAGTGCCTTTGCCTATCTTAACAGAGACTGAAACTGAATAGGAGAAGCCCTAACTCCCCGTAAATTTCTCTCCCGTTTGCTAAACAGGCATTTTAGAAAGAGACCCATTAGACAGGCCAATGGAGTCAAAGATTTGTTTCCAAAGAACGACCAGTTGTCTAAATTGTTGAAATGAATTGATTGTTTTTAGAAGGCTTTATGTTTTCAGAAATTGTGTAACATCGTTTCAGGGTTTATTGAAAATGTTCAAGTACTTGAAATTCAGAAAAAAAAGAGGGCCCAAAATTTAAACCCAAATATAATTACAAATATTTCTAACTACATCATCTCCATGAACATATCTGATATGAAAATTAAGTGAAATTAATTTGAATCTTAACTACTTTGCTGGATTTTTTTTTCTTTTTAAAAGAAAAAAAAGTTCCACAATAGTCAAATATAAAAAAGAAGAAAATTGGAGGTATAGACTTAGGGGTAAACAGAAAAATGAACGAAATCCTAGATGACTAAACATAGAGAAAATATTTTTTGAGGATCAAATGCTGCCGATGTATGAATCTTTTGCCAGTTATCTTGTTTGAAAAGATATTTCCAGGCTTCCTTGATTGAAATAAATATTTATTTGATGAGCACATATTGATTACCTATAATGTAGAAAACATAAAAATTATATTAACAAAATAAATTCCTCCAACTGTAACACCTGGAAATTAAAACCAATTTTGAGAAACACCTTGTGCCAAAGTCTTGGTTATGTTATCTCCTTTAATTCTCACACGGCTTCCAAAATTTCCCAATTATCCAATTGTGTAATGTACCTTCAGATAATTAAATGGGTTGACTTTCTAAATGAGATTATAACTACAAATACTGAAACTTTAAAAGAGCTCTTCCTTTGTATGACAGTTATGATTTCCATTGTATAGATAAGAAAACTGAGGTTCAAAGACAGTGATGGGTACTGTTGCACAAGTAGAAAACAACAGACATTTAAACCTGAGCATCTCTAATCTGAAGTCCAAGTGCTTTCCCCTACACGAGTTTGAGTCTTTCCTCAAGAATTGTCCCATTTATTCATGTATTCATTCATTCAGAAAATATTTATTGGAAGCCATTGATATGATTGTCATTTTTTTAAGGCTCTGGGAACACAGCAAGTAACAAAACAAAATTTCACCCTTTCTTTCCCCCGCCAGGACACAGGAGATATTGGTGGTGGAGACAGACTGAACTTTCTTCCCTACCACCACGGTCACTCTGCTTCCTTCCAGTATTTCTGATGTCTAATCTTTACATCATAACAAGCCTGCTTTGCCTTTTACTAGAGTAGAAGTGGGGAACTAGATATCAGGATATTATCTTTATTGAACCGACCCATATCTTCCATGATATTGTCTGCTACGATTTTCCCTTTGGTTATAACAGCTTCGAAGACAGAGGAATTTGTAATGGCAGAAATAAGTGAATATGAGAGAGATATGTGAAACCTGCGTCTTCAGTACCTTCTACCTTCATGCAAATGTTTATCAATGATTAACTTAACCGAGTGCATGCCTAAAATGGATGTTCCACATATTTTCCATCCAGGCGTCCATTTGACTCAAGGACACATGCTCCATGAGCAACATTTCAGATTAATGAGTGGAGGCCCACAGCAAAGCCAGGTTAATATATTTCCTTGTTGCCAAATCTGATAGTTTCCATCTGCTATATCACGCATTAATGTCCCAGAATGCTTAAGTTGCTTAATAGAGTAAATATGAAAATCACACAAGATTTTATTTCTCATAAAGTCTCTCTAAAGCAAAAGCTGCAAAGCAATATTCAACAACAGAACATCAACAATGACAATATAATAATGATAGGCAATGCTCTATCAAATACATAATTAATAAGTTAATTATTTTCTGTGTAATATCTGCATCCTACTGTGCAAAGTAACTGGATCTCGAAATTTTCAAAGATGACAAGATTATCATTATTAATGTTCTAGGACACATGTATTTATTTTTAATGTTATTAATGTTACTAATGATGGAGAATACAAGAGTCATTCTGAGGTAAGGAGGTGGTTCCTTCTGATGAGTCCACTTGGGTCTCAGAATTTAACATTCCTTATTGATTAATAATTTATCTGTGGCTTAAGCCAACTTTTTGTGTATCCCAGTTGTATATCCACATATATATTTGTCTACTAAATTACTTTAAAGAGCTCTAAAAATAATTGGCCTATTATCTCACACAGATAGTTGTGATTGAGATGGTTAGAATTTTAGAAATTATAAACATCAGAGTGCTTGTTTTATGCTTTTCTTTTTTCTCTGATTTTTTTTTCTGGCAGAGGAAAATCTTTGCCTTCTCAGCCTTAGACCTCAGAGATATATGATTAGTTAAATCTGTGGAAGATTTAAAATAGTTTATTTCCAAAAATTCAAGGCTACTCATAAATCTATGCTTCTCATGGCCTAGAGATTCGAGGTTTTCAATACGTAGCTACTCCCTTCACATGGCTACTAAGCACTTGAAATGTGGCTACTCTGAATTGACTTGTGCCATAAGTGTAAACTGCTCTCTGGTTTTTGAAGACTTAGTATAGAAAAGCCCCAAATTTGATTAATAATGTCTTAATATTTATTATATATTTAATTTATTTTGGACTTATTGGTCTATCTAAAATATTATTTAATTTTTTTTTACTTTTTAAATGTTGCTATGAGAAATTATATATGTAGTTCAAATAATATTTCTACTGGGCAGTGCTGCTCTACAGGTCAATCTTTGGAAGTGGCTATTAACCCATTTTACAGATGAGAAAATTCAAGTCACAGACCATGAGTGATGGACTGGGATATGAATTCAGATCATTTGGTTCTAGAAACCATGTTCTTAACCTCTGTACAATATTCCCTCAGAAACAGGCTCAGACCCCAAAGACTCAACTCCTTCCCCATGGATACCCTGAGCTCAGTAGCTTATGAGAGAAGTCCAGAACCATCAATGCTCTAGCACCTGAAAAAAAATGTCCCAAACAGGACAAACAACTCCAAGATAGGATGGCAACAGCCTTGGTTATATAAAAATATTCTCAGACAAGACGTGGGCATTGTCTATAAATGAAAACAAGGAGCAATTTTTGCTGAGTTAATTCTGCAGGAAAGGCAGGGACTATCAGCATGCTTCTCGGCCCCATATTTGCATCGGTGACTGGCACTCTATTAGGATTGGTATCAAGGGGGTGGGATCCTGGTTTCCCTGGATTTGGGCCTTTCACGCCTTCTGATTGATAGCTTCTAGTTGTAAAGCGGTCACCCGCGCAGCTGTCTCGTGCTCCTGTCCGCCTTTCCACTGCAGTTGATGCAATTCTGGTTTCATTCATCAGCCCCCTTGAATAGCAACATCCTCCAGTTGGAGGAAAACCTGCTGTCGCCATGCACAGCCCACATTTGCATGCATGCACTGTCCTGCCAAGCACTCGGTGGCACTGTGTCTGCCAACTGACAGGCAGCTCGTGGATCCCATCCCTGATAAGTTTTCTAGTTTCTCAAATTATCTGTGTTTTACTTCGCTTTCATGCTCAAAGCATAACAAATGTCTTTGATATGTTTCTGTGTGCTGTGGAATGCCAATGGCGTCAATTGAACTGTATCACACCGTGGAAACGGCTGTTTTGCAGATCCTCAATTGGCCATAAGCTATAAATATCTGCTGTTTCATGATGCCTTTGATTGCTACATAAACTCTGATCATTAAACATTGATCAAAGATGGCTTGTGATCAAATGGCATTATGCTATGATGATATGGATGCAATAGGCAAGGGTCAGGATCAGGTGTTCTGTAGACGCCCATGCCCTCATTGTGGACAGGCTACCCCTAGGCTCAGATGTGCCTGTTTTTTGGTCTTTCAGGGTAATTTTAATGAAATGCATTGTCCTAGAATTTTTGTGGCTTATAATATGTTTCTTTGGAAACATAACATGTTTATGGAATTACTTCTGCCTTTTAGGAACACTTGCAAACATAGGAGGATGAAGAGTTGTGAAGAAATAAACAAACAGCAAAACAGACAAGGCACACAAATATAGATTGAGAGCTAGATAGACAGATAGACAGACAGACAGATGAGTAGTTTTCTATACATTTAAATAACTTTTTATTTCTTTTCCATATTGACAAGTAATAGCTGTTGATTGTAGAAAATTTGAAAAATAAAGAAAAAAAATTACACCAGGCCTAGGAACCAGAAATAATTCACTCTATTAACATTTTGGTTTGCCTCCTTTTGTTTTTTGCTATTCACAAATGCTGCTTTTCCAAGCATTGGAATACACTTTGCATCTGTCCACATCACACATAAGAGTGCCCTTAGCACTCTTTTTTTTTTTTAACTTACATATTTATCCTGAACATTTCTTTGTGGCATTATTCTCCAAGAATACATGTTGTAATATCTGCATGGTAAATCATGTGGATGTTCCATAATTAATTTAACTCCCCTACTGTTGGACATAAATACCTTTTTTTCTTTATCTCTGTAGGCTATCTAGCACATTGGGATCACTAAATAGAATACAGGTTGAAATGGACTAATATAAATTAAATAAGTAGTCTAAAGATCAACTTTCCTACAAAACAACATTTGTATTCACATCCAACATTGTAAATGAAACCAAAATTTCTTAGTGAATTAAGTCATTGGGGATTTTTAAAAATATGCATTTTTTTCTTGCTCAGTTAAGCAAAATCATCTCTCAATGGAGAATTATCTCTCCCACTTATGGTTGATATGCACTGTTTTCTATTTTCTCAGAAAACTCCCAAAGACATCAAGTTTATCCTGATTGTTTGCCTCTAAAATCAGAGTTTCATTTGTAGTAACTCCAATTTAGATGTAAGATAATTAGCAAAATCCCAAAAAAGTGATCAGATTGTGAATGTGCTACTTGACTGGGGCATTACAGTCATTTACTGTTCAATTCCTATGATGTTGGAACAACTGAATAAATGTAAAATAATTGCCTAGTATTGTCAAAAAAAAAAAAAAAAAGAGAGTAAATGCCATTTGGCCTAATGGAGATAGTGCTGAGTAACAAAGTAGTTCTCTCATCTGAAAATAATGAAGTTTAACTAGAAGATCTCTAACTTCTTCTTTTCCTCTGAAATGCTGTGATCTGTTCATACTTCAATTCTTCATTCTCAGATAATATCAAGTCTCAAATATTGAGCAAATTGAATAGGCTTGTCTTAAAAAATAAAGACTACATTTAAGTGTGTGAAGTGTATGGAGATACAGATATAGAGAAATCGACAGATATGACAGAGGTGCCGATGTAGATATACATACAGACACTTGTATATATTCATTTCAGTGACCCACCCCAATAGAACCCAACTCCCAATATTCATGCCTTCCTTTAAAACTGGTCTGGGCCCTGTGAGCTACTTTAACCAATAAAATGTGGCATAAGTAATGCTGTCTGAAGTCAGGTCTCATAATCAAATGCTTGATACATTCTGTACGTGTCTGCTTTTTCACTCTTAGAAGCCAGCTGCCATGTAAGATATCTATCTGCCCTTATACTACCATGCTGTGAGGAAGCCCAAGTAGCCTATTTCTATGCCTAGAGAAGGATGGTCTCAGTCAGCTTCCGCCAGGAGAGCTCCCTGGTAGCACTTACTGCCAGCCAGGTGAATTAGGCCATTTTGGACCTTTCAGCCACCTCACCTCCCAGGTGACACCATGCAAAGAAGACATGCCTGGTCAATTTATATAATCATGAAAAATAATTGTTGTTTTAAGCCCCTAAGTTTTGTAATAACTTATTATGCAGCAATAGAAAATGAAATACAGTATTCACAAACTACACATCCAACAAATGACTAATATCCAGAATCTATAAGGAACTTAAACAATTCAACAAACAAAAACCAAACAACCCCATTAAAAAGCAGGCAAAGGACATGAACAGACACTTCTCAAAAGAAGACACATAAGGGACCAACAAGCGTATGAAAAAATGCTCAGCATCACTAATCACCAGAGAAATGCCATATGAGAAACCATAATGAGAAACCATCTCATACCAGCCAAAATGGCTATCATAAAAAAAAAAAAAGAAAGAAAAGAAAGAAAGAATAAACCAACCAGATGTACAACCTAGCTGTTGTACAATATGGTGATTCTAGTTAATAATGATGCATTTTATACTCAAAAATTGCCAGGAAAGTAGATTTTAAGTGTTCTCACCACACACACAAAAAAAATGATAAGTATGTGAGGCAATGGATATGTTAATTCCCTTGATGTAGCCATTTCACCATGTATACATATATCAAAACATGTTCAACACCACACGTATCTACAATTTTCAATTTAAAAATAAATTAAAAAATTAGGGAAACAGAGGGACTTTGCATACTGTATTTGTTAACTATTGCTACAGTGCACACCAAAATAGAACTCAGTGGCTTTAAGCAACATTTATTATTTTTCACACATCTGTGGTTTGTCTAGGGGTCAGCTGATGTAGGATGGGCTCAACTAGGATGTCTCTGCTTTCCACATTTCTCAGCCTCCTCCTGAAATCTGTGGGCTAGCCCAGAGATGTTTTTCCCATGATTATGGCAGAGGTGCTAGAAGGCAAATGAAAATATGCAAGGCCTCTTAAGGCAGCCCTTAACCTGGTGCACCATCATCTCTGCATTATTTTATTTACCAAAGCATAGCCCTGGCCAAACCCACAGTCAAAGGGCAGGGCAAAAGAGAGAAAAACTGCCTCTTTAGAGAGAAAAACTACAAAGTCACACAGCAAAGAGCATGAGGTCTAGAGGAAAAAAATAGGCCAATAGTGCAAAGAACAGAAAGGAAAATTTCCTGGGTCTTCTATACTATAGGAAAACAGGAAGGTCATTGATTTAGTAAAAATAAATGATCAACAATACAATGACGAAACCACAGGATCAAATGAAAAGGCAAAGTGTGGTCCTTGAAAAAAAAAATGAAGACACGAATGTCACTGTTATATAGCTAATAAATACATTTGATGTTGCTGAAAATCAAATTACTGAGATAGAAGAAAAGTTTGGGATTATCACCATGAATCCAGGGGGAGAAGGCTGCTGAGGACTTCGATTATGTCAGTGGGGAAACCAAAGAAAAGGACTTCCCTAGTGGCTCTATTTTAAAAATATCAGGCTGGGTGTGGTGGCTCACACCTGTAAGCCCAGTGCTTTGGGAGGCCAAGGCAGGAGAATCACTTGAGGCCAGGAGTTCAAGACCAGGTGATATATATATATATATATATATATATATATTGGCAGGACACTGATTGACCCAACTTTCATACCTAGACCATGTGCTCTGACCAGGGTATTGGAAAGAACCATTGTCAGGCTTGGTACTGAGACTCACGGAAAGGTAACTGGCAGCCTCCACATGAACCACACAATTGATGAGTGCAAGGAGCATTTCTCCTTCCAAAAAGAGTAATGGAAGTGTTATTGAGCAATGAAAACTCAGATGTCCTTTGCACATGTGGTTCCATTAAACCCAGAAATCTAGGGAAGTAAGGAGCAAAAAGGAATAAAATGGGCATGTCAGTGTCAATTTTGCCTATTCACAATTTAGCCCAAGGATGCCTATCCTCAGAAAAGTAGAACAGTAGAACAGGCTCTTCTCAATTCCTGTCACCCAATTTTCAGAGTGTTATTGTCATTACCAAGTCCAGGAACATCATCTCCACCTAAAATACTGTTTTCCTAGGAGGGTTTATCCAAAATCAACTGACTAGCTTACTAACTTTGGAACATAATACATATTCAAATTAGGAATGCCTGTGACTGATATGATTTGTTATCATGTGAATTACTATGCATAAAATATATAAATAAATACAACTGAAAAAAACAAAAATGTTAATAGTGGATAATTTCTACAGTATTGGATAAGGTTAGTGTTTCTTTTTTTTCTGATGTGTACTTTTCTGTGCTTTTAAAGTTTGCTAAAATATACCTGTAATGCTTAGGTAATCAAAATGTATTAAGGTTTGATATTTAATAATTAGATATACAGATGTTAGGTGGATTATTTTTATTGTAATGACAGTCTGACCTGCCTAATTATTTCAAGTTAAGCTTCACAAGCTCGCTAAGTACCAAAGTTTAGGCTCTAGTTCAAATATTTTGCTGTATTTTAAATATAAGAACTCGATTTTATCAATGAGTCCATTAGTAAGAGCCTGAAGGATTAATCAACTTTGACCAAACACTTAAGACGCTGATTTTTAAACTGCAGCCCAATATACTAACTAACCTATAGTGAAAGAGAGTTCTGTCCCTGAGACCAGGAGACACCCTTCTGGGTGTGAGGTCCAAACAGGAATATACTCGGAGTTAGTGAGGATTAAGTTTGGTCGCAGGCTACAGCAAACCCAGACTAAGAGTGACTTGAACCCCAAGGCTTTATTCTCTCACGCACAAATTCAGCCGTGTGCATTCCAGTACAGCCAGTTCACAAAATCATCAGGGACTCCCTGCAGCTTGCAGCTTCCCAATGTCTGGAGTGAGGCTTCGATCAACATGGAGTTCCAGCCACTGCTTTACATCACAACGGGAGGAAGGAGGAAAGAGAAGGAGAAAAGTACAGCCCTCCCTTTAAGGGCACTTCCAAAAGCTGCATATGACACTGTCCCTAAGTCCCACTGGCCAAAATTCAACCACATGGCCTTATCCAGCCACAAGAGGGGCTGGAACATGAAGTCTTTACTCCAGATGGTGTGTGCCCCTCACGGAGGGCTGTGGGGAGAACAGATAGTGGACAAGTAGCAATCTCTGCCACAAGTTATGAGAAAAACAAACAGGCAATATAGAACCCATGTAATGTGAGGGTATTCACATTTGACTTGCTCCATCTTCTCTATTTTTAAGAGCAATTTCATCTTAAAAACAAACACCAATTGCATGGAAATAAAAACACCTCCTCTCCTAGTCAGTGCAGAGATAAATCTCTCAGATTATACCTGCAGCCGTTCTTCTTTCTCTACATTATTTGCCACTTCCTAGAAACTTCCATCAGTAAAACCTCACCTGTTGACTTGCCGTAATTCCCAATAACTCATCTGATGTTAGTTTTACTTTTGACAACTTTTACAGATGCATCTTTATCCTAACGAGTAGGTTGTTTTGAAATCACAGTGTAGGTTGGATTAAAGTTCATCCCATGAGTAGAAGATTTTAACATCAGATATGAAGTTGACTATGTGCTTAAAATTGGGGGCAGGAGAGAGCAAGGCTCATGGGCTGTTTGAGCCCTGTTGTTCCTGCCTGCCTGCTGCATCTGTGAGCTCTGTACAGAAAGTTCTGCTCTGCTGCCATTCCCTCGCCCAGGCATTTTTCTGAAGTGGTTGAGCTTCAGGACATCGTTCTTTCATTTCCTTGGATAAATGAACTTTATCTTACAGACACCAGAGCAGGTTTGGGTTGCTTGCACTCTTCAGGCATCTTCCATCTTACTCCTGAGCCCCAACACATCTGGCCAGTTCAGACTGACCCTTCCAGTCGATTCACAATCTGTAAGATTTCTCATCCTCCAAGCTCGATAAATCGCTGAATGTTCCCTCATGGTACCAAACCAAGACGCTTATCCATGAAGAGCACAGAACTGAAATCCAGTATCCCACAATCGGTCATATAATGGTTCGTCCTAACCTCTGTGTCCTCTTTGGGATTACTACATCAGTGGGAAGCAGGAACATTGAGGAGAGAGTGGAGCAGAGAAGAAAGAATAGAAACTGGCAAATGAACAAAGACAGAAAATCTGGGGATGTTCCATGGTCAGGATGGGAAAGTACACACACCAAGCCATCTTGAAACTATATTTTCTGTGCATCCATGATCCTCTACTACTGGTCAATTTCTTTTTGCTGTTTTTCTTATTGCTTGAGTCCTACGATTGGTTTATAAGAAAATAAAATCCTACAGATCTAGGACTGAGGTAAGTCTAGTTCACTGCTGTAGCCTGTTGTCTAGAATAGTATCTAGCATTTAGTAATACCCAATGAGATAGTCGTTGATTGATCAACTAATGGTTTATATATTGTAAGCATATATTCTTCTATTTAAATTTAAAATTAATATGTACATACTTCTTATAATTAAGTGAGTTCCCATCCCACTGGGTAAGTGACGGTGCACCAATGGCTGCAGAGCTCCTCTTCTGATTTGTTGCTGTTTATACCAGCTTGGTAGGAAAAGCTTTTATTTCCCTGCAGAATTTTGTGTGAACAAACTGCATGTCTATAAAATTGTGCGTGGGTGTGTGTGTGCCTGCAAGGTGTTAAGACATTATTTATAGAAGAAAGATTCTTCACCCTCAATTCTAGGGGACCAAAAAGTCAAGAAACAGCACAGTCTGTCTCTGTGTATGTTCCCAGGAATTGTCAATAAGTTTTATAAACCAAATGAGATTGAAATACATTAACTCCCTAGGGAAAAAAAAAATAACTCATGATGAATGCTGTTAGAATGGTAGTAGCTACCCCGCTTCCTAAAACTGAATTTTTTAAATATAAGGAATTCTTAAAACGGATTACTCTACTTTCATAACTAGGTATAAGAACATTTATTTATATTGTAAATAGGCATTATTTATATATCACACCATATAAGACCATTTTAAAATCATGAAACAGCTGTATTAAAAGTTAGGCATCATAAAACTTAAGGATGTGTATATATTTTAAGCACTGCATTGTATTTCTAAATTTTGCTAGGCCTGAGGAGGTTGAGAAAAACATCCACTTACATTGTCATTATCTATAATGATTTTTAAAAATTATTTTTGTCAAATACTAGCTTTTTTTAAAAAAAGGCAAAAATTTTGCTTGTAATTAGTCAACAGATGGAGACTCAGCCAAAAATCTTAAGATGTCCTCAAAACCTATGTATCTCTTTTGAAACCCCAGTAGGGAAGGGAATAAGACAATGTCAATCACGCTGGAGCAGGAAACAATAGCTCTGGACACTGAATCTGGAGAAACACTATTAGGGCCCAGTGGAATCCAAGCCTTTCTCCACCTGGTCTGCCATATTTTCCTAAAAACTCTCAGTGTAAAGATGGTCTAAAAGGCTAATGTTAGGATCCACCAGTTTTCCCAGGAGGAGCAACCACACATTAGTAGAGGATTGTCAGAAAAGCTGGCTTGCAAGTTTAGGGCTAACCCTAAGAGAATGGCTCATGGAACACATATGTGTCCAGTCTTGAATGCCATGACTATTCCCAGAGCAGAATAGGATGCCTGAAACATAATTTAAGCTTAACCTTTTTTAAATGAGTGACTTAGCAAAAGTCATATAGACCTAGGGAAGGGCACTACTGTAGGAGTCATTGAGGCAACTAAAGGTCTCTGGTTAGTAGGGGAGACTAATGGCTAAGCTGTGAAGACAAGGAGATGCTAAACCATAGTAACTAAATAACACAGAAGTTTTTCTCCCCACATGGCTCTGAAGATGGCAGGTGTAGATGGTGGGACAGTGTTTCCTTCAAAAGTCATCTGTGGCCTCAGATCCCTTCCATCTTGTTGAACTACTCTCTCTCGGGATGCCATCTTCATCTGGGTGGCAGGTGCTCGGTCCCTGCTATGAACACAGTCCACATCTTACCCTGACAGCAGGGGAGAGACAGAAAGGAGGAGCACATCTCCCTCCTTTAAGGTCAAGACCTGGAAGTGGCACACAAAACTCTTACTTCTGTTGACAGAGTACATCTAGTCATCAAAGAGCATAAGAAATCTCATCTCAAGTGGGAGGTCATGGGCCAGGAAAATGTCCATTTCTGTAGAAGGAGAGGGGGCTGGGTGAGGGCAAAGAGTGGGGGTGGATATCTAGCAGTCAACTGAGATGGGGAACAGGCTATGGGAGACCAGGCAGTCTTGACTGTGGAGTCAAGTCTCACTCTCTTCTCTCTGAGGCCTATCTCCAGCATGACAACCAGGTGCCCATGTGGACATCACCTTGGCCGTGAGCTGTAGGGTACACGGACTGACAATTCTACCTGTTCCTAAGAAAATCTCCTGTGGGACGGCATCCATTTAATTGAAGCTGACTACTCCTGAGAAGTAAATGCATTGTTTAAAACTTCAGCATTGTTTCTGCTTTTTTTTTTTTTGGCCTTTTGAGGAAACAGTCTTGACGTTAGAATTCTGAAAATGAAATAAACACTCTAGTCAGTTCTTTTCCATTCACTTACATTTGAGAGACTTTGCTGTCAAGCTAAAAGGCACTAATGTATTCTCCTCACTCCAAATACATCAAAGAAAGAATGAAAAGATACTGCAAGTAAAGTTTTCAAAGCTTTTTCCTTCTTTTTTTCTTTTTTTTTTCAAGCTGGCTATTTAATGGAAATGACTACTGTGTAGCCCATAGATTATCCTTATTAAAAAAAAAAAGGGAAATCCATTTGATGCTTTGTAAAGAGTAACTTTTCAACTTCCAAGTTCTTTTAATCCAGGTGCTTCATAAAGGTGATACTCCAGGTTACTGCTTTTAAGACAGGAAGTCCTTACTGGAAGGTGGGTGCTGCCTTAATGCCAGGTAAATGCAACTCAGCCCAGGCTCTGCTGAGAAAATGTCTTAACCTTCTTAGCAGGCAGCATTGGTCACTATTACTATTCACACTTTCATCTTCTTAATGTATCCTTTCTTTAAACTTGTATATTTGAATTTTGTGGAAAAAAATGCCTCATCACACTGGGACTACCATCTATACAGAGGGATTTTTATCCACGATTTCCTTCTGTTGTTTTCCAAGGCCTGGCCTTCACCCCCACCTCAGCAATGCATTTGCACATTGTCCATGGGCTAACAGACATCTGCTATCTTCCTTATGAACTGCTGAGAGCTTGACATGTCCAGGCAGATGGTGATGAGTCAATGAGGTTCTAGCTAGCTTAGGGGCCAGCTCAGGCTTTCTTTGTTTGCTTGATGCTACAGCCTCTACCCAAAGAGTCCCTGAGAATCATTTCAACTTGGCTCCCACTGCGGTGAGTGGGGTTGCACAGAACCACCTCCTATTCCTCAAAGTCTTATGGGCTTTTTAAACCATGTCAGAAAAAAAAAATCATTTTTTGTTTGTTTGTTTGTTTTGAGATGGAATCTCACTCTGTCTCTCAGGCTAGAGTGCAGGGGCACCATCTCGGCTCACTACAGCCTCCAACTCCCAGGTTCAAGTGATTCTCCTGCCTCAGCCTCACGATCAGCTGGAACTACAATCATGTGCCACCACACCCGGCTAATTTTTGTATTTTTACAAAAGGTTTACCATGTCAGCCAGGCTGGTCTCGAACTCCTGACCTCAAGTGATCTGCCCATCTTGGCCTCACAGAGTGCTAAGATTACAAGCATTAGCCACCATACCCGACCTCGTATTCATTTCTCTATTGCTGCCATAACAAAATGCTATGATTTTAGCACCTTAGAAGGAGACATGTATTATCTCACAGTTCTGCAGGCCAGAGGTCCACATGGACTCAGCTGGTTTCTCGGCTCTGGGTCTATCAGGTAAAAATCAAGATGCCCACTGGCTGAATTCTTATCCAGAGGCTCTGAAAACCAGCTTCTAAGCTGACTCACGTTGTTGGCAGAATGCAGCTCCCTGCAGTTCTCAGCTGGTCCCTTCGGTCTCTGAATCAGCAATGGTCTTCCACTTGGCATCTTTTCAACCTCTCATTCTGCAGTATCTCTCTGTCTCCAGCTAGAGAAAATTCTCCACTCTGAAGGACTCCTGTAGCAAAATTGGACCCATTCAGATAATCCAGGATAATCTTCCTATTTTAAGGTCCATAACCTTAATTACGTCTGCAAAGTCCCTTTGGCCATGTAGTGTAGCATAGTTACAGGCTCAGGGATTAGAGCATGAATCTTCGGGGCGATTCTACCTATCACAGGGGCTGGACTATAGGTAATAGAACACAGATTTCATTCTCCTCTAAACTGAGAAGGTACACCCAGTCATGGCAAGAATTGCGGGGGCTGGGCAGAGTGATGGCAGTCAGACCACCTACCTGAATTCTAGGGCAAGAGGAGACCCAGAATGAGCAAGAATGGCTGTTGACCCCTACTCCGTTATTGTTGGAAAATGGACAAGATCGTAAATGGGTGTGGTCTAATCTGCTTGGCGGTAGTCCAGAACTTAAATCTTTACATGTGTTTTGTTTTTTCATTTAATTATTTACTATATGATTAGTTAGTTATTCTTCTAGGTAGGTTCTAGTTGGTTATTAACACACTCATTTATCATCCTACATTATTACAAAGAATTGAGTGGCCTGCAATAAATAGATACCGTAAAATAGACATGATAGCAACAATAATACATCAACAGAAACCTTCCCTAGGGATATACAAATATCAATGAAGGATTGCATATCAAGTAGCTCATAAATGCCATTTATAATCTTTAGACTTTGGGGGCTGAGTTGAATGGGACATGATTGTGGCCCTGTGGCATTATGCTGATATACAATGACACATGAATATGATTTTGTTGGAAAAAACAAAGCAGTTTTCCAAGAAGTGCCTGCAATCATTCACAACTGTGGTCTCATCCTTTCTCAGACTCCAGGACAACCTCTGTTCCAAGGCCTTCAGAAGACACATCGTGATTGTCGCAAATCCGGTAGTGAGACACAGAGAGACCAAAGTCAATGCAGAGAAGTCCATCTTCTGTCTGAAACTCCCTTCTGGGACTTCCTTTGTATTCAGGGACAGTCCCCATTGGGCAGGATTCCTTGGCAGGAAGCACATCCAGCCAACCTCTGGGGCTAAAGGGGCCAGATGTATACTCTCCCTGTCAGCTGGCAACTGAAGAGTGCATTTCCAAAGCTTGGCCAAGCAATGCTCTTACCTGGGATTCTGGAGTGTAGGGCATTATTCATGCAGGAGCAGCAGGAATGGGGATGTAGTTGACCCTTGCTGCCAGTGGTGTGGAAGGTCCAGTCAGAAGGGCCCAAAAACATGTTGTTCCTGCTGAGCTGATTGTTCATGCCTCAGTTCCTGCCTATTTCCCAAGCCTGGCTCTGCCACCATCACATTGGTTTGTGAGCTACCTGAGATCACTGCAATACATTCCCTTCCTGCTTAAGTTAGCCAGCATTTGTTTATTATGCTTGTGACCAAGGATCCCACCTGATACACCATTTGTTGCCTCTCAATGCTTGCTCTGCCTAGCTCTTACTGTCAGAGATGTATGAGAAAATGAAGAATGTTAAAGAATTTTTTATGCTAAATACTGAAGAATGCTAAATAAAGGACTTAAGAAGGAACTAACAACAGCCACTTTGCAACAACATCTCATCATCTTTAGCAGAGAGAATAACAGTAACAGAGCAACAGCCCAGGCAAAACAACCAAATGATCCAATATCCAGTAGAAATCACCAGCCAGACAGGGGACTCCACAAAGAAAGAGGAACAAAGTCACAAGCCAGGAACTCAAGAAGTAAGTGGTCTTTTGGGCTTCACAAGTTCATTAGGTAAAGTAAAATGGCATCTATGCAAATATAGGCTAGTCCTAGATCCCTTGAATCATGTAGCTTTTGTTTTCCTAGTGGCACAGCCCTTTGTGCTGCGTAAAGTAGAGTGACAATGAATTACCAAGTGCAAACCTTCTTTAGATGTCAGCAATTCAATTCTGATATTGTGTATTATTGCTGCATAATTTTAGATAGACAGATTTTTGGTATGGCTGTAAATAATCAGATATGTTTAGCCTTAAGGAAATGAAAAAGTGGTATAAAAGGGAGTATTGGTATTTCAGCCTGAGCAACACCATTTTGTCTCTTTCCTTCTCCCACATTTAGGGACACTAGATGTCTCCTTTAAAGAACAAACAAAAAAATTCAGTTTCTCTATTTTCAGATTACTTTAGGATGCAAAAAGTCTCCCATGGTGCTCATTTTAGAGGCTCCATATCTAGTAATGATAAAGGCTAAATTAATCTCTGCCTTTTAGGTAAGACAATCCCAAAGCTGCAGGATGTTGAGATTTTTATAAAATGTGAGGCAGCACATCTCAACCATCATGTTCTTGTGCATTTGGCTCTCCTATCCATGGGACCCATCCTTGTCAAGTTTTAACACCTTTGCTGTAGACTAAGGCTGCCTTTAGTTCCTGAGTTTACCATCTCCTGTTCCTCCAGGTTTATGATTTTCCATAGTTGCTAAACATCAATGATTTTATCCCAGTCACTGTCAAATTTGCTGTTAAGTGGGCCTGAGACTTTCATTCAGGTTCCAACACCTTTGGGTAGAGAAGGATTGGAACAGCAGTATTCTCAATGACAAATCCAGCCCATTTTCCTGGCATCCTATTCAAACAAGGGGTCCTTGCAGAGACAGAATCAGGAGTGCTGCTCCCCATTAGAGCAGGTAAGGGACATGCCCAGCTAACGCCTGATAAAACAGAATTAACTCCTAATGAAACAGAGTTGCTGGTTAGTCCTACTGTAGAGACTTTACAGACTGCCTCACATAAGTTGTGTAAGATCAGAACTGGGAAATGACATCTGACCTTACCTAACATTAGTTTTCACAATATCCAACCACCAAGCCTTCAAGGAAGGAAACCCCCAAAGTCGTGTGACAATCCCCCAAAAAAGCCCCTTATTAACTTAACATCTGTCCTTTCACCAAATTACCCATCTGGACCCCTGGCATTCTCCTCTGAGCCAGTTCTCATCTAAGTTGACCCAGTATTTGCTCTTTCCCTTTCTCTTCCATCCCTATCTCTATTTTAGGGACATTTCTCTCTTGACCTTCAGCTCAGACCAGTCTCTTTGAGTGACTCCATTTGAACTCCCAAGGTAAAGCACCTTTCACCTTTCCATACATCCTCCTAAGGCTCTGGCCCATGCAGCTGGTCCCCTCTCTACTGAACCAGTTCCCCAGCCCTGTAATAAAAGTCAAGAGAGGCAGTAGAGCATGCTGTAAAAATTTCGACTTGGAATGACACTCTCCTGGATTTGAAATGTGGGTCTGATTAATATTACCTGTGTCCTTGAGCAGATTATTCATATTTCTACCTTTCAGAAATGAGAATGACAAGAATCCTACCACATGGGATTGTCATGTGGCTTCAATTAAGCTGTGTACTTAAAATAAGTGCTCAATAAATATCAACCAATTTTAATAGCTATTACTTACAGTCACAAACAGTGACCTCTGAAATGCCTTCCCATAGTACCGTAACCTCTCAGAGGGGGTCTCCCTTACTTCCCTGCCCAAAGGAAGAGGACATTTCAAAGACTAAGAAATGTGTTTTCCTAGTTGCCCACAAAAAAAAATGGCTCTACAGTGAGCTTGTAGCCCATGGGCCGAATCCTTTGAGAGTGATGGTGGTTGTCCAAGGGACATTTGGTCAAGACTTGCATCATGATTTATTGTTTTAAAACTGCATTATTCTGTCTACCTCTGAAGCCAGATGTTGCAAAGCGTATAGAAAGTGAGAGAGAGGATAGCAGGGAATAGCTCATGCAGGATCTTATCAATTACTTATCTCTATCCCAAGAATAAGAAGACAATGATGAAAGCTTTTAAGCTGGAGAGCGACATGATGAAATTTGTACTTTCATCACTTGTACCACAAAATGAAAAACAGATTGCAGGAGGCAGGAATGGATGCCAGGCCCCTTGGACTAGGGTAATGGCAATAAAGATAAAGATACTTGAGTGGATTCCAGAGATATTTAGAGGTTGAAATCAACAGAATTTGCTTATAGTTTGCATATGAGAAAGTGAGAGAGAAGGAGTTGTCAAGGATGACAATCTGGATTGAGTAACAAACTGGAAAGGTCATGGTGTGTCATCTACTGTAGGAGGATGAGTTTTCTTTAGCTTTGTTTTGTGTGTGAGATGGATTATAAGCTACGTCTTGAATGTGTTGAATTTTAGATTCTTGAGGCACACTCAGGTGAAGATAAAATGCAGGAAGTTAGTCATAACTAGTTTGGAACAATAGACATTGGTGGAGGTAGTGTAATATTTCTCATGGTGAAACATGAGACTGCTAGTTCTCCCATAAATGTTTGTTCTTTTCTTATTCTATTGTGTAACAAATTGCAATAAACGTCCATGAATTTATTCCCTTCCCATCCAGAGGTAGAGTGTATTTCTCTACCCTCTGAATCAGGGTTAGCCTTTTCGGCCAATGGAACATCAACAAATGTGGCTCAAGCAAAGGCTTGAAAACATTTGACACATTGGAGCTTGCCCCTTTAGATTGTATAGCAGGTTCTTGAATAACATCATTTTGTTCAACATCATCTCATTACAACACTGATGAGAAAATAAAATCAATTACTGGCCAGGGCCACTGTCTATGTTGAGTTTACACATTCTCCCCATGTCTGCATGAGTTTCCTCCAGATACTCCGGTTTCCTCCACATCCCCAAGGACGTGCACATTAGGTTCATTGGTATGTCATCATGGTCCCAGTCTGGGTGAGCATGGGTGTGTGTGAATGTGCGTCGTGATGGAATGGCATCCTCTGTGGGGGGAGGGATCTCACTTTGCTCCCTGAGGTGCCATGACCCTGAACTTGAATAATTGGGTAAATAATTAACTTACCTAACTAACTTACTTGGGTAAATAATTACTTACTTATACTTATTAATCTTTCTTAAATGCTTGTATAGTTCACATTAATTTTAATGTTTAATATTAGAACTGTTTTGGTCTCTATCTAGCAGTTTGGTGGTGGTTTTGTGACCAGAAACATGCTATAGGAGCTTAACTCCTTCATATCAATTAGCCTATAGTAATAGCCTTATATCATTAGCCTACGGTAATTGATATAAACAAAAGTGAAGTTCCTATGGTATATTGCTACACTGTGGTAAAACTGGTTTCCTTATGCATTGTTTTGCTTGAAGTTACAGTAACCTATTGAGGACAATGTTAAGTGAGGACTTGCTGTACCTGCAGCCCTGAAAGCACAGCGTAATGAGTCCCAGGTAGCCCACTGGAGGATGAGAACCCATATGGAGGTGAGCCAAGCCAAAAAACAGCCTTCCAACCACCACACTTGTATGTGAAGCTGCCCTACCAGCTGACCTTGACCCATGAGCAGGGCCAACTGAAGTCAGGCACACTGGGCCAGAGCAAATAATTGCCTCCCTGACCCAGAGAGCTATGTGCTAAATAAGATGATTGTTATTTGCACCACTGAATTTTGGGGTGACTTGTTTCATAGAAAAAGCTAACTTACATACAGAATAATAAAATCTCTGCTTTTAAACTAGACAGTTTTTCTAGGCTCTCCTGCAGCTAGACTTGGCCAAGGAGATATAAAGGAACTTGCCAGCTGCTGGGAAATTTTCTGAAAAGTTGGCTGGTACAACCTCTGCTATATGATCTCTCTCCTTTCACCCCTTTATCTGTCACCTGAGCTGCACCTGTGATAACTGAAACTCTAGTCATCAATCTAAATCAAAAGAACGAGGGCACATTCTATGCATGTAGCCTTGTGAGCCAGGAGAAGCCTATATCACTGAAGACTTCATGGAAAAGTATCTCACCTTAGTGCTAGGCTTCCTGCCTCCATACTTTAACGTGAGGAAGAAATCATTAACTCCTATCTTCTTTAAGTCATTGTTATTTGGGGCCCATTTTACTTACAAGTGAACCCTAAGCCTAAGAGTTATACCTATTATCAAAGCATTGGACACACAAAGTTAGAATGCTTTCGTCAATCCACACATCCTGCCCTTGGATAATCACTGAGGCATCAGCAATTTATAGTTTCAAATCAGTCATGCTCGCTTCTTCTTATATTCTCTTTGTAAAAATAATATGGCCTTGACCTTATGTGAACACTAATATACATTGTTATGTGAACATTTGAATAGTGCTTTACTACTTTATGGTGCTCTTTTACCATGTTTCTTGGAAAGAAGTGTTTTCTAAACTGCTGGTTAAAACCTATTTGTGAGTTGTAAAATAAAATTACTGGATAACAATTTTATATTTAATGAAATAAAAGAGGATAGAACAGAAAAGAATGGGAGAGAATGGAAAATATCAGAGTCAATCACATGCAGTATGCTTGGTTTTCTTTCTTGAAATTGTCTCATTCATATATATGTGTGTACCAGGTTCTCTTGTAAAATGTATTTTTTTTAAATTTAGGTGATAATCAAAAGACATTGAAAACAGTTCTGTACAATGCCATCTGCTATTTTCCTCTACTCGTTACCTATCCTTTTTGTATTAGTCCATTTTCACACTGCTGATAAAGACATACCCAAGACTGGGTAATTTATAAGGAAAAAGAGGTTTAATGGATTCACAGTTCCACATGGCTAGGGAGGCCTCACAGTCATGGTGAAAGGCACGTCTTACATAGCGGCAGACAAGAGAGAATATGAGAGCCAAGCAGAAAGGGAAACCCCTTGTAAAAACATCTGATCTTGTGAGATTTATTCACTACAAGAACGGCATGGGGGAACTGTCCCCATATTCAATTATCTCTCTTTAGGTCTGGGTCCCTCCCTCAACACAGGGGAATTATGGGGGCTACAATTTAAGATGAGATTTGGGTGGGAAACAGCCAAACCCTATCACCTCTTTTTCACCAATGTCACCCAAAATTTCCATGGGGGAACCACCCTCCCTCATTGGTACTTCATTGAGAGAGGAAAGCATATGGCTTGGGCCTAGACAGGTAGCTTGTCACATCCCTTTGGCCAAAATAATTGGTTTGGGAAGGAAAAGTCCCTGTAATTTCCACTAGGTTCAAACTTTTGCTAGGCAAAAGAATGTATTTCTTTCCAGGGGTTCTGAGGTTTTGAAAATGGAGTGTTTTCCCAACAAGTGCTGGAGAGGATGTGGAGAAATAGGAACACTTTTACACTGTTGGTGGGACTGTAAACTAGTTCAACCATTGTGGAAGTTAGTGTGGCAATTCCTCAGGGATCTAGAACTAGAAATACCACATGACCCAGCAATCCCATTACTGGGTATATACCCAAAGGATTATAAATCATGCTGCTATAAAGACACATGCACACGTATGTTTATTGCAGCACTATTCACAATAGCAAAGACTTGGAACCAAGCCAAATGTCCAACAATGATAGACTGGGTTAAGAAAATGTAGCACATATACACCATGGAATACTATGCAGCCATAAAAAATGATGAGTTCATGTCCTTTGCAGGGACATGGATGAAACTGGAAACCATCATTCTCAGCAAACTATCGCAAGGACAAAAAACCAAACACCGCATGTTCTCACTCAGAGGTGGGAATTGAACAATGAGAACACATCGATACAGGAAAGGGAACATCACACACCAGGGCCTGTTGTGGGTTGCGGGGAGGGAGAAGGGATAGCATTAGGAGATATACGTAATGTAAATGACGAGTTGCTGGGTGCAGCACACCAACATGGCAAATGTATATATATGTAACTAACCTGCACTTTGTGCACATGTACCCTAAAACTTAAAGTATAATAAAAAAAAAAGAGAAAAAAAAGAAAATGGAGTGTTTTCCTGCCCTTCCCACTCCACTCCCCAGGGGCAGCTGCTAAGAGTTAAAATGTGAACCTGCAGTGGTTGTTGGCACCAGTGTACCACCACTAAGGCAGAGGCTGCCTGTGGGTGGAGTCAACTCAGAGGAAAGTGTGGCCGAGGGATGGACATAGTGAATATGAGCCCTGGCACTACAATTTGAGCTCCCGCGTCTGGCCATGCCTCAGGACTACCTGTCTCTGGAATTTTAATTCTGTCAGCCAAAACTTCCCTTTTGCATTCAGTCCAATTTGATTTGGATTTCTGTCACTTGCAATCAAGAGTTGTCACTACTACACAGTCTCATTTGATGGCAGGAGGATATAATTCATGTATTATTTTAAAGGGGGAAACTGAAGCTTACAATAATTAAATAACGTTACCAATATTACCAGATAATAGAAACAGAACTTGAATTCATGTCTTCCCACTCCAGAGCTCATATACTCTGCTATATATGACCTCACATAGACACAGCATTAATAGGCATCTTTGACAGATGAAACAACTGAGGCTTCATGACTAAAACATGGAATAGCACTTCTGGAGGCAAAGCAGCAGTGTCATCTGGCCTTGTGGAAGCAACACAGGCACCTAATAAACCCATGTCAAGCTTTATTTCTTTCCTGGGAGTTTGAAGTATCTTAAGGAGATAAGATTTACAGACTTCATAGGGTGAAGAAAAATAACTGTAACTGTCATTTTGTTCTTTCAGACTCCCCCAAGTCTTTGACACAGTCTCCTTACACACTTCCCTGCTGAAAAGCTGCATTTTCAAATGGCCAAACATTTACAATCTTCACCACAAACTTTTAAAAATTGAGATACAATTTACATGCCATACACCTCGCTTTTCAAAACGTACAAATTAACGGTTTTAATAGAATCACAAGGTTCTGCAACTAGGTCCAGAACATTTTCATCAGCCCCAGAATAAATTCATACCCATTAGCAGTCATTCCCTCCCTTCCTCTGCTCCTTAGTAGGATGGCCATCAGCTCCAGGCCAAGGCAGGTATTTAAGCCCTAACCCTTCATCAGGTCCTGTGCCTATCAAATATCCTTCTGTCTTGATGGTCTCCAACACTCTCAGAACCCGGAAACCTTCTCTTTTCTTCAGGAAACCCAAAGGCCATCAAAGACTCCTCATCTTCCATTTGCCTCTGAAAGCACCAAGCATCCATGCCTTCCCCTCTTTGATATTCATCCCCTCAGTCCGTATAGATCAGAAAATACAAGTTGGTCACCTATAAGTGAAACCTACGTAAATATGCTTTCAGCTTGCACAATTTTATGTTTTTTTATTTCATGGACTTAACATGTTAAAATTAGAAGTTTTCACATAAACATCTAGATTCCCAATTGTATTAAAAACTGGAAAGATCTGGGAGCCAGCCTATGTGCTCACATGGGAGTGCCCTTTTAGAATGGGAGACTCCAGGCTGGTCCTCCACAGTCCTTCTCACTCCCTTCTGCATTGCACTGGCCCTGCATCTCTCACGGAAATATTTGTGCTTTTGATTGTAGTCTATACTTGCAATGACAGATGCGCTATGTGTTCACTACACCGTGTCCCTTTCCTTTTTGGGCACAAAGCTAGGCTACATGTTGCCAGACTCCCTTGCAGTTAGGTGAGAGCCATGGGACTAGATTCTAGATGACAGAATGAGGGCAGGAGTCATGTCACCCCATGTAGCCTTGGTCCATAAAAACCTCCTGTGGAATCTTCCATGCCCTCTTTCATCTACTGGCTGGATATAAAGGTCTCTGGGTAGGCAGAAAATGGTGGGGATTCAAGATAAAATAAACCCAAGCCCTGTGCAATGGTGTGTATCTGTGGTTGCACTGCTCGGAAGGCTCAGGTCCGTGATTCCAGGAGTTTGAGTCCAGTCTAGGACACATAGTGAGGTCCTGTCTCTTAAAAGAAACAAGGAAGAAGAGGAAGAGGAAGAAAAAGAAGATGAAGAAGAAGAAGAAGAAGAAGAAGAAGAAGAAGAAGAAGAAGAAGAAGAAGAAGGAGAAGGAGAAGGAGAAGGAGAAGGAGAAGGAGAAGGAGAAGGAGAAGGAGGAGGAGGTGATGGAGGAGGAGGAGGGAGAAAGAAGGAAGAAAGAGGAAGAGGAGGAGGAGGGAGGAAGAAGGAAGAAAGAGGAAGAGGAGGAGGAAAAAGGAGTAAAAAGGAAGGAGGAGGAGGGAGGAAGAGAAAGAAAGAAGGAAGAAGGAAAGAGTAGGAGAAGGAGGGAGGAGGGAAGAAGAAAGAAGGAAGGAGAGGAAGTAGAAGCAGCAGGCTGAGTCTGGCAGAGCAGAGCAGAGCTCCCCTATTGACTGCATTTGAATTGTGAGGTGAGGAAGAATAACTTGGCTTTATGTTAAGCCACTGCAACCTTTGAGGTGCTCGCTACAGCCTTTAACCTATTTAACAAATACAACTTCCAAACCACAATCTATATATTGGGGTCATCTTTTGGGTAGGATGGTTCTCCAATTTTTGTCTGCGACACCCAAAATCTATTTCCAATACCCACCCAAACACTGAAAACAGAAGCTATGCCCTCAGGAGAGAGAGAACAAAAAATTAATTTCATTCTTTTTTTTCATGAGATGATTGTAATATAGGGTGGAGGGTGAGCAGATCATTAATGCATCGTCCTGCTAACCCTTATCCACACGTGTTCATCCCAGCTGGCACATAATGAGCAGTCACGATGAGTCAGGCATCTGTTATCCTATTTGTTTCTGACAAGAGTCCTTTTAGGAAGGGACTACCCCCAATTTCAAAGGTAAGAACAATGAAGCTCAGAAAGGCTTTGCAACTTGTCCAAAATCACACATCTAGCTGGTCATTTGCAGAGCCTGGTCTACCTATGCTCGCCCGCCTGTCCTGAGCATCCTTCCGGAGACCAGCACACTAATTTACAATGTGATTATAAAACAGCTTCATCTATACAATGTGCTGCTGCCACTTCAGACCAAATACGGGATTTTTTAAATGGGATCTATAGTACCTTCATTGGAAAAATAACTAATAATCTTATTCCATTACTAGAGCAGGACCGCATTGGAGGAAGCCATATTGTGGCAGGGAAGTCTGTTGGGACTCTTCTCTGTGTCCTGCCTGGGCCCTTCAGGGGCACCCCTTGCCCATGACACCAATGCACCTCACCAGGGATTAGTGTCAGCATTCAGATTCTATCACGGGCTCACTCCAGGGAATTTCTAAACATAGCTCTCTAAGTGTTCTAATTTCAAATACCATGTGATCTGGCTTCAAAATTATTTCCTTATCTCTAAAATGGAGACACAAGACTGCAATGAGGAACAAATCGAATGTAACAGTGCATTAGTTATTGATTGAGGCATAACAAATCACTCCGAAATTTAATGGCCTAAAATATTTATTCCTTCTTTTAGCGTTTCAGTGAGTCAGGACTCCAGGTGTGGTTAAGCTGAGTCCTCTGGCTCTGGGGGTTTCATAAGGCTGCAATCAAGATATGGGCTGAAGCTACCATCATCGGAAGGCTCTCTTGGGAAGGCCCTATTTCCTAGCTCATTCCCACAGTTGTGGGAAGAATTCAGTTCTGCCCAGTCTGTGAGACAGGCGCCTTAGTTCCTCATGAGCTAATGCCTGGAGCACTCGCTCAGTTCCTTGCCACATCCGCCCATGCACAGAGCATCTCACACCATGCCAGTTAGATTCATCAGAACAACAACAAAAAAATAGCCAGAGGGAAGACAGAAATTACAGCCTTTTGTAACCCAATCTCATAAGTGACATTCTATCACTTTTGCCATATTCTAGTTTTTAGAGGCAAATCACTAGGTCTAGCCCACATTCAAAGGGAGATCATACAAGAGTATGGATACCAGTGGGTGGGGATCACTGTGAGCCCTCTTAGAAACTGCCTACCACACTATGCAAATTCGCTATTCTCAAGCATTCAATAAATGGTAATAGCAATTACTATTACTGTTATTATTATTATTGATGATGATGATGATAAAAATATTATAAGACAATAGGTAGTTTTGAACCCAGCCAGATTACCTGGGTTAAAATCTCTCCTTAGCCTTTCATTTGCTATGTGACTTCGAACAAGTTACATAACCTCTCTCTCCCTCAGTTCCTCATTGGTAAATTTGAGGTAATAATAGGCTTTATCTCACAGGGTTCTTGTGAAGGTTAAATGACAACAGACAAGTACAGTGCTTAAAACAAGTGAAGTAGCTTAAAACTATACTATGGTAAACATTTAATATATATTAGTGAACACTGAGATTAATATTTTTTTTTATTTCTCTGCCTCTTGCTTAGGGCAACTCAATTGGTCAACTATTGTCACAATAATGCTGCAGAACAAACACCCTCAAAATCTCAGGGCATAAAACAGTGACTGTTTATTTCTTGCTCATGGGGCATCTCAGGTCCTGTGTCTCTCATCCCCCTACTGGAACCTGTAGTCAGCCAGGACATGTTTTTCTCATGACAATGGTAGAAGCCCACGAGACAAGCCCCACTGTGAAGGCTCACTTCAAGCCCTTGTCTGAATCACATCTGCCAACAACCCAAACTAAGTCACACGGCCAAACCCAAAACCAGGTGTGAAATATATGCTTTCTGTTGGAGAAACTGCAAAGTTATATGGGTTTTAGGGAGTGGAATATGGATAGGAAGGATGTGAAAAATTGGGGCCAGCAGTTCAATCTTCTATATATACCCATCTTACACTTTTGGAAGAGAATGGTAGAAGTAATAAAGTCTGAAATGTGGTAGTGGAGAATAGAGAGATAGGCAGAGGGAAATAAACATATACCAAGTATTTGCTAAGCTGAACACTATCTAGGTTTATTTCAGCATCACAACTCCTTATCTATGTATACAGTTGACGCTTGACTGATTTTTTTTTAAATGAAACACACAAACTTTATTGAACGAAAGTAACAGGTAAAGTCAAACAGGCACTTACATTAAGAGAAAAACTGACTGGAAGAACTTTTATCTTAAACATCTTACGGTAACCTACTTGCAGCTGTATTTAACTTGCAGTTGTATTTAGCTACTGCAGTTGTATTTAAGCTACAGCACTTTACTTGTCTCTTGTCATTTAACCTTCACAAGAACCCTATGAGATAAAGCCTATTATTACCTCAATTTTACCAGTGAGGACCTGAGCTCTGTGGCTGTGAAGAATATAGCTCGTGCACAGGTATGGATGAAAGATTTGTACATTTCTCAAATATTCACTGAATACTACCTTATATACATATATACATTAAATTTGAAAAAGATTTGACAATTCCCAGATAAACTTCATTTTTGTTGATCTTTTGGAAGAGGTTGTCTAAAGAGAAGAATATGTGGTTCTGGCTCATGAATCATGTCATGAACCCAGCCTAGACTCTGTTGGACACCAAGTCTCCTCTACTCCTCTTCAGACGTCAGATAAGTCATCAGATGAGTCGACACTTGATCGACTGTATACACAGATAAGGAGCTGCGATGCTGAAATGATCCCATCCACAGGGGATGGGATTTAAGACCTCCAAGGATACCAATCCACAGATTCTCAAGACCATTATATAAAATAATGTAGTATTTGCATATAACCTACACACATCCCCCCCTTATGCTTTATCATCTCTAGATTACTTATGATACCTTATACAGTGTAAACACTGTGTAAATAATTGTTATACTGTATTGATTTTTATTTGTATCATTTTTTGATTTTTTGTTTCTTTTTTTGGATATTTTCGATCTGCCATTGAATCTGGGGATGTGGAACCCACAGATATGGAAGGTCAACTGTAGTATCTTCATTGTTTAATTTGAGAAACTGAGGCATAGAACATTGCCTGTGGCTTACCTGAATCTAGTTTTCTTCTTACCACCCCACCCACTGCTGTGGGATGCTTGACTATGTATAGATATGGTCACTGGGGAGGGAACTTGGGGCTGGGACTGGCCTTCACAAGGCAACTGGTCTTGATCTCCACTACCTGACGGAGGTCTGTATTTCTAGATGGCCATAGTTTTAACAGTTAGAGGGAAGATCAGAGATTACCATCCACCCCTCTCATTAGCTAAAGAAACTGAATTTCAGAAAACAGAAGGCACCAAATGAGTGGGTGGTAAAACCAGGATTGGAAACTCATCTCTGGAGCTCCAGGGCTTTTTCCAGTTTCTCCAACTACTCCTCAGTGTAGGGCTGTGATCCCTGTCGAAATGCAAATTTCCCTGGGAAGGGGGCTTCATTGGACCTTTGTATTGAATGTGATTAACAGTGGAAAGCAGAGTCTGCAAATATTTAAGTACCTGAGGAATAAAGGTTGGCCCCAGGAAAGGTACCACTCTGCCCACCTCCTGCTGAACCTGCTTGCTGTAAGTGACTACCCAAAGACCTTAATCAGCGCTCAGGTACAGATGTGACCACGGCTTCATCTAAGTTAACTATAGAAGGGGAGCTCTGGAGGCACCATAGAGATCCCCTCCCCAGGAACACAGATTTAAAAGGCTTGTCTGGAGTCGCACCACGAATCAGAGACAAAGAAAAGATTAACTTTCATTCCTATGATCTTCAGGGCAATGTCATGTCTCTATACCCATTCAGGCAGTATTGGGACCACTCTTTCCCAAGTGCGCAAGACAGTCGCTGTCCTGCTTGTTGAACCTGTAGACCGCGTTTATCTCCAAATGAGCCTTTAAAAGCAGCCACATGTGTTCTTAAAAAGGGAGTGGGTAGAAGAATCTACTTAAGACTCATAACCCTAACAGTCATTGATATTTTTTTCTCCTAATTTAATTACATTGCAGGAAATATTTGGCTAAGACACGGCTACTTATGATGTCTACATAAATAACAGGATCAGGTAGGTTTCAGTTCACTCTTCTCTTGATTCTACTTTTACTTCTAGAATAATATTACTTTTCAGCCAGCCTCAGTGGCTCACGCCCGTAATCCCAGCACTTTGGGAGGCCGAGGTGGGTGGGTCACTTGAGGCCGGGAGCTGGGGACCAGCCTGGCCAACATGGCAAAAACCCATCTCTACTGAAAATACAAAAATTAGCCAGACGTGGTAGTGCACACCTGTAATCCCAGCTACTCGGGAGGATGTGAGGCACAAGAATCACTTGAACCCAGGAAGGCAGAGATGGCACTGAGCCGAGATCATGCCACTGCACTCCATCCTGGGCAACAGAGCAAGGCTGTCAAAAAAAAAAGGAAGAAGAATATAACTTTTCCTGTCTTATTGGTAATGTGATAGCAAAATAAGTGACAAAGTTTAATTGTCTCTGGAAGAAAAGCTTTAAAAAATGTATTCTGTAATATGCAACATATTTAGAGCTTACGATAAGCAATTTCTCTCAGGAGGAAGTTTTTCAAGGAAAAAAAAGTGACTCTAAGAGTAATTTCAGCAGCAAAGTAGATTAAATATCCACCATATTAGTCACAGAGCATTAGATGGAATTGAATTGACTGAGCAGAGGTCAAAGAGTGGCTGAAGTTTTCAGCCCACCAGAGGAGCAATAAAATCCAGCCATACTTAAAATCATTAACTTTAAACCCTTTGATATGAGATCCAAAACCTCACTGCTCATACTATGAACTTCCAAATGCCATGCCTGGTAAAAGAATAAATCCCTTCAAAAGATCTACATTTCATGAAATACTTTAAGGGGAGTAGAAAGCAACAGAATGAAACTGGAGTTTCCAGGTTTCTCCAAAAAATATATATCTCTGCAAGGCTTATTAAACAAACAAACTTCTGTTCCACCCACCAAAACATTCTCAGGCCAGTGTGCTCCAACTGAATGTAATCTGTCAAAGCCTTAAAGTTGATTTCTGGAAAGAAAGGCAAACCTCATGGGTGTGACCTTTCTCCTTTCCCTTCCCTTCTCTCAACCCTAGCAAAGGTCTGAATCCTCATGGCCACCTTCTGGGAGGTCCTGAACTCATACCTGAGGGGCAGCGGCTTCAGGGTTCTTTGGTTTTGCTGTACTGTTTTATTTGTAACAACGTCAAACTGGCTACAAGTCACCTAAAAAGACACACTATGTGAGAAATCTAAGACCTACAGCGCCCATGCACAGTCAGACGGAAAGTAGCTTGAAGTAAGTCTCTGAACTTAGAAGTTGATCAGCAGAGACAACTCAAAATTGAAGCAATGGCTGGCAAGTAATTAAACATACTGGAGAAAGGGTCTCATATCGTCAAGCTAATTCCTAAATAACAGACAGTGAAGGACAAAAGATAATGCACCTTTCCTAACCATTAAACAACTTCTCTGTTCTTTCTTCCATTTGAAACTAGTTTGCTTGTCATTGCTAAGTGCACTGAGTTCTGTATCCATCAGTTAACAATATCAATTTTTGAATATCTATTAAGGGTGCAAGCAGTGTGTCAATAAATAATGTGATGTCCTCTTTACAGGTGGTTAGAGGAAAGAATGAAATGCTGATTTTAGGGGGAAATTTTGCTTTTAATTACCATTGTAGTTATAACTAAACTAAAATTGTTTGTTCCTGAGAAAGCAGGTAGTTGATAGAGTTTCCTGAGTGCTTAGGCTAATGTACATTTGGAATAATGTTTTAGGAAAAAAATGTGTCTGGTCGGGCATGGTGACTCAGGACTATAATCCCAGCACTTTGGGGGCTGAGGCGGTTGGATCACTTGAGGCCAGGAGCTCAAGACTTGCCTGGCCAACATGGCAAAACCCCATCTCTACTGAAAAAAAAAAAAAAAAAAAAATTAGCCGGGTGTGGTAACACGTGCCTGTAATCCCAGCTACTCCAGAGGCTAAGGCAGGAGAATTGCTTAAACCTGGGAGACAGAGGTTGCAGTGAGCCAAGATTATGCCATTGCACTCCAGCCTGGATGACAAAAAAAAAGAATCTGTCTTGGATTAAAAAAAAAAAGAAAAAAGAAAAAAAGAAAAGAATGTGTCCAAGAAAGACAAATGTATGTGAATTTGAGTGATGAGAACTACAGCATTTTAAAAGATAGTGAGCATTACATTGTTGAGCAGGCAGTAAAAGTTCAGCTTTTGACAACGTGAGGAGAAACAGGATCTCCAAACACTAAGAGTTATATCAGGAACAGACACATCCCCACATGGAGTTTAGCTGCTCTTACATGGGCCAAAGAACCACCACTAAGCCTTGAGGTTGGGCAGAACCATGTACAATTAGGAAGCTACTCTGGAATGTGAGAAACCCTATATTATAATTCAATTGAGAAGCATTTATATTGAGAAAGGATAGTCCTATGAAAAGTTAGGAGCCCTAAATAAGCCTGTATGTATGAACAAGCCTGTATGTATGTGTCTGTGTATGCATTTATGACATATATGGCTTCTGTGAGGGTTTTTCTAAAACTTTAGTAGGAAGCCAGGCACAGTGGCTCACTCCTGTAATTCCAGCACTTTGGGAGGCTGAGGCAGGTGGATCACCTGAGGTTAGGAGTTCAAGACCACCCTGGCCAACACAGTGAAACCCCGTCTCTACTAAGAATGCAAAAATCAGCTGGGCATGGTGACTGTAGTCCCAGCTACTCGGGAGGCTGAGGCAGAATTGCTTGAACCTGGGAGGTGGGGGCTGCAGTAAGCCGAGATAGCACCACTGCACTCCAGCCTGGGCAACACAGTGAGACTCTGTCTCAAAAAAACGAATAAAATAAAACTTTAGTAGGAGAGCTTTAGGAAGGGAATTGCATAGATTATTCACCACTCGTCTGTGTGAGTTTGTGCAACCGGCTTCACTTTCTCCCGCCTCATTTTATGTGTCTGTTAGACACAGGTCATAGTAACAGTTCTAATATCATGTGGTTATTGCAAAGATTCGCTGAATTAATACATGTAGGCATTAGAGCAATACTTGGTACACACAAAGCATTTAAATATTTGCTTTTAGTATTGCTTTTTTTAAAAAATAAGTAGTGAATACACATGGTACAAAATTTAAAAGGTATGAATCGATACACGGTGAAAAATAAGTTAACTTTCTATCACTATCCCCTGGACTCTCAGTTCTCTTCCCTCAGGCAGTCATGCTTACCAGATTTTCATGTAAACTTTTAGAGATATCATATACATGTAATATGTGCATGTTTATACTTTAAAGAAAATCAATGATGGACTACTCTGCACATCATTCTGCACTTTGCTTATTTCACTTAATATCCATTTTGAAGATATTTTCATATCAGTTCTTATAGGAAAAGACCTGCTCATTTCCATAGCAATATATGGTATTTTATTAAATGTAAGTGCCCTGATTTATTAAGCAGTTCCCTTTGGATGTACGTGTAGATTGTTCCAATCTTTTGCTGTCATAAACAATGTTTCAGTGTGCACACGTAAATAGACATCTTGCACATATGTATGTTTATATCTGTAGGAAAAATGCCTACAAGTGAAATTACTGGGTCAAAGAATATGTACATGCCTGATCTTGACAAAATTGTTCAACTGTCTGAAAGGAGATCTTCAGATGTGCATGGTACTTTGTCCAGTTAAATTACATTGCAAACAAAAGATATTTCATGTCATAACTGTTTTGAGAGTTGGAGTCTTATTCTGTCACCTAGGCTGGAGTACAGTAGCACAAACATAGCTCACTACATCCTCCACCTCCTTGGCTCAAGCCATCCTCCCCCTTCAGCCTCCTAAGTAGCTGGGACTGTAGTCATGCACCACCATGCATGGCTAACTTTTAAATTTTTGGTAGAGACTGGGGTCTCGCTATGTGGCCCAGACTGGTCTCAAACTCATGGCCTCAAGCAATCCTTCTGCCCCAACCTGTAGAGTCAGTGGGATTACAGGTGTGAGCCACTGTACCTCACCTCATATAACAATTTTTAAAGGAAGAAATCTATCTGTCATCCAATATCACTTGATGTAAAATGCCTTATAGTTTTAAAAAGATTATTTGTGATTATTTTTTACTAAGTCATCTTCCCCTCCAGAAGTTATACAGCTAATGAAGTAAGTTTGCTCATTCTGGATACCTATGGTAGATTGTGTGTCTGTACAATTTACATTGATCACATTATAAAAATAGAATTTAGGGCTGGAAGTCAACAGAGAAATTATTTCTCCAATCCTCTCATCTGACAGATGAGAACTCAAGGGACATCTGGCTTAGGTTATGTACCCATGGTGAGATGTGGCACCAGAGGCAGGAAAAGGCCTAGAAGTTGGGGGCCCTCATTCAGGGTCAGGCCTCCCTCTCCACACGATTGTCTCTTCCCAAATTTTAGAATCTGGGTACCCCATGAAGCCCAAATCAGAAGACAAGAAGTAACGTTCAAACTTATATAAGAGTAATTTTTTATAATTAGGCAGGGATCCGGGGTGGCAATGGTGAGTAAAGACTACAATTCACATATCAATGTGTCTAACTAGGATAGCGAGGAAATAAATAAGGTCCTCTGTAAATTACGTCTAACAACAAATATTCAGGACATCAAAAGTTGTATCAATAAAATCAACACTCCAATGGTTCTTCTCTGATGAGGTATGCAAAACTATCTCTTTATGTCTTTTATATCTTTAGACATATGAAATGTTTCATTCCCAGAGAGGTTGTACATGTAGTTTTCTGAAGAATAAAAGATTTTTCTTGAGCAAAATTCAGTGAAAAGAATGTAATAGCACTTAATACATAAGCTAAAGCTTATTTCATAGGTAGCAAAAAACCAAATTCTCTCTCCAAATTCAGAAGTTCTCCCTCAAAATATAAGTCCCTTTGAGGTGCACTTTCTCAGAAGGCAGACAACAGTAGTCAAATGTTTATACAGCACCCACTTTAACGTCCCACATAGAAGATGACAGGCTGGAAGAATTAACTGTAAATCAAGAAACTGGTTTTTAGCATTAACATCAAAAACATGAATATCATCTCTTTACTATAAATAAATAATTGTATTTAAAATTAGACTCGTTTATATAACATAAATTCATATCTGATGAAAGGAAAAACATAAATAATCAAAACACTCCACAGCATCCCTTAAGAGAGGCTGAAGAACAGTGTTTGAGAAATACTATCTGTGACTTCCATAATGAGACAGCAGCATCATTTTGTTTCCTACGATACAGGATTCTCCATGGAACATCTTTTATTTACCCCATACATAAAACACCAAAGCTAAAAGTTGACGTGGCCTCACATAAAATTAGCTCTGCTACAAATCCCAAACCATGTACATAGAGTGACTAATTATTTCCCTGCTTATTTGGCTGGTATCATTAGAGCACATCTCATTTTACTGTTTTTGTCTGTGCTTTTACATGTTTCTCCAATTTGATATTATCTGTTACAAACAGTCAGCTACTTACCGGCTGCTTCCAAAGTATTTTGTAACAAGCCCAGGCGGGTGCTTAATGAGCCTATTACAAGAGCTGCAGGGAGAAGAGGCTTTTGTGAGCCCCTTTCTGCCTGTCCCCTTTTGAGTTTATAAGGTGGGAGAAAGCTGTCGAGAGCAGAGTTTAAATAAGCCTTTGCTGGCTGATCTACCTGTGAATAGGACTGGTGTGTTTCAGTTAGAAAGTGAGTGGCTCCAGGGAGCATCTTTTTGGGGTTGATTTGGCAGCTGCATAAGCCTCCTGACTGGGTCCTTCCAGAGTCTGGGCCCTGCCAGAGCCTGGATAGATAAATTCTCATCTTCACACCAAGCATAAACTTGAGCAAATAACTCTTTTCCAGACTCTGATGTCAGTCTGCATCTTAAAGGACAGGGTCTAGCCCCATAAATTCTACTGGATATAAATGATCAGCTTGACTCAGTGCCATAGTGAAGGCTCCTAAGAGCTGAGGTCAGAGCAAACAACAATTTTATCCTACCTCTGCCCCCTCCCAGCTCTGGGACCTTGAGCAAGTTACTTGCTAAACCTATTTGTGTTTCAGTTTCCTCATCCGCAAAACAGGCGTGATAATCATGCCTCCCTCAATTGTTTTGAGGATTAAGTGTTGCATGTAAATTACTTACTTTGCACAGGTTTCTTATTGTCTGTGGCTGTTCCCAGTACATAGTGAGTGTTTTCCGTGGGGAGTATAGATTCATATCCACCTCACTGCCCACCAGAGAGCCAGGTAAAAAGAGGGGACACCCAAATGCTTATTTGAATAAAATTTCTAAGTGTGTTAACACACTACAGTTGGTTCAAAAAAAACTTAACACAAAAAGTAGCAATTTTTTATGTAAAAAATTTATTTTAAAAATTTATTAATAAAAATTTTTATTAAAATTTTTTATTAAAAAATTAAAAATTTTTATTAAAATTTTTTTATTAAAAAATTAAAAATTTTTATTAAAAATTTTTATTTAAAAAATTGTCAAATATCATTTTTATTGACTAATGTATTCTGTTTTATTTTGTTATTTGTTATTGAATTTCTCCAACACCATCACCCCAGTCAGACCAGGTAGCCCAGCGCTTTGTATTTTTGTATTTCTCTATCTCAAAAAGTTTTCTAGAATTGAAAGTAGATATTCAAGGACTCTTCCTGTATTTTGTGAAAGATTAAACAAGGCTGGGCGTGGTGGCTCACACCTGTAATCCCAGCACTGTGGGAGGCCGAGGCAGGTGGATCACTTGTGCCCAGTAGTTCGAGATCAGCCTCGAACATAGCGAAACCCTGGGCAGCATAGCGAAACCCTGACTCTAGGAAAAATACAAAAATTCACCAGGCATGGTGGCATGCACCTATAGCCTCAGCTACTTGGGATGCTGGGGTGAGAGGGTCGCTTGAGCCCGGGAGGCAGAGGTTGCAGTGAGCAAGACTGCACCAGTGCACTCCAACCTGGGTGACAGAGTGAGACTGTGTTTAAAAAATAATAATAAAAGCTAAACTAGGATACTCACATGGGTGTGTGGTGTGTGTGTACACAGCATGTGTGTTTCTGTGTGTGTTTTCCGTTGAATTTGGAAGGCTTTAGGCATTCAGTTACTCTCCAGCTACTAAAGTCCCCAGCCCTCTTTTCTTTTACACCTAACCCACTTAGTGTATTTATTCTTACCTCTTTGCCCCTAAAGGACTTTGACCCAGCAGCCCTGGAAGCTCACAAAGACACTGTGCTGTGATCCTGGAAAGAAAGAGAAGAGAGAGAAGGCCAAGTACGGTGGCTCACACCTGTTATCCCAGCACTTTGGGAGGCCAAAGTAGGAAGATAGCTTGAAGTCAGGAGTTCAAGAAAGGGAAGAGAGGAGCACTGTAGGGGAAGGCTGAGGCAGAGCTTTCTCTGAGCTAAAAGAGGCCAGATGTTGGCAACAGTGCCTCTATGGGAGAAACTGAGGCCTGCACTATGTTGGAAACAGAAGCTCAGAGGGGAAACCCCAGAAAGAAACTCCCAAAGTCACCCCTGATTCATCCATGTCCCAAACCTGATATAAAAGCCATGGAGCCACTGGACCGAATGACCAGGAAGCAGCAGCCCCTGAGAGTGTCAGAATTCAAGTATGACTTGGTGGCCTGTGATAGATGGCCAGCTGAGGAGGCCTTCCTAACACCTTGGTGCTGTGTCACTCCCCAGGAGCTGGGCCAACTATGGGAATGAAGAGGAAACTGGAAAAAGAACCTGTAACGCCTGAGATCGCCTGACCACCAACCCAGCAGGATGGCTGCTGGGGTCTTATTAAATTAGCAAAAAAGAAACTAAAAGTGATTTGTCAAGTAAGTCACAGCTCACTTCATCACTATCTTTTTTACTGTGATCTATTTTATGCTGAATTAAAGAAAATAAATGCTATATAGCAATAAGAGAATGTTACAATTATGCTACTATATTTGAAGTAAGCATGTGTGTTAGAGGCCATTTCAATGTTGAAAATTTTGAAGTTCAGACCTGCTAAGCATCCTCCCTCCTTACAAGCGCTGTCCTCTGGCCCATTAGGGTAGTGGCCTTGTTAAACAAGAATATACTTATAACTCAGGCAGGACATGCACTCTGCAGTTGGCCATGGGCCTAACTGGAGGCCCCATATGCTTTTGATACGTGCCAGCCACAAAAGTATTTGAGTTTTATTTATTTTTATTTTGTTATTTAATTTTTAAAAAATTGCTGTGGGTACATAGCAGCTGTATATATTTATGGAGTGCATGAGATGTTTTGATACAGGCATGCAATGTGAAATAAGCACATCAGCATTTTGAGTTTTACATTCAGGATGTAGAAACCCCAGGGGCAATGCTTTCAGATACCCTGACTCCCTATGCTGAATTCCACCTTCACTCCATCTCACTGACTTGGTTTTAACATGAATTTAAAGTGCACTCCTTTTCTTCTCTAAGTAAATGAAACTGGCAAGGTTTATTTGAAACAGAAAGGGTTTGCGGGGCACGGTGGCTCAGCACTCTGGGAGGCTGAAGCAGGAGGATCACTTGAGCCCAGGAGTTCGAGACCAAGCTGGGCAACACAGGGAGACCCCGTTTCTATAAAAAATACAAAAACTAGCCAGGTGTAGTGGCACCTGTCTATAGTCCCAGCTACTTGGGAGGCTGAGGTGGGAAGATGGCTTGAGCCCAGGATGGGGAGACTGCAGTGAGCCATGATCCAGCCTGGGGGACAGAGCGAGACCCTGTCTCAAAGAGAGAGAGACAGAGAGAGAGGGAGAGAGGGAGAGGAAGAAAGAAAGGGTCTTCACAAGTAGCTCAAAAACAACATTTGTCTTCCAATCAATCTCTCCAGTATATTTTGGTGACTAAATATTTGACTCGACTTTTGTCTCCAAATGTGTTTTCCTTCCTCCCTCCCTTCTTCCTTTCCTTCCTTCCTTCTTCCCTCCCGGACCCTTCTTTCTTGCCTGCCTTCCTTCTTTCCCTCCTTCTTGCTTTCCTTCCTTCTTGCCTTCCTTCCTTCCTTCCTCCTTCCCTCCCTTCCTCCCTTCCTTGCTTCCCTTTTTTTTTCTTCCCTGAGGAAAGGAATGCTTTATTCATATCTTTGGTCCAACTAATGAAAGCCTCAAAAAATAAACTGTTGCTAATTACTCAAGTGACTTAATGACTGACCACCAGGATCCAGACCAGATTCGAGTGTGATTTGCATTGTTGGCTCATGTCTGAACTCTTCACCCTTAGGCTGTATATTACAGTTTGTTACAAGCCACAGACTTTTTCTATTATGCTGAAAGAGCATAATTTCATGTTTTCTGTGTTTAAGTTACGTCACTGCCATTTTTAGGAGAAACTGTGGTCCTGCCACCCTTTTCCAGTAGAAGAGATGCGGCCCACTCACAATGCAGATTCACCTCCAATAGTGACCTCTTGAGCAAAAAAAGAAATCCATTTCCATGTTCATTTGGGCCTTTGGCCTGTCTACTGAGTAGGCCCGCGAGGCTGAAAACCATGCTAATTACATAAGTGATTTAATTTCGATAATGCAAGAGCTGACCATCAGATATCAAACCAGATTTGAGAGGGATTTGCTCTGCTTCGTGATGTCAGAATTGTCCACCGTTAGGCTGCTTCATGCAGACTTTTTTTTTTTTACTAGTTGAAAGTACTTGTAAATAATTTCAAAGATTAAACAAAATCAAGAAATTTTAAAAGTGGAAAGTATACCAAGGTTCTTGTGTGTAGATAACATAGAAACTTAAAGTACAGAGGCTTTGTACCAGACCTTAAAATGTGATTGATTTAGAGGCTCAGATATGATCGACTTGATATTTTCTTGCTTCTGACACAAACTAATCATAGAAAATTCCTTTTTCCAACCACTTTAGAGTTTAGTTTGGGGTGCCTTGTAGAAAATTGATCCCAGCTACTGTGGATGTAGTCAAGAAGAGACACCATTTCAAATGTTTGATGTGATCCATTAGGAAAATTACCAAATATTGCCATAGGTTAATCTTACCTTGTAGTAATGTTTTTTTTTCTGCAAAGATTAGTATCTTTAAGATTTATTAAGACCTGCATCAAATGTATCTTGTTGTTTTCTATTTTTATTGAACACAAAGTAATCTTTCAGGACAGAGACATAAAGATCTGCTGTCTCAGTTACAAACACACTAACCTCATATCTTTCCATCAGAATTTCTTCTCATTGGTTTTATGGAAATGTGGAAATATTCAAAAATAACCAATATGCACTTCATCAGTTTGACATCATGAATAGAAGTCAATAGAAGCAAGCCATCCTTTTCTCTAATAGGACACAGAATTCTGTGTGGTTTGATTTTTGATGACACCAATTGCCAAAGCATAACTCTGAAACTGACTCCTACCCATTCTCAATTTGGCATCCTATCCCTACGCCTATAATTCACTTCTGGGACAGAATCGTGGTCATTTCTAACAGCACCCACAGTTACTTAATTACTAGAGTAATTGGTCACTTGTGTACTCACAATCAGAGGCAAATGCCTGATTTCCACTGCGAACAGCTGGTGTTATTATTTTTTAAAAGAATTTCTACCTGAAATTAGAAATTGTCACCCAAATCGCAGATGCAATAAATGATTTGCCTAAAATTTGGGCAGAATCAATTTCTCATTTTGATAACAGGAACTAGTAATTGAGAGAAAATAAATAATGAGTGTGGTTTCTGTGAGCTTAAGAAATCTCTGCAGGAAATAATGAAAGGCAATCGTACTAGGGATGTGGTAAAGGGAGAGAAAGGAAGAAAGGAAGATATAGAGGAAGGAAAGGAGAGAGACAGACAGATGAAAGAGAGAAGGAGAACCAACAATTCTAGAGAAAAATAATACCACCTTATCAAAATGTGCATGTTACCTTACCAAAGCATGCCTGACTTCTATCATTTAAATCACAACTGCAAGAATGAGGCTCAAGCGATCAATGTCTTTTCCCAGATAACAGAGAAGGAGAATGCTTAACATCCCACTATATTTTTTTGTTCTTAAAAACTACCACCTCCATGCCTGAAGGCTTTTCTCCCCCTAAAGATGTCGTGGGGCCTGGGGAACCACTTAAAGTTCCTTGCCATGCTTGCCCAAGAAACACAAAGTGTTGGTGAAGTATAAACAGAGAGCGCTTTTTCTTTGACCCACTCTGCAGTGTGATGGGGTAGTGTTGTTAGTTTATGTGAGAGAAAATAGCATAGGCTTTCTGAAAAAAAGTGGAATTGGATTAGGGCCTTTGTGCGCGCCTCAATGCTGAGGGGAATTAGCAAGAGTTGTAGGCACTTAAAGGGGCCCTCATGCTGAAGCTTATCCCAGATTTTGCACAATAAACATTTGAATATCAACAGTGTTTTGCAACTTGCAGCACTAATGTATAAACTTCTCTCTTTTGAAACTCCCAAATCCTTCCAAATGTCTGTAACACCCTCTACATAAACATATAGGAGCTAGGGTAGAAAACACCTAGTCAATGATGTAAGTCTGCTTTTAAAAAGATCTTTCTCCTTTTCCATCTTCAGAATCTAGAATGTTTTATAATGGTTCGTTGGTTTAAGGACTTTAGTAGATGCTCTATTTAATTTTAATCATTCCACTTTCTTTCAGGCTTTGCATTCTGATATGGGGGAGGGGCAGTGTCCAGCAATGGATAAGGATGTGTGGTTGAGTTTAGAACTGTTTCACCAAGATTTTTGTTGTTGTTGTTTTACATATCGGACTCCTTAAAGAGTCTTTTGTTTTAGAAAGAATCCTTCTGAGGGTTTCAAAAGTAAATTCACCTCTGCAAGAAAAGAATGATTTTGTCTGTTAAAGTCTGCTGACTACCTCATTGGGAATCCACATATTCGAGCCAGTTCCCACCCTGAAAACTAATCTGATACTCAGTTATCCTAACTGAAGATAGTAGGCTGATTTTGTAGTAAGAGCGTCCAACATCAAACAGTTATTTGATGTTCCTGACATTAAGCAAGCTCTATTTTTCTCTTTAAAAATTTCAAACTCCCAGAAGTGAATTCAAAATATTGTAGAGCCTTGATGGAGGGTGAAAGGCATTAATTTCTCTCTTCTGAAATCGATCAGCAGACAGGCATAATATTTTGTTTTCTGAGAACAGGATATTTGCTTTTGGTTGCTGGTATAGCAGAATTCTTCCCTTCAGTTCTTTGTGTAATCCATTATAGCAATGGTGTCACTTTATAAGATTTGATGCTCTTAATTTTGTACTAAAGCAAACACTTGGGATGCAAGCACATTTTTCATCAAAATCTACATCAGCAGTTTATGGAAGTTAATGAATAAACGGATCCCCTTCTTGCTTTCCAGCATGTGTTATCTAGAGATGATTCTAAGCAACTCAGCCTGGCGGTAATGTATTCCATCCAATTGAGGAGTTTGCAGGAAAATAAATCTACAGTGACCCAACAGAGTAGTAAAACACTTGTTTGAAATTATTTTTTGTAACTGTGCTCATTTCATGCCTGAAAAGACGGTGGTAAAAATCTCATTGCACCGGGGGCTGGTTGGGGGGCTGGGGGGAATGAAGACATAACTGTTCTGCCCAGCTCTGAGGCATGTTGAAGCAGTTTGCCTATTGAATTTGATACAATGATCTGTAGATGAATAAAGTTATCTCCGGTTCTGAATAGGATGGTGTCAGTGGGAGGGTAAGAAGGGGGGGGAACTTGGAATCTGAAAAGAATTCTTTTTTTTTTTCTTTTTCTTAAAAAAAAGAAAAAAAGAGAACTTGAAGGTCAGGGTCCAGCTGCCGGGCAAGAGTAGAACACAACAAAATGCTGGACAGGCCTAAATAAAGACAACTATAGACACCCAGACACACATATTGCAAAAGTTGCTTGCTTCAAGTAACTAATGTATTAACATATATTTCTATAGGCAGAGAGCTATTTTTTCCCTTTAGGCTGTCTTAGACTCTGATGAAAACGTAGGAACATCAAGAGCATCTGTAAAAATTACAGCTTTAATGAAACAGATGAAACAGGCCATCAAAGGTAGGAGAAAAGAAGAAATTCTAATGATTATGGCTTAATTCTAATAGATTATAATTATTATGATTGGTATGAACCAGTTTCTGACTGACATTCCATTTTCCCCCATTTAAGCTTTCATTTAAAAGGGGGGTAGGGGGGTGGGCAGAGGAAAAAAACTAACAGCCACTAATTATTCTGCAGGATTTGCTGCTTAACTCAATACAAGGCCTTTAATCAAATAGAGTAAAGAGATAAAACCTTTAAATGTGAACCATCACACAGATACACACTTTTCCTTATCCTGTTCTTTTTAGATTGGTTTGAAAAGTTAACATTTTGATTTCTAGCCATTCCAGTTCTGTGATATAAGGAGATGATCTGAAGAATTTTCGGGTGGTCAGATGGATTATGACTAAAAGGTTGGGAAGTTTATGATAAATCAACTTGATCATCTAATAAATGTCTGTTGTCTGTTCTTACTGCTGTTGATTGCTTTTTTATTTTTATTCAAATATGCTGTTATTTTCCAAGAGGTACACTAATGATTGTTAAGTACTTATTTTGGTTCAGATGATGCTCATCTGTAATCTGATAAGTTTTTTAGAAGACAGAGAGAATGAGAAAAAAAGAGATGGGGGTAGGATAGGGGAAGTGCAGCCTAAACGGTCTGAAAAATATTAGTTCCCACTGTCATGTTACAGCTGTTTTTTTTTTCCCCAGGGAGATATATCAGCAAAAAAAAAAACCTCAAAAATCAAATTTTAGATTATATACATGTATTTGTTTATTTTTACTTTCATCTTAAGGTACTTTAGGGAAATCTTCTCTCCTACCAGATTGACATTAAGATTGACAACATGCTACATAAGAGTTTTGTTTCTCTGTACCTTGCACGATAGTGTGGTGAATTAGTCAACTATAATTATGCCCAATCATGGAAAATCAACATGAACGAAAATCTTATTTTCTGTATTTTGGCCTCAGAATTGTGTAAGTCCAGAGCAGAAACCTGAACTTATAACTGTAAATATTAACATATATTCTTAAAAGGATATTTTCATAGAAATTAAATTTTATTCAATACTCACAATACAGGGAAAAGTGTCTTACGAGTTGAAAAGTATTTCACATCAATGAAAAATTGTGAAAACACTAATAATCATACATAATAACCTGCATTATCTTATTAGCTTGCATTACAATCTTGCATATTTCCACATTTTATCAAGGTCATTTATACTAGCGCCTCTTCTTCCATTCTGTAATGGAAAAAAAGAAAACAGGAACAATCTGTAGATTTAACTAGGTTAAGCTATAGGGTGGCATCATTTTTTATTCATGACAGTTGTTCTGTACTTCTACCAAAAAAAAAAAATTGGATGAGTTTCTGCATCCTGCATGTTGCCATTAGGCTATTGACACCCTATTGTGTGGTTGAGAGAGGTAAAGTAACCCAGGAGATTATTCAGAATGTGAGATTGTAAATGTTTCTTAAAGATGTCTTTACAGAAATTATAGCTTCTCTCGTGTGGTCTTCCAGGCTGCAGTGTACAGCCCTGGAGTTGCGGTTGTTAAAGGCAGGATTGGTAGCATGCTGTGTTTAATGCAACTCTTACCAACAACTCGCAGAGATTAGGAGACTGGCAGAATGATGTCAATGGAGGTTTAAGGGCTCTGCTTTCTGAAGTTGTTCAGAGTTAATAATTAATGAAAATCTTTCTTTGATGGCTCTTTTATATTTGGATGCAGCTGCCTGAAAATCAACCACAAAGGAAACTTGATTTTGTTTGTCATTAATTTTGACTTTGCTTAACAAATGTTTTTGTGCGCATCATAGCCTTCCTAATTTGGCCTCGGTTTAATGTGGAGATGAAATCCTTGATTAACAAAACTGTTTTAATTTTCAGGGGTTGGTGACTGCGTTTTTTCATAGAGTTAGTATGTTCTCAGTAGTTTTGAAATCTTTCAGATGGGCTCAATCCAAGTGACAGTTCAGTGGTGATGCTAATTTTCATGCAATATGTTCACAGAGGAATTCCTATGCTCATGCAGTGTAAGAATTTATTCTGAGTTCCCTTAGCATATGAGTACTTATTCCGATATTTTCTCTTATGCTATATTTTTAAAGGCAAGAGGGAGAATTACATAATTACCTACAATATGCAATGCTAAATGTCTTCTCTATACACTACTCCTGTCAAATAATATGCAACAATTTGGCCAAATGGACATGGAAGATATTAATTGAGAAAAAATTAAACTTTGTAGTATATCCAGGTTTAAAGACAGCCAAACAAACTGTTGCCATAGGATACACGCAATTTACCAGGATTTGTATTTGCACCAAATCTAGTCGGTCTCAAATAACTCAGTATGGTCTTCAAAATGAAACAGCAAATTTACTGTTTGTATTATGTGTATTGGATATACTTTGGTAGAACCATACTTAAAGTCATTTCAAATGTCTTTTTTATGCCAAAACAAATCCTGTTGACTCATTTCCAATTTCTAATTATATGAATAATTATTTCTGAATCCCACAGTTCTTCTAAATAGCATCTATTTTAATAACTGCAATTGATACTTCCATCAGTTAATATACTGTCTTGCTTCAACAAATAACTAAACATCTGCTGGTCGCATTTACTGTCACTGAGTAAATGATTTTATTTAAAAGAAATCATGTAAATTAGAGAGAAGGACAGACTACACAATTTTCTCTTTTTCACTAGCAGAGTACATTCCTTTCCCTTAAGAACTGTTTTTAATATCTGAAGAAAATCGTCATTTGCCATATTTGCTTTCTGTAACAAGGTTAGGGAATGAAATTCTATTCTAGAAAAATGATATAATAATAAATCCTATTTGAATGAGGATATTCTTTAATGTCCCAACTGTTGATATTTAATGAGGCAACTGGGGTAGTCAAGATCTTTAATATTTGTTGGTACTGGTGCTTAACTTTGCTATGGTATGGTATGGTATGTTATGTTATGCTCTATTATCTAACTATAGCCATAGAAGTTTATCAAAGTTTTCTGTCCCTAAATCTCTAACTGTTAAGGAAAGGAGACTAGATGCTTTTAACAATATTTTTCTAAAAATTTTTTTTTCCTGCAAGCATTTACAAGTCTTTTTCTCAGCCCTTTCTAATAGCTACAGATGGCATGCTTTAAAAAAAAAATGGAAGCCTTCTTCATCATTTCAACTTCCCAGTGCTATCGGTGATCTCCTATAATTGATAAGAGCATCTCCCGCTTGTTTCTGTCTGACAGATGTCAGGCACAAAAGCTGCAGACCTAGTGGGGTCATCATACACTTGTTCATGTCCTTACCTGTTTTCACTGAACAGGTTAGAAAAAGAAACTGCTACTGTCTTTCTGGATGTGTGATTGCTACTTGGGTTGGACTTGACAACAACTCGGAAAGATGTGTCAAAAAGATAGCGGGACCACTTATATTAAAGCTTCCAAACCAAAATACCAAAAGGTAACAAGGTAACGAACACAAAGACGGTGGAGAAACTAGGGGGAAGAATTATTTTAATCAGTGTAGTCAATGATATCGTTTAAAAAAAAACTTTCGTTTTAAAAAAAGAAAGCAAAAGTTAAAGATTTTTTTAATGAAAGGTTTTTTTTGCAATTTGGAAATTAAGTCAATCATACAGTGAATACAGAAATGCTTTTTAAAGAACAGTGGCACTTGTTGCAAACGTTTTCTTTTCACATCTTATAATCACACATGAAAAGATACATTTTTGTTTTTGTAGTGGTAATTATCAGATCAATATTGCACACATGATCATGACTGTTCTATGATTGGTTTTGTGTTTCCAATATTAAAGACTTTTAGTACCTTATGTAGAAAAGGAAAAAATAAAGAACACTGGCATAAAAATAGTGACTATTATCATCCCTGATTTAATTCTCTTGAAGTTCCTCTTTAGCTAAAAATTGAAATGTCCTTCTTACTGTTTTTGTCAAGATACATAATTTATTTCATTGTCAGTTTCCAAATTGTCATACATTTTCGAAGGCTAAAGAAAAATTTATTTAGTAGAAACGTTTGCCATTCCGGATTATTCAGGGAAAAAGTCACAAATTTAACAATGTGTATATCTTCTAAAAGAGATTATGCATATATTTAAGAAACAGAAAGCTAAAGCACTACCTGATTTTTATATTTTTTAATCTTGAGAAAGCATGCCATGACACTGGAAATTATTCTTGCTGTTGATTACAACTTTACCAAAAAAGTATAAGCATCTTTAAATATATTATCTCTATGTTGGCTAGATCAAAATTCAAATCTGCAACTCATTAGCTTTAATCAGAAATACACTTTCAATGGCATAACACCAAAACTGAGAATATATACCTCATGAAAAATGAAAGGCTAAACCACATTCACTCCATTAACTTTAAACTATGACAAGATTAAATATTGTTTTCCTTAAATTGATTTTATGTGTTCCTGCTGTTTTTACTGAGTCCTTCGCTTTGTACTTTGATTACGTTACCCTTTGCTCAAAAGAAATCCACTGCTGGAATATTAGAAAATGGAAAAAAACTGCACCATTGTTCCAATGTAATAGATATTGTTTTAGAATGTTTGTCCTTGAGTTTAAAATAAAAGATATGCTAATAAGTGCCCTATTCAAGACTTTACTCTCCTACACTAAGAAGCTTGTTTTCATTTGATGAAAACTATTAATGCTAAAACAAAAATAGTTTTGAATTCATTTATAAGGGATATGCACCTACCTCTTTAGTTAAAATCAGTGATCCATTAAGGCTTTCTAGCTTTTTTCCAAGCTGTGAGCATACTGAGTATTTAAGTATGAATAAGAGTGAAGGTGGGGGGTAGGTTTAGCTAAATAAAAGATTGCTTGATATCTTGGGGTTCTTTGAAGAGTTTTATAGGCTTAGAGTTCACAGTTTGAATGAATGACATTTTTTTAACTTTTATATATGGAAGTTTGTTAACCTGCATTTCAATTATTGAATAATTAATTATACTAATTACCTTTGTGAAAAAATTTGCACCGTGAGCAACCTAAGCTTCAGTCATAAATTAAAGCTTATAGAATTGATATTGAAGTAATTTAAATTATCCTAGGATGTCAGTGATATTTATTTTTCACCAAAGAATGTTCACTTTGCATTAAAAAATATGGAGATACTCTGGAATATTAGCTTAGTATATATCAAACAAGATATGTAAATGTTAAACTATCAAAATGCTTTATGCAAAGCGGCCAGATATTTACCTGTTATATAATTTTTGCTTTGAGGATTTGTAAATATTGGCAATCAAAGAAAATAAAATGTGTATACATTAAATGCATTCTTATGAGGAAAACGGATTTCTATTTCAAGAAATTAGTTAAGAAACAAGGAAGAGTCCATTGCAAAACAAATGCCGATTTATCATTGGAAATACTGCCTTTTTAAAAAGCAGTTTAGTGGAATTGATATATACCAGAAATTCTATAGATTAAAGAAAGAAAATTCGTCATTCTTTAATAAGTGTTTACTACCAGTTTTTTAAATTCTTATTCTTTATTTACCTGAGAATACTTAAATAAGTCTTCAAAAGCACTAACAAAATCAATTGAATCTTTCAGATGTCTATGAAATACTTTCAGTAACAAAAATAAATAGAGGCAAACAAAGTACATATGGGCCAGTATTGACACAAACCAATGAGAAACAGAAAATTCACTTTTATTCTGTTTGCATTTTTTCCTCCTAGCAAAACTCTCTGCTACAGTATTTCTTTTTAAGAATAAACAAAATTAAGATGCCAAACTTTTCCCTGGTTTATTTATTAACCATGATATTAACTCAGAATTTTAATACATCTTTTTTAAAGTATTTAAATCTTTATTAACTACAACTGGTGTTTGGTCTGTATAAGGGATCTGAAGTGTAGAAATAAGTTCAATAGATAAAAATGAGTAAATTAAAGTTGTCACTCAAAATGTTGGCTTATTTTTAATCCAATGGATCCAGATATACTCAAATCACTTTATTAGATTTTATTATTTATTATGGACTATAGAAACTGAAATAATAGTATTTTATTAGAATTTTCTAAAACAGAAAACATTTTAAAATAATAAATGATTTAAAATAATAAATTATAAAATCAAAACCAAGCCCATAAATCATTCATAAATCATTACTTTCTCTGCACTTCCTGATGCTGCCTTTAGAAATGACTATTACAATATATTAAACATATTAGGGCAAACAATTCCTAAGATATTGCTTTACTTTTCTACAATATTATGCTACCTCCCACTCTCATTGCCCTTGAAATATATATGTGATATATATATGTGTTTTATATATATATATGTGATATATATATGTGTGTTTTATATATATGAGTTAAATTTTATTACGTGGAATTATTAATATGAAAGGCACATTTTTATAAGTTAGAATGTAAAAATTATACTATCATTTTAAAAAACCTCTAATTCTGACAGCCCATGTAAAAATTGTGAAATCTGCATGAGATTTGTTTTATTTTTATTGTATTACAGTCCACGATCAAATAGAAATATATTCAGATGTGTCTAAAATTAACCTTCTATAAATATAAAAATATTGACAAGGGAAAATAAAGCTCTACTATATTAAAATAAATAAGCAATGTTATTGTTAAACTCTACTTACCATAATTTATTTTAATACTTTTTAAATAGATCTTAAATATCTAATCAATGACTTTGATTCAATTAATTTCAGTACAAGTATTTAAATAAGTCACAAAAACTTAAACATAAAAATATTAAGTACATTATTCTGAGTTCTATTTCATTTAGGTATAAAACTTAAGGAAAAATACTTCTTAAAAATGAATTTAAACAAATATTAGTAGAATATTTAACATAGTATTTGATTTAATGAAAAATTACTTGCAAAATGGCAAAAATAAAGGGCAAAAAAAGAATTTCAATTTCTTCTGGAAATTTAAATTACTAAAATAAAAGACTCATTGTTTATATTGAAACATTATAATGTGTATATTAATTTTAAATTTAAAAACTTTAAAAATACCATCATAGTTTTTTTATAAGTGAAGTTTCTTTAGCATTAAGCTATGAAAAATAATAACTATGTCTTCTGTTTAAGCATAAACTGAGATGAATTCTTTCATGTTTTCTAAAACCTAAGGTATAGACATAATTTAATATAATCAAATATATATATTTAGTGTTGTTAGTTTTGAATTATTTGGATGCAAATTATATATTCTTACCTGAAAAGCTCAGTTTTTAAGGAAACAACTCAATATTTAAATAAAAATATTTTGCACTAAAACTTGGAACTATTTTGCTTTATTTTAGTGGCCTGTGCTAACTTGCTTTTTACAAAGCTTTTGAAAGCTTTACAAACTGTAACCAGCACCTGTTATACATAAAAGTATTGGCCACCACTTTGTAGTAACTAAAGGAGGGGTAAAAAAATCTATCTATTTTTACTGTAATTCATATTGGTTTTATTTTAATGATCTTCCAATATGTGCAGATTGAAATCATTAAATAGTCCTTTATACCAAACCCTACATTCAAAGAAGAGTTATCAGATACTTGAATTATGATTTATGAAATTTTTTAGATTTGTCAAAAGACAACATAATGAGAATCATAAATTACTGCCTCATTTATTTGCTTAGATTTCAGTTACATACAATTTTTTTTAAATAACACCAATTTTCTTAACTTTAACTTTTTCTCATGTTAGAACATCTTCATTATAAACTAATCTGAGTTATTTGGTGAGGAATAGATTATATAGTAATGAATAAGCATATTCTAGAATGAAAAATAGAATAGGGCCTTCCAGAAATACAAAAGGCAATTAAATCAAGAGGGAGTTTTCTGAGATCATAAAGGATAAAAGCTCCTTGGGTTATAATACAGTTGTTTTTAAAAAACTTTTACTAATATGTTATTAAAATGCTGAGTGATTTTATGTGTGTGTAGACATGTATGCATGCATGCGTGTGTGTGTATATATATATGCATATGTGTATGGGTATATTTGCAACATATAATCTTTAGCTTTTAAAGAGCAAAAATATTTTACATGTCAACAAAAGTAAGTAAGTCTGGATGAAATAACAAATCTTTTCAGACATTTTGTTGAACTGAAGTTAAATGACCTCATTGTTGTGCACCTTCCTTTGGAGCACATGATGAATAGATAGATTTACAAAGTAAAAATTTGAATTGAAAACACATCATTACTTGAGCTAAAGACTTTTCTGATTAATTTAGTTTACTGATTTGGAGCCTATTAAACAAAGAGAAAAGTTGGCTGTTTTCAAAGTACTGAATTGAGGTTTATCATTATTTTGATGAGGCCACCCTACTATGGTAGGGCAATGTAATCAGAATGTTGAATTAAGTCAAGCTCTAGTCTAAAAAGAATAAACTGTACTCATCAGTAAATGTTCTTAATAGGAATCTTGAAAATATTTCATTATTCCTAATTTAATTAAGAGGGCTTGAACGGTTAACTATGGCCCACATTCGTACTCAAGAATACAGTATAAGAAAAGCCATAAGAAATGGTGCAGAGAGTCATTTTTCATACCCGATTTCATACCTGGCTTTTTTTTTTCAAATGAAAATTAGGCTTATTAACTTTACAAGCGCTCATTTTGTATACAGTTCTGAAACTTTACAATGTCATGGGCTACATATTACAGATAGAAACCTGTTTAAACCAACATGTTAATTAAACATTAATTTATAAATATTTATACTGGGTTTATGCTAATATGAAGTTCAATTATATTGGCCCTATAAATATAAATAATGGATGCGTAGACCTCTCAATCTATGTACCTCAGGAGTGGTATGTAACATTCATGAAAATGTCTATAGACAAACATTGTTTCCCATTGTTCTCACCTATGTGCAATATTATTGTACTGGGGAATAATAGAAGCCACATGCCAGGTGTTTTCAGCATTAGAGATAATGCAGTCAAACACTCAGCACAATGCCAGGCACATCATAAGCAGTGCAAAGATGGAAGGGGTCATTAGCATTATTACCAGAAGGTCCCTCTCCCTAATAGTGCTATGTCATTATCACCCAGAAGAAGTTCACTCCTGGCACACATCTTCAAAGTAATTCCTCATACCAACCACACATGTTATCAGTATAACATGCATTACCACTAGGGCTACACATAGCATTAGGAAGAGATTGGTGCAGGGTGAATGAATTTCAGATGAAATATATGACAAAAGGCACGAGACACAATTCTGTAGTAGAAAGTACATATAGCCATAAACCAGAGTCGGTGCCCTAACACAATCCACAGCCACATTGGATTGTTATACACGTGTTATACACCTTGTTGCCAATGTTTATAATAGAGGATTTATACAAGAAATTGCACAAAGTCACATTTTAAATTTTCCTCTACTTGATACTTTGGTTTGCTTAATTTAAACTTGATACACTACTTCTTTCTCTCTAATAAAATGGTGAGGGAGCACTCCAGTAGACATGCAGGCAAAGGGTATTGAGTCACGCAATCCATTTGGTGCTCTTTCTGATACATTTGCTCCGAGTGGCAGAGCAGGGTGAAGGGATGGAGCCGTGTGTGTGATCTGATGAGCCTGGCACAACTGGGGGTGGCTTCTCTAGGCAGCTAAATTAAAAACCTCCCTGCAATGTGGATCTTAATCACCCCCTCCGAGGCTGTAATTGGTGATGGTCACTTAACTCTTTCTCTCCTTCTAGACTTAAATGTGCGGTGTTCCTTTACATCCATGTGTTTATTCGATCTCTCCAAGAGGATTCTAATAGCATTGACTACATAGCCACCCCCAATGGCGTCTTAAGACAAAGGGCTTTTGGCTATGTCAGATCTCACCAGTCTAATGTGGGTGATTCTTTTCCCTTCTCATTTTGAATAAAAGAGCAGTGACACCTTGAAAGTAAAAGTGCCAGAGGTTTTGACTCTTTCAGATGTTTATAATAAAAACCCACATTTACAAAATAACAGGATTATATTATTTAATACATACATTGGAACTACACTGGGTTGAATTAAAATGAAGTTCTTTAAAAATTGAAGAGCACTATTTTACAAAGACAGAAATAAAGATCAGGCTGCAGATAATCTAACGTTAAAAAAATAACTCTCCATGTAAGAACACCTGATGGTACTTTAAAGATGCTCAATAAAACCAAAGCAAGTCTGTTTGAAACTGAGAGTGCTTGCTGCATTGTTCTCTTGTTTGTATTTTCTTTTTCTCACTGAGGTATAAATTTTTAAGAGTTACAGGCAATCTAGGATGATTATAGAAGGTGTGCAAACCCCAGTGCAGTCTGGAAGATGATTGTAGGGGTGGCGTGAAAGATTAACTCCGTTTAATAAATACTTACTGGGTTGTGGCAGGCACAGAAGACATACACGCGAATGAAGCTCACTCCCCGCCTAGAGGAACCTAGGAGTTCACTGTCCCTTAAGAGAGTGGACAGTCAAAGGGACATATCACTCAAATTGTGATTTAAGCATGCACTAGCAGAACCACGCACAAGATACAGATGAGAGAGGCACAGAGAGCCCAGAGGTGGGCCAAGAGTCGTAGAGAAGTCCATATTTCACCCAGTAAGAGACCTTAGAAAGAAAAGGCAGCCTCTCTCACATAGCCGCACTTTAATTGATACAACGGAGACTTATAAAGTTGCCTCTATGAGCAAAATGATGGTCTAAGCAGGACTGGGGCTTCCTACAATGACCTGAGAGTGGAGGGGCGTGGGCGTGTTGGTGGAAACCCATGTGGCTTTCTCTTTCTTGAACCCTGATTCCAGGGTACGAAAGCATTTGGGCTGGAAGAAGCAAGAGACGGAAGTGCTGTTGGAAGACAGAGTCAGTTTCTCTGCCCAGGGAGAGCAATTCTCTGTCTTGGATCAGCTCACCTATTATTCAGAAAGCATATCGTGAACGCAGAACCGCAGCGGACTCTGCTTTTTCTGGGAGAGAAGAATGAGAATGTAATTTTCCAATTCATTTTGAAGACGGTCCTCAGTCACACTCAAGAGACAAGCCAATCCAACTGGAGGGGAAGTTACAAAGCTGCAACTAGCCCTGTGCTGGGAATTGGCGGGGAGGGTGGTCCGATGGCTGGGAGCTAACGACCGTCATTATCTTTAACAACTACTGACTTTGTACAACTAAACTGTGACATTATGCCTGCGCATTGCGTCTACTGTGTGAGTTTAAATCACTGACACTCTTCATTTTTTTCTCTGGTTTTACAGACTAAGAATTTTGTAAGCCTGATATATTTACAAATTCCCATCAGGACCTGCAGCTTAATGTGGTGAATATTTCAGGTGAACAAAACCAGAGGGTCACTTTTTTTTTCTTTTCCTCAGAAGAGGAAACTGAGGCCAAAGAAGAAATGACTTGCCCAAATTAGCAGCTTTTGACTGGCAAAGGGGGGACCGGAACCCACGTGGCTGTGATCCTAGTTCAGTACTTTTTGCACAACACAAAAAGCTCTTGTTGCCACTATGATTACTACTAATAATAACACATTCATTTAGCCCATGCAGAGCCGGACACTCTCAAGAGATATGAAAGTAAACCTGTTGTAATTTCAGCCTCAAAGAACCTGTAGTCCACTAGGGTGGCAGAGACATAACTGGAAATGTCAGTGGAGTATCTAGCTGTATATGGCCCTGGCTGGGCCTGAATAGATAGAGATAAGGACTGTGTCACTTATCACTTCTCATATTCTAGTTTCTGCTCCTTCCCTGACCAGATATTGTGGGGTAAGATCTTAACGGTTCAACACGGGGTACTAGGACACCCCTAGTGATGCAGACAATACATGAACATGCATTTATAGCATCTGCCTGGAGACACAAAGGTAGGCACAGGCACAGTCCATCCTTGGATATGGAAAAAGGCCCAAGCCTCAAAGCCACAGGTAGTGCTGATGCACTTCACAAAATAGATGAACACTGACTGTGGCCTCATGTGTGGTGTTCAATCATGGAACAAACTGTGAAGACATCCAAGAGCGAATGGCTCCTGACACTGGGTATACTCAGTGCACCGGTTTCCTGCCTTCTTCCCACCACCCTGGGTCTCTTGTTCTACATAGCTGCAGAAAATGCAGGACAACAGCTGCACAGCCACACACAACACACCACATGAGAAGAGCCCTGAGCAAAACAGCTCTCTGCTCTCCATCCTACTGTGTAGCACACACTTGAGATTATTGATGCCAAGTACTTTCCTTCAGGAATTTTAAATGTCTTCCCACTGAGCAGCAAATCATATAATATCCAGAGTCCTGATGTGAGCAGCATGAGTTTCTCGGGGCTTTGCAGGAGACATACGGAAGTGATGTTACCTTGTTCACAAGTTGCCAGCCCAAATCCATGGACCATTTCTTCCTTAGAGGGTATGTACTTCTTTTCTGAAAGGTTTGCTTTATGACAATTATTTCTCAGGGTATACAGGCCAGCCAATAAGTAAGTTGTCTACAAGGCTCCCTGGTGAGGAAGGTGACGGTGGGCATTAGCCTGGAGAACTGTCCAGATGGGATACTTCCCTTGCAGACTGGTAACAGGCTATGTGTATCCATTTCCCCTCCCTAGGTCATGTTAGAAACTGATGCTCAAAGTCAGCATCTAATAAAGGAAATTGGAGAGCCATGGAAACAATATGGCTTCCAATAGGTGAGCATGAAATTTCACCTAAAAGGAAGACCGGAGATAGGGCTGCTGTTCACAGTTGCATACCAGGGCTCTCTGCGGCTTGGTGTGACAAATGCTATTGTTGTAAGATGTTTCTAGAAGCATAGGGAAGAAGTTTTTACAGTAGTCCCCATGTGACTGAAGATCCTTTGGATGTAGGCTCTAGGAGGGCAGAATTTGCTGCTGCATTGCTCACTGCTGCATTCCCAGAAAATAGAACAACCTGGAACTCAAGAAATGTCAATAAACTGGCCCATCCCCTCCCCTCCCCCATCCAGGACACATTTGATCCAAGATCAGAGCATCCTTATAGACCCCACATATGAGTTCAACCTTGTATTATTAGTCTTCCTGTGTCTGGTTTATTTCAGTTTAAATACCCTCTGCATACACCCAGTTTGCTGCAAATGATAGAATTTCATTCTTTCTATGACAGAATAGTATTTCATTGTGTATATATACCATATTTTCTTCATCCAGTCACCTATTGATGGACACAAAGATATTGACTCTATGTCTTTGCTATTGCAGATAGTACTGCAATAAACATGGGAGTGCAGACATCTCTTTGACATACAGATTTCATTTTCTTTGGGTAAATATCCAGTAGTGGGATTGCTGGATCATATAGAAGTTCTACTTTTAATTTTTTGTAAAATCTCCACATTATTTTTCATTATGATGGTTGCATTAATTTACATTTCCACCAACAATATATAGGGGTTCCCATTTTTCCACCTCCTTGCCAGCATTTGTTAGGTTTTTGTCTTCTTGATAATAACCTTTCTATTTGGGGTAAAGTGACATCTCACTGTGGTTTTTATATGCATTTCCCTGATGATTAGTCATTTGAACATTTTTTTCATATGCCTGTTGGCCATTTGTTTTCTTTGTATGTCTTCTTTTGAGAAATAGCTGTTTAGGTCTTTTGCCCATTTTTAAATCAAATTATTTGGTTTTTTGCTATTGAGTAGTTTGAGTTCCTTTTATGTTTTTGATATAAACCTCTTGCCAGGTGCATAGTTTGCAAATATTTTCTCACATTCTGAAGGTTGTCTCTTCACTCTGTTGTTTTCTTTGCTGTGCAGAAACCTTTTAGTGTGATGTGACCCCATTTGTCTGTTTTGCTTTTATTGCCTGTACTTTCGAGTTCTTATACAAAAAAATCTTTGCCCAGACAAAATGTCATTAAGCATTTCTCCTGCGTTCTTTTCTACATATAGTAGTTTTATACTTTCAGGTCTTATATTTGTCTTTTATTGGGGGGAGGGGAGGGGGAAGAGTCTCACTCTGTCACCCAGGCTGGAGTTCAGTGGAGCAAACTTGGCTCACTGCAACCTCTGCCCCCTGGGTTCAAGTGATTCTCCTGCCTCAGCCTCCCCAGTAGCTGGGATTACAGGCACCTGCCACCACACCCAGCTAATTTTTGTATTTTTAGTAAAGATAGGGTTTTGCCATGTCAGCCAGGCTGGTCTTGAATTCCTGACCTCAAGTGATCCACCCACCTCAGCCTCCCAAAGTGCTGGGGTTACAGGCATGAGCCACTGTGCCCTGCTTCTTTAACCTATTTTGATTTGATTTTTTAATATGGTGAGAAACAGAGTCTAGTCATCTTCTTCTTTATGTAGATATCTACGTTTCCCAGCACTATTTATTAGAGACTGTCCTTTCCCCAAAGTGTGGTGTTGGTGCCTTCCTTGAAAATCAGATGGCTGTGTTCTCTATTCTGTTCCATTGACCTATGTGTCTATTTTTATGCCAATACCATGTTGTTTTGATTAATATAGCTTTGTATTATATTTTTTAAAGTAAGGTAGTGTGATGCCTCCAGCTTTGTTCTTTTACCTCCAGGTTGCTATGTCTATATTGAAGATCTTTTGTGATTCTATACAAATTTTAGGAATGTTTTCTCTGCTTATCTGAATAATGTCATTGGTATTTTATTTTTTGATTGTTTGTTTGTTTTGAGATGGGGTCTTGCTCTTTGACCTGGGCTGGAGCGCAGTGGTGCAATTCTATCCCACTGTAGCTTGGAACTCCTGGGCTCAAGCAATCTTCCCACCTCAGTCTCCCAAGTAGGTGTGACTACAGTAGCTGGGACTAATTATTTTTTGTTTTGTTTTGTAGAGATGGGCTCTTTCTATGTTGCCTCAAGTGCTCTCAAACTCCTGGGCTCAACCAATCCTCCCTGCCTTGGTCTTTCAAAAGGCTTGGATTACGGGGCAAGTCACCATGCCCAGACATTATTGGTATTTTGACAGCAGTTGCAATGAATCTGTACTACTGCTTTGGGTAGTATGAACAACTTCAGACTATTCTTCCAGTCTATGAAAATGAAATATCTTTTCATTTATTTGTTTCCTCTTTAATAGCTTTCACCAATAATTTATAGTTTTCTTTGCTTGTAGAGATCTTTCACCTCCTTGGATAAATTTATTCCTAGGTATTTTTAATAGCTATTGTAAATGGGATTGCTTTCTTTATTCCTTTTTCAGATACTTTGTTATTGGTGTATAGAAATGCTGTTGATTTTTGTAGGTTTATTTTGTATCCTCCAACTTTACTGAATTTATTTATTAGTTCTAACTCGGGTTTTTTGGTGAAGTTCTTAGTGTTTTTGGCACATAAGATCATGTTGTTTGCAAACAGGGACAACTTGACTTCCTCTTTTCTAATTGGGAAGCCCTTTATTTATCTCTCTTCTAATTGCTTGGGCTAAAACTTCCAGTACTGTGTAGAATTAAAGTGGTGAAAGTAGGTAGGTGTCTTTGTCTTCTTTCAGGTCTTACAGAAAAAGCTTTCTTTGTCATATATAGCCTTTATTGTGCTTAGGTAAATTTCTACTATACCTAATTTTTGGGAGGCTTTTATTGTGAATGGATGTTGAATTTTATCAAATGCATCTTCTGCAGCTATTGACTAGATCATACAATTTGTGTTCTTGATTCTGTTAATGTGATGTATCATGTTTATTGATTTGCATATGTTGAACCATCCTTGCATTTCTGGGATGAAACCACCTTGATCATGGTGAATAATCTTTTTAATGTACTACTGAATTCAGTTTGCTATTATTTTGTTGAGAATTTTTACATCTGTTTTAGTCAGGAATACTGACCTGTAGTTTGTTGTTGTTATTGTTACGTCCTTGTCTAGTTGTGGTATCAGGGTAAATGCTAGCCTCATAGAATGAATTTGGAAGAATTCCCTCCTCTTCAATTTTTTTGAAATAATTTGTAAAGGATTGATATAATTTCTTTCTTCCTTAACTATTTGGTAGAATTCAGCTGTAAAGCAATCAGATCCTGGACTTTTCTTTAATGGGAGACTTTTTCTTTATTTCTTTTACTGATTCACCCTGTTACTTTTTATTGGTCTGTTCAGATTTTCTATTTCTATATGATTCAATTTTGGCAGGTTTCCTGTGTTCAGGAATTTATCCGTTACTTCTAGATTTTCCAATTTATTGGCAAATAGTTGTTCATAATGGTCTCATATGATCATTTGTATTTCTGTCATATCAGTTATAATGTCTTCTTTTTCACCTCTGATTTTATGTTTTGAATCATCTCTCTTTTTTTCTTAATTTAGCTAAAAGTTTATCAATTTTGTTAATCTTTTCAAGAAACAAACTCTTTATTTTGTATTTATATTGTTTTATATATTATATTTACATCATTTCATATTTTTTGTCTCCACTTATTTATTTCTGCATTGATGATTATTATTTCTCTCTATTTTTGTTTTTCATTTATTCTGTTTTTCTAACTCCTGAGGTGCAATGTTACATTGCTTATTTGAGACACTTCTAATTTTTTGATGTAGGCATTAACTGCCTGTCAATTTTCCTCTTAGAACTGCTTTTGCTGTGTCATGTAAGTTTGGAGATGTTATGTTTCATTTTCATTTGTCTCAACAAATTTTTCTTTTTAATTTTTTCATTAACTCATTTGTTGTTCAGGAGTATGTTGTTTAACTTCCATGTATTTGTGTAGTTTCCAAAGTTTTTCTTTAAGCATTTCTTGTAAAGTCAGTATAGTGGTGGTGAATTCCATCCGTGTTTGCTTGTCTGGAAAATACTTTATTTCTATTTCATTTCTGAAGGATTTTCTGGGTGTAGTATTCTTGGATGGAAGGTTTTTTTTTTTTTTTCATTACTTTGAATATATCAGCCCATTCTCTTCTGGCCTGCAAGACTTCTGCTGACAAATATGCTGATAGTCGAATGAGGATTCTCTTCTATGTGACTTGATGTTTTTCTTTCGCTGCTGTTAGAATCCTTTGCCTTTGACTTTTGACAGTTTGATTGCAATGTGCCTCAAAAAGAACTTTTTTGGGTTGATATAATTGGGATTTTTTGAGTTTCATGGATCTAGATATCTATATCTCTCCCATGACTTGGGAGTTTTTCAGATATTATTTTGTCAGATAAGTTTTCTGTGCCATTCTCCATCTCTTCTCCCTCTGAAATTTTCTTAATGTGAATATTTGTTTGCTTAATGGTATCTCTCATAAGTCTTACAGGCATTCTTTGCCCTTTATCATTCTTTTTTGTTTTTATTCCTCTGACTGGGTTATTTCAACAGACCTATCTTCAAGGTCAGAAATTCTTTTTTCCATTTAAATTCATCTTCTTTTGAAGCTCTAAATTTTATTTGTTTAATTTTTTTTTATTGAAGTGTTCAGCTCCTTCTGTTTGTTTTTTTAATGATGTCATTATCTTTGTTGAACTTCTCATTCCGATCATAAATTGCTTTCCTGATTTCATTGAATTGTTTGTCTGTATTCTCTTGTATCTCACTAAGTTTCCTTAAGATTATTATTCTGAATTCTTTTGCAGGCAATTCATAAACGTGCCTTTCTTTGGAGACAGTTACTGGAGAATTATTGTGTTTCCTTAATGGTATTATGTTTCCTTACTTTTTCATATTTCTTGTGTCTCTGTATTGATAATTGTGCATCTAGTTGAATGGTCACCTCATCTTTTCCAATTTAATGAGTAGCTGTCATATGGAAAGGTTTTGGCTGCAGATGTCTCCTAGGATGTCAATTGGGTAGGGTGCATTGGCTTTGATTGCAGGTGGGTGCAGTAGTGTAGTCTCTATGAAGTTTCTTCAGCTGTATTCAACATCACATCAGTGATGCCTGTGAGTGCCTTAGTGGCCTAGCATACACAGGTTTATGTGGCTGCTTTGCTGGGTTGGGTGTAGCCCTGCCAGAGGCAAAAGCATTTAGGTTGATATCCCAAATCAAGCATTGAAGTTGGCAGCAATTTGGTAGTACCACCAAGATCCACACACTGGTCACTGTTTTTGTTTCTACTTGACCCCTGGGTGGTCAAGTCATACCCCAATTTTCCTTGACCTTTCCTGACCTCTCTCTCTCTAGATCTCTCCCTTGTGGCTCCAGAATTCTGGCAGCTTCACCTCTAGGAAACAGATTGAAAGACTTTTTTTTCCACAGGATACCACCTTCTCCCAAAAGCAAAGACTGAAAAATCCTAATGTGGTACCTTCCCCAACTAAGTGGCCCAGTCACATCACCCAAAACTTTACTTCCCAATAGGCAAGCTCCAATAAGCTTTTAGAATCTCACTCTTTTAAATACTAAAAAACCAAGGAAAATTGCAACACTGGGAAAGACTCTAGCATGAAAGATGTAGATGACAACACACAAAAAGAAAAGGCAACTTGGAAGGACAGAAATTGTCAAATAAACTATCATTCCTATTCCCACAAAAATAAGAGAAAGTAATATAACAATGAGCGAAAAGAGGATATTATGTTTTAAAGAAGATTTTAGAAACCAAACTAAAACTAAAAGTATTTTAGACGTTGAAAGCGTGATACCAGGGAGGACGATATTCAAGAGAAGGGTTAAAAATTAAAGACAAAAAAAACTTAAAGAACAAGGGAGAGACAAAGAAATAGAAATGGAAAAGTTATATGGAGGTACAAGACCAATATAGTACCTTCAGTATCTGAAAAACATGAGTTTCAGAATGAGCAAACAGAAATTAGAAGAGACTAGATCATCAATGAAATAATTCTAGAGATTTTCTTAGAATAAAAAGTCATTGGTTCCAGATAGAAAGGGTCCATTGATTGCCAAGCATAAAAGATAAAAATAGACCCACATTCCAGCACAGCATCATGAAATTTCAGAGCGGTGGGGACAAAGGTGAGAGCCTACCATCTGGGGATGGCAGACTATGGGTCATGCACTAAGAATTAGAAATAGAAGACTTTGGACTAGAAACTAGAAACCAATATAATAATGTATTCAACCCTGGAGAGAGAAAAAAAGTCATCCTAAAATTCTATGTCTACTCAAATTTAACAAATAAACACAAGAATGAATATAGCACTGTCAGACATGGTAGGACTCAAAACATCTTCCTTCCTACGGCTTGCTCAGGAACTCAGGAAGCTACCAGAGGATGTACACCACCAAAATGAGGTAGTAAACCACAAAAGGGAAGATGTAGGAGAAAGAGTGATATGGTTAGGCTTTGCGTCGCCACCCAAATCTCATCTTGAATTGTAATCCCCATAATCTCCGGGTGTCAAGGGAGAGATCAAGTGGAGGCAATTGAATTATGGGGACATTTCCCCCCCATGTTGTTCTTGTGATAGTGAGGGACTTCTCACAAGATCTGACGGCTTTATAAAGGGTTCTCCCCCACTTAACTTGCCATTTCTTCCAGCCGCCTTGTGAAGAAGGTGTCTTGCTTTCCCTTTGCCTTCTGCCATGATTGTAAGTTTTCTGAGGCCATCCCAGCCATGCTGCACTGTGAGTCAATTAAACCTCTTTCCCTTATAAATTACCTAGTCTGGGGCAGTTGTTTATAGCAGTATGAAAATGGACTAATACACAGGAAACAACAGGTGCTAGAGAGGATGTGGAGAAATAGAAACACTTTCACACTGCTGGTGGGACTGTAAACTAGTTCAACCATTGTGGAAGGCAGTGTAGTGATTCCTCAAGGATCTAGAACTAGAGATACCATTTGACCCAGCCATCCCATTACTGGGTATATACCCAAAGGATCATAAATCATGCTGCTATAAAGACACATGCACACGTATGATTATTGCGGCACTATTCACAATAGCAAAGTCTTGGAACCAACCCAAATGTCCATCAGTGATAGACTGGATTAAGAAAATGTGGCACATATACACCATGGAATACTATGCAGCCATAAAAAAGGATGAGTTCATGTCCTTTGTAGGGACATGGATGAAGCTGGAAACCATCATTCTGAGCAAACTATTGCAAAGACAGAAAACCAAACACCGCCTGTTCTCACTCATAGGTGGGAATTGAACAATGAGAACACTTGGACACAGGGTGGGGAACATCACACACCGGGGCCTGTCTTGGGGTGGAGGGAGGGGGAAGGGATAGCATTAGGAGATATACCTAATGTAAATGACGAGTTACTGGGTGCAGCACACCAACATGGCACATGTATACTATGTAACAAACCTGCACGTTGTACACAAGTACCCTAGAACGTAAAGTATAATAATAAAAAAAAAGAAAACCAAAAAAAAAAAAAAAAAAGAAAAGAAAATGGACTAATACAGAGAAGAAACAAGATCTGACATAGGAGAAGAGCAAAGATAATTTCCAAGTCACAATACAAAGAGATCCCAGGATGACAGCTGAGCCTCAGGTGGAGATGGCAACCAGACCAGATGGAGGCAGGTCCAGGGGCAAAGACAAATGGATGGAATAGGTGGTGTATTTGGACATCCCGAAAACAGTGTTTGTATGGTCTCAGTGATGTAAACTTGGAATACTGATCTAACCAAAATTATAAAATAACTATATGTGAAGATATATGAAAGATGTGGGTGAGCTTAAAACTGAATAATCAGTCTGGGTGCGGTGGCTCACACCTGTAATCCCAGCACCTTAGAAGGCCCAGGCCGACAGATCGCATGAGCTCAGGAGTTCAAGACCAGCCTGGGTAACATGGCAAAACCCTGTCTCTACTAAAAATACAAAAACTAGCCAGGCATGGTGGCATACACCTACAATTCCAGCTACTTGGGAGGCTGAGGTGGGAGAATTGCTTGAACCCAGGAGGCGGAGGTTGCAGTGAGCTGAGATCACATCACTGCACTCCAGCCTGGGTAACAGAACAAGACTCTGTCTTAAAAAAAAAAAAAATGAAATATCAAGACGTAGATATACCAAGCCTGCCAGTTAGAGATATAGAAAGATGTCAAAATAATCGGAAGAACCGAGAAAGTGGGTGCTTTAGGGGAGGGGAAGAGGAAAGGTGGGAGTAGGATTGGCTCTACCAACGTCGCAGAACAATTTTGACTCTTGAATAATGTGCATACTAGCTTTGATTTTTAAAGAATGAATGGCATTCTTCCAAATAAACCACTGCAGACATGACAGCAATAAAACATCAGCAATAGTTACAAACAAACAAAAAATTATTTGTATTGGCAAGGCAGCAAGAGCAGAAAGGGAGTGAACAAAATTTGGCTTAAATGACCTCAGAATAAATTAAAGTTGGACCCAAGGAAGGACTCCTTGATCATAGTGGTGTACATGGCAATGCAACAGGAATGAAAACCTTCAGGCGAGAGGAAGGAAAACCACCCTTCTCAGATGGTTTGGCTATCACAAATCATCCTGCATGCTTTTCATATTCGCAATGGAACTAGTTAATGATTCTTCATCTATTCCCATAGATAGTGCTTAACCTGCTGGCAGGTTTCCAACTGAAATAAACCCTTAATTCCCAAGGAAGCTCAGAGACCTTAAAGAAAACAATATTCCCTAGATAACTTTTATTCGAAAAATTTTGCATATGTTGGTTGCATGGGGAAAAGCCCTCTTATTTGCACAGAAAGTAGTGTTTCTGCTGCAGTAGAGCCTTTAAGAATCTTTCCAGATAATCCAGGACTGACTTTTCCAAACCAGCAGCAGCCAAGCACCTCCCCAGCAGATATATTTGACCTAAACTGGCTTCCATACTTTGTTAATAAAGCTTGGCCCTAAGCAGTCTCAGCACATGGTGAACTGTACACTAGTTCCATGCATAAACAAGATATAACTTAACCTGGGAGTATATCTTTGTAACCAAGCAACTGAGTCTCGTCAAATCATAGCAGCAAAACCCTCAGCCAATCCCAGGCTGAAAGCTGCCAAATTATGCCCAAATAAGGCAAACGGGGAACTGTACCAATCAGGTAATCTCTGTGCATTGTTTCCTGTTTTTCGGGTTATAAATATAGCTCACTGATATGGTTTGGCTCTGTGACACCACCCAAATCTCATCTCAAATTGTAATACTCACACATCAAGGGAGGGACCTGCTGGGAGGTGACTGGATCGTGGGGGCAGTTTCCCCTGTGCCGTTCTCCTGATAGTGAGTGAGCTCTCATGAGATATGATGGTTTAAAAGTGTTTGGAAGTGCCCCCTTAGCTCCCTCTCTCTCTCTTGCTTCGCCATAGTAAGACATGCTTTTCTTCCCCTTTGCCTTCCACCATGATTGTAAGTTTCCTGAGGCCTCCCCTGCCATATGGAACTGTGAGTCAATTAAACCTCTTTTCTTCATAAATTACTCAGTCTCAGGTAGTGTCTTTGTATCAGTGTGAAAACCAACTAATATACTCACTAAGGTGGGCGTGGGAGCATTCTGAACCCCCAGCATTCAAAATCTTGTTTTGAATGCTGTCCAGCTCTGAAACTTCTTTCCTTCAAATAATAACTAAAAGTTAAATTTAACTTGTCCTAGGTTTTTCTTTGTCACCTGCAATCCTGACAGCACTCCATACATCATAGCCCTCAACACTTGGCACTCAGGAAGAAATCTGCTCTCCTACCCAGCATTTCACACCACTGACATCTTATTAGGCCCCATCCCATCGCCTACCCCAGACATATGGGTAATTATGACACTAATAGGACATTAGTGAAAGTTAGTTACCATAAAAGAAAAAAAAACTGCCGACTTGGAGTAGTTCCCACTGCACCTCATTCTCTCAGTCCAGAAAAGCAAGTCAAGAAAGTAAGGAAATGAGGGAGGCATTATCATAGGATGACCAATATATTACTAACCAATTACCAGCATCACAGCCCAACACTGGCCCCAGTCATGCAGTTTAGAGCCTCTACTGTGATGCCACACAGGCAAAGTCAAATACTGGACAACTACTCTTCAATGTGGCTGCCCGTTTAATATTTGAAGATGGCTTGCCATCCGCTCCCCCAGTTGTCTTTGGAGGAAAGGGAGAATTTCCTAGAACCAATTTGAGTCCTCATCTGGGCCATTATCAAGTGTACATTCCAAATTGTATTTTTATTTTATTCAATATTTTCCATTTTCTTTATCTCCCCCTAACAATCTCTCCCCATTAATGGCTCCATCTAGGTTTAAATTAAAGACCCTACTTGCTTTATGATAGTTCCTGTTGCTTATTGACCTCTCTGTCCTGCTTTGATACATCAGCTGACTTGTTAAATTTTTTTATGTTAACCAGTATTCACATTTTCTTATAGAATATGGTCTTGGAAAATTCAGTCCTTCATCTCAGCCTGTGTTGGTCAGTTTTTGTCTTGACTTTCTGAACCTGAGATCATACATTCAATAAGCCCCACATATATCCTTAATAATAAGATGAACATTCTGGCCAAGGGCCAAGCCAGGTGGCCCAGACACTAAAGACTTCTCTTTGGATGCACCCAGATGCACATATCAGCCCTTTTGCTTTAAAAACATATTCTACCCAAGTTGAGCCAAGCAGGAAAGCCATTAAAAAGTTAATATGTCAAAGGTGCCATGTCACCTGATTAGTTCCCAAGCCAACATTTTATCCAACAATATTCCCCTCTTCCTTGAACATTCCTCTCTCAGTGGCCCCTTTTCGTGTTCTGCACTTCCATATTGTTGCATTTCATGGCTAATCTTTTGACTGCTTTCCCTCTTGATCTGTAATAAAGCATTCTCTTTCCTGATATGGGACCACGTCGGATTTCTATCCTAATAGCTCATCTCTCATGATGTAACACTTAAATGCCCCGTGCCTTTGAGCTACCGTGAGGCTGGCACTGGCTTGACTTGCCCTCTATCATCTGTGTGCCCATCATGGGAGGCAGCACAGCAGAGCAGTCAAGAATACAGACTACTGAGTCACACTGCCCAAGTTCAAATTCTGGCTGCACCATTTACTAGCTTTGTAACCTTGGGCAAGATTTTGAACCTCTCTGTGCCTTAGGAATACTTATCTGCCAACTCATCACTATCACCTCTGAACAGTTTAGAGGCACCAGATCATTTTTAGGTTTGCAGGGTAATGGCTGTACTGGCACTGAAAGGAATTTGTAGAGTTTTAGCTTCCCCTGAAACTCTTGTTTTACCTTCATCCTATAATTTCAATTATTTTCTCAATCTCATGTAAGAAAATAATCTATATAAAATCCATATACTTACCAAGCAAATGCATCTCTAAGACAAGTCTCCATGTCCTCCTTGCCAAGCATATTCTGTCCCTTAATCCTTCCTACATAGAAACTGGGAAGCCACCATCAGTGGTCAGTGAGGAGGGCTTTGAAAGCAGACAGACCTGGGTTCAAATCACGTCCTGCATTCAGCTCAGATCTGCACATCTTGGAGCCAAACTCCTTCTTACAAATGAGGCAGAGAATGATTTGGAGCTCATGTGCAATTTCAAGTGAAATAATTTTATTTTCCAAGACAAGAAAAGGACTGGAACACTTTAATTGGCCATATGAAAATCATGAGATATTTCTGCATTAATGGGCAGGGCAGATTAATGCTAATTATTCAACTAAGGCTTATTATGGGGTTCCAATACTTAAGAAAATAGAGACAATGATTCAGGCTTTTAAAACCGGAACCAGGAAAAAAAAGTGTTCTATTGGAAAGGTTGAGCCTTGGAGGGATCCAATAGTGGCGTATATAAAATAAAAGAAGTTATTATTCCTACAGTGTCAAATAGCTGTTTGTCATTTCCCCTAAAAGCAGTGGGAAATTGGCTTAAACTGCAAGGATTTGAGTTAAACATAAGGAAAAAATTCCTGACAGTAGGGGTTGTTAAACAGTGGAACAAGTTAGCAATAACAATTATGGAATGGATTTCCCGGGGCTCTTTGGACATTGTACCCCATTTGTCTGGGAAGTTCTGATATAACCTTGCCTATTGGAGACCTCCTAGGATCCTTTCCAGTTCTCTGGTTAATTAGTTCAGCATGCTTTTGCACTAATAGCTTTATAATCCTGGTCGCAACTGATTAAAAGACAAAAATCAATTTCCCACTCAAATCCCCCAAACGAGAAGGTGTTTTGCTCCCCTGTGCACAAGAAACAGGATGGGCTGCACATTTTCATTCATATGTTTTTAATTTCTTCGGGGAAGTTTTTAAACTGAGATTACCATAAACCAAAGTTTAGCCCAGAAATACAGTGAATTATAAACTGGTGGAAACGCTGAATAGAGATATATAATGGAAACATTAACAGAGCTTTAGCGGTGATGGCAATAGTATGTCACTACAATGCAAGGAAATCGTGTTAAAGTAACTGCTATTGTAGATAAGGGGGTGCTGCTCTTAATAATGGATTTTTCATGCATTACTTCTATGCTTTTAACATTTTTTCCATCGTGAAGTGACCTTGGAATAATGCTAAGAACTATATTTTGTATTTAACCTAAATACCAAATTTAAAGACTTACATAGATAATACAAAGGGCTTCATTCCATGCTGCTGAAGATTGTGCAAGGTCATAGACTGCTTCCACAAACTCATATGTAATGGAAGTAAATCATTTTTTATTGAAAATATGCAACACGCAACTACTTTCTTCTAACAAAGCCAGGAATATTTTATGAGAAATTTAAAAAATGGAATAGTATTGACAAGTAGATACCATGTAGGCCCCAAAGAAGGGTGGGGGTGGGCCTTCAGCCTCCCCTGATAATTTCCACAGCCCCACAAAGCCACCCTAAAAATGTTTAAAGCACGAATAGTGTCTTTGTGTCACAGTTTCCAGTGAATTCCCTTAATCCTTCTTCCAACCAGACTGTTATTTCAAGACTTTCCTTGATTTATATTCTGGACCTCCAGTGTGTATCAGGTGAAACAAACAAAATAAATGAGATATATATTTATACTGGTCCTAGGAAAAACTGAAAAGCATTGGTTTAAAATCTGTTGATCTGTGCCACTTAGTTAAAATATTCACCCATTCTACACCACTGCACTCCAGCCTGGGTCACAGAGACAGACTCTGTCTCAAAAAAAAAAAAAGAAAGAAAATTCACCTATTCTTCCCACTTGACACCCATCCATCTTCTGTGGCCAGCGTACCCACATCCCCCTCCATTTCCTTGGTGTGTCTCTGCCTTGGTGTGCTCACACCACTGCTGCCTAAGCTCCTTCCTCTCAAGATAAGGATGCCAACAAGCTGGCCCGATAAATTCACCAGCCCTCTGGTATAATGCAAAAGAGCCAAGCGTGTGAAGATGGCATGCTCTGAATAAGACTGCCTGGTGTTAAATGCCACCAGCCCCACTTCCTATCTGTGAGTGCTTGGAAAATGCATTTAACCTGCCTGTGCTTCCTTTTACTCACCTAGAAGATGGAGATGATGACAATACCCATCTCCTGGGTTACTGCAGGATTCAATGAGTTAATGTACATAAAACTTACACTGTGACTGGCCCACAGTAAACACATGATAAATGTCAGCTTCTTACATGGCATTCAGATGTAAGACCTTTCTTTCTCCATAGTTTAGGACCACGTTGGTCAGCATTTCAGGCCATGGCAAGCAAACAACTCTAATATTTGAGACAATGGGTCCTAGATTATAAGTAACTAGTTTCTCTCCCCACGAGAAGTGCCAGGAAACATGTGTATAATGCATAATTGTGCATATATGTACCAGTCAGAGCAGAAAAGGGAAATTTTAAGCAACAAAATCTACCAGCCAAATCATTCCTTCAGAATAAGTTTAGTGACAGCCTCCACTATCATCTAACTGCGTAGTTTTGTGCAAGTCAGCTGAACCCGAGGAGCTTCACTTTTCTTATTTGTAGAATAGAGACAATACTAATTTCACAAGGTTTTAGCAGATTCAAAGGAGATTAGTAAGTGACAGGGTTTATGTCAAAGGAAATCATAAAGAATGATATAATTCTGGCCGGGCGCAGTGGCTCACACCTCTAATCCCGGCACTTCGGGAGGCCAAGGAGGGCAGGTCACTTGAAATCAGAAGTTTGAGACCAGCCTGGCCAGCATGGTGAAACTCCATCCCTACTAAAAATGCAAAAATTAGCTAGGCGTGGTGGCGGGCACCTATAATCCCAGCTACTTGGGAGACTGAGGCAGGAGAATCGCTGGAGCCTGGGAGGCAGAGGTTGCAATGAGCCAAGATCACGCCATTGCACTCCAGCCTGAGCTACTCTGTCTCAAAAAGAAAACGAAAAAAGAAACAAAAATGTTATGATTTGGATACATCGTGTTACCGTTTTTTTGCTGAATTTTCTCCTGCTGCTCCCAGTTTCTCTAATTTGTGTTTCAGGGCAAATTATCTTTTAAAAACACTTGGTATTCTCTTCCTGGTTCACTCATCTCTAAATTTTCCTCTAGAAAATCTACCTCCTGTCTCAGAAACCATACCTGGAAAATTCCCTTTCATCTGTCCTGGGATCCATGCTTTACCAACCTGCCACCAGCCCATCTTATTTACTGTCTCCAGGTGAGAAGGAAAGACTCTTTCCCACCTGGGTACAACTCTCCATATTTCATTGTTATGTTTATGTTTTTCAGAGACAGAGTCTCACACTGTCACCCAGGCTGGAGAGCAGGGACTATTCACCAGCGCAATCACAGCTCACTGTAGTCTCAAACTCCTGGGCTCAAACGATCCTCCCACTTCAGCCTCCTGAGCAGCCAGGACTACAGGTGCACACCACCATACCCAGTTCATATTTCACTATTGATTTGGTTTATTAAAGAAAAAAACTTTCTCTAAAGAAATGACTAAGAATGCTTTTCACTTTGCCAATAAGATGCTGCTTGCTCCTTCTCAGTTGCCAGAGGCTACCTTGTAAAAAGAAAAATTAAAGAAAATTAAAAGGAAATGCCAGAAACTAAAAACGGAAGTTTTATTTTTGAAGTTTGCTCTGGCCACCTTCTCTCCTCCAGCTGGGTTGTAAAATTAACCAAGTATCATGAGCAGGAGAGCAGAGAATCTGGCAAAAGAGACACACAGCCATCATGAGAATATCCAATTTCCAGGGAGACTCTCTGGCTCACTGTTCCTTCCAGGTTCCCCTGCCCTACAGACCGCCCAGACTGGGCAGGATATTCCAGTTTGTCCTGTAGACTGGGGTGAAAGGCATCACAAGGGCACTGTTCAGATTCCCAGGTGATACAGGGATAGAAAGGGTGGGAGGTTCCAGGAAAAGAATATAGGGTGGAAAGTAACAGAGTGAGAATGAAGACAGAATAGAAAAGAAAAATGCACAGAGGACACAGCAGCAACATTTAGTGAGCACTTGCTATAGACTAGGCATCTTCCCATTTAATCCTTAAAGCAAGCCTGTGAACTAAGGATTGATACTGTCATTTCTGGGTGAGAGACTGAAGCCTACAGAGATAGTAAGCTGCTGACCCAGAATCTGAATCCAGATCTGTCTTATTTCAAAGTGGATATTCTTAACTCCAGCTCCTATAAGCTCCTACACAGCTTAGATACACATTCAGCGTTAATATTTCTTAAATGTAGTCAGACTAAGCTTGCACACTATCATAATCTGATGTGTCCGCTATTCAAGGTAAAAAAGCAATCAACAAAAGTGAAAGTTTTTAATATAGTTGGTTTAAGAGCTTGCTGCTTTGATTCTTCTCTTCTCGCCCTTGAATGAGTTTTCAACAATGCTTCTTTCAGAATCAAATCCACTCTTTTTCTGAAACACCTAAGACTGGGTCTTAGTAGGTTTCTTATCTGTGCTAATAAAAGAAAAAACCCTGCTTCAAAAAGCATCAAGCTGCTTGTAATCTTAGCACTTTGGCAGGCTAAGGTGGGGGATCATTTGAGGCCAGGAGTTCAAGACCAGCCTGGGCAGCATAGCAAGACTCTGTCTCTACAAAAAATAATGAAAATTAGCCAGGCATGCTGGTGCACCCATACTCCCAGCTACTCTGGAGGCTGAGGCAGGAGGATGGCTTGAACCCAAGAGGTCGAGGCTGCAGCAAGCCATGATAACATCACTGCATTCCAGCCTGGGTAACAGAGCAAGACCCCCAATTCTAAAAAAAAAAAAAAAAAAAAAAAAAAAAAGCATCAAGCTAAGTGGACAATGATATATCACTTTGTACCCAGAACACTCATCCTTCAAAAACGGACTTCATTCTGCAATATTTCTTTGTTCACACTCCACACAAGATAATAGAAACCCAGCAAGACCTGATTCAAATCCAGCTTCATCATCAAGTGTATGATCTTGGGAAAGATCCTTAGTTTTCTCATTTCTATAATAGGTGTAATTCATAAGGTCATCATGAAGATTAAATGAAATGGTATGTAAAAAGTCCTAAGCACAGAACATGTTCTCTATTCATAGCAGCTATTGACAGTGTTAACCATGGTGAGGCCTAATGTTAATACTTCAAAGATGGTACCTCTTCTGGAATCCAAAAATTCATGCCATCTTTCTTCCCTGGATAATACTGCAAAAACTTTACCAACTTCTGGCTCTATGAGTATCTAGTTATCAGGCCCTTTGCTAGTGGTCAGCAACTTTTTGGGATATGAAGACTCATTTTTAACACCCACAAAACTCACCGATGTCTCCTCTGAGGATAGTTGCTGATTAAGAACACAGCTGTTTCTAGACCCCTTTCCCATACAATGGGAAACTTGCTCTCAATTTATTATTCCTCTTCTCTTCAGAAAATCTCTCTCCAAACACAATATAAGAAAATAGGCCTTTACTTACCAAATAGCAATTCCATTTCTGCCTTCAGCCCTGCCTCCTGTTGGAAATTCCAGGGTTTCCTTACTTGGACTATTGGATATGCTCAAAATTTTCTGTTCAACTCTGCAGAAAATGCCTTGATAAAGTCTCACAGATGTTCATGTTCGTTGTTCATAAATGTTTAACAGTTTAATACTCTTAAAACAAACTCAGTTCCCTTTATCTTAATTTTCTGGCAGAATATGTGGAAAAGAAAAAAATCTCACTTGACTCTTTGGACTTAAAACGTACACATTCAATTAAATATCTATTAATTTGGTTTATAATGTTGAGATTTACAGTACCTATTTTCATTCTCCATACATGCCAACACTTTCCCAACTCAGAGTTTGCTCAACCTAGAAGTCCCTCTCTCCACATTCAATTTTAATCAACGGTTCTAGTCTCCAACACCTGCTCCTCCATGAAACTCTTCTCCTCTGAACTCCTGACATCTTGACCCTAAGTCTGGCTAGGTTATAAATTGACACACTGGCATCAATGCAGTCCTAGGATGCCAGTGTGCCAATTTACAGCTGAAGAACTGGCATGCGATTCCACAATCTCGACTGCTATCCATTCCCTCCATACTCCCATTCCTAATTTTCTCTGCCCTACTCGAATGATTCTTTTTACCCAAGACTTTGGTCTCTATGTCTATGTCTTATTTTTCTTTGTATTGCTAACATCCTGGGATACAGTAGATACTAAACTATAAAAACCTGGGGGATGGTGAGTTTGCCAGCGTCATTCTCTCCTTACTACCTCCAACTGTTTCTCCACTTCTCCACTTTCCTTCCTTCAGGTAATATTGAAATTTTGCTTATAGCAAAGTAACTGAGGGCATCCTACCACCCCATGCCAACATAGATTCACACAAAAACCAAACACAAAGTAAATAGAAAAGAAAAGAGAAGGCTTATATTTCTCATTACATCTGCTATCTGATCCTATTTCCATTCTAGACACAGGTTTTCCATTGTTATTTTTCTGGCTCAATTAGGATACTGGAGTTACAAGTTGCGGATTGTGGACATAAAATCCAGCGCTCAGGAGCTCATGTAAGATTAGGATGCTAAACAACAGGTCCCAGGAATTTCTCTTACCCACAGGACTGAAATGACTAACACAGGGTACCATTAGATGTAGATGTGGATAAGGATTCAAGAAATTTTTCTCACATGTTGCCTAATGTAACACAGAGTTCAGAAACCACCTTGGTTCAGCCTGCAAAGCCCATCAAACCCAGGTATTACTTTTTACCTAATTGTCTCCATTTTTTTCAGAGGCCTGTAGCCTCCAGCACTGGAGTGTACTTTGACTACAAGGAAGGGGTCAAGGTGTGAAGAGACTGCAGTGTTAATGTAGGTGTCACATAAATGCATTAGCTCGGTGGACCAAATAAGGGAAAATATTTTGATGAGAAAATGGCATTTAGAAGCGTTAGCACGTTTAAAACATTTCCCCAGTGTGGTTACATTAGCAGACCTAAACAATCAAGGGCCAGAAGGCGTTGCTGCAGGGATTGTGAGCCTAAAAAGTTATCTTTGTTCTGACACCTATTAATAACCATCTTTGAGAATTATAAAGCACAGTGAAAAGAGAATTGTTCAACTCTGCACCTGCAAACATTTTATAACTGTGATTTACACAGACAAATATATATATATATATATATATATATATATATATATATATATATGATGATATATGTTTAATTCCCTGCTGAATGAGAAGCTTTTGGCATTAAGAAATCTATTGGTAATTCTAGGTGCCGATGGCACTTGGGACCCTTCCCCTAACATTTCCTACTTAAGGAGCAGGTTGCTTGCAAACGCACAATACTCATCAGCAAAAGAACTCAGAATGTACTTGTTCTGGCTTTGAAGGAAACTTGCTCCCTGGGCTGAAGAAAACCTCCCCATATGGGAAAAAGAGAACTTTTCTCATCTTAAACCTTCGATTCAACTGCCTTCTGCACCACGTGCTGGAACTGCCCCCACTGGGCTGTCTACTCACTGCTTAGATTTTTCACTGGAGAATGAGGAAGACCACTGCAGGGGAGGGAACCTCAGGGCGTGTGGATTTGAGGGTTGTACACTCAAATGTCAAACAGCTGGCTTGTTTAACACAGTTAAACTTACAGGATCCTACTGCATGATGAGAAGAAGCTTTCATCAGGCCTCTTTTCCTGGTTATCACAAATTTGGGCACCTTGAAATCACCTGCTGCTGATGTTGAACTTAAATATCACTGTGAAAATCTTTGTCTCAGAGGCAGGGAATTCTAGAGGTTGATGACCACTAAAAAGAGTTAAAGATCCTGTGTCCTTTGCTTTTGTCAGTTTCTAAAAAGCCAGACTGAAGCTCTTCCATCTGAAGTGTCTGCCCTTAATGTACAGAGATTCTTTGAGAGAGCTCAGATTGTAACTTTTCTCTGGGAAACTGCTGTAAAGAATAGACCAAATGAGTGATTCCCTCTGGCCAAACCAGTAGGGGATGAGACAAACTCGCTGGTGTTTTAAATTTTTCGAAATGACTAAAAAGGCATTATTGGGAAAGAAAAAAACTTCAGTGAAACTTTATCTCTGAAGCCAACGCCCACTCTGAGACACAGGCTCAGTCTGGCAAACCAAAGCCAGTTGCAGAGAATGCTCATGTCTGAGGGGATATTTGGTATAGGATGTACATCCTGCGTGAGGTGTGCATCTGCAGGAACTAGGCAACAGTAAAGTTAACCTTGGTTTGCAGGACTTGACAAGAGTTAATTCCTTATTAGAGATAAGCAAACTGAGGGTACAGAATCATAAAATCATACAAGTTCAGGATTAAAATGATCTTGGAAGTTGTGTTGTCCAATCCAATTCCTGCCTCTTTAGATGTTCAGATCTCCAGACCATATCATCATCAACTTCTACAGCAGGCAACCTCGGCAGCATGGACATTATCAGAACATTAATTGGACAGTCATTGTGCTTGACCCTCCTCAAGCATTAGCCCACTGCATCTCCCCATCAACTCTGCAACTTGGGCATTATTAGCCTACTTTACACAGGAAGAAACAGAGAAAGTCAATGACTTGGCAAATCAAGAGGAGCTGGGACTTAAATCCTAAATGCCGCGCTCTTAGCCACAACATTCTGTTATTTCCCCAATGGCTCAGCCAATATCAACTTGGATACTATTAGTGACAGGGAGCTTATTACCACCCAAAAACAGTTACTTCTACTCTAAGACTGTTCCCTTTACGCCCCCATAAAAAAAGCTGGAATTTCACCCTTTGATTAAAATTCTGCTTGCTGGTATCCTCCAGAACAGGTCTGATGTGTCTTTTATATGGAAACTCTGAAACCATCTGGAGACAGGAACTACACATCTCATTTAAGTCTTCTTTACATTAAGCTACATTCCCTTTTTCTATTTTTTTTTCTTTAACATTTCCTGTGAGATCCTCATTCTGGAACCTATGCTATTCCAGTGCAAGAGCCATTTCTTACTCATCCCATACCCTCAAGACCTAGTACCATGCCTGGCACAAAGTGAATTATCTAATAAACGCTGATGTGGCTTGGCTCTGTGTCCCCAGCCAAATCTCATCTCGAATTGTAATCCCCACATGTCGAGGCAGGGGCCTGGTGGGAGGTGACTGGATCATGGGGGCGGTTTCCCTCATGCTGTTCTCGTAATAGTGAGGGAGTTCTCATGAAATCTGATGGTTTTAAAGTGTGGCACTTCCCTTTTGCTCATACTCCCTCTGTCCTGCTTCCGTGAAGCATGGAGAAGGTGCCTGCTTCCCCTTTGCCGTCCACCATGATTGCAAGTTTCCTGAGGCCTCCCCTGCCATGCAGAACTGTGAGTCAATTAAACCTCTTTTGTTTATAAATTACTCAGTCTCAGGTAGTATCTTTATAGCAGAGTGGAAAATGGGATAATACAAATACTAACGGATACAGCAGCTGATCAACAACTCTTCAGTAGTAGGTGTTCAACAGATGTTAAACATCTTGAATGTCTTTAAAGTTTTGGCAACTTTTCACAGTCCTTCATAGATCATGGAGCCAAAATGAAACACAATCTCCATGTGTGATCCGGCTTTAAAGTTGAGTAAGAATCGCACATCCTGCCTGTGAAGTGCTGTATTACTCTTAATGCAACGTAGGATGGCAATGGGATTTTGACCACCTGGGTCACCTTGCTGACTTATGCCAAAATTAGGGGAAATAAAGCTCTAAGGTCTTTTTGCATGGGCTGTGCATAGTCTGTGTTGTGCTACAGTAGCTTCTGAACCTAGGTGCAGGAATTCGTCCCTAGTAAAGTTCATGTTAAGCTCATGGTCTAGCCGCTAAGATGTTTTGGGATCCTGGAGTCTATAATGAAAAAGAGTCATTATCCTTTCTGACTTTGTTTTATTATTGAATTTGGAAGGCCAGATATCTATGCTCTTAGCCTTACCCTGGAGAAAAGACTTTTGTGGCTGGTTTTCCTTTGAAGCACTCTTTTTCCACTAAGTGAAAGAAATCGTTTTCATTGGCCACCAGCAGATGCTCTTCATCCCTACATCTAGAATGAATCCTGATCCTTGAAAAAAAGACTTTGAAAGAGTTTCATACTCAAGACCTAGGCATCAGGTCACCCTCTTTCGTCCAGTTCTGATCAGCTGGCCTTCTGATTAATTTCTCAATCTTCAAGTCCTTGGGTTGGACTAATCTAGTGCATTAGTCACATGAGGTTTATTTTAGTTCAATTAACCTGGGCTATGCTGCAGGAACAAACAAGCCTCTAAAGCTCGGTCCATAAGTTCACACTCATGCAAAGTTGGAGAGTTCACTTCCGGACCAACTACCCCATACAGTGTGGCCCTCACAATCACCAAGGCAAGGCAATTGAAAGCAAAACAAACTCATTCTTGCTCTCTGATGCTTCCTTCCAGAAGCCACACACACACTTCCCACTGGACTAGTGGTCAGAACTTGGGAAAAGGCCCCCGCCTAACAGCAATGCACTTTTTATGTCCCTTGGATAAGAAAAAATGACACAGGACTTGATGAGCACTGACCAATGTCTCTGCTAAAACTGTTGTCTTTTATTTCCTTTTTCTCTCTGGGACTAAATTCCTCCCCAAACAGAGCACGGTAATTAGGATACTACTTTTCTGATGCCTCCTCTCTGCCATAGCTCTTATTGTCACCTCTTCTTGGATTTCTCACTGACAAGCTCAGAAGATCCCATATATCAATTAGGACTCCTGTTAAGATAACAGAAAAATCCACACAGAGACATTTCAGTAGAAAAAGGAATTTACTATCTCATGGAACAACAAAGTTCGGCTGTAGACTAACTTCTGAATTCACAACTTAGACAATGTCATCAGGACTTACTTCCATCTCTTGGCTACGACTATCCTAATGTTGGCTTCATTCAACACTCCCATGGTAGGTGCTGAGGGCACTAGATTCACATTATCACAACATCAAGGCATATTCTGGGGCAGAGGGACAAGGGAGTCTCATTCCTACACAGCTCAACCAAAAGCACTGAATACATGTCTCATCGTTTCTGATTAACCCATGCAATCAAGTGCACATCCCTGAACTAATTGCTGTCTCTTGTGAGATCTGGTGCCTTGATTGGCCAGACCTGGGTCACATATTTCCTGAAGCCAGATTTGGGACTCTGCAGGAACCACATGCATGTAAAATAGAGATAAGGTAGCTCCTCAAATGAAAATGTGGGCTGTTCCAGAAAGTAGGGTGAATGGGTGCTGGGAGGCCACAGATGGTGACTGTCCACCAGCCATGACTTAACTTTGTGTTAACCAGCCCCCAACTGCAGAGTTTGATCCCTGCCTGACCTGAGATTCAGTTGCTATAACCTTTGCACAGCTCACCTGCTCCTCCTCCAGCCCCCAGGAGTGGATCAAACAGCCACCCAGTCCAGCCATTCTCAGCAACAGAAACTAAGCTAGGCCTGATCTATATCCTCACTATAACAACAGCTTAGAAATAGTTTTGTGGCCCTACTACTAGAGACCACCTTCAAGGTGGATAGCAATACCTCTTTATATAATAGTCTCTACTAAGCAATCAATCCTTCAGCCCTGAATTTCACTAATATGTAATTTGCATTTCTCCACCTTATCTTACAAGGTTCTCATGAGAGACCACATCAGTTGTCTTTCAGAAGTTCATACACACTTCATCTCCCTGACACGTAACCATATCCAAAAAGGAAATGAAGTTATTAATCTGGCAAGGTTTATACTCAGCGAATCCATCCTGGCTTCTAAGACCACCACTTCCTTTTGTCAAGGGCTCACAAACCGTCCTCTTAATAATCCATTCCAGAGTTTCACTCAGGATTGACATTAAGCTCGCAGGTCTATAGTATGCAAAATCCCCTTTCCCCTTTTTCAAAAGCTGGGACTGTGCATGTCAGCCTCCTGTCTCTCAGCACCTCCTCCCCTTCATGAAAGGCAGCTAATGGAGGATTTGCCTAATGTCTCTTAATGAGAGAGTGCACAGTCAGGATTAGTAGTCAGCAGACCGTGAGCGTCCAGCCTTTTGCTTCTCCTTTTCAGCCATGACGATTTCCCCACCCTCTTTTTCCTTGAGATTAGAGCTCTCTACCAGAATTGCCAAGTGCAAGATTTCTTTACAAAAAATAGGCCACCTTCTCTCTCCCCTTGATGTGCTTCTCCTAGGGAATTGGAATAGGAGGCAGAAGGGGGAACTGGGGCCCGAGGCCTCCGTGTGCACACAGCACAATCCTAGAGCTCCGGGGAGGAGCGGTCTGTGGTGTTGTCTTGGCTGCAGCCGATTGGTAATGCCTCAGTTCATTTTCAAATTCAATGTTGGGAAACGATTTTACCTGGAAGTCCTCTAAACCTGAATCTGAAAGAATTAGGGGGTGGGGGTCACTTCTGTGCAAGTGGCAAGTTGGAAATTCCCTGCAATTCCCATAGTCCAAACATCCACATGTATCTGAAAACCTGGACCCTCTGGGTTGGTCTAATTGGACAGAGCTGCCTTCCTGTTGACTTTCTTTCCATTTTCTTATGTGAATACCTTCATCTTTAAGTGTCAGTCCAATTCTCATTTCACATTTTTAAATCCCAACTAACTTAGCATAAGCTAATTAGAAAATCCACACTATACCACCTTTTAGGGCTCAATTACACAAAAATCAGAGTGGCGCTGGGCATATGTCTCAGCAAAATAGATTTCCAAATTGGTGTAAAGTGTACTTAATATTGATAGCTCTGTAATTTCCAGAAGAGTTCAGAATCAGAGTGATGTAATTAGGTTTTATTTGAAGTTTTTCTTTAGATTTAAAAGGAAAAAGAAGGGGGAAAATCAATATATTACCTGGCTAGGAAGTAAAAGTAAGTGAATCACCCATCTGTCTTAATTTATTTCATGAACTGAGGAGAATAATATTCACCTCTCTGGATGATGTTTTACATCATGAATAGATACAGTACTAATTTTTAAAGGCTAAATTTAATGTTTCCACAAAACAGAAATAATGTTTTTCAGTCCTGGCTCACAATATAATTTAGTACAGAAATGACACATAAAATATGTAGGCAACCTTTTATGTCGTCTATATACTTAATACTTCCTTCACTTTGTGCCACAGTATGGATCTTATGAGAGAATAAGTACCTTTTTATAAACAACAACAGCAACAAAGAAAAATAACAGACCAAAAAATAAAATGTGTGTTCCTCTTGTGAGGGAGGAGAAAAAGAACAATTTGTTGAGGAAAGAGGGCACGAGATTTAAAGGGGACAATTTGATCTGAGCCACCTTCCTTTGGTGTTGAGCTGAGAAAGATCATTAGCAACTCTAAGACTCTTGTTTTTATCATGAATACTGTGGTCGTTACAACACACATTTAATGTACTAGTCAGCTGTTGCTGCAACTGTGTTCTGTAACAAACAACCCCAAGCCTCAGTAGCTCATAGCACCATAACTTATTTCACACTCATGTAGATGGTGTAGATTGGCTGAGGTTCAGCTGATTTCTGCTGACCTTAACTGAGCTCTGCTACTGCAGACCTTGGGTCAAGTGGAGATTTGCTCTCCAGTTTTTCATTCTGGGACCCAGGCTACAGGAGTAATGGCTACCTGGGGCACACCCTTTTCATGGAAGAAGTCAGAAACTCAAGTAGGGTAAAGAGAAGAAGCCTCTTCCAGCAGCAGTTGCTGAAGAAAAAGATAAAACCCACACCCACATTCTATGGACCAAAGCAAGTGAGCAAGTGTCTTGGCCAAGCCCAACATCAACGGGATGGAAAAGTGTATTCCACGCATAGAGAGCATGAAAAGGGTGGGAGAGAAGGCAAATATGAGCATGAGGATCAGTCTATCACACTCCACACACCTATTATAAGGAGGTTCAAATGAGTTACGGTATATAAAGCACCAAGCACCTAACAGGCACTCAAAATATGGTAGCTATTATTGGCCATCTAATTATGTGATTAAGCTGTCTTTAAATTACCAACACATTTCTCAACCCCAATTATGCTGAGCCTTTACAGACTGGCATTATAATTGCTTGATACTCGGCTATAAAGGGAGTGACTTCTTGCCAAAGAAGTGTGTTGCCCATTTGAAGCCACACACATCAATACTATGGATTTGGCCACAATACAGGCTGAGGAATGTGTCTGGAATTGGCATATCTTGGTTACAAGAAGAATCAACCAGCTTATACTTTCTCACACTTACCTGGACAGAAATGAACGGATAGCTGCCCTTTCCATAGTCAGCTGGTGAAACTGTTACAAGTTGTGCTGCTGAAAAAATGAATCAATGCAAATTGTTACGATTTTTGGAGTGTCTGGCGGAGCTATCACTAGGTGAGACTTCACTAGATTGAGAACTTCCTTTTTTGTGAGTTGGCGTTTTTCCATTTGTTTATTAAATTTTTATGCTGTTTTCTGCTTGGAAGCAAAAGATAAGTTTAGGAAATGCAATCCCTTTAGAACATTCTGGGCAGGCAAAAGTAGACCTGAGATCTTGTCCAATTCTGACTCATTTCTCTCACAAGTACATCTCTTTTTTTTTTTTTTTTTTTTGTGAGACTGAGTCTCGCTCTGTTGCCCAGGCTGGAATGCAGTGGCACAATCTCAGCTCACTGCAAGCTCCGCCTCCCAGGTTCAAGCCATTTTCCTGCCTCAAGCTCTGAGTAGCTGGTGGGACCATAGGCGCCCACCACCACACCCGCGTAATTTTTTGTATTTTTAGTAGAGACGGGGTTTCACCATGTTAGTCAGGATGGTCTCGATCTCCTGACCTCGTGATCTGCCCGCCTCGGCCTCCCAAAGTGCTAGCATTACAGGGGAGCCACCGCACCCGGCCACAAGTACATCTCTTAATCTCTTTGCCTCCCTCTGCTCAACTATAGAGTTGGCTTAGAAAATCTTTGCAATCCCATCAATGTCAAAAATTCTATGATCCTAATTCCTGCTCAAGTTAGAAAGCTCCCCAGCAGAGACGTAGCTCTGATATAGAGGGGACATCAGTTGCCAAGGCACCATTAGTTTAAAGGACACCCACAGGCAAAAATCTTGGTGGAGCATTCAATCCAAAGGGTTTTACTGAGTTATCATTGAATTTTTTTTTTTTTTTTTTTTTTTTTGCCATTCTTTTCTGCTACCAACACTTGACCTCCAATACATACCCCAAGCCTGTCCATGCCTCTCTATCCCTGCTGCGGCCACCTGGCCCAACCTTACCCCCTCTCATCTAGAAGCAGCAGAGCCTCTTCCCTGGCCTCCCTGATCCCACTTTCACCCCACCCAGACTGTTCCCCATCCAGAGGCCAGAATGCTGTTTATAAAATAAAAATCAGATCATCCCCTCTTTGCAGTAAGTCTTCCTCTTATTCCTAGGATAAATTTCCAAGGCTTCCATGGTCTTCAAGGCCCTACAGCACCCAGGGCCTGACTTTTTCTCAGTCCTTTCCCCACCCTTATTCCCTGAGCTATAGTTGCAGAGGACTTCTTCTGGTCCTTGACCATGATGAACTCATCTCGGGTCTTTTATTCCTCCTTTCTCTCTACCCTGATTTTCCCCTCAACTCCAATGTCTCCTCAGAAAACTTTCTTGACCATCCTGTGTAATGCATCCTCCTCTCCATCCCCAGCCTCTACTATGTTACATTTTTTAGACCCCTTATCCATGCAAAATGGTCTTGCTTATTTGCCTGTTTGGTTTTTACCTAACACAAGAACACAAGCTAAACTGGTCCCTGCTATATGCTGAGCAGCTAGAATATTACCTAGAATGTAGTCCATACTCAACAAATAACTGTCCAATAAATGAAGAAATCAGTGAGTTGAGCTGGCACACACATGATCTCCCCAGCTCCGAAATAAGGAGAGTTCATATCCCAGTGGCCCTTTGAGTGATTGGAGTGGGTTCTCCCTAGAACAATAAAGTGAAATAGTAACACTAGCTAGTTCTGCCTCATAAAGTGAGCAAAGACTCCAGAATGTTCTGAGCTACAGAAGTGGGGTCCAGGTAGACTTCACTAAGGTCAACACACAAACCATTCAATGTTGGAGAGATTTCTCAGCCACACGGAAAGGAAAGACTCAAGCACTCAAAGAATCCGGACAGTGAGAATCAAGAGAAATCATGAGAGAGTCACAGGTGTGACCCAGCTTAGCCCTCCACCTCTCGATGGACTCTCTCAGCCTTGGCTTCCTCATCTCTGAAATGGGAATAATAACAATCATGGGCTGGGCGTGGTGGCTCACGCCTGTAATCCCAGCACTTTGGGAGGCCGAGGCAGGTGGATTGCTTGAGCCCAGGAATTCGGGACCAGCCTGGGTAACATGGCAAAACCCTGTCTCTACTAAAAATACCAAAAATTAGCTGGGCGTAGTGGTGAATGTCTGTAATCCCAGCTACTTGGGAGGCTGAGGTGGGAGAATCACTTGAACCTGGGAGGTGGATGTTGCATTGAGCTGAGATAGTGCCACTGCACTCCAGCCTGGGCGACAGAGTGAGACCCTGTCTCAAAAACAAAAAACAAACAAACAGAAAAGAGGCCAGGCGTGGTAGCTTATGCCTGTAATCCCAACACTTTGGGAGGCCGAGGTGGGCAGATCACCTGAAGTCAGGAGTTCAAGACCAGCCTGGCTAACACGGTGAACCCTGTCTCTACTAAAAAATACAAAAATAAAAAATAAAAATAGCCTGGCATAGTGGCAGGTGTCTGTAATCTGAGATACTGGGGAGGCTAAGGCAGGGAGACTTGCTTGAACCCAGGAGGCAGGGGTTGCAGTGAGCCGAGATCCCACCACTGGACTCCAGCCTGGGTGACAGAGCAAGACTCTGTCACCAAAAAAAATAATAATAATAAGTAAATAAATAAATAAATCATCATTGTCAGCTGATGGACTTGTTGAAAGAGCTAAATCAAATATATGAGAAGAGGCTCTAGTACATAAGATGTATTCCTTATTTCTTTTTAGAAGATTACATCAGTTAAGATGCTTTTGGCAGCAAGTACACCCCTAACTGAATGAGGTTTAAACAACAGGAACTTATGTGGTTCACGTAGCCTGAGGACAGAGGAGATGGTCTCAGAGGACAGAGGAGATGGTCTCAGAGCCCAGCAGCCTCAGGTGGACTTGCTCGAGATTTTCTCCACCTTCCCCGCATAGGTACAAAATCCCCTCCAAGGTATCATCAGTCCTCAGGTCTCCCATGACAAGTGCTAAAGGAAGGGAAGGCACTACTTCTAGGTCTCTCGCCCTCTCTATCTTTCTCCCTCCCGCAAGCAGTATCTTGGATATTTTTCTTTGATTCCTTTGATGCCTACCTTCCACCCTCCTCCTTCTCTGTGCCCTAGCAGCTGGTCTTCCTGGGCTGGGGTGGGCTCTTCTGACCCCTGGCTTCCTGTTGCCTTTGGCTCCCTCACTGCAGGCCACCCTCTCCCCCAGCCAGGCTGGTCTCTTTCAGTTCCAATAACCATTCCCCATTCGCCCTTTCAGCCCAAGAGTGGCCATGGCTCCCTCATGATTCCAGCCCCACAGAGGATTCCCTCAGCCATCCTTAGGCTTTCCTTCACCCTGCCCCAATCTTTGTAAATAGTCTGTTTATGAAAGTATCCTTCATTGCTCTGTCTGAGTGAGCCTCTGTTTCCTGCTGGGCCCCTGGCTGAAACAGAAAAAATCATCTTTCTCAGAGGCTATCCAACACTCCCATCCCTCCCCCTGCCTGCCCCGCCTGCTCGCCCTCTTCAAGAAAGTCTTTCCTTCAGGTCTCAGTCTCTAGGCTTGGACCATGCAAGGGAGCCTGGAAAAGCAAGTATCTGACATTTCCTGGGAGAGTGGGGTGGTTCTTGGTTGGCAACCAACAGTGTCGGCCTCACGACACTTTGATTCTTGATCAAGAGAAGAAACAATGTCTATAGGCAGGGGGTGTGGCTCCCAGTTTTTTGGCAGCAAACTTTTGTGGGTCACGGTTTGCCAGCAGTTATTGTGGTTACGGTGGTGGTGAGCAGCAGGAAATTGCTCCAGAGAGAGGCGGAAGGGACAACAGAAGGCTGCCAGTCACCTGCTGCAGGCCCATGGAAGCACCCTCACAGCACCAGCGGCAATGAGAAATTGCTGACTTTATTTGGGAAGTCGGAAACTCAGATCCTCATGATCAAGTGTTTCCTTTCAAACCAAGACCCAAAAGGCAAATGTGCATTAGTTGTCATCGTTGTTTTGCTCATGATCTTTCCTTTGGGTCCCCACACATTCAAGGCACAAGATTCTTTGGCCAGAGGTAGAAGGTGTGTCACTTGCATTTGCATGCATAACACATGTATGATTAACTCTTAACTAGCATGAGCTAACGAAGGCATCTGAGACAAGTCAGAGCATGGTGGGGATATCAGATGGCCATCTATTTTGATACAGTGTGGTCCTGACATCTTTTTGTTTTGTACACATGGTGTGATGTCTGTTTGGAATGGCCCAGACAGTAAGCCATCCTGTCCTCGGCCTTAATAAGTAGTTTTATTGTTCTTGTTGCTGTGTTTTGTTTTGTTTTGTTTTGTTTTTTTAGGGAAAGAGTCCTGGCTCTTAGCCATAATGGACAAAAGGAACAAGTTCTTAATGTAAAATAAGCCAGACTAGGAAACATAGTCTCTTTTGTAGAGACAAGGTCTCTTGTCTTAATTAGCTGGATGTGATGACAGGTGCCTATAGTCCCAGCTGCTTGGTAGGCTGAGGTGGGAGAATCCCTTAAGCCCAGGAGTTTGATGTTGCAGTGAGCTATGACTGCACCACTACACTCCAGCCTAGGCAACAGGGTGACATCCTGTCTCAAAATACAAAATAAAATAGGAATATATTTGGCCATTGAACACATATTGTCTGTCCAGCCACCTTGGATGTAAACTTGACTTCCATGATTTCTCCTTTGTTCACAAGAGCGACAAAGGTTGCTAAGTAGGCACAATACGTTATATATATTTATACATATTATATATTTATCTTGTATATTGAATGTGTCTCCTACTAAAAGGCAAGCACAGGGTTTGTGTTTCGTTATACATATTTATATATATTATATATTTATCTTGTACATTGAATGTGTCTCCTACTAAAAGGCAAGCACAGGGTTTGTGTTTCATTATACATATTTATATATATTATATATTTATCTTGTATATTGAATGTGTCTCCTACTAAAAGGCAAGCACAGGGTTTGTGTTTGTTTGTTTTTTGTTTTTGAGACTGGGCCTTGCTGTGCGGCCCAGTCTGGAGTGCAGTGGTGCAATCTGGGTTCACTGAAGCTCCTGGGCTCAAGCGATTCTCCCACCTCAGCCTCCTGAGTAGCTGGGACTACAAGTGTGCACCACCACCCCCAGCTAATTTTTTAATTTTTTTGGAGAGACCGGTTTTCGCCATGTTATCCAGGCTGGTCTCAAACTCCTGAGCTCAAGCAATCAGCCTGCCTTGGCCTCTCAAACTGCTGGGATTACAGGCATGAGCCGCTGCACCCAGCCAAGGTATTTTTGACTGTTGTGTTTCCTGCTGCATTTTCAGTACCTAGAATGGTAACTGGTTCTGTACGCATTTGTTCATTGTAGGACTACACAGGTGGATGAATGAACAGCTAAAGGTAGCCTCAGACGTCTGCCACATGGAGTTCAGACCAGAGCTGCTCATCCCCTCACCCCACACCTTGCCAGAAAGCAGACTCAAACCATCCAGTGAAGGAATGAGAGGCTCCGGGCATTTTTGGAGTATCATCTGAAGAGTCACACACATCTGACAACTGTTGATTACCTAGGAGGACAGACCTTGTCAGTATCTTCTCTATTTAGCCAATTCTCAGACAGATGGTGCATGAGCCAGGTGAGTATTCAGCAATGAGCAGGGGAGCGGGAGGGACACGGAGGGTGTTAGAATAGTCATCTGGTGCATCACCTATGGCTGGTACAGAGGATCTTACTGCTGTAGGAGAGCCACTATCATATTTGACAAATGCTCAAGGCAGAAAATTGATACTATTTTTTTCCAGAGGGGAGGGAATGTGTCAAAGACTAAGACAAGGAGTTAAACTCAGTAAAAGCTGCCCTGTAGGAGTTAGGAGAAGATGCCGTGATGAGGGAAAGAAGCCTCTCTTCCTTCCCCATCCCAAAAAGACACAGACCCCGAGAAAGCACAGACAAATATACTGAGCACCTGTGGCTTCAGAGTCTCCTGCCTGGAGACTGGCCCTGCGTTCACAGTCTCACTGCTTAGAGGGACTCACCATGTTGTCTCATCCGCAGCTTAGAAAGCTGTTGTTATTGAAAGGTGACAGCGTGCTGGCAGTCCTCACAGCCCTCGCTCGCTCTCGGCGCCTCCTCTGCCTGGGCTCCCACTTTGGTGGCACTTGAGGAGCCCTTCAGCCCTCCGCTGCACTATGGGAGCCCCTTTCTGGGCTGGCCTAGGCCGGAGCCGGCTCCCTCAGCTTGCAGGGAGGTGTGGAGGGAGAGGCGCTGGCGGGAACCGGGGCTGCGCGCGGCGCTTGCGGACCAGCTGGAGTTCCGGGTGGGCGTGGGCTTGGCGGGCTCCGCACTCGGAGCAGCTGGCCGGCCCTGCCGGCCTCGGGCAATGAGGGGCTTAGCACCCGGGCCAGCGGCCGCGGAGGGTGTACTGGGTCCCCCAGCAGTGCCGGGGGCCCGCTGGCGCTGCGCTCGATTTCTCGCCGGGCCTTAGCTGCCTCCCTGCGGGGCAGGGCTCGGGACCTGCAGCCCGCCATGCCTGCGCACCGCCCCCCGCCCCGGGGGCTCCTGTGCGGCCTGAGCTTCCCCGACGAGCACCGCCCCCTGCTCCACGGCACCCAGTCCCATCGACCACCCAAGGGCTGAGGAGTGCGGGCGCATGGCACTGGGACTGGCAGGCAGCGCCACCTGCAGCCCCGGTGCGGGATCCACTGGGTGAAGCCAGCTGGGTTCCTGAGTCTGGTGGGGACGTGGAGAACCTTTATTTGTAGCTCAGGGATTGTAAATACACCAATGGGCACTCTGTATCTAGCTCAAGGTTTGTAAACACACCAATCAGCACCCTGTGTCTAGCTCAGGGTTTGTGAGTGCACCAGTCGACGCTCTGTATCTAGCTGCTCTGGTGGGGACTTGGAGAACCTGTGTGTCAATACTCTGTATCTAACTAATCTGATGGGCACGTGGAGAACCTTTATACCTAGCTCAGGGATTGTAAAGGCACCAATCAGCACCCTGTCAAAACAGGCCACTGGGCTCTACCAATCAGCAGGATGTGGGTGGGGCCAGATAAGAGATTAAAAGCAGGCTGCCCCAGCCAGCGGTGGCAAGCCGCTCGGGTTCCCTTCCTCACTGTGGGAGATTTGTTCTTTTGCTCTTTGCAATAAATCTTGCTACTGCTCACTCTTTGGGTCCACACTGCTTTTATGAGTTGTAACACTTACCAGGGAAGGTCAGTAGTTTCACTCCTGAAGCCAGCGAGCCCACGAGCCCACCGGGAGGAACAAACAACTGCAGACGCGCCACCTTAAGAGCTGTAACACTCACCGCGAAGGTCTGCAGCTTCACTCCTGAGCCAGTGAGACCACGAACCCACCAGAAGGAGAAAACTCTGAACACATCCGAATAGCAGAAGGAACAAACTCCAGACGCGCCACCTTAAGAGCTGTAACACTCACTGCCAGGGTCCGCGGCTTCATTCTTGAAGTCAGTGAGACCAAGAACCCACCAATTCCGGACACATTATCACATGTTCTCTTCCTCAGAACCAGCTCCCATGTCTGTTAACCCCCAGTCCTTCTTTCCAACCACCTCCACAGTCTGGAAGCTCTGAGCATTTGTATATCAGTGATTACATTGATGAAATCCAAAGCTTAGCTGCTTGACAATAGGATCCCAATCTCCCTCCAACAAGATCCTCCCAGAAAATGCCTAATTTCTTTTTATTACATCAGAGAGTCTCAAACTTTTTGGTCTCACGATCCCTTTATGCTCTGACAGAAAATAGTAAGCACACAGAAAGCTTGTGTTGCTGAAGGTTATGTCTGTCAGCATTTACAGCATTTGAAATTAAAATTAAGAAGTATGTAAATATTAATTTAGTAACTTATTTTGAAATAAAAATGAACCATTGTATGTTAATACATTTTCCAAAGAAAAAAGATAATGAGAAGTGTAGGATTATTGTACATTTTTACAAACTTATTTAGAGTTTGGCTTAATAAGAAACAGCTGGATGCTCATATCTGCTCCTGTGTTTTATCTGATGTGATATCACACAGCCAATGGCTGCTGGAAAGTTCCACTGAACACCCATAAAAAAATAAGAATTAAAAAAAGCAAAAAAAAAATTAGTATTATGAGAGTCATTTTGACCAATTCTGATCTTCTTTTGGAGTCTATTGTCTTCCTTCTTATCTGCTGGTTTTCAAACTTATTTTACCCACTGAACACGCTATTCAAGTGAAATTGTATACAAGAGCCCACAAAACCGATATAGGCAGAGATACTCTGATTGAAACAGCCTCAGAGTCCCTGCTCTGCCTGCCCTTTTGTTTCTGGGACCCAACCTACCCCCACTGCCAGACCCCTGAAGGCTTTGCAAGGATGCTCATGGGACCAGTACAGCACAGTTTGAAAGCTGATGAGTCAAGCCATTGGACACTCATCCTGGTCCACTTAAGTTATGTCTCAGGCTGTCCTTCAAATTATTGGCCCAGTTCCAATGTCCCCTATTCTAAACCCACAGATCCAAACCGACTTATATGACAACTTTGTAGTATGGGAGAGTAGCTCCAAGAAATAAAAAATATGAACAACTATGAAATGCCATTTTATATTCATTATATGGCAAAATTTACATTCTGATAATATCAAATATTAAGGATGAGGAAAAATAGGAGTATATAGCTGATGGGAGGGCAAATTAATATAACTTAGGGGAGGAATTTGGCAATATGTAAAGCAGCTGAAAATACACATACCCTACAGACCAACAATTCTGTGCCTATTTTCTGTAGAAGAACTCTAAGAAGACATACACTAAGATATTTGCTATAGATTGTTTGTAATTGCAAAAAAAAAAAAAAGTGGAAAAAATTAGTATCCATCAAATGAAAAAAACTGTGCCTTATGTATATGCTGAAATACTATGCAGGAGTTTAAATAAATTAATTCTATTTATTGGTATCAACAAGGCTACATCTCAAAAACATTAGGATAAATGTTAAAAGCAAGCTACCAGATGATACTTCTAGTGAGCACTTTGAACATGTGAAGTTAAGTGCTTGATCATAGTTCTCACATCCTCATAACTCCCCTGTGAAATATATGGTGTTTTTTCATATCCACATTAAAGAAACTGGGATTTACAATGATGCAACATTGGACAAATTAAGGTCTCAGGACAGGAGGTCACGGAGTGATGAGCCCTGAATTACTCTAGGTGGGTTTAACTCCAAAGCCCATGCCCTTACCCAGGGGAACACACTGCTTCTCACACTATTTGGGAGGTAATCATAAGTATGGAGAAGAATATAAAACAGCTAGAAGGATATGATAGTGAGTGTTTCTTGAGAGGGCAAAAAGGGGCTTAGGAACAGGTGGAGTATTATAAAGAGATGCAACTTGATGCGTAATGTTTTTTCTCTTTGATTATGTTTGTAAATGCAAAAAATTATAAAAAGAATTAGCAGCTATTAGATCTGGATTATAATATTACAGGCATGCATTATTTGATTCTTATTCCATATTTTTAAAACTTTGGGAAATTTTGAAATATGCAAGTAGACCAAAGTAAGAGTAGTTAACCCTTTTTTGAATGTTTATATAAAGCAGATTGTATTACTTAATCCTGGAAACAACCCAATGAGGTAATTGCTATTATTTTCTGTAGGGGAATTTTAGGCTTAAAAATGTTGAATACAGTCAGCGGGAAGCAGTGCTAGGTGGTCCCGCTTAAGAACCCATGTTCCTGGCTACTGCATCCTACCGGAACCTCCCTTTACTGAAAATCCCAGAGCTAATCCAGATTCTTTTTATCCTTTGCATCCTGGTCTTTGCCTCTCTAAAGTGTGATACACAAGAAGACATAGTGATTTTCTCTGCTCTTCATATTTAAGCATTTATCTAAACACAGAATCACCATACAAAACCTCCATATCCACCAAATCCAAGGTGAATAAACTCTTTCCAAGCAAAATTGCTGATTTCTGAGTTCTTCATGGGAACCAAATCCCTCAGAACCCAGAGTTGGAACATTCTGGATCATAGTGTGGCAGAGCCCATTCAGTCCCCAACCCACTCCACTTTTGACATTGCATTGCCAGGTAAGGTGGTGGCGATGGATACATCCACTGGGCCCAATTACGAATGTCCAGAAAATGTGTGCAGACTGTAGCTTGTGCTCACAGATAGGCACTGTGATCACAGTCTGATTTCTGGTGAAGTAATAATGTTGCATGTAATACCTGACAGGTGATCTACAGAGTAGCTGGCATCATGAAAGTATCCATTTCAACCACAAAGCAAAGTACTTTTAATGACTGGGCTTCTTCCAGAAAGGATATTGGAAAAAGGACAATGCTGATAACCTGTTTCATTGTTAATCAGAAGTCTTCAACATAACACATGTTTGAAGCACTCATCCCCAGTCACTCCTTTGTTAAGGCGGAGAGGGAGGGGCGGCTCCCCTTCTTCTTCAGCAAGGGTGCTTAGTGTTTGGCTGTTTATCCTAACGTGGAACCTCACAAAGCCTCAAAGTGAGGGACCAGGAGTGTCCCGAACCTCCAACTGGCCACAGCACAGCTTTATGGTTAAGAAGCAGCAGCAGCTGCCTTGAGGACCTCTGTGTCAATTCTGATTTGCAAAATTACCTCCCTCTCCAGCAAGAAAATCCACCTTTAAAAACTGAGTAAAATAAAACAAAATTGTAATAAACATAGTTAAATTTTCGTGCACATCCATGATTATTTATAATAGTGCCCCTACCCGTAGAAAAGAAGAAAAGAAAGTGTCCAGCCAAAGGGAATTGATTAAGTTCACCATGGCATTAAACGAGCAAAGAGTGTGGAATTCTTAGTACAGGTCCAGAACATAGAAGATTCTCAGCAAAACACTAGGTGTTGTTGCATCCACAGCCATGATTGGGCTCCTATGCAGATATATTTAAGGGTGTGGAGAAACAAAGAGGGATGCTGTCAAAATGTGTCCGTAATATAAAGTAAAACTAATCCCTACTAAACTGCATGTGCCCTTTGACCGTGTTTGGGTTTTACTATGTAAAACTGGTTATGTTTGGGCAGCGCATTACAATTTTTATTTGGTTAATGTTGCAACTGTGTTTTCTAGAAATAAAGCCTATTGATTTTTAAAGACCAAAAAATGTTCTGCTTTCAAACCACTAAATTCACCAGAATTACTAAAGTCTTTCTGTCTTGCAAGTTCCCTCCCTCCCCTAAAGGATAACGGCACTTGGAGCCTCCTTAGGAGCTTTAGGTAGAAATCAAGACTCTGCTGAAGGTACCAGAAGGGGTGGGAGTGAGGGAAAGAGTTGCTTAAACTTAACAACCCCACCCATGGGTTTGGGCCAGAAACCATCATGTTGGTTTTCACCAAGGAAACTTTTCCTTTAGAATATCAGTTATAATAAGAGAAGCAGAACAGAAGCAGAATCTTACTGGAAACTCAAGAGAGGTGACAAGAGGTCTCTCTCCTCCATGCCCAGCTGAGTCGTGGGGATTTGGTATAGGACAGACCAGGCTGGGTCTACACTCTGCAGCCGATCAGTTGAGGAGCCAAGCCAAGATTCAGAAGCTCCCTAAGTCAGTTTCCTCAATAACAAAATGGGGAGCATAGCGTTATCAAACTTCCTACAGTTCTGTGAGCTCTAAGTAAGCTTGTTTGGAGGTTCTAGCTGGGGAGGGCAGCTAGTCACATACCCCTGATCGAAGAATAGTCTCCCTCTATCAGGGAAGTTTGTCCTCTTCAACCAAGCCTGCAGCTCTGGAGGGACACACATGGAGTGGTGAGAGAGGAAGGGGACACCTGCTTAGCCAGCCAGATGAGCAGAATCAACGCTGGCGATTAATGGGTTGACAGATGTTGCAGCCAGATCACCGCCTCCGCCCCCCGATCTACTAAATGAAATAACACACTTAAAACGTTTAGCACACACCCGACGATGATCGAATATTCAGTAAATCTCAGCTACTGTTAAAATTGTTTGCCAAGGAAAAAACAAGATTTATCTTCTTATTTAAGAATATTAAATACTTTAAATGGTATCATGCTTAGTATTTCTGCATCACTTCTCACAGTCTCCTACTTACTCTAGAAAATGTAGGCATTTGGTAAATTCCCTATATAGGAAATTGACTCTCAGTAATTCTTTGTTTAGCCTAAAGATCACAGAGTTTGACGTTCAGAAGTTCACCGTGTCTATTTTTATCTTTAGTTGGTCTGATCGTTTTTCTCCCACAGCAACTTTCTTTGAAAGAATGTGCAGAAAGATTACACTATTCTAAAGTGGACTTTCTGGACCAAATACATAGCCCACTTTATTTAAGAAAGATCGGTATTTCAGAGATAAATAGAAAGTGGCAATAATTTCCCTTAATAGTTTTTAAGAAAATATGTCTGTGGATATCATCATTCCTGTTTTTTGGTTTTTGTTCACTTTTAACTCAGAAATCCACTTAACTATAGCCAGGGACTCTTCAAAGTATTTTCGTGTGGACACTTACAGATAGATATACTGATTGCTTATTAGAAGGAATGACACCAAAATCAAATTAGATGAGAGATTACTTTGTACTTTTATCTAGGGGAAAAATATAGGAAGCTCCACACCCTGAAAGTGAATAAACATGTCCAAAAAATATCTATGTAAATGCAGCAATGAAATATTTCTGGCAATTCCTATTTCAAATATCCTGCTCTGGAGTATCCGTGGGCACATTAAGATTGTCAGACCGTGCATCTCCATGTGGGATGTGGAATATGTGACCCTTGGCTACACAATGGATCTGCCTCCAGTGGGACTCCCCCTATGAAAGCCAAGCTGGCCACTTGACTTCTTTACCAGGCTCCCATCTCACCCAGCCAGTACATTTTCACCTCAACCACTTCTACCTTAGGCCTTACAATATAGGAAACAAGGTGCTTTATGATCCCTGCCATGCTCAACTCTTCCTGCTCATAGCTGCATCCTTTAAGTTTCCCTAGTAGCTAGCAGTGAACCCACTGTTCCTCTGCAGACTTTCATATGGGATGTGGTGGAAGGTTGATACATACACATTTGGCACCAGTTACACACTAGTACTGTAATGCCATTCAGACTATTCTAGGTTTAAAAAAAAATGAATCATAGCTATTTGTTAAGTGCTTATTCTGGGGCAGACACCAGACTGAGTGCTGCTCAGGTATCCTTTTATTCTATCCTCACGACAATCCGATGAGGTTAATAACACCTCCATTTACAGTTAAGGAGACTGAGGCTTAGAGAGATAGGGAATTTTACCAAAATGACTCAGAGGGGCAGAGCTAGAATGTGAACCTAGGTTTTTATCTGGCCCTGGTGCCTGTTCATCAAAATGTCCTGTTGCAAAGGCTCTTTTCCACTCCATTGAAAATTCTGCTGGGGAAGTGGAGGTGGAGGCTTTAGATAAGCTCAGAGAAGACCTGGTTGGAGCAAATCCTGTTTTGGTTTTGTGGTAGTTGTGGGAGGAAGCCACTGACTCTGATTACTTCCCTGGGTTTCCTGGGGGAAAAAGAAAAGGAAATGGAAATTAAGGGAACATGATGTACCTTGGTGACCACATGGAGCTGTTCCTTTTGCCTGACAAAAAGGAGAGTGCTGGGTGTCCTGGAGGCACATAATTTCAGCCTGCACCTTATGCATTTAGGACATTATTATGACCTATGCAAGAGCCTCAGAGGCTTAATGAATCTTGCTATTTCCCAGACATGTGTTACATTTAAATAACCCATATCACAAAACTGCACCCAACACTGTGACATACTCATTGGCCTCCACAACAAGCTGATAGCAGCTTGAGGGTGTGACTTCCACTTTATTATTTATTTATTATTTATTTATTTATTTATTTATTTATTTATTTTTGAGATGGAGTGCCCGCTCTGTTGCCTAGGCTGGAGTGCAATGGTGCCATCTTGACTCACTGCAACCTCTGCTTTTTTTAGGGTTCAAGTGATTCTCCTGCCTCAGCATCCCAAGTAGCTAGGATTACAGGTGTGCACCACCATGCCTGGCTAATTTTTGTATTTTTTTTTTAGTAGAGATGGGGTTTTACCTTGTTGGTCAGGCTGGTCTTGAACTCCTGACCTCAGGTCATCCACTAGCCTCAGCCTCCCAGAGTGCTGGGATTAAGCGCATGAGCCACCACGCCCAGCCTGTGACTTCCACTTTAAATCCAGGACATGGCCTGCCACTGAAGAGGAAATGCGAAAATGGTGAATAAATGATTTGCTGGATTTTAGAGTGAAACATGACTGAGCCATATACCTTGCATATCATCTGCATCTCAGCCACTTGGCTTATGCCAGTAGCCCTTCCTAGAATCCCAGATGCTTTCTATTGGCCTCTCCAAATAATGCCATTGTTGGAGGCCCCATTTCAAAGTTCTACCTTTCCTCTGAAGATTTTGCTATGCTACTTCCTCAATTTTTTTTCAAATAAACTTTTTTTTTTTTTTGAGACAAGGTCTCACTTTGTCACCCAGGCTGAAGTGCAGTGATGCGATCTCAGCTCACTGCAGCCTCTACCTCCTGGACTCAAGCGATCCTCCCACCTCATCTCCTGGGACTACAGGCACATGCACCATGCCTGGCTAATTTTTTTTGTATTTTTTATACAGACGGGTTTTCGCCATGTTGCCCAGACTGGTCTCAAACTCTTGAGCTCAAGCGATCCACCTGCCTCAGCCTCCCAAAGTGCTAGGATTACAGGCATGAGCCACCACACCTGGCCCCACTTTCTCAATTTTTATCTATGTATTTCTATGATTTACTTCATAGTATAATGAATTATTTCTTTTGTTTGTTCTCTGATCTTTTCAATAAGAGTATACATTCCCAGAGAATAGGGTATATTCTTACAGAGGATAGAAAGATTTTAATAAAATATCCCTAAACAACCAGAAAGCCTAACGACTTCAGGTAGAAAGGTAAATGGATACAACACTTTGGAAGACTCTGGTAATATCTACTAAAGCTTCATACATCCATCTCCTATGACCCAACAATTAAACATCTAGATTTGTGTTCGATAGATAGATAGATAGATAGATAGATAGATAGATAGATAGACACACATTCACCAAAACACATTACCTAAAATGTTCTGATACTAGCATTAGTCATAGCCAAAATCCAACAATTGTGCAAATGCACTCAATGGACTACTGTACCACAATGATAATGTGTGAACTACAACTACACACAACAGCATTCAGCAATTTTACAAATAAATACTTAAGAGGCCCGACACTAAAGAGTCCACACTACAATATTCCACTTACATAAAGTTCAAAAACAGGCAAAATACAACCTGTACAATTTGAAATCAGACTGACATTCAACTTAGGGAGGTGTAAGACTGGAAGAGAACCAAAGATGGCAACTGGAGTCCTGACAATGTTCTGATTCTTGATCCAGGTGCTAGTTACACACATAGACCCAATTACAAAAATTCCCTACACTGAAAACTCTCAGGCACTTTTCTGCATGCATGTTATATTTCAAGAAAGAGTTGTTTTGTTTTGTTTTTTAGTCTGCTGAAAGAGTTTTCATTTCTGACCAAGATGGAGTAAAAGAAACCATATTGGCCGGGTGCGGTGGCTGACGTCTGTAATCCCAACACTTTGGGAGGCCGAGGTGGGTAGATCATTTGAGGTCAGGAGATCGAGACCAGCCTGGCCAACATGGTGAAACCTCGTCTTTACTAAAAATACAAAAATTAGCTACGTGTGATGGCGCATGCCTGTAATCCCAGCTATTCAGGAGGCTGAGGCATGAGAATCGCTTGAGCCTGGGAAGCAGAGGTTGCAGTGAGGTGAGCCGAGAATGCGCCGCTGCACTCCAGTCTGGGTGACAGAGTGAGGCCCTGTCTCAAAAAAAAAAAAAAGAAAAGAAAAAAGAAAGAAAGAAAAGAAAAGAAACCATACTTACCTGCTTACTGTAATGTAAGCAACTGGAAAACCCAACTAACTATGCGAAACAGTGGTTTTCAAAAATTGAACAACAGGCAGCACAAGACTGCCATAACCGAGAGAAGGGATTCAAATGAGATGAGCCTTATCATTGCTTCTGCTTTGCTGTGATACAGGGAGGGGAAACCCAAACACAATCCAATGATCTCACTAAACTGAAGAGAGAACGATCAGCACACAGAGAGACTTCAGAAAGGCAGAAGCAGCTAAACGGGGGACAAAGGCAGAACACTGAAGAGGAGGGTGCTACCGTAAAGAGGGTTCTAGAGAACTGCAGAGGAGTCTCCATGAGTCTTCAGTTGAACACTGATTAGCACATTCTTGAGAGGAAACTACCACAGGCCAAGAGAAGAGCCACCAGAAATCAGTAGGTTGAACAATCCCCAGGCTGGAGATCATTTTTATTCCCACCAATCAAACAAAAGCTGAAAGAATTCACAGCCAACAGCCATGCACTACTTTAAGTTCTTCAGGCAGAAGGGAAATGGTGGCAGATGGAAATTTGGATCCACACTAAGGAATGAAAAGTGCCAACGTGGTAAAATGTGGGTAAATATAAAACACATTTTTCTTATGTTTTAATTTATCTGAAAGATATTGAATAAAGCAAATTTTTTAAAAACATATTGTATTGGGGCAATTAAAACATCTGCAAAAACAAAATGAATAATGATTGTCCAAAGAAAAACAGGGTAGGAATAAAAACATATTGTTATAAGGTTCACTGTACATGAAGTCTACAATATTATTTGAAGGCAGGCTGTGATAAGACAAAGCTATATACTATAAACTCTATAGCAACCACTAAAAAAAGTAAGGCCAAAAAAGCTAATAAGTCAATAATGGAGATAAAATGGAATCATAGCAAGACTCAGTACAAAAGAAGGTAAGGAAAATATAAAACAAATAATGTGACTGTAGATTAAAACCCAACCATTTCATAATTTCATCAATTGACTTACATTAAGTTTAGCCTAAAGCTGCCTCATTACATATTTTAAGTTCAGCCTAAAGGTTTCCCCGCACATAGTGAACTATAACCTAACTGGATGTGTAGACAGACTGTAACCTACTCTCATGCAAATGAACAAGTTTTGGCCAATCACAGACAGCCTACTGTTTAAACCATGTTCAAATAACTTAAATGTTAAGCTGTAACCAATCCAGCTGTTGCTACAACTCATTTCCATTTTCTGTACGTCACTTACTTTGTTCTGTCATACATCTTCTTCCAACATGGGACTGCACTGGAGTCTCTCTCCGCCTACTCTGGCTCAGGAGGGTGCCCGATTCTCAAATCGTTCTTTGCTTAGGTAAGCTCTGATAAATTTAATTTAAATTAAAAATAATAATAATAATAAATATTATTGGGATGAAGAAGAATATTTCGTGATGATAATTCATCAAAAGGATGCAACAATCCTATATGTGTATGTAACAATTAACAAAGCTTCAAAGTGCAGGAAGGAAACACTGATAGAACAAAAATGAGAGATGAAAAAATCCACAATTAGGCTTGAAATTTCAACATCCACTATCAATAATTGATAGAACAATTAGACAGGAAACCAGTAAGGATTTAGAAGACTTGAACAACACTGTCAATCAACTCGACCTAATTGATATTTACAGGACAACCCATCAAACAAGAGCAGAATATACATTCTTTTTAAATGTACACAGAACATTTACCAAGACAGACAATATTCTGAGCCATAAAATTGAACACAGTAATTTTTAAAGAATTGAAACAACACTAAGTAGATTATTTAACCACTATAGAGTTAAACAGGAAGCAATAACAGAAAGGTAGTGGCAAAATCTGAAAATGTTTGGAAATTTAATAAGGCACTTCTAAGTAACTCAAGCATCAAAGAAGAAATTGCCCCAAAAATGAGAAAAAATCAACAATAAAATTGATTGAAAGGTATATGAGAATTTGTGTGGTGTCAGTAATGCAGTGCTTAGAGGGATAGTATCTATAGCCCTAAATGCTTATATTAGAATAGAAGAAAGAAATCAAATCAGTTATCAAAGTTTCAACTGAATAAAAAAAAGAAAATCAAATTCAACTCAAAGGAATGAAGAAATGAAATAATGAAGATGAGAACCAATAACCATTAAATGAAAAACAGAAAAATAGTTGTTTAAAAAGTCTCGTTGAAAAGAGAGAATACATGAATTACTTCGTTCAGGAATGAAAGAATGGACTTCACTACAGATACTATAGGTGTTACAACATTAGTAAGAGAATATTATGAACAATTTTATGCCGATATACTCAACAACTTAGATGATATGAACACATTCCTTGAAGGACACAAACTACCAAGACTTACTCTTTAAGTCAAATTAGATAATATCAATAACCCTACATCTAGTTTTCAAATTACATTTATGGTTATAAAACCTTCACACAAAGAAAAACTCACAGCCAAATGGCTTCACTGCTGAATTCTACCAAACATTTAAGGAATAAATAAGAGTAATTTATAAAAACTCTTCCAGAAACCAAAAAAAAAAAAAAAGGATACTCCTCTCCACTCATTTCCTGAGGCCCTCAGTACCCTGGATTTGGCCATTATTATGAAAACCAAACAAAAAAAAATACAGACCAGAATCCCTCATGAACATGGACACAAACTTAACAAAAAAATTCTAGGAAATCGAATGCAGAACTATATAAATAGAATATTAAATCATGACTAAGGGAGGTTTACCCATGAATGTAAAGTTGATTTAACATTTCAAAATCAAGCAATGTAATTTACCATATTAACAGACTAACAAAGAAAAATCACATACACATTTATCTCAAAAAGTGTCAAAAAAGTATTCATTCATCATCATTCATTCATCACATCCTCAACCTAAGAGTGGAAATCTACTGTTTCCCAAAAAAAGGCCTACAACTACCATCATAATTAATAATGAGACACTGAAAGCTTTCTTTCCCTTTCAGATCAAGAATGAGCCTGAATGTCCACTCTCACTACTCCTAACCAATATTTCACTAGAGATATTGGCTAGTACAGTAAAGCAAGCAAAAAAATGAACAAAAAGCATGCAGATTGAAAAAGAAGAAGCAACATTTTTTCAATTCACAAAAAGAATAAGAAATTAATATTTTTTAAAAGTTACTAAAACTAATGGTAAGTTTAGCGTTTAGCAAAATTGTGGGCTACCACGTCAATCTTTTAAAACTCAATTGTATTTCTGTATACTAGGAATAAACCATTAGAAATTGAAATATAAAAATTGTAATCTTTGTAAAAATGTAAAAGCATAAGATGCATTGGGACAAACTTAGTGTAATACGTGCAAAACATTACTGAGAGAAATTAAAGAATTATTAAATAAATGAAGTAGTATACTATGTTCATACACCAATATTGTTATTATACTGATTCTCCCTTAATTAATATATAGGTTCAATGTAATTCCAACCAAAATATGAGAAGATATGTTTAAAGAAATAGACAAGTTATTCTAAAATTTATATAAAAATTCAAAGGACCAAGACTACCCAAAGCAATTTTGAAAAAAATAACAAATTTAGAAAACTTATTCTATTTCTTTTCAAGATTTACTACAAAACTACAATACTAAAAACAGCATGATATTGAGATGAAGTTATACAAAGAGTTCAGTGGGACAGAACTGAGCATCCAGAAACACACCCAGAAATATATAAAGAATTAATTTTTAAGAGAGATGCCAAGGCAACGCAATGGTGAAAGGACAAGGAGGTATGTACTATTAAAGAAAGAAATAAATAAATTAGATTTCATCAAAATATTTTAAATATTCTTCAAAAGACTTAAAAAATGAAAGGAAAAACCACAAAATAGGGTACAATATGTCTGACAAAGAACTTTTATCAAAAATATAAGCCAGGCATGGTGGCTCACTCCTGTAATCCCAGCACTTTGGAAGGCTGAGGACAGAGGATCGCTTGAGCCCAGGAGTTTGAGACCAGCCTGGACAACATAGAAAGACCCCATCTCTACTAAAAATAAAAATAAAAAAATTAACCAGGCATGGTGGTGTGTGCCTATAGTCCTGGCTACTTGGGAGGCTGAGGTGGGAGGATCTTCTGAGCCCGGGAGTACAAGGCTGCAGTAAGCTATGATCATGCTGCTGCACTCCAGCCTGGGTGATCCTGTCTCAAAAAAGTATATATATAATGTATATACATGTATAAAATATATACATATAAAATATGTATATAGAGAGAGATATAAGAACTTTTACACCTCAAAAATAAGAAAACAACACAATTTTTAAATATGCAAAAAATTTAACTGAAGAAGATATATGGATGACAAGCACATGAACGATGTTCAACATTATTAGTCATTAAGGAAATGCAAATCACAACCACAATAAGATACCATTACACGCTCATTGGAATGGCTAAGATTAAAAAACTAACAATACCAACCATTGGTAAGAATATGAAACAGCTGGAAGTATTATATATTGCTGGTGGAATATAAAATGGTATAGCTGCTTTGGAAAAGACCTTGGAAGTTTCTCATGAAGTTACACATATATGATATATGCACCCTATGCCCCAGCAAAACCACTCTTAGGTATTTATTCAGGAGAAATGAAAACATCCTTCTGCAGCACAAAAACTGGTATTCAAATCTTCACAGCAATTTTATGAATTATAGCCACTGAAAACAAGCCCAGTATTCATCAGTTGGTGAATGGATAAATCAACTGTGATGCATTTATACAATGGAATATTACTTAGCAACAAAAAGGAAATTACTGACACACACAGCCTCATCAACTAATTTCAAAAGCATTATGCTAAGTGAAAAAAGTGAAATACAAAAACTGTATAATGTTTTAATCTATTCATATGAAACAGAAAAGGCAAAACTATAGTGGCAGAAACCTCACTCATCATCAGGGCAACACAAATCAAAACCACATGATATATCACTTTATACTTATTAGAATGGCTGTTACATGTATCAAAAAGACAAGAGATAGCAAGTGTTGGTGAGGGTGTGAAGAAAGGGGAACGCCTGTACCCTGTTGGTGGGAATGCAGATTGCTGCAGCCATTTATGGAAACAGTATGGCGGTTCCTCAAAAAAATGGGCCAAACTACCATACGACCCACCAATCCATGGCAATCCCTTTTCTGGATATACACCCAAAGGAAATTAGATCAGCACCTCATAGAGATATCTGCACTTTCATGTTCATTGCAGCATTATTTACAATAGCCAAGATATGGAAACAGCCTTAGTGTCCATCTACAGATGATTGGGTAAAGAAATTGTGATATATATATATATATATATATAATATATATATATAATATATTACAAAAATAGAAGAATCTTTTTTGAGGCTGAATAATATTCTGTTTATATATATCACACATATCACATATATAACAGAATATTATATATCGCATATATACATACAAACATACATGTATGTGTATACATATATCACATATACACATATATATCACACATATATGCATAGATTTATATACCTATATATCACATATATACACATATATACGTATACATCACATATATCACATATATATATAAACAGAATATTATTCAGCCTCCGAAAAAGATCCTTCTTTTCGTAACCACATGGATGAATCTGGAGGACATTATACTGAGTGAAATAAGCCATGTACAGAAAGAAAAGTACTGCATGATCACTTTTACATGTGGCATCTAGGAAAGTAAAATATATAGAAACAGTGAGTGGAATGATGATTACCAGAGATAGGGAAGGTGGGAAATGGGGAGGCATAGGTCAAAGAGTGCAAAGTTGCAGTTATGTAGGATGAGTAAGTCTAGATGTCTAATATACAGCATGAGGACTATAGTTAATAATATTGTATTATGCACTGGAAATTTGTTAAGAGAGCAGATTTTAGGCACTCTTACCAAAAACAGAAAAAAATGAAGAAAGGTAACTATGTGAGATGATGGATTGGTTAATTGGCTTGACTATAGTAAGCGTTTAACTATGTATATGTATATCAGGACGTCATGTTGTACACCTTAAATATATACAATAAAAATAAAATTAGTCCAGGTGCGGTGGCTCATGCCTGTAATCCCAGCACTTTGGGAGACCAAAGTGGGCAGATTATGAGGTCAGGAGTTTGAGACTGGCCTGGCCAATATGGTGAAACCCCGTCTCTACTGAAAATACAAAAAAAAAATTAGCTGGGCGTGGTGGTGCGCACCTGTAATCCCAGATACTTGGGAGGCTGAGGCAGGAGGATCCCTTGAACCTGGAAGGTAGAGGTTGCAGTAAGCCGAGATCACGCCATTGCACTCCAGTCTGGGCAACAGAGTGAGACTCCATCTCAAAAAAAAAACAAAAAAAATTTTAATTAAACTTAAAAATATTTATCAGTGGTTGCCACAAGCTAGAAGGGGAGGACGTTAATGACATGGACGTATGAGGGAATGTTTTGGTGTGATGGAAGTGTTCTAATTCATGATTATGATGATGGTCACATAACTGTATGCATTTGTTACAACTCATCACGTTGTCTTTTTAAATTGGTGAATTTTATTATATGTATATTACATTTCAATAAAGTTGCTTAAAAAGTCTGCAGAGAGAAAAATTATATAGCAACATATACATACGCATACATATACAGCACACATATATATAGACCTTTTGTTTTTTTGTTTTTGTTTTGTTTTGTTTTTTGAGATGGAGTCTTGCTCTATTGCCCATGCTGGAGTGCAGTGGTGCCATCTTGGCTCACTGCAACCTCCGCCTCCTGGGTTCAAGTGATTCTCCTGCCTCCCAAGTAGCTGGGATTACAGGCACATGCCACTATGCCTGGCTAATTTTTGTATTTTTAGTAGAGATGGGGTTTCCCCATGTTGGCCAGGCTGGTCTTGAACTCCTGACCTCAGGTGATCAGCCCACCTCAGCCTCCCAAAGTGCTAGGATTACAGACATGAGCCACCGTGCCCGGCCTACATAGGCCTTTTGAATTAAACTTTTGCTTCCAAGCAGAATAAGGTGTCAATTATCGAAAATAAGATAACACTAATAAAAGTGATATATTATTTAAAAATGTCTGCTTCCTGCCCTTGTAAAGTGTAATACCCAATCACTTTGCACACAGACAAATATGATACCTACATATTTTCTCTATCCCAATAGTGTATGAAGTGAGTTTCTCTGACAGTCTACCCCAAAATACTTATTGACTCTAGCTTTTGATGTAAATGATAGTGAAAAAATTATTTTCATTTTTTTATTATACTTTAAGTTCTAAGGTACATGTGCACAACATGCAGGTTTGTTATATATGTATACATGTGCCATGTTGGTGTGCTGTACCCATTAACTCGTCATTTACGTTAGATATATCGCCTAATGCTACAAAATGAGACTATGGTTCATGAAACTCTCAATCTACAGTCCAATATATTTTATTAGACTATTTCACTTAACAATGTTTAAGAAGAGGCCTATCTGCTTAGATAACTGTCTCCTATAGAAAAACTCATAGCCATGATGCCTCCATCATCATATTGTGACATCCATTTACTATTTTTCTTACAACATACAAGGCAGGATTCAAGGTTAAGGGTAGAATACCAAAGATGTGCTCCACGAGTAATTCTAATGGCAAAAGAGCCTTGACTTTTGCCTGTTACATAACTTCAACTAAAACTGACCTTCAACATATGAAGATTTCATTTGCACAAATAAATGGTTGGACTGATGTCTTTTATTAGACTCACAAACAGTAATCAGCATAGAGGCTTTCAAGGCCACAATCTCTCTTTTGATTCAAACTACAGATAAGAGAACAGAAGTCACAGGAGTCACCAAAGGCTAAAGTAATCTTTGTTTCTTAAGAATGCAAAACTATGTACTTAGGGATCACATTCTGTCACTTTCCACCATTATCAAGAGTTATCATATTTATCCTGCTAACAGGATGGATTTATTGTTTGTGTGTAATAATTTGGGTCTAAGCTGCATTGATGTGTTTTATGGCATGTAGTCAACGCCGATCTATTGCGGGTCTATAACCGCTCCATAAACTGCAGATGCCAGCATTGAAATGAATGAGCCTAAGTATCTATGAGCTGTTTTTAATTATATGTTTATCTTTCCTCATTCCTTTGACTCACATTTTATTTATACCACATGTGGTTACATGTGGTATAGAAGCAATTTTAGGGGGTTTTGGAAAACCGAGGGCAATCATCTTATTTTACTCAGCAAAGCCACATTACTTACATTGACAGCAATTATCTTTACACATATCATAACATTCATACAATTTCTGGTTTCTTCCGACCACACTATTTCTATTTGAAATTCTCCTAAAGACAGGCGATGTTAAAATGAAGTTTATTCGTTGGTCTTGAAATTTTTAGCTATTCTCTTAATTGTGTTTGTAGTTACAACCATAACGTAAAACCTAAATCTGATAATTTAATTATTATATGTCATACTACACTAAAAAAAACACAAATATTTACTGAAAATTTTAAATCATCATAGAAAAGTTGCCTACAGACCCAATTTAATCAGCTATTTTGATTAATAGAGTTTATCTGTACACGTATTATTTTTGCTCTGAGTTGAAAGAGCTTTGACAGCTGGTACAGACTAAAATTATCGCCTGTCCAGAGACAAGGATTCCCATGAGCCAGACATAATCACTTTCCATGGGCATGGCCTCCAGCTTACACTCTCCAACCTCACCCCACGCTGGCTGTAGTGATAGGTGACTGACTGCTGGCCTTAGTCACCTTGACTTGACTTACACTTCAACAGCCCGCAGAATGAGAACCTTGCCCCCAGCATCCTCCCGGTAACTGGGGCTCTGACTCCAAGCCTGGCTTGTCCTCACCTCTGCCCTGAAGACCAGGGCTCCACCTTTAGACTGTCACTCATCCTCCTCACCAGCCATGGAAATAATGCCTGTTTTATAATTCTGCTCTGCCCCCAGCCTCCTCTATATTGAAACCTCCCTAACACACCTGAATTTGCAAAGCCCTTCACACATTTTGCATCTATGCCTATACCCCTCTACTGTCTGGTCCAGGCTTCCAGCTTCTCCCAGAGTTCCCTGCTCTCAAACCCACTCAAATTAAGACAGTTGCTTTGAAATATCAAAGCGCCCTGTGTTTTCATTTTTTGATGAGCAGCTAATTTCTGCATATGAATAATTACTGTTTTATCTAAGTTTTTGTGCTTGTTCTGCTGCTCAGTGTTATAAATAAAATATCACTCAGATGACTTCATTAAGGGAAAGAGGAATGTTCTTTACCTCTGCAACTCAGCCTTATCTAACTAGTCAGAATATCTGATTTAAGAGAAGTTTGGGACTGCAAGTTTTATCATCAGAATTGGGCTCTTGGAAAAATCTAACAAGTTGTCTAGAGATAGCAGAGATTAGAAAGGAGTACCGAAATGTTCAGAATAATTACCATTACAAACCCACTTAGACACTTGCCACTTTGGACAGGTGACAGGTCAAGGATTTATCAAACAAGTGCATCCAGACAGCTGGATATAGCCAGGCTCACATGCATAATTTAGTCTCCATCAGGATGACTGTCACTTATACTCACAACATTGGCTCAAGAGCTGTCTACTTCAGATAACTTGCTGTAAACCAGATATACACACCCAGTAGAGCACCCGGGGAGGTCGGCTCCTCCTTGGAAACTTTTCATCACAAAATGGAAGCCATACATGCCTTCTGATAAACATTTCTTGACTCTTTGGAGAATAAATCTCAAAAGGTCAATGGTTTGCCTGAAAGCAATCAGTTGGATGCATTAGTTTTATTTTGTTTTGTATTTTTTCTTTTTTTCTTTTCTTTTTTTTTTTTTTTCCTGAGACAGGGTCTTGCTCCATCAGCCAGGCTGGAGTGCAGTGGCTCCATCTCAGCTCACTGCAACCTCCACCTCCCAGGTTCAAGTGATTCTCCTGCCTCAGCCTCCCAAGTAGCTGGTGTTACAGGCACCCACCACCATGCCCAGCTAATTTTTGTATTTTTAGTAGAGGTGGGGTTTCACCATGTTGGTCAGACTGGTCTCAAACTCCTAACCTCAAGTGATCCATCCACCTCGGCCTCCCAGTGTGCTGGGATTACGGGCGTGAGCCACTGTGCCGGCCTTGTTTTGTATTTTTTAAGGATTCAGTTTGTGCCTAAATCTGAATTTATCATTCTAGTGGGTGGGTTTTATCATTCGGAAGTATGTGTAGCATCTTTTATTGTCAAAAACTTTTCCTGGAGCTAATTTTGATCTTAGAGAAGGTTGAAGCATTTCTACTTTGTAGTTCCTTCATTCATTCGTTTATAAAACAGCTACTTATTTCTATGTACTCTGTGCCAAGCACCATTCTAGGTGCCAGGGATACTGCAGCAGGAAAAACAGATATAACGCCGTCTTCATGGAGCTTACTTACATTCTGGTTGGGAAGACTGTCAATAAAACAAAGAATTAACGCCAGGTGCAGTGGCTTGTGCCTATAATCCCAGCACTTTGGGAGGCCGAGGAGGGAGAATCACTTGAATCCAGGAGTTTGAGACCAGCCTGGGCAACATAGGGAGACCCTGTCTTTACAAAAGGAGAGAGAGAGAGAAGTAATATATGGCAAAATGCCCGGCAATAAAGGTCTCATAAAGAAATAAAAAGGAGGGAAAGGCTAGAAAGTGGAGGAGGGAGAGCAGTATTATAGCAAGGACTCTGGGAAGCTGACAATTGAACAGAGATCTGCATGTAAATACTGGGGAGAAGAGACTTCCAGCAGAGAGACTAGAAGGTCCAAAGGCCCTGGGGTAGGGGAAACAGCCTTGATCTGTTCAGGGGACAGCAAGAGGCCAAAGCGCCTGGAGCTGGGGAAGCGAGGGAGACAGGTTAATCGTCTCCAGCCCGGCAATTTCATATCACATTAGGTATTTTTTTCCATAGCATGCCGAGTAAACGCTGCTTTAAATCAAGACTTTTTTTCACTCTGACCCCCAACCTGACTCAGAAGTCACCTTTGTTTGAATTAATTATTTAATCACTTTCATCACACATGACTTCAAGAACTGCCGCCTCGTGTTTAATTCAAGACAGTTGGCTTTCTCTTTGAAGACAGATTAAAAACGGAGTAGCAGAAGAGAGAGTTGGTGTCTTGAGCTTAGAGCGGCTTCGGAGAAGAACAGGATGGGGGTGTTCATGGTGCTTTTCTTTGATTCACAAGAGCTGCCTAGATTCTCGCAGTGACGAGCTCTAAATTTACCAAAGTGACAGTGTTCACTTCACAGAACAGGGAGCATGAGCTAATCATATAATAAATAAATAAGCCCGGGTGGATGCGCCACACCTGCACGACTCCCATCACAATGTGACTTGAGGGTTCTGGAAACGGGAGACTGGGCGGGGGTAGAGCTGGGTTAGAAAGAGAGCAAAACTCCTTTGCACCCAGCACCCTTCGCAGGCTGGTGTATGATCTTCTGCCTGCAACAGTCGGCTTTATCTGATTTTCTTTTTTTATTAGACAGCTGTGATGTTCTCCCTTCAAACCCTTGTCACTGCCGTTCGCAGGAATGTAAGTGATATGATTAGGGAACATGGCATTTTGTGTAATCGGTTGTAATCACCATCTGAGGGTTTCAGGAACATGACACACACACTGCTTCTAGGCCCGCCCGAGAGCAGGCGCCTGGAATGACAGGAGCCCCACACACATCTCCACCCCGTGTTTACGCATCTCCTCCTGGCCTGTGTGCCTAGCCTCTCACCCCCTCATTCAAAAAGCCCCAGGCTTCAGGAAAGGACCTAGCACTCCTCCAAACACTGCTCTCTTAAGAAATCCATACATTTGGGAATCTGTCTCTTTTTTATTTGTCAAATGAAAATTTTGCACTTCCTTTATCAAGGTTCTAAGTAAGTGAATTTTCCAGATAAGAATTTACCTTTCAGTATTAAAATAATTTGCCTTTAATACAATTTTTAATCATTTAAAATAGGATTTGCTTGTTATTTAAAAATTGTATCAGAAACCTCCCTATTTTCTTTAAAATAAGTATACAATTACTTAACAGGACCTTGAAATCAAAGAAGACTCCCATTGCATGAAATGTTTCTCATTATTTGAAATGATGTAATGATGCTCTCGGGATTTCTAAAGTTATTGGGCTGTTTATTCCTTACATAATGCCCTATGCAGGAAAAACCTGTTATGGGACCCTGGCTCTGCCACTCCCTAGCTCTGTGATGTTGAGTTGCCTAAGCTCTCTGAACTTCTGTTTCTTCCTCCATCAGAACGTACATAGTTAAATATGCCTCTGAGAGTTGTCATGAGCATTTGGGCTACCCAAGATTCTTAATTGCAAATAAGAGAAAGGGACACTGGCTAGTTTAAGTGGAAAATAAACATTTGGAAAGATGCCAGGTAACTCACAGAATTGAAGAAAAATATGGGAAACTGACCAAGGAAAATGAGCAGGAACCAAAAGCCTAGGCAGGAAAGAACACAGGGAAGCCAGTTATCCGTCCAGGTAGACGCCTTCACAGGGCGTGCTGCTATCAGATCTTCAGTGCCACACTGAGACATCAACACAATCTCTGGTTGTCCTTCTGCCATCACAGTACACCTCACCCATTGGAAGGCCACCTGGTTGGCAAAGAATACGGAAAGGGAAAGGAAAATGGCTCCTTTTAGAGTTCTTGTGGAAGCAGAATCCAACGTCTCCAAAACCTACACCACGGAAATATCCCAAAAGAACGAGTTCAGAGGCTGTGCAGAGCATACATCCACTGCAGAACTAAGTGAGGGCGTGTGTGTTAAGCATCTCTAATAGTACCTGTCACATAATAAATGCTCAATAAGTGTTACATTTCTACTCCTAAGTCTTCTTCTTGGCTTACTGGTTATTATCTAGTCCTTCTCTACCTGTTCTCCCCTCTGAAATTGCTGTTTTTCATTTACTGAGCTGGTACATCAGTTTTCTAAACTGGTTAGAATTGTATACAAACTAAAAAATGCAGGGTTTGAGTGAGACATGAAGTTTTGAATAAAATGAATAAACAGAGAGCCAACTAATTTTTGGAATATGTTTTTACAGTGTTATTTGACACTAAATTTAGACTCTTGCTTGTAGAGAGCCGAAGTGTGCTGTTAGGTCTGGACATACGAGGTGTCACTCTAGTCAATTTTTTGTTCTTCACTTTCCTCTTCAAGACATTTTTTTTTTCCTCTTAGAAACAATGACTGCAGAGTCGGAGCTGGGGGGCCTTCCATGCATTCCACCCTCTTTCTGAATCTCAGGCTGGAGTTAGAACATCCCCCAGAGAACCAGAGAACAGCTATGAGAACGATACAAGATAATGCATATGCAAAGCCCCAGCCCAGGAGCCTGGTATTTGTAGGTGAATCTTCATCAGGTGCTTCTCTTTCTCCTCACTCTTCATAGTTGGCTGAACTCATGGTCTATGGTCTTTTCTTTTTTCTCTTCAGGGATAACTGCTGGGGTTTTAAAAATTTCCATCCCCACACTGTACCCCGAGACCAATTTTATCAAAATCATCTTGGGATATAACCTGAGCATTGGTATTTTTAACACCACCCAGGTGATGGTCATGGGCAGCCAGGTAGGGCAGCATGACTCTCCACCTTCTCATCTCTTCTCAGCTTCCCTGAACACCTGTATGTAAAAGCCTGAAACTGCCATGTCTGGCCCTTTCCTCACAAAGCTCATGAGTTGCATATTTTTGACCACTTGCAGGCAATAGACATGCTAGCCATTCTCTGAAATTCAGTGGTTTCACATCTAAGTTTGTTTTCTCCACAATTGTACCAGAACTATCATGGATTTGTCTCCAAATCTCCCCATCTCTGTTCCTGGTTTCACTATTCTTCTGGCTACTGGGGCTCTGAATCATGCATATGCATTTTCTCCCTGTCACTTAAGGAGTCACCACGTTCTCTTTTTGTCATGTCTTTCCTAATTAAACCTTGTTCTTCAATACTATATGCCACCTCTAGTATATTACACCTAGAGTTCATCTGTTCAGATCCACATATAACCCTGCCTCCAGGTTAATCTTTCTAAAATTTCACTTTCTTTGTAACAAGTACTGTTAAACCATCACGGGTCTCATTTCCCATTCCTTACAGCCCACATTTCTGCTACAGGCAAGCAAGGTCTTTATAACTACCAAAAATGTCATCTTATTCAACCTATAATAAATATCTATTGATCAATAGTTAATATTGATCAGTAGATACTGAAAACTACCACCTAAATTCTCCAGACATTCTTTGTAAAAAAAAAAAATCATTCTTCGTAGAATTTGCAAAATCACTAAATCACTAACCTGTTCTAAGCATTTACTCTATACCAAGCGTATCCATTTTTCTCAACCACTGTCATGCCATTGTGGTCTCCATTTTAATGAAGGACTTCCAGGGGTTAGGAAGATAGTTATCACAATTAATTCAAGCCAGGACTAGAACTCAATTCTCTTTGACTCCAGACCCCATATCAGAGCCCCTAAGCTCCAAGGCAGAGGGAGGGTTTGACTGGGAAAGACCTTGAAGATGCTGCTGTAATGCTCTCATCTCTCTGGCGAGGAAATAGGTTAACTCAATTTTCTGCGGTCATGCAGGAGGGATGTGTCAGACCCAGGACAGGAACTGGAGTCTTCTGCCTCCCACCATCTTTGCTTATTTAGCTTGCAGACCCTTGAACAAATTAGGCCCATTGTCTCTCTTGACCTCAGGATATTCTTGCACCTTAAATTGCCCTTGTTTTCCCTCCCTTCTTTCCCAAATTCTACCCCGTCCTCCAGAGCCATTCTAGAACCTCATTCCCCAAGTGCACTGAGCTCCACCAATTTTTCCTGGTTTTTATCTTGAGTGCTCCTGCCTGGATTTGCCACCTCATCATTGGATCACATGCACTTTGATGGTATTTCCCACTTGTTCCCCAGGAAGACCCTGCCTCCCTAATGATGTTTTACAGAGCTTCTGCAGAAACCACCTGATTGTTCTCCAGGTTCTCCCCAACATCATTTATCCCAGAGGCCTGGTGAGAGACAGGAAGGTGGTCAATAAACGTGTTAAATTGAATGGAATCTCTACAATACTAACAAACAGTCCCTGGTCATTAATAAGATATGGTTAAGTCCCTGCATTTATTTTTTGAATTATATTTACACCTGGGCATTTCTCAGCATATTCAATGAAGATGTAAGACTATGGTTATGACTTAGACTTCTCAGCCGTGTTGAGTGACCAGAGGCTGAGATAGTTAACAAGTCTGTTGTCCTCAGTGCTCTTCTTAAAATTGCTTTGAAATATTAATGCTGTTTTATTTTCAAATGTAAGTACGGTCCGCGTTTTTGTATCAGTTCCAAGATGGAGAGTTTAAAATGCGCTTTTCTGAATTGAATTGGGTTGATTCAGGTCAAAGCTTAAAAGAAAAATGCGTATATGGATAAATAGTCAGAGATTAAATCTGTAAACAACCCTCCATTTGCTAATGCTTTTTTGTCCTTCTTGGTTTTGTATTTTGCAACAAAATAACTTGAAGAATGTGTTGACATCTAAGCATATAAATGCAACTTATCGAATTGATTTAAGTGAGAAATGTATTTTAGGGTAACAATTAGGGTAAGAGTTAACAGATAATATAGAATACATAAGGGAATGGACACAAACCTAGCAGCAAAATTCTGCTGATCTGGCATCTACATTTTTCTCTATTAGGAGCTCCACATGCTTCATCTTTCTATTTAGACAACAGCTTGTGTTTCTTCCCAGTGTGTGTCTCTAGCTCTTCACAAAGAGGTATTAACTACCTGCTTCAAGCTTGTACTAGGAAATTAACATAAGATATTTTCATTTGACCGTGATCACATGAAGCCCTCTCTAATCTCATTGGGCACATTACCCATCAGATTTATGGAAATTCTCAGTGAACTGTGACCTTGAAGTGTAACCATTGCATAAACTGTATGTGAGATGCGGCTGTGGTGTTCACAAAATATACCCTTGACCTTGGCAACTGGCTGACTCTTCACCTGGGTCTACTAGTCACTCGGAATCCAAAAGAGAACATACAATCAACCCAGGCTTCCAAACCTATGACACTGGGGCTGATTAGCAGGGAGAGGGGTAAGACGGAATGAATAATGAGGTGAATAAAGATAGCCAGAAACTGCAAACAGCAGGGAGCCTATTTCCACAGAACTTGAAAATAAAGTAACAATAGAAAGAGTAGTCAATTATTAAATAATTTTTTTTCCTCTTCAATGATGTCCAGGTTATTTAACGTCTTGACTTCTTCAGTCATTTGGAACATAATTTCAGCATCACTATCAAAAGGAAAGTTGTGAAACTTTTAACAAACCTGTGATTGGACACTGGTAAATAGTATCTTACAGAGGGAAAGAAAAATTAAAAAGGCATTTGGCAGCAAGATACACCATCACAAGGCTGGTGTTCGAAGTCATGTTGGTAAGCTTCAAACTAAGGCATGCTTTTGAACCTCATCATCTGCCACAGCTACCAGATATCAGAGAGGAAGTGAGGAGAGGAGAAATTACAGGAAAAATGATTAGGAAGTTCTTTCAAAATAAGCAGTATTATCTGAAGGGGCCACTGGATGCTATCTGTAGTAATCTACTAAATCCAATCTATATTATCAAATATATGTATATTTTGAGGCTGAAAATAATGTGATTCAGAGCACAAAGTCAGCCCTCCTGGTTCAAACTCCTGTTCTGTCTTTCTTTCACATGTGTCCTTAGGAACATAGGTTTCACCTTGCTATGCCTTGGTTTTCTCATTTTGCAGACCTGTCTAACCTCTTAGGGTTTACATGAAGATTAAAATTAAATAATTTATACTAAGTGCTTAGCACTGGGCCTGACTCATGTAATTACTGCTCAATATATTTTTAGCCATCTCCTCCTCCTTATTTTCTTTTCTTTTAGACAGCTATTGTCTATAATTGTCTGTCTATTTCTTTTAGACAGGCACATTGTCTCCCGATTCCCTTCCGATATGTGTCTAGGTAAATGCAGCCACTACTTTGTATTTTTCCATTATCTTAAAAATATTTTATCATAGACTTCTAGAACTATTGCTGATTGGTCTCAAATAAACAACCTCCTCCCAACAGATGAGGAAACTGTGACTCAAAAAATGGCTTAACCTAAGCAGTAATGCAACCAGTAACTGCTTTCTAAAATAATAAAACAAGTTATATCATTCCCACCTAAACGTTATACCGAGCCTGCCTTTGCTGGACACTATAAACTACTATCCTGCTGTTCTGAGGAGCTCTTGAAGTAGATTTGCTAAGCTATCTAAAGTTTTTTGCTAAGCAAACATAACTACTGTACTTATTTTCCTCATTGACCTGCCTTGCTTGAATTGTGTTTAAGCTTTTGAGGACAAGAGGCAAGCTCTAAAATTGTTTAAACCCAACTACACATCAGAACCATCTTCTGCAGAACTTTCTCAAAAAAAAATACCTATTCCTTTTCTTATCCCATCTAGTGAGTCAGGATTTCTACGAATGTGGTGGCTGTGACCGAATCTTTAGAACATTGTTTCTGATGATTCCAGATCTTAGACAGTCTTTGGGAAACGCTGATACTGTAAAACATCATCCTTTAGCATTGGTGTCCAGCAAGTGAAAAGTGGTAGATTTTACAGAATCCAAAGTTTTTCTTTGTCAATATTAACTCCCTTATCAATAAATAATATAAACATGCATTTTCTTTCTTCATGGCATACCAATATGTGCATATAAAAGATGTCTAAGCATTTTCTCACTTGCAGTATTTTTAGTGCTATATTTACTCTTCCACAGCCATAGCAGCATTGAAACCTATAATTACCTGCCACTACCCTGTTTCTATTGCCATTTCAGTCATCTCTCTATATTGGGATTTCTTGTTACCCAATTTTTATGAAGCCATCACAGTTTATCAGTCAGTTTTACATTGCTTTAAAAGAACTCCCCCTTCTAAACTGTATTACAAGTTCATGTGGATCTATACACATTACACATAGTTTATTAAAGTTAACTTGAATTTTAGAATTTCATAGCACTCTTGTGATGAATAAAGAAGACAATTCAGGGTATCATGAAGCCGGAGTCTCTGAACTGGAAATTATAGGTGTTTAAGGCATTTAAGAAATGTGGCAATTTCCAAAAATACGCTTCTATAAAGATGCTGAGTAGAAGAATACGTGGACGCACTTCTTATGTTCGGCAACCCTTTGAACCATCATGCCCCCTTTTTTTCCCTTTAGTCTTTACTACAATCTCATTTCTGCTGAGTCTCCATATAACTTAAGGAAAACCCTCTTCTGCACCAGCACTGCGAGAGGATTCAGAGATTCTTGGCAGCCAAAATAGAAAGCCAGTCCTACAGTGAGTAAATTGGCCTGTGTGTGTGTTAGTTGCTTACGCTGCTGGATGAAATCGGCCCCCCAGGACACTAAGAGCCTTCCAGAAATCATGTCTTGCACCTCGCAATGGAATCCCAGAAAACCAAAAGCATCTTACTCAGGTATGAGACTGCAGGATCAGCCCAATGAGGTTTCAGAAGCAAGAGAAACCTCCTCCCTACTTTGCTGTTGGAAAAGTACTTGCACATATCAATCCTAAACAGCGCCCACATAAAAGCAAGGGAGTGTCTCTTGGATTGGCCAAGGGAAATATTAAATCAAGACGGTTTCATACTTTGGGTTAGCCGTTTGCTATTACTCTTCAGTACAATGAAACAAAGAAACGTGGATGGGGCACTGTAACGGAGTGTGAGTGCGTACCCTGGGAATGCAAGCTTTCTTTTCTGCTATAATTGCATTTACTGGTGCTGTTCCATTCAGCATAAATGTGGCTACTAGCATTCATCTAAAAGATGCCCTAAGGCTTAAACCTTCCCCAAGTGTTGAGTAAGAATGATGGAAATGTGGTTGGGGAATTTAAAACCCACTCAAACGTCATTAATTAGAAATTCCCTGATGAAATTAAACCTTTGTATTTTGGTGGGATCATTTCTCGACATTGCGAGTGATTCTTTTTTTTAATTGCTGAGTCGTACTCAGGACTCAGTGTACCCAACTTCTGAGAAAACTTGCCAAATTCGCAATTTTTGTCCAAACGTTTGAAATTAATGAGTACGTTAAACGACTTTAAGGAATTTCATATTCAAGTGACTTCAGTGTATTTAGCTCCAAGGCCTGAGGCAAGACTTCCAACCGCTGAATTTGATGCCATCACTGAATACACTTACCAGGAAAATGACTGGAAGCGTGCACCATCAGCGCTCACGGATGTCACAGACATGCATGATCTGAAAGCAGAGCAGAGCAGGGGGCCGCTGTGCCTAGAAAAGAATATGAATTATTTTAGCTAATTTTAATTATGTTTTAGCATCCGTAAATTTCAAACACTAGAGGGAGATCATAGAGACTGGAAGGTTCCATTTTCCTTACCAAAGAGGGCAGCAGCAACCCATTCGTCTCATAAATTCCATCATAATTGTACAAGAAATTGATCCCTATAATCAGTTTTCAGTCCAAAGCATATTTCCACCACCATCTCCATAGTAAGTTGCAGTTTGAGTTGTCTCCTACATCTTAATACGTAATTATATTAATACTAGGTAGAGGCATCCAGTGCTAGTTATTAGTGGATACTGTTCATTGAATGAATAATATATGGAAGTAACTGTGCTAAGCATTTTATCCACCACGTCTTACATAATCTTCACCATAACTCTCCACCGTGGATATTATTACTCTCCCACCTAGCAGATGAGGACTGAGACTTAGGAAAGCTGAATAACTCTCTTAGTTCACAAACCTAGTAAGTGAAAAAGCTGGAAAGTCCAATTCAGGTCCATATGACTTACAAGTGCAAAATTATGTCCCCAATAAATAATAAATGGAAGGCCAAGATTATAGCAAAGACTCACTCAGCAACTCCTGACACAATTTGCTCAGAAGTAGGCTTACCACATTGCATTTTCCCACTGATTCCTTTTCAATTGAATTTTTTAATTTGAGTCTACAAATGTAGATTAATGCATTATAGAATAGTATAAACTACTCATTTGAATATTATTGAATTGAGGTGTCCCAAGGAAGTTAGTGGAGCTAAGATTACAGAAAGATATTCATCTGATTGCCCAGCCAATAAACTACAGCTACTGATGACAAAAAAATAGTCTAATATGTTGAGTATTGACACACACACACAACATTCAGAATGTACTTACCAAAATGAATATTTTCTAATAGCATTAAACTTTCCAGCCAGTTTAAATCTTCTTCCAAATGGTTTCATAAGGATACTTAGCTTGGAGATCACCGCCTACATTAGAGACCCTGGTGATGGATCTAGAAATTTTTAAGACTTAGTTATCAACCATTATCAATGCAAATAGCACAATGGTGTAATCAATGATGCAACTCTCTGGGAGCCAGGAGAAGTGGGTCCCAGTCTTTGGTGGCTGACCTTAAGCAAACCATTTAGCTTCTTGGGGCTTTAGAAAATTGTGTGATTTTATTATTCAGGTAGATGTTTCTTTAAGAAACAATTTAAATAGCGTTTTTTAAAAGTAATTGATCATTCAGTAAATTAAAAACTACAATTCAGTAATCAGAAAAAAAGGTTTTTCTGTATCTACCTCTGACACTATGGCCTAAGAATAAGGATTGCTATCTTTATTGCTATTTTTATTAGATAACTAATTTTAAAAGCAAGCAAATTTCAAGTGTTAGGTTGTTGTACATGGGTGTTCAAGTTTGCATAATATATAAAAACCTTGGATGTAACTCTTATCACAAAAACTATTCATTTTATTTAACAAAAGTAAATAGATTTGTTGTACCTATGTAACATCCCAGACCCATGTAAGTGATTATTAACAACTGGATTCCTAGCTCTTAAAAAAAAAAGAAAAAGAATCCTGCGTGTTCTTTCCAGAGAAGAACAATGATTAAAAAGAATATTTTTCCTTCAGTATAAAGAGGATATTTCTACAAGTGAAAAATTAAGGTCAGTAAAAACAAGTGAGGAGCTTGAGCTGTGTATCTTCAGGCCACACAACTGAGGCAGAAGTTTCCCGCTTGCTTTGACAGTGGTTTATTCTCTGACCCAAAGAGCCTGAGGTAAGATTCAAAGGCTGATGGGTTCATCTGCAAGTCCTGCTGGTGAAATTGGGTAGCTGTGGCTGCCCAGCTGCTGAGACAAAGCTAAAATGGGAATGAAGTCTTAGAATGTCCACTCTTTTGGCCACTTAATGGAGCTAAAATGAAAGAAATGAAACAAAAGCAGCCACACGTTAATTTTACAGGTCTTTTTGTCTTCCGAATTAAATGTTTGTACTTTTTACAATTTTACAACTGGCATATTTTAAATTTTCATTAATTCTATGGCTTGAATGTCCCCCTCCAAAATTCATGTTGAAATTAAATTGCCATCATGACAGTATTAAGAGGTGGGATCTTTAAAAGGTGATTAGGTCTTGGGGGCTCTACCCTCATGAATGGATTAATACTGTTATCAGTTGAGTTGTTTACTTACAGAGGGAGTGGGCTCCTGATAAAAAGATAAGCACAGCCACCATTTTCTCTCTGTCTCAATCATCTTCCTCGCCATATGCTGCCTGGTGCCACGTTTTGATGCAGCAAGAAGGCCCTCACCAGATGCAGCCTCTCAATCTTGGACTTCACAGCCTTCAGAACCATGAACCAAATAAAACATTTTTCTGTGAAATTACCCAATCTGTGGTATTCTGTTATAACAGCAGAAAATGGACTAAGACAACTAAAAAGAGAACAGTAAAGATATGGAAGCACATTACAACTGATGTTTTATTTGACTTATTCATTACAATAAGTATGTGTTGAGCCAAGTCCTAGAAATGCAAAAATGAAAATGGCCCAGTTATTGTCCTTAAGACTACATTTTTTTAACTTTTTAAAAATATAATATATTTTATAATTTTCTAAAAATGTTGTGCCTTACAAAAACCCATAATCCAACAGTGGCTCAACTAATTGGAAAAATGTGCCAAGTGAATCATTAGACAGAAAAAAATTCTTTTCCCTACTACATAGAGTTACCTTCAGGAAATCATGTTTAATTTCCCTGCCAAGGAATTTGAGTAATGATTTACTGCAGTGGTAAACCCTATATTGTACAACCACTTCATTAGTTTTTGTATAACTGGAAAAGGTAAATAATCTACCTTTGGCAGATATTTCTGTTACTTAGCCCTTTTTTATATAATCTTTGAATAAGACTCAAGGATTTCGCTCTATAAATGATGATCAAATATTTATATACATTGTATATTCTCCTCTAGAGCTCAATAACATATATATGTCTTTTATATATAAATACATATTATATTGAATATATTACTTATATAATTAATATATACAACACAAAATATGTGGACTGGTATATATCAAAATGTAAATAATAATTATTCCATTGAGTGGAATTCCAGATGTTTTTCATGTTCATTTTTATAAGATATTCCAATATTTGCTGATTATGTATAACTTTTATAATTAAAAACATAGATTTGTAGGTTCTTTCATTTATATTCCAATGTTATACAATAACTATGTATTATACTTATAATCAGAAAATGTATATGTTGTTTTTATTGTTATATATTATATATATGAGAAGATTATAATTATGCTTCAAATACATAGCAAAAATAAGAGATGGAAATGCACGCACATATAATAGTGACTGTGTGTATAGAACGTAACTAATGGAAGTGATCCTTCTGTTTTCTGGAGTTTTTCCTCATTTGTAGTATGAGCATGTATTGATTTCATAATAACACAAGAACTTTATTTTTTAAAGACAAGTTTTTAAAAATAAATACCTAATTGAAATACATTCTTTCCTGGATTTTTTTTGTTTCTGAAAAGCTATGATTTTTTATTTATAATCAAAATGTACTTCAATGTTTATGGACAAATTTTAGGAGTAAAAATGAATAAGTAATAATACATTTGTGATAGATTTAAAATAAGAATGTGCTCAAGTAGGCGCTAATAAAGAAAATCTCATATAAAGCACTGGAAATGAACTCAACACCATGATCACAGCCAAAATTAAGACTAACATTGGAACACTGTAAGGGAGGTTGAAAATCCAAGTGTAATATCCTGTCTTTCTACCTTGATGTGGAATCCATCAGTCTAAAGCTAGCCGTATGGAAATGTAAAAGCCAGGTGGATAGACACCTAGATAACTAAGTCCAACAAGTCTGAACTGCTCTACTTGGCTGGAGTGTGGGGCACTGATCTCAGTCTATAGAGCAAGATTGGTGCCATCTGACCAGATAGAAAGGAGAATGCAGGCTCACAGCAGTAGGAGGGTTTGGAATGGCATGGAGGGGCAGAAGGCAGAACTTGAATGGTCCCAAGAGCTGTGGAGGGCAGCTTCAGGGGCATTTCCCAGAGCATCCAGGCCCTCAGCCACTGAGGCTTAGATGGCTTAGATGAAGCCCTTTGAGACAAGAGGTAAGTACATAGTAAGTTCCCCACATCGTGGAAACTTCAGGAGGGCCTCCACCTCTGTGTGTATTAATTTGCCCACCCCTAACTTGGTAATAATTCTGTTATTTGTTTATATATTTATTTAGCACATACTAGGTGTCAGGCATTATTCCAGGACTAGAGTAATAAGATAAAACAAAAAAGTGACAGTGATAAGTGTCATTTTAAAAACAAGGCACAATATGAGGCTGGACTAAGGAGGAAATGGTCTGAGGAGTTGTCCCTGGGAAGTGAGCAGAGCTCTGAATGGTAGGAAAGAGGGAGTCATGAGAGGAGCTGCAAGCACAGCCTGAGCAGAGGCAGGTGAAGGGACCGAGGTGCAGAGTGCCATGAGGCAAGAGGGCAGTGTCCATGAGGCACGCAGGAGCAGAAGGAGCTATAGGGATTGGTATGTGGTGGTTGAGGAGCTCACCATCAAGGGGTGCCCTGCTGGTGATGGGAAGCCAGCGGAGAAGGAGTTGAGAGGGAACTTGAACCAACTTGGATATTTAAGAGTTCACTTTTCTATGTGGAGGTGAGATTATAGGTGGACCAGAGTGAAAGCTAGAAGATGAGATCGAAGAGCCACTGCAGCTCTACAGCTCTGGTCCAGTCTGTAGACTGAAGAGAGTGGCTGGGATGACAAGAAGTGGTCCAGTTATATTGAAGGTAGGGTGAATAAAACTACATGAGGGATTGAATACGAGGGAATGAGAGAGAAGGGAGAACCAAGAATGAATCATAACTTTGGCCTAACGCAGTGAGTGTATGTCAGTGCCATTTATTTAGACAGGAAAGACTGGAGAACAGGCACGGGGATCATTGAGGAAGAAGGTAGAAATTCAAGACATGTTTTATACACATTCAGTTTGAGATCCCTATTAGTCAGCCAGGAAGAGATGTAAACTAAGCAGCTGAATAATACATCTGGAGCTTAGAAGGGAGATTAAGCCTGGGAGAGAAAACTGAAAGTGATAATGGCTTAGATAGTACCTAGAGAGTGGGAACAAATGAGACCATCCAGGGAGAGTGTATACACAAAGCAGAAAGGCTAATGACTGATCCCTGGAGCACAACACATTTAGAGGTTAAGAAAGAGAGAAGAAGAAAAAGAAACTGAAAAGGAGAACCTGGAAAGAGTGGAAGCTAAAAAAGAAAGTGATTCAAGAAGGAGGAGTTGGTTAGTTGTGTGAAATGCTGCCCAGAGGTCAACAAAGATGGGGAGAGAGAGAGAGAGACAGAGGACACCGGTCATTTGAATCTCATCAGTGATCCTAAGAAGGGCAGTTAAATAGAATGTTAGGAGTAGAGGGAGCTGGAGGGAAGGAAGGGAAAAGAAAAGGTAATGAGCTAAAGTTGTTTTAGGGTGACTGTTGATAGGTGCTGATAGCAGAAAAAAAAATACCCTCACAAATTTTAACAACCCTAAATCGAATCCTATAAAGGGACAATGAACCAGATGCCCTCATTGAATCACATTCTTTTCATTTAAGCTACATTAAATTTCTTCTCATTTAAGCTACTCCTTCAAGTCTTTATAAACTCAAATAGAAAATATTAATAAGACACTGGGTGTGGTGGCATGCATCTGTAGTCCTAGCTACTTCTCAGGAGCCTCAGGTGGAACGATCGCTTGAGCCCAGGAGTTTGGGGCTGCAGTGAGCCATGATTGCACCATTGCACTCCAGCCTGGGCAACAAAGAGAGACCTCATCTCTAAAAATAAAAAGGAAAAGAAAATATTAATCAGATTCCTTTATAAGATTTCAGAATTGTCATTTTACTTCATGCACTCTCAAAGAAACATAGTGTACCTCAAGCGGAATAAAGACTACATTTCTTTTACAAAACTTTCCCTCCAATGTTTTCCTTTTGGAATTGTGTTTACGCAGAGTTGCTGGTTTACATCAAGATTCACTTGAAATAATAGTGCAAAACTCTGTATCCCACCTTTTTTTGCATGGCCAACATCAACATTTTTTAAAATTTTGTTCTACATTAGAATACCTTTCTCAGTCTTTTGAAATGTGTCCATCTGTTGAAGTTTTAATCAAATATTGGTTGTTTTAAAATCTATTCTGTGGCTTCCATACTCATATTTGTAAGAAATTTAAATTGATATCATAGAGTCTGAAAACATTTTTTATTCCTTTATGAAATATTTATCATGATATTGGAGGTGTGTTTTTTCCATAAGATGTAAAAACAATGAATTTATATTTTCATCAAAATAGTTGAAAAAGTATTTCCCTTGATAAACATATACTACACCTATCCCCTTACAGTAGTATAAAATTTGTATATATTTACAAAATCTTTAAACTTCAGATTTTTAGATTTTTGATGTTCATAGATTGTTATAAATTTAAATATCTCAAATCCTTCTATTTACAAAATGTGTTTATTGCATAGTTTTATTTGTTTATTTTCCATTTGTCTTCAAAAATTAAAAAGTGAATGATGAGGTTTAAAATATGATTTATGGTTAGTTGTAGGTTTTCTCAAACATTCGCTTCTGCACAAAATATCAATGAATTCTTTCTCTGGATGCATGTGGAAGGCAGAAGGTATCCTTTCAAAGTCCGTGAAACGAGCATAGACTTTGGACTCAAAGGTAGGTCTGAGTTGTCCTGGGCATTTCACTTACACGCTGAACCTTCACTCTGTGTGTGTGTGTGTGTGTGTGTGTGCACGCGTGTGCACGTGCGTGGTAGTGAGGCTTCTATTACCTCCGTCACATGACTGTTGGCAGATTAAGGAGATGGTCTATGTAAAATTCAAGGCACACGGCAGGCACATGGTAAACGGACTGTTTCTGTGATGCTCATCTATGTGAATGGAGATGTGTTTGTGCTGTGATTAATCCAATGAGGGTGTTTACGTTCTATGAAATATAGCCAGAGTTTAGAAACAGTTTGTGAAACTTTATTAACACATGAAACCTTTTGTGAAGTCGACACTAGGTAATATTAACTTTTAATTAATTAAAAACCTGTCTGTGTATTAAAATGCCTTACAGTCTGATTAATGGAAATAGATTAGAAGGCAATGTTTTGTCATACTAAAGGTGCATTCGATCGCACATTCAGAGAGAGAGCAAATGACTTGGGACACCATCTAAACAAAAATCAGCAGCTACTAATGAGGCTTGTTAGTGATGCTAATCTATGTAAATGTTATTAATTGAGAACATCTATCTTTTATCTCCAACATTTGGTAATCAGGCAATTAAAGAACAATGACATTCCCGGTGGTTGTTCTTCCTAGTTTCTTTCTTTCTTTCTTTCTTTCTTTCTTTTTTAAGTGATCAAAGAGTTCAGAGTAAGAAAAAAAGAAAGTCCCTTATCAAGAGGTAGGCCTTGCCTTGGGCTACTAGGCCTCATTAAAGACAGAAAAGCTCTGTTGATCACCAATTAACCTGATTTGTAGGAACTCTGATAAAGACCTCCAACAACAGGAGTTTTCTTACTATGGTAAATGACACAGTTTGTTGACAAAAATAAAAGCAACTCATTGAAAAAAAATAAAAGAAGACTATAAAGAATTCATTGGTAATGAAAAGTCATTCTGCTCAGATTCCTGTGCTTGGAAGAGAGAGGAAGTTTTGCCCGTCTGGTGGCCTAGTGCCCACACCAAAGGAGCCAATCACACCTTAAGTCAGGTAGAATCAGCACCCAAAGATGTCTGTCTGGTCATCTTGTCAAATCTCTGCTTGCTCCTCCAGGGGCAGCAAACAATTGACTCCGTCAACTTTGTGAAGGGCAACTGGGCCCTGTAGGGTGTACCACATTCCTGGACCAATGGAATTTGGACCTAGGACTGCCTTGGGAGCCAATTGTTAAAGTTTTCAAATATTCCATTTTAAAATTTAACATGGTTTTAAATTATACTGGACAATGTCTATTGTATGTTTTTATATATCAAAGATATAGCTAATAGAAATAGCATTAAAGACAGCAATAAGGAGACTATACACACATTTGAATCCAATGGAATTCAAATCTAGGATTGCCTTGGGAGCCAGTTGTCAAAGTTTTCACGTATTCCATTTCAAAATTTAACATAGTTTTAAATTATACTGGACAATGTCTATTGTATGTTTTATATATTGAAGATATAGTTAATAGAAATAGCATTAAAGACAGCAATAAGGAGACTAAACACCATGCACATTGCTCAGCACTTTGCCGTGGATTACCTCTATTGATCTTCACAATAATCCTATGGCATGCACACTATCCCAGAGAGAGAGAGACACCCTGTATTTGACACCTCACCCAAAAAGTTAATAATTCATCAAATATCCTTTAAATCATTTATTTAAGCAGCTCTTATTTGGTTCTGGCTTTCTCTTCCTTCAGGATCTTAAAGGGCTTCAAGAAACCCTTAGCTATAGAAAGTAAAATTCCACTGGTGAACTGTGAACTTCCCATTTGGGTGTTGAACATGCAATGTAAATTTCCCCCAAATGTCTCAGTCCTCCAAGACTCTGAGAAAAGCAGCCAAAACATAGAGCAGCTGTTTTGAATGCAAGCTATGGAAATCCCTAAATGGGGCGGTGGCAGGTGGGGGTGGGCAATGGCTCACTCCTGTAATCCCCGCACTTTGTGAGGCCGAGACGGGCGGATCACGAGGTCAGGAGATCCAGACCAGCCTGACTAACATGGTGAAACCCCGTCTCTACTAAAATACAAAAATTAGCTGGGCGTGGTGGTGGGCGCCTGTAGTCCCAGCTACTTGGGAGGCTGAGGCAGGAGAATGGCTTGAACCCGGGAGGCGGAGGTTGCAGCGAGTGGAGATCACGCACTGCACTCCAGCCTGGCGACAGAGCAAGACTCCATCAAAATAATAATAATAATAATAATCCCTAAGGGGTGTAAAATTGTAGTAAAATCATCGTAAATGTGTGTGAATGGGGTCTATCTGGCTCCTTTTACTTCCCCTCTTGTATTCCCTCTTGTATTGTCTTTCTCCTCCATCCTGTAGAGTGACCCTAAGAGGCCCAACACGGGCCAGAAAGAAAGCAGCATAAGCACTGCCCCATCGTCCTTAAAACAGTATGTTTGCTTTATCACGATCCACTCAAAGAACAGCCTAAAAAGGAACATCTTGTTAGGACAACAAGAATCTCTATTTGTATTCATCTTACATTAATTATTATTTGCATTATAATTGTTGGTGGTTGCTAGCTTCAAATCAGTATAGGTTTGAATATATTGCCACTTCCTAACATTGTTTTCTACATACGAAGTCTCCCTGAATTTAAAAAGTTTAAAATAATGTCCTGTAGCATGCTGTTTTCTTTCTTTCATTTGATGGTGAAAGAGAGAAGCTCAAGACTGAAAGAGAACTAATGATAAGCATAGCTCATTAGCCGGCTGGACTATTGTGAAATTGACTATGATTTCATTTTTCTAACGTGATAAATGATGTAAACAAAAGATTTACATACAAGGCTGACTTCCCAGAGCTTTAGTAACTGCACATTGTAAGATATAGGTATAGGGGTAGGATGGAGGAAAAAGCCTCTTGTCTCTTAATTGGGTGTTTGTTTCACTGAGCTGATAGATTCTGAATGCTAGATAAAATTTATAACAGTATTTCTGAATATTATCATAAGGCAGTGGTTTTCAAATTTTAGTGTCTATAAAAATCCCCTGGTGTTTGCTAAAATGTAGTAAATCCAGTTTGAGGGCCCCAAACTACTTTAACAGGCAACCTTCTACACACACACACACACACACACACACACACACACCCTAACTGGTGATTCTGTTACAAATAGTCCAAGAAGTAAAAAAAAGTTTTTGTTTTTTGTTTGTTTGTTTGTTTTTGAAACAGAGTATCACTCCCATGCCTGAGGCTGGAGTGCAGTGGCACAATCTCAGCTCACTACAGCCTCAACTTCCTGGGCTCAGGTGATCCTCCCAACTCAGCCTCCCGAGTAGCTAGGATTACAGGCAGGTGCTACCATAGCCAGCTACGTTTTCATATTTTTAGTAGAGACAGGATTTCACCATGTTGCCCAGGCTGGTCTCAAACTCCTGACCTCAAGTGATCTGCCCACCTTGGCCTCCCAAAGTGCTGCGATTACAGGCATAAGCCACTGCATCCAGTTGTCAAAAAGTTTTGAGGCTAGTTTTACTTCATCCAAAAAATATGTGTTGAATGCTTAGTATGCATAAAGGGAAGATATCCAGAGGCTATAAGATATGTATGATGCCTTTCCTTCTTCCTCTTTTATCTAAGAGATGATTAGAAAATTAACTCAAAGTGAGAGACTTGGTGACCCATTGTAAATGTATTTATAAGCTAGTAAATCCATCTCAGGAGATCTGAATTAATGTTAAAACAACAATTTGGTTCTTGCATTACTTCCTGACATATTTTACAGCAAGAAATTAATCACATTTGCTCCAAATCTAGGGTATTGGTTTCTATTTCCATTTTAAGGATTTACTGAGTAGTGCTAGGAAACATAGGCAAGAAGAGAGAAAAGACAATATATTGACTAGTGATTTGGGGGAACCACCAAGTCATGTGGATAGTGTGCAAAGAATACAAATGATTCCATCTGTGTTTTTTAAATACCTTCCTCTGGTCATCTCTCCATGATTTGTGTGAGAAGCATCCCCTGGGCAACTGCCCGGCAATTCTGGCTTTCTTCAGGTCAACAAAACCTAGTTACAAGGTTTTAAATCACCGGTAGGTAGCTGAGGTTTGCAGGAAGGGTTATATACTAGGAGGATGGGAAGAATGGTTGAAGTCAGGTGGGCATAATCTAGAAAGTTTCCCTGATAGGCTAAAGCAAGCAGGGCTCAGAAGAAGAGAGAGAGAGACAGAGGAACAAGTGTTGCTTGGTGAAGATGATTCTGACAGCCACAAATGGAGCAGGAAGGGGAGAGATTAAAAGTGACATAAAAAGGGATTGCCTGACTTAAGGTCTTGAAACCAATAGGTAATAATTTGAATATGACCCAGAAGCTAATGGGAAGTCATTTGAGGGTCTTGAGAAAGGGAGAATGGAAACAGCAGGTGTAAAAGATTATCTGAGCTGCAGAAGACTGGACCAATTCGAAGAATGAGAGGCCAAGGACTGAGGAGGACTGGCAGGGAACCCCAGATCACAGTGATGTCCTACAGCAGACGGGAACTTGGTGATTACAATGAGGAAGCAAAGCCACGCAGGTTAAGTGGCTTGTCCCTGACCCAACTGCTAGTTACTTTGCTTGCTTATTTGTATTCTGTATATATATATGTGTATCCTGTCTTACTCTTAACAGAAGATTTAAAGTAATTTGTTTATTGTGTCTATCTACTCCACCAATTTCCAAAATAGTTCACCAAATAAGCTACAAGCCAAAGTTCAATTAAATCCCAGTTTCTGGGGGTGGATCTCAGGCTTCAATATATGTTTTTAAACTGCTACAATAATGCTAACGTGCAGCTAAGGTTGAAAACCACTTTTCCAAATGTAGCAAAGGGAGCAGATGCTCTCATGTCCCTGAGATGCTTAACACTGGTGACAAGATTAGGGGCAGATTCCTGTTAGCTGAGGCCAAACAGGAAATGCACTGGGCAAACAGTTTTCCTTTTTTTCTTTTCTTTTCTTTTTTCTTTTTTTTTTTTTTTTTCTAAAAGAAATGGTAAGTACCTGTTTCCACTGACAAAACTTTTAGGAATAAAACTTAAGTCAAAAAGTAGTGCATGACTTTTCTATAAGGTTTTTGTGAAAAAGTCACTAAGGTCAGCTAGAATTTTTTTAAAGCTATACAAATATTTTGTACAAATGCACAGTTCCCCTGTGGACATTTATGAGTGCCAGTGACTGCATTCACAACACTGATGTACAATGGAAGGCATTACTCCAGGAAACTGAGTAAATGGCCCAGCTAATTTAGAAAAAAAAAATCTAAAATCCTAAATGAATATGAGATGTTTGAACAAACCTCTAGCAGATGCTGAATTGCCAACAGCTCATGAAATAATTCTCAAACATGAACCTATAGTGAAGATAGTTTATGATCTTATTTAAACTGAGAACCGTATGCTTTAATCACTAGACATGATGAAGGAAAAGGTTATTCATCTGTTGCTTGTGTTTTAAAAGTGAGATTTTTTTTTCAAGTACAGCAGGAGGCCAACCCTCTTCAAACTGAAACCAAAGGCCTTTTCTTCAGAGAAATGTGATGTTTTCATCTGAAAGTAGGTTTCCTTCTTTCCAAGAATGCAGATACCTTGTTGGAAAGCAAAGTTGTATGTCTTAGAAAGTAGAAACACGGCTGATCAGAAATCCAGCTAGAACTGCCACCTGCCTGGGTCTCATTCCCAAACTTGAGCTCCCCCACCTGCCTTCCATTCCATGTTTTCCTATTAGATGTTAAGATTGGACCCACAACACAAATACAGGGAAAGAGGAAGGGGAGAAAAACATAGTAAGATTAGCCAATAGTGTGGGAGAAAAGAGAAGGCAGTAGGATGGGGGCGGGGGTGGGGCTTGGAAATTGCCTGTGTTTGCCTCGTGCCAAAAACTCCCAGACAGCAAGATTTGGAAAATAATTTTAAGAAAAATTCAGTGATCTGGATGCTATGCCCATCCGACACCAAATATCTGGTCACCTGGGGCATCTGGGAGATTTTCTGGATTCTTCATTTTCCATCTGAATGTTTGGCTATGCTTGGATGCCACCAGACAGCATTCGTGGATAGAGTGGCTGAGAAGATGTCTACAAAGGGGAAAGAGAATCTGACCTTCTTTGTCAGAAGCCAGTTAATCCTATTAATAAGGTAGAAAAGTTTAAAACCAAACAGGGGTGTGTCTGGTTAAATTTGGATTAACAGAAAATATACCACGAAGAACCGTGAAAAAGAACAGCAGTAATTATGCCCACATGAAAGAGGGGCATGAGTTAAACCTGCGCCAGCAGACCAGAGAACATGCCTTCCAATATGGCAAGATTGCTGTAGTTGTATTAATACAACTTTGTCTTAATTATATGATTGATGTGGGCTTCAAAAGAAAACTCAGAAGCCATAGTGGCTCCAAGGGCATGAGCATTATTGAAAGGATAAAGACAGCCTCCCCAGAAGAAAACCACTCGAAGAGGAAGCCTGGGAGGTTTGCATGGCAGAACTAATCAATAATGTCTTGGTTTTATCTACATTAAGTTTAATAAAATTTGATGACATCCGTGATTGAAGATCACACACACAATTGTGGCAACATCAAAGGTATTCTGCAGCATATGTTCAGCCTGGGAAGTACAGCAAATCAGAGACTGGTTGTATATGACACTGCTCACCATGAGAACACGGAGAACACCAAGAGGGGAGCATTCCCTGAGTGCCTTCTCCTCCTGTGTTGACAAAATAAGCAGGGTAAGCTTTCTCACCAGCCTTCACCAACCACCTTTTCCTCTCATTCTCTCAGCTGTCTGATATCAGAATTTTAAAAGAATAGGTTAAAAAAAAACCATACTTCTAAAGTTACTTCCAAAATCTGCCCAATAAACAAAAGCCTGCCCTGGATAGATTTTCCTTTTATCTTATCCCATGAAGCCAAAGGAAATGAGAGGATTTCAAAAGTGACTCAGCACAGAGGAAAGGGGGAAAACTGAAGAAATTGCCACCCAGTCCCTTGCAAAAAAGGGGACGAGGACTTTGTTGTCAAATTTCACATGCAGCTCTGCAGAACAAAAGAAGAAAATGAGACCTGCAATTACCTCAGCTTTAAGAGCTCAGTGAAAATCGCTTTAATCCCCCGGAGTTTGTACCACTGTCATATTTTACTTTCTCTTCAACAGGTGTGCAAATCGTTTGGACTGGAGCTGGAAAACAGCATTCAGACCCTATGGGCTGAACGCGAGCAAAGTATTTGCTTAGTTGCAGCTGGTCATCTCGTATCTTCTTCAGGAATGAGGAATTGGTGTCATGGTAACTTATTTTAATCAGTTTGGCAGCAGAAAATATGATTTTACTCACAAAAGTGATTCAGGTAGGTGAGCCTTCCTGGGGTTTTATATCAAAGAGGTAAAAGCAACCATTGTTTGTTTGAATTCAATTCTAACAATTCAGCTGAGGAAAACAGTGAGTATTAGTTGTCTTTTTTATACCTGTGTTCAATGCCATTTTATACTTGAGGATCTCTGATAAGCCAAATGCCCAAGCAATATCACACATTATGAAATTTGAAGGGTTTTTTCCTTTCTTTTTGCTTTGCTTTAAAAAAGTCATAAGTCGCAGAATCCCCCCCAAAATGGTAGTAAAGTTATGTTACTAACAAACTAAAAAAATAACCATGCTTGTGACAGGAATCATTTTCCTAAAACTGATTTGGGTCCTTTTTTTTTTTTTTTTTTTTTTTTTTTTACAATTTCACAACTTCATTTAATGTATTTGATCAGCGATTAGTTCTCATCCACATTGACTGTAGATTTTTTCACGTGGTAACAGGTACATAGGTAACCAAAGTATAGTGCTTATTTGGTGAATCTTCATCCTCATTACGTTTTCTGGACAACCGCACATGGATTTGGTATGGGACATTCCTTATTCCTTTGGCCCAGACAGCTTTGTTGAACCTGGTATCAATGTGCACATCTGGAGTTCCCATCTCCTTCATGGCAAATTTTCGAATCTCTTAGAGTGCCCAAGGGGACACTTGTTGATGGAGTATTCTCGGGTCACCACCTCATTGATGGCAGAATGGCCCTTTTTCTTCTCGCCACCCTTCTTTGCAGGAGCCATTCTGCCGAATCTAAGTTGGAAAGGAAGACCATTTTTATCTATAAAGCAGATGAAAATTTTCTAAAGAAAAGTTAAGTGATATTTTTTTTCCATGATGTCCTCGTTTCCCTGCATAAGAGGACGATCTAAGACTCTAAAGTAGGGCTTTTGACTCAAAAGCCACATTGTTTCTGTTATATTGCTCTACCTTTAATTAAATAAATCAACACAGGCCAGGCATGGCCGCTCACTCCTGTAATCCCAGCACTCTGGGAGGCCGAGGCAGGTGGATGGCTTGAGCCTAGGAGTTCGAGGTCAGCTTAAGCAAGATGGCAAAATCTTGTCTCTACCAAAAAAAAAAAAAAAAAAAATTAGACAGTCTCATAACCATGTCAATAGATAGATAGATAATATAGATGATAGATAGATAGATGATAGATAGATAGATAGATAGATAGATAGATAGATAGATAGGTAAAAAATAAAATAAAGAGTCCAGGCGCAGTAGCTCACGCCTGTAATCCCAGCACTTTGGGAGTCCAAGGTGGGTAGATCAGTTGAAGTTAGGAGTTCAAGATCAACATGGCCAACAAGGTAAAGCCCCATCTCTACTAAAAATGCAAAAATTAGCTGGGTGTGGTGGCGCATGCCTGTAATCCCAGCTACTCAGGAGGCTGAGGCAGGAGAATCGCATGAACCCAGGACGCAGAGGTGAGCCAAGATCGCACCACTGCACTCCAGCCTGGGCAACACAGCGACACTCTGTCTCAAATAGATAAATAAATAAGCACAATATTTTAAAGGTCCGCTTCTCTCTAGGTTCCCATGGTATTCTCTCCAGCTATTTAATAGAAATTCCATGACCATTTAGGCACCAAGAAGGAGGGGACCCACTCCTAGCACCACCAGGGTAAAAAGCTTTGCATCACTCCGTTCATGTCCTCTGAGAAACAGAAGCCAAGGTAAAATTAGCCATGCAAGAGACTTGAACGTTTAAGTTTGTGAATCTTCTACCTTGGTAGAAGCAGGTCAGATCTTGGGATTTGAGTGTTGCTTCACCAAGAAGACTTCACATCTCTCTGTCCTTGAAAGGAGCTGTCTTCATCTTGCATTTCCTTGCCTCGTTTGGAGACATTCTATTTTGAACTGGCTGAAGCCTCCATCCCCAGTGAAGAGCGATATTATTAACTCTGATTGACCAGGACTGACGGTAAGAGAGTGAGAGTTAGTGCTACATGAATTACACAGAGTGTGTATCAAGATGAAAATAAAAGCTGCAATGTGCAGACAGGAAGGGTGAAGGGTCCGTTGAAAATCAGAGAGATTAGCAACTCATCACATTATTTGTGGGTTATCAGGAGACAGAGGTAATGAAAGTGAGACCTATATCCTTGATCAATAAGAGTTTGACTGCATTTTGAGTTCATTTTCCCCTGCCGAGAGAGAGACAGCAGGCTTACTATTGATCACCGTGTTAATCCATAACCGGACTGGGCCTTAGCCTGGTGGAGCAAGCAGGAAAAATAAGATAATAAGCAGGAACTCTTGATCTTTTATTATGGTGTGCTAGATAAAGAGAGTGTGGGGGTTCAAGGTGGAATACTTTATAGTTAACCCTTACAGTCCCTCTTAATTTGAAATGCATGAGAAGAAGAATTGCGGCCCATCTTACTCGGACTTTTATTTGACCTTATTTTGTCTGCTTCCTATCTAAAGTGTGCCATGGCCTCTTTTCAAAGACTGGAGGCTGATTTAAGTGGGCCAAGGGACAGCCAAAACGACATTAGGCTCAGAGTAAAGGAGAAAGGCCCTCCAAACCCTGCTAGCAAAAATCAAGTGAAATTAAGCATTAATTGCGTCTGTTTTTTATATTTTCTTATGCTATTTTAGAGTCACTCGATCCAAGAATATTTATGTACATGAGTTGTCAATAATATGTGTCAGTCTGCTGTTTCAATAGCAAGCATTATTTAGTTTTTCATTAAAGCATTTGACTAAAGCAGTCATTGCATTGATGTAGACCCATCTTAGAAAGATGGTCCACCTTTTCTTTCAGATCCATCAGAGTTCCCACCTTTGTGTAACATAGACCCCGGCTATAATTTAGGCATTTCCTGACCTGTCTATTAAAAATCACCAGGCACAGTGGCTCATGCCTGTAATCCTAGTTACTAGGGATGCTGAAGCAGGAGGATGACTTGAGCCCAGGAGTGGGAGGCTGCAGTGAGGTATGATAGCTTGGACAAAAGAACGAGACTTCGTCTCTAAAAATAAAAAATAAAATCTTTCTCAGTGACTCAATATTTACTCATAGTAGTTTTTGCTGAAATTTAGACTAATTCTACCACAACTCCGATTAATCCAGATGACACCTTTGTACAAATTAGAAAAATGTGACTGCCCCAGGCAAGCACAGCCTAAAAGCAACCAAATAAGATTTCTGCCTTCCCTCATCCCTCCCCACCGGCACCACTGTGCCTAATCCTAAACAGTGCCCTGAAGTCCGGCGCAGCAGCAGAGAAAGCAGGAGGATCATGTGAATGTAGCCCACCTACCTGCACCTTGCACGGGTGTAGTTAAGTCTGCACTCTGTGTGCTTGTCCCAACTCAGCTGTCTCTCATTTAGAGGCTTCCTGTGCTTTTCCAACTGAGTTTTCATCCAGTTCTTCAAAATGCTCATCCTTTCACACAAGTTGCACCTATTAGTAAATGGCAACCTAAGTCACCCTGGAGTTAAGTATTCTGAAACAAAGGGAGAGAGAAGTGGTGTGGGTGTGGGCACATTAGTATGAGAGAGAGAATGAGAGAGAGAGAGAGAGAGAGAGAGAGAAGGGGAGAAAAGAAAACAGAGTTTAAAGAGCTCTGCTTTGGAAACATACTACTCGAGCTGCTCTAATAAGAAAAATTGGGAGATCCATACAAAAATAACGAATTTAAGTATAAAGGAATTTAAAATGAAATGTTTTGTGATGATTTAGCACTTTATCATTGGATAATCAGGGAAGTTAAACAACCTGAATGAGTTTATACAGTGATTATGTGGGAAAACTGGACCCCAACCCAGGACTTCCGAAGCTGGAACTAGTCATTTTTGTAAGAGTTAGTCCAAAAAAAGCTGAGGCAGCAAAGTCTACTATGGAATTGATTTTCAGAAACAGGCAATGCTGCTTTGAACTATCATACTTAATGCTGATGATAAGTAAACGCTTCTGAAGTGGGTGAGACACTGAAAGTTCTCCCCAAAGCTTAAGGATCCAGCTTGAGAGGGCTTGTTAGTATTAATTTACATTGTGAATAAAGAAAAGATTGTTGAGGAAAGGGGATTTTTGTCCATTTTAAAATGACAAACAGCAGCCATTATTTATCTGAAGCCTCCGTAAAACAAGACAATCAAGTCATGTAACATTATTTGGAGATGGAAGATAGAATAAATGATTGTGGCATCAGTCTAGAATAATGAATACCAGAATATCTCACCTGGATAAGCCAAAAACTAGTTGCAAGGCCTTGGGAAATTTCTTTGGGCTTTCCTCTCTTCCAGAATGATCCACATGATCATCCCAGCTTTACCATTCTGTTGTCTTCCATAGTCAAATGATCCTAGCAGCCTTCTCAGCACCCATGTGTGATCAGAAGTAACAACTCTTGGTCTTTGCAGTAAAGTGGTCAAAAAAGAAGACTGCCACCCAAAGAAGAAAATGAAGTTTGTGATCTGATCCCATAAGATGTTTCAGACTTGGGTTTCACTGGCTCTTATTTTAAGAAATCAAGAATGACTTAACAGAATGGATGTCACCAAAAAAAGTTCATGGAAACAGTCAGAAACATAATGGCTTTGGGAAAATGTTCATTTCTAATTTCATAAAAATGAGGATCTAATTTAAAATGAAAAAAATGATGTTTGGGAATTGCTATCATTTGAATGTCTGTGTCCCTTCAAAACTCATGTTAAGACTTAATCCCCAATGCAACAGTATTAAGAGGTGGGGCCTTTGGGGAAATGATTAAGTCATGAGGGCTCTGCACTTGTGAATGTGATCAGTGCCCTTAGAAAAGAGGCTTCAGAGAGCTCTCCATCCCTTTTCCCCTTCTGTCATGTGAGGACACAGCGTTTGTCCTCTCTGGAGTACACAGCAACGAGGAACCATCTTGGAAGCAGAAAGCGACCCCTTAGTAGATACTGAATCAGTCAATGCCTTGATTGTGAACTTTCCAGCCTCCAGAACTGTGAGAAATTGATTTCTGTTATTCATGAATTACCCATTCTGTGGTATTGTTATAGCAGCAGAAACAGACTAAGACAGATTGGTTTAAAAACTGAGAGAGAAAATCCTCTTATAAAAAAAACTGTTTCACACCAAAAGCATTTGCAACAAAAGGAAAAATTGACAAATGGTATCTAATTAAATTAAAGAGCTTCTGCACAGCAAAAGAAACTATCATCAGAATGAACACACAACCTACAGAATGGGGGAAAATATTTACAAACTATCCATCTGACAAAGGCCCAATATCCAGAATCTACAAGAGACTTAAACAAATTTACAAGAAAAAAACAAACAACCTCATTTAAAAGTGGGCAAAGAATATGAACAGACACTTCTCAAAAGAAGACATTCACATGACCAACAAACAAATGAGAAAAAGCTCAACATCACTGGTCATTAGAGAAATGCAAATCAAAGCCACAATAAGAAACCATCTCACACCAATCAGATTGGTGATTATTAAAAAGTCAAGAAACAGGGCCAGGCACAGTGGCTCACACCTGTAATCCCAGCACTTTGGGAGGCCAAGGCAGGCAAATCACCTGAGGGCAGGAGTTTGAGGCCAGCCTGAACAACATAGTGAAACCCTGTCTCTACTCAAAATGCAAAAATTAGCCAGGCATGGTGGTGCACGCCTGTAATCCCAGCTACTTGGGAGGCTGAGGCAGAAGAATCATTTGAACCCGGGAGGTGGAGGTTGCAGTGAGCTGAGTTCGCACCATTGCACTCCACCCTGGGCAACAACAGTGAAACTCTGTCTCAAAAAAAAAAGTCAAGAAACAATTGATGCTGGTGAGGTTGCAGATAAACAGCAACACTTTGACACTATTGATGGGAGTGTAAATTAGTTCAACCATTGTGGAAGACAGTGTGGTGACTCCTCAAAGATCTACAAACAGAAATACCGTTTGACCCATTCTGTCATAAAGATGCATGGATGTGTATGTTCATTGCCGCAGTCTTCACAATAGCAAAGACATGGAATCAACACAAATGCCCATCAATGATAGACTGGATAAAGGAAATGTGGCACATATACACCATGGAACTACACAGCCATAAAAAGGAATGAGATCATGTCCTTTGCAGGGACGTGGACAGAGCTGGAAGCCGTTAATCCTCAGCAAACTAATGCAGGAACAGAAATCTGCATATTTTCTCACTTATAAGTGGGAGGCGAATGATGAGAACACATGGACACAGGGAGGAGAACACCACACACTGGGATCTGCTGGGTGTTAGGCGGGAAGAAGGAGGGCATCAGGAAGAATAGCTAATGGGTGCTGGGCTTAATACCCAGATGATGGGTTGATCTGTGCAGCAAATCACCATGGCACACATTTATCCATGTGTGTGCCATGGTGGGTTGCTATGCAGTTGTTACCTGCATATCCTGCGCATATATCCCGGAACTTAAAGAAACATGAAGAAAAAAAATAATAAAAGAGTTGAAGAAAAAAATGTTATAAATAGAAAACAGATTCTTTACAAAAAAATTTGGCAAATATCAAAAAGTATAAAGAACAAAATATTCAAAAAGCACTCTGGAATCTGCAAACCCCAGTCGGTGCTGCATCCCCAGCCCGCCGCCACGCCGCCTACAAACAGGTGCTGATCCGGCACGGCGAGGTTGCGTGGAACCTGGAGAACCGCTTCGGTGGCTGGTACGATGCCAACCTGAACCCAGCAGGCGACGAGGAGGCAAAGCGCTGGGAGCAGGCGCTGCCAGATGCTGGCTACGAGTTTGATATCTGCTTAAGAGAACAATCCGGACCCTCTGGACAGTGCCAGATGCCATTGATCAGATGTGGCTGCCAGTAGTGAGGACTTAGCGCCTCGAAGAGCGGCACTATGGGGGTCTAACTGGTCTCAATAAAGCAGAAACTGCTGCAGAGCATGGTGAGGCCTGGTGAAGATCTGGAGGAGCTCCTATGATGTCCCACCACCTCCAATGGAGCCGGGTGATCCTTTCTACAGCAACGTAAGTAAGGATCGCAGGTATGCAGACCTCACAGAAGATCAACTACCCTCCTGTAATAGTCTGAAGGACACTCTTGCCCGAGCTCTGCCCTTCTGGAATGAAGAAATAGTTCCCCAGATCAAGGAAGGGAAATGGGTACTGATTGCAGCCCATGGCAACAGCCTCTGAGGCATTGTCAGGCATCTGGAGGGTCTCTCTGAAGAGGCTGTCATGCAGCTGAACCTGCCGACTGGTATTCCCATTGTCTATGAATTGGACAAGAGCTCGAAGCCCATCAAGCCCATACAGTTCCTGGGGGATGAAGAGACCGTGTGTGAAGCCATGGAAGCTGTGGCTGCCCAGGGCAAGGCCAAGAAGTGAAGGTCAGCGGGCAGGCTACTGTCCCCAGGAGCACTGTCCCTGCCCGTCGCTTCCCTCTGCCCCTCCCTCCTGCACGTGTCACACTGACCACATCTGTAGACATCTTCAATTGTAGCTGCAGATGGGGACCAGTGGCTCCCATTTTCATTTTAGCCATTTTGTCTCCTGCACCCACTCGCTTCATACAATCTAGTCAGAATAGCACTTCTAGGGCACAGGTTCTCAGTCTAAGCTGTGGAAAAGCTCCCCTCAGCCAAGAGAGTTTAAAGGTAGTGACTTGGGTTTTTGCGAGTGCTTTGTTTACTAAGGACTTGTGGAGAGGAACCATGCTAAGCCATGACCAATGAGGAGAAGCAAGAGAGCCTGTCTGCCCCCTGGAGCCAGTCCCGTGCTCTTCTACAGTCAGACCACTGCCTGGGGGCTCTAGTCATTCCAGTGAAAGATGGATGTAACCTGCATGGTGATGTGACGACTGTTTCCTCTCTGACCCCAGAGGAACGGGCTCTAGAAGGTTGGGATCAATCCTGAATTTAGTTTAGGTGTTACTTTTACTTTAAAAAAAAATTTATATATATAGATATATAGATATATATATATAAAATATATAAATAATACAAAACAATAACCCTTCTGGGGTTTCTCGTGGCAGTTGAAATAGTCCCACATGTGGTCATCAGAAAATAAGCCGTTCCTCATACCAACATGGGACAAGCTCCTTGACCTCTGAGGGGCAGGAGTGCTTCCTGCTGTGTGTTTTAGAATCCCTTCCCACCTTGTTTTGTGGCAGTGAAATGCTTCTTGGTCTTGTCCAAGTATGTCTTTCACTGATTTCTGAATCATGTTCTAGTTGCTTGGCCCTACAACATGGGTCCAGTGTTCATTTGAGCACAACTGTACTAAATCCTTTTTCCAGATCAGTATAATAAAGGAGTGATGTCCAATAGAAAACAAAAAATTCAACCAGGCACAGTGGCTCACGCCTGTAATCCCAGCACTTTGGGAGGCAGAGTTGGGTGGATCACCTGAAGTCAGGAGTTTGAGGCCAGCCTGACCAACATGGTGAAACCCATCTCTACTAAAAATACAAAAATTAATCTGGTGTGGTTGCAGATGCCTGTAATCCCAGCTACTCAGGAGGCTGAGGCATGAGAATTGCTTGAAGCTAGGAGGCGGAGGTTGCAGTGAGCCAAGATCGTGCCATTGCACTCCAGCCTGGGCGACAGAGTGAGACTCTGTCTCAAAAATAAATAAATTAAATAAATAAATAAATAAATAAATAAAGCCATTGCTAACATTTTATAGCATAAACTCATCTTTTTGTCCTATGCTCATATATACATGCAAAATCTTGACAAAATTGGAATAATTTTGTAAGTGTTATTTAAGTTGATTTTTTTCACTTATCTTGTGTAATTACCGTTCCATATTCTTGAATATTCTTTGAGAAGCTTGAAATTTTAAGATGTACTGTCTCCTTCTTCTACATTTTTGTTGTTGTTGTTTGAGACATGGTCTTGTTCTGTCACCCACGTTGGAATGCAGTGGCACGATCATAGCTCATTGCAGCCTCAATTTCCCAGGCTCAAAGGATCCTTTCACATCAGCCTCCCAAATAACTGGGACTACAGGTGACATGCCACCACACTTGGCTAATTCTGTTTGATTTTTGTAGTGATGGGGTCTCCCTACATTGCCCAGGCTGGTCTTGAACTCCTGGGCTCAAGAGATCCTCCTGTCTCAGCTTCCCAAAGTGCTGGGATTACAGACGTAAGCCACTGTGCCCAGACTAAATTTAAAGCGTAGTTTCCCTATTTGTAAATGGTTTGGTGTTACTGGGTCAAATTATAAAATACATAGAAGATTAATTTTCAAATAGCCAGATCATTCGGTAATTAGAAAATTTATTTCTTCAAAAAATCAATGAAATAATCATTTCCAATTTTGCTTTCATTTAAGTTATTTCAAAGTAATTTGAGGTATAACAAATAATAAAACAAGTCCTCTGTGTTGAATGGATTTTGATTTCTGTGATCAATAAAGTAATTGTAGCTGTAGACTGTACACTTGGGTGCCATAAGGTACTGTCTTATCCATGCCATGTAAATATGCAGAGACACCTTTGCATCAAATAACGTTTGATGCCCTTCTAATCAATGTTTTGGCATCTTCTTCTTTTTAACCTGGCTTTTTTCACTCAATATATAACAACCTGATTTTAAGTGCTTATTTTTTTTTCCTGTACCTGTCTCCTAAAAATCTAAGACTAATGAAAATGCTCACTCTTGCGTTTGATTTGCCAAGCCTGGACCTGCTGTTTACCTGGTGGATGAAGCACTTCATCAGGATTCCACTGTGCTGTGGTGAACGGAGGCTTTATTCCACCAGTGTGGTTAATAAATGCGCATTTTCAAGAGCAGCTCACATATCCTGAAGTATTTTCCAGGCTTAAATTAATTGATGCATCACAATTTTGATTGATAATTTTCTCTCTGTAGTCCTGACAGCCTTGTAAGCAGGCAGAAGTCCATGTAGCACGTTCACAGGAAAACAAGTAAGATCCTTCCTATGAATTTTCTCCTTTAACCACAGTGTTAGCTACCATGCATTGTGTGGTAGGCATTTTAAATGTATTCTCACTAACTCTGAACAACTATTCAATATAGGTAGTATCAGCCCCATTTGATAGATAAGAAAATGAAAATACAGGGATCTGGAAGCCCTAATTTAAATGCCTCCTATCCACAGAGCAGTATCAACTCACATTCACTTGTTTTACTTAGAAGGCTCAATCAGCACTGAAGGAGCAGGCTTTCATTTCTTAGGGTGTCAGGAGAGAATATAGGAGCCTGGAAAGAAGAATACGTGGTCCTCATAGACAACTTCCATTTGACTGTACCCACAAATGTATTTCCAATGGAAGTCTTCAATCTCCACCCATACAACACCTTGGCATCCAAGTGGTGGATAGTACCTCAGTGTTTCACGGCAGCTAGATTGAACATTCTGTAACAGTTCTTCCCCTCTTGAAATTCTAGAACCCCTAAACCGTCCCACAAATGCACTTGACATCAAGAGGGCTAATGCTGGGAAAGCCACCAAAAGCCTGTGCCATTCCAAACACTGGGTTGTCTTTGGTGAGCCCCATTACACATCAGCTCATGAAGCAAGAGGCAGAGTGTTGTTGAATCTGCAGAACATTATTTAAGTAGGGAAGTCGATGTTACTTCCAACTTTTGATTGCGGTATTTCCAGTTCTCATTTCACTTGGTTCCACAATCCAGGATAGCAACCTGTATCCCATCTATTTTGCAAATTCATACACCATGGTCAAAAGACAGAAGATGGAAGAGAATGGACTGATCTGTTCAAATACATCACACAATCAAAGAGGTACTTGCGAGGACTAGAAGAATAAAATATTATTCTTCATTAAAAGTTCTAGACCAATAATTTCAGAGGTGCAACAATTCTCCATGTTCTTTTCTCTAAGCCAGAAAGTAGACAAAAGAAAACAGAAAAAAAAAACTAAAAAGTTTATATCTGCATTCAAATGGTTTTGTTTTCTCATTGAGAAAAGTGTTTGAATATGCTTTCAACTTTATACTTGAACAATAAAATATTTACAATTATAATACAGCAAAAACCTAACAGTAAGAAAATGAGAAATCATTCTAATCTCTTAAGCAAATATTGTCATATGAGCATACACATATCGTTCACTCACTTCCCCAACTCACTAAATGCTAGAAAAACGATTTTTTTAAAGACATAAGCCTGTAACATGAAGAGTGGACAACAATATTAAAGTAGTAAAACTTTTGGAGCAGGAAAGCAGGTGGAAGACTAGTAATTGAATTAACATATCCCAGAAAACTGATTTATAAGGCAAGCCTGGGGGAACCTATGAACCATGTAATACGTAATATGCATTACATGAGAGACTCTCCAAGTGTGCAGGTATGGGTGGTACCAGGTTTCCCTGAGACGAAAGTAAAGGGGGCGGGAAATGGGACAGTAAAATGAGAAAAACTTCTTTAAAAATTTGCTTAAGAATAAGTCAGAAAGGACTAGTATCCAGAATCTACAGAAAACTTAAATCAGCAAGAACCAAAAAAAAAATCACATCAAAAAATGGACATGAATAGAAAATTCTCAAAAGAAGATACACAAACAGCCAAAAAACATGAAAAAGTGTTCAACATCACTAATCATCAGTAAATTAAACCACAATGAGATACTACCTTACTCTTGCAAGAATGGCCATGATTTAAAAGTCAAAAATAATAAATGTTGGCATGGATGTGTTGAAAAGGGAGCACTTTTACACTGCTGGTGGGAATGTAAATTAGTACAACGACTATGGAAAACACTATGGAGATTTCCTTAAAGAACTAAAAGTAGAACATCCATTTGATCCTGCTATCCCACTACTGAGTATCTACCCAAAGGAAAGTAAGTCATCATATGAAAAAGACACATACACAGGCTGGTCTATAGTAGCACAATTCTCAGTTACAAAGATATGGAACCAATCTAACATGCCCAACTGCCAAAAAGTGGACAAAGAAAATGTGGTATGTATATGCCATAGACTACTACTCAGCCTTAAAAAGAAATGAAATAATATCTTTTGCAGAAACTTGGATGGAACTAGAGGCCATTTACTCTAAGTGAAGTTACTCAGGAATAGAAAACCAAATATCATATGTTCTCACTTATAAGTGGGAACTAAGTTATGAGGATGCAAAGGCATAAGAATGATATAACAGACTTTGGAGCCTCGAGGGCCCAAGAAAAGATTGGGAGGTGGGTGAAGGATACCAGACTACATATTGGGTATAGTGTACATTGATTGAGTGATGAGTGCACTAAAATCTCAGAAATCACCACTAAAGAATTTATCCATGTAACCAAAAACTACCTGCACCGCAAAAACTATCGAAAGATAAAAATTAGCCCAGGCACAGTGGCTCATCCCTGTAATCCCAGCACTTTGGGAGGCCAAGGCGGGCAGGTCACTTGAGGTCAGGAATTCCAGACCAGCCTGGCCAACATGGTGAAACCGCGCCTCTACTAAAAATACACAAATTAGCAGGGTGTGCTGTCGCCTGCCTGTAATCCTAGCTACTGGGGAAGCTGAGGCAGGAGAATCGCTTAACCACAGAGGCGGAGGTTGCAGTGAGCCAAGATCATGCCACTGCACTCCAGCCTGGGAGACAGAGCAAGACTCCATCCCAAATAATGATAATAAAAAATTTAAAAAATAATTAATTTAACATAAAATAAATTGCTTAGGTCATTTTACTAAAAAAATAATAATAACAAGTCAGATCTCTAGATCTCCTCACCAGCTCACATAGCCAAGAAATGTCCCAACACAAAAAAATAAAAAGGACCCAAGGATCACAGCCACATTAGTTTTCTGGCTTATGAGAAAAGAAAAGAAAACTCAGATAAGTATAGGAATAGTGTTTTAAGGCTCATGCATGGAAATGGCATGCATCTCTTCTATTCCGTCTCCGTGACTCACATGAGTATATCTAGTTGCAAAAGACCACAGGAAAATTTAGTCTCTGGCTGCTCAGCCATATGCCTAACTTCCTTACCATCAAAGAAGGGGAGAAGGAATTTTGATGACATTTTGAGAGCAGGACCAAATGTCTGAGACTCTAAATTCCAACATTTAACATGGGAATATTATTCCCAAAAGGCCAGATGGGACCCGTTGCCTTTTGTTGTTGTTGTTGTTGCAGTTGTTGTTTGTTGTTGTTTTGAGACACAGTTTCACTCTGTCGTCCAAGGCCGGAGTGCAATGGTGCCATCTCGGCTCACTGCAAACTGTACCTCCCAATTCAAGTGATTCTGCTGCCCCAGCCTCCCACGTAGCTGGGATTACAGGCACCCACCACCACGCCCGGCTAATTTTTGTGTTATTAGTAGAGACAGGGTTTCACCATGTTGGCCAGCCTGGTCTCAAACTCCTCACCTCAAGTGATCCGCCCTCCTCGACCTCCCAAAGTGCTGAGATTACAGGTGTGAGCCACTGTGCCCAGCCCCAGTTACCCTTTGTACGTGCAATTCCTCAGCAGAGACTAGTGTGACTGTAGAGGGTGTCATGTAAAGCTAAGCCACCCCCATCCCCAGCTACCACAAGATCACCCTGGATGTCACCCTGGAAAGGAGCCGAAGGAAAGGAAGGAAGCCCAAAACACTGTGCCTTAGCCCAAAAGAGGCTGAGTTTTCTCCCCAGTTTAAAACAGACAAGACTGTAGTTGTATAAAACGGCATGTAGAAAGTTCAATCATCCACCACTAACCTTACCACCGCCCTGCTCTCCAATAAGTTAAGGCTTCATAAAAACATGCTACGAGGCACCAGGAAATAGAAAAGCTGTATTTGCTTTGCATATCTATGGTAAAGATGTATTATAACCAACCCCCATTAGTGGACACTTAGCTTGTTTCCAGTTTATTGCTGTTTTCAGCAATGCTATGGTGAATGTTTTGTGTGTATATCTGTGTGTGTATTTCAATACATTTGCCAGTTATTTTTCTTTGCATAACATCCCAGAAATGAAATAGTGAATTAAGGGGAAAACACTTTTTAAGGTTCTTCATATCCTTACTAAACTTCCACCAGTAAGGTCGTGCCAACTTGTAATTGCACAGCAGCGTGCTGAATAACTAACCTCTTTTCATCCTGAATATTGGAAATCTCTCAAATATTTCACAGTAAATTCTTTGCTAAAAACTAGATAATTTTGTTTTCATTGAGCTGACAAGTAGGGAGGAGCTTAGCTCAATAATGAATAATAATTCATTATAATTACGTAATAAGAAGTTCTATGAGAGGCACAATAGAAAAGATACTGAAGTGAGATGCAGAAGTACTGCCCTCAATAGCTAGTTCTGGCAGTAGACTGCTGTGTAATATTGATAAATCAAAACAAAAATCGGGGGTCAAATTAAATTTATTAATTTCTTGTCCCTCAAGGTAGCAGAAACCTTAATGGTAATACAATTCATAATTTTCTCTTGAACCAAAAACACTACCCTGAAGACTTAGCCATGCATGATTGAAACAGACAACTCAAAGCAGAAGAAATATCTCATTTTCTACTGTCACCAAATAATCCCACTAGATACCACGTTATTAATGATTCCCCTATGCAAGATAGCAACTCCTGGCTTAAATTCAGATGGATGGCTGTAGCTAATGTAAAATTTTCAGCATCATTTCACTTAAATTCAAAATTCAAATTCAACAAACATTTATTGTGCCAGAAGCCGTTCCATGTGAAGAATATGAAACAATGGCCCTGTCCTGAAGAAGCTGACAACATAGTTAAGTCATTTTCTCACAGTAGGTTTTTCTACACAGAATAGTTTCTACTTAAAATAATAAAGCAGAATATTGAGACCAAGAAATACTAAAATTACAAAATTTCCAAGCCATCTCAAAATTGAGGCTCACTTTTTAAAGGTACTTGCACATTTTTCTTAATATTTAATATATTTGCATATATCATAAAGAAATATTTTAATAGATTTGAATTGTGTGTTGTATGTGTATATGTGTGTATATAGATGCATATATAAAATGTATATAAAATCTTATTAGTAACCTGTACTAATTTTAGTGTTAAAATTAACTGTATATTTAACAATGCTTGAGTCTAAATTAGAAAAATATGATTGACATCAGAACAGCAACATGTTATAAAATATAATTACTTAATTTTAAAAATTAACTTCATATAATTAACTAATACACCAATAATTAAGAAATATGTAATTAAATTATAGTCCCTACTGCTTAGTCATTTAATCATAAAAGCAAAACATGTTTTTATAAACAAATAAAATAAATCTCAAATCTATTAATTAAATGGGTGGTTGGAGCTAAGAATAAACATTAAGAGTAAAAATCATCTATTTCCACAATCTCTGTAATTAGAAAACAAGTTTTATGATGAAGTGCTTAATTATTATATTGGTATAGACTAGTTGGTGTGGCTCAGTTCCTTAGTTTGAATACTAGCTCTGCCGCTTGGCAGCTATGATGTGCAACTTAACCTCTCTAAGTTTATTTCTGCACCAGTAAAATGAGGATAACCATAGTGCCACTTCAGGGAGCTATTGTCAGAATTAAATAAGATAATTTATGGATAGTGCTTACTATAACCCTGACACCTGGAAAATCCTAGGCACCATTATTATCTAGCCAGTTTGGAAAATGGTCTGCTTCATACATAATTTGGTAGTAAATCAGAATTCTGTGATATCATTTATACAACCAACCAAGTTCATCTCTTTGATTGGTAGGGAAAATATAAGAGTGGAAACAGGAATATACTATTATTTCGGTAAAAGTCCTAAAGAGTCTTCTTCTCTAATGAATTACCCCTTTCTGTTTAAAGAAAACCAAGATATTACTAATGAAAGTTTGTCAGTTTCATTTGCAAACTGCTTCAACAAACTAATTCTGATAACTATGGGATCTTGCTTCCAAAAGACAGTATATATATGGGTTTTTTGAGGAGAGACGACAAAACAAATACTCTGGCTAATGTAAAGGGAATAAAATCTCTTGGCAGAATATTAGAAAACCAGGTTACTTTCAGAAGGGCTGGAGAACCAGGTTTGAAACCAGGCAGGAACAGAGATAGTTCCACAGAGCAGATGTGGGCCCACGAGGACCATCCTCATTGCAGGAATTACCTGGTTCGAGCCAGTCTCTGGGGAGCATGAGATCTTACCCTGTTCTCCATGTTTGCAAGTCTCATCTTACACATCGGTCTGTACCAGGACAGAGAAAAGAAAGATTTGTCCCATAGAATCTCCCTGGTGGGAGGGAAATACCTGGACACCAGTCCCAGAACACTGTGCAGATGGGCTCTTTAAGAAGTGTAAATGGATTCTCAACAGATTCAGACCATGGGGTTGTCACAGTCAAATACATGAAGAATCTACAGAACTTTGTGAAGCTTAAATATAATTCCACTAACGTTACTGGAAAGAACACAGGTATAAGCTCCCACTTGGGGAGCTTTAGAAATCACAATACTTTGAAGGATTCTCATTTGAGGAAGGTACCTAAACCCAGAAGACGATTATAAACTAGCAGAGTTGTGACATTTTTAGGATTAAATAAAACCATGTCTATGAAATGCCTTCATAAAATACAGCACACCCTGTGAATGTAGAGTGATATCGGTATCAGTAGATGTCTGTTAGAAAAGTAGACACCACATTTACATACAATCAGTTGGAGATAAGACATTCTTTCCCCGTAACCATTGTTTCCCTATATACCAGCTCTCTTCCCTTTTGACAGTATCTTGTTTTAATCACAGCAAAGGTAGAATTTTATTGTCATTCAACAATACGAATACGTATCCTCAGGGTATGCTAAATACACACACACACATCTCATATCTTAAAGCTATTCATAAAGTAGTTCTCCTCCAGGCTGAATTAGCAATGTTCAGATACTGCAAAGAAAGAACCTAAGAATGGGAAATGCTTTCTAATGAGGCTGTCTCTGAAGCAGCAATCAAATAGGAATTCAGGGAATGTTCTGACATTAGTATTAAGAGGACTAGTTTGTTTGCATCCGCTAAATTTACGGTGCTTAACTTTTCAATGCTGAGATTGTCATATTTCCGGGAAATGTTTTATTCACTCAGTTTCCTTTGTCTGAGAAATGAAGCTATCACTGAACTATTTCCAAGAAAATCCCAACAGAGATCCTTATAGACAGAGAGGTAAATGCATAGATGGGATGAATTGGCTCTGAGTCTTTGTACATGTTAGAAATACAAATAATATTCCAATGATACTGAAGTTAACAGATCTGGGTTCCAGAGGTAAAAGCCACAGAGTAATGAATGTGCTTAATAGTGGAAAAGAAAGTCAAGGAAATTTTATGCAAGAAAGCAAGTTAAACCATATCTTTTGGAAGAAAAATTACAAATCTATGTACTTTTCTAACTATTAAGAAGTCCAAATGAGGCTGGGCTCAGAGGCTCAAGCCTGTTATCCCAACACTTTTGGAGGAGGCCAAGGGGAGGATTGCTTGAGGTCCTGAGTTCAAGACTAACCTGCTCAACGTAGCAAGACCTGGTCTCTACAAAAAAATTATAACATTAACTAGGCATGAGGGTGTGCACATGTAGTCCCAGCTACTCAGGAGGCGGGGGCAGGAGGACTGCTTGAGTCCAGGAGTTGGAGGCTGCAGTGAGCCATGACCACAACATTGCACTCCAGTCTGGGCAACAGAGTGAGACTCAATCTCAAAAACAAAAAACAAAACAAAACAAAACAAAAGAAATACAGAAAAATTCAGGCCGGGCGCAGTGGCTCACGCCTGTAATCCCAGTACTTTGGAAAGCTGAGGCAGACAGATCCCCTGAGGTCAGGAGTTCAAGACCAGCCCGGCCAACATGGCAAAACCCGTTCTCTACTAAAAATACAAAAATTAGCTGGGTGTGGTGGCACGTGCCTGTAGTCCCAGCTACTTGGGAGGCTGAGAATCATTTGAACCCGGGAGAATCATTTGAACCCGGGAGGCAGAGGTTGCAGTAAGCTGAGATGGCACCACTGCACTCCAGCCTAGGCAATGCCTGACCAATGCACCTGGCCAATTACTGTAATTTTATACTAAGTCTTGAAATCAGGTAGTGTGAATTCTCCAACAATATTCTTGTTTTACAAAATGTTCTTGGCTATTCTAGGTTCTCTGCATTTTCATATACATTTTAGAATCAGCATGTCAATTTCTTAAAAACAAACAAAAAGTCTGGAGTAGAGCTACAGTCTAGCTCTGGACTTTTCTATGAGGGACAAATAAAATGTCTTGTTTAAGGCCACTTGCATTATAGATCTTTTTTACTGAAGACCAAACCTAATCCTAACTGATGCAATCTTTGTTTCACTCTGCTGAGCCCTGTACCAGTCATCATAGCCAATAATGTATAACGCAGGTAGCTCCACCAGAGACACAACAACTGATTGTGAAAAAGAGATGGCTCCCTAGGAAAATCAGGGCTAGAGGTAAAAGAAGTTGAAAGGATTTTGGGTAAGTAAAGTATATACTTACCACTCTGCCAACATGGCCTCAAAACTAAACAAACTGGAGGTTACACCTGCCTTGATTACTATCTGTTTTTTAAAAGACTCATTCAGTTTACAATGTGCTTTCTAGCTACCGAGTTGCTTATTGACTCTGAAATACAAACAGTGGTACCCAGAGTGAAACATGTGAAAGAGACACAGCTATACAGTGATCCTAGAGATCTCCAAAAATCCCAGACAATGGTCTGCTGAAGAATGTGGCCAACTCAGCTATTCGGAAGCAATCTTGCTTTTTTTTTTTTTTTTTTTTGCAACCGAGTTTCACTCTTTCACCCAGGCTGGAGTGCAGTGGTGCCACCTCGGCTCACTGCAACCTCTGCCTTCCGGTTTCAAGTGATTCTCCTGCCTCAGCCTCCCGAGTAGCTGGGATTACAGGTGCCCACCACCATGTCCAGCTAATTTTTGTATTTTTTAGTAGAGACGGGGTTTCACCGGGTTGACCAGGCTGGTCTCAAACTCCTGGCCTCATGATCCGTCCACCTCGGCCTCCCAAAGTGCTGGGATTACAGGCGTGAGCCACTGCACCCAGCCCACCAATCTTGCTTTCAAGGATGACTTTTGCACCTGAGGAAGACTCAAAAGGTACTTTGTTTCTTTGCTTGCTTGTTTTTTTGTTTTTAATTTAAACTAGTCAAACAACAAGGTCAAACAGAATTAGGCAGAGACACATTTTCAAATTGAGGAGATGAGATTGGGAGGTCACTAGTGAAAGCTTAATTAATTAATTATTTTTTTCTTTTTTGAGAGTGGGTCTCACTCTGCCCCCCAGGCTGAGATGCAGTGGTGTGATCATGGCTCACTGCAGCCTTGACCTCTTGGGCTCAAGGGATCCTCCTACCTCAGTCTCCCCAGTACCTGGTACTATAGACATGTGCCACCATGCCGAGCTAATTTGTTTTTAATTTTTTGCAGAGACAAGATCTCCCTGTGTTGCCCAGGTTGGTCTCGAACTCCTGTGCTCAAGCAATCCTCCCGCCTCAGCCTCCCAAAGTGCTGGGATTACAGGCATGAACCACCATGCCTGGCAGCGTGGAAGCTTAATTTAAAAAGCAAGTGCTGGGGACGGGGCGTGGTGGTTCAGGCCTGCAATCTCAGCAATTTGGGAGGCCCAGGCAGGAGGATTGCTTAAGCCCAGGAGTTTGAGACCAGCCTGAACAACATAGGGAGACCCCGTCTCTACAAAAAATAAACCAAATTAGCTGAAGTGGGAGAATCGTTTGAGCCCAGGAGTTCAAAGCTGTCATGAGTGGTGATTGTGCCATTGCACTCCAGGCTGGGCAGCAGAATGAAACACTGTCTCAAAAAAAAAAAGCAAGTACTGATAGGATGGCTTCTGCCAAATGTTTTCTGAAAACTCAGATAAAGTTATGAAACATGGATGTGACAGATCTACAAACCCCAAGGCAAAACCCAGGCCAGTCTCCCTATTAATGCCTGGTGACATCATATAAGCACTGGAATTGGAATGTGATGTTGAAAGATGACTCAAGTGATCCAGTTGGCAGAAGATCTAAATTCTTTGGAAATGCCTTCAGCCTTGGTTCACCTCTGCCCTGAGCTGGTTGGCTGATCTTCACAGTGTACAGCTATGGGATGAGAGAGTCAGCTCTATCCTGCAAATTACAGGGCTGCTTCAGAAGCTGCTTGGCTACATCTCAGATGGACCCTTGGCTCTGGTGTTCTGAGCATGACTTTCTGTTCTTTGGCCTTTGCCCATCTATGATTCCACCAAATCACAGTCCAACTAATAATCTTCCAGAGTGTTAAAGCTGAAATGGACCTTAGAAAACAGTAGAATACCAGTCCCTTGTTTTCAGATGAGAAAACTTCTATAGTAGGCTCTCTGGGAATATTTCTAAGTGCAAGATACTTTTCTTGCCCTTGAGCAAGAAATGTTCTTGTTTTATGTTTGTCTTGTTTTCTGCCATGGCTGTTTTTGTTTCTTCTTCTGAAATTACCTATCCTAAAATCCTCCGTATATTTATTTTTTTGTTGTTGAGACAGAGTCTTGCTCTGTCACCCAGGCTGGAGTGTGGTGGCATGATCTTGGCTCATTGCAACCTCCGCCTCCAGGGTTCAAGTGATTCTCCTGCCTCAGCCGCCCGAGTAGCTGGGACTACAAATGTGAGCCACCATGCCTAGCTAATTTTTGTATTTTTTAGTAGAGACAGGGTTTCACCATGTTGGCCCGGCCCATCTTGAACTCCTGGCCTCAAATGACCCGCCCACCTCAGCCTCCCAAAGTGCTGGGATTACAGGGATTACAGGCATGAGCCACCGCACCTGGCCTTCCTCTGTATATTTCAACCAGCTGAATGTGTTGAACCTTAAAACAAATGAAATTGGAAGATCAATGGAGGACTTCAAGTGTTACATTGTGTAAAGGACATGATCTTACATTTGATATAAAGCAATAAATCTGGAGCATTTTCATCAATCTGAAGGTACTATTTTAACTAAGAATCTATCAGTCTACAGTGCTAGGGCACATAGCAAACAAATGGAATTAAATAGGCAAGAAGCCTCATTTCAGATTGACAATACCATGCAGGTTGCTTTAGGTCAATGGAAATGAGTGTTCTTAGTAAGCATCATCTGCATTTTCTGCATTGCCCTCAGATGCAGATAGATTCATGAGCACCAAGGTACCCATCTCAGGTAGCCACAAGCCTAAGAGGGCATCCTAAAGACCAGGTCAGGATGCATTTGAGAAACGAGACGGCTTCATCCTCTTTTACTTCCCCTCTGCCTTCACATGGCCCATGTCAACAAAGATGTAGCGTGGTGCCTTAGAAACTGCTCTTTCTTTATAAGCTCAGAGTCAAGTTCATGACTACTCACAAGAGAATATGACTTTATGGAATGCCATTTTGTACTCTGTCTTCTTGATTTATTTGTTCCTAATTTTTTAATTTAGCAATATGATTTGCATTTTTGTTAATCACTTTGAATTCTTTATGCAGGAAGGTATGATTTATATTATGTGTTATATCAATATAATTAATGTCTGTGCATACAATTTGGGCGTACGGCAAAAGAGAATAGTCTTTGGAATCATACTGCCCTGCTTTAGATATCTCAGTACCTATGTGACCTAGGACAAGCTATTCACCTCTCTGAGGTTGAGTTTCTTCACTTGTGAAGTAGGGATGAGAATCCGTCTACCTTAGAAAAGGTCAATGGGACTGAAGGTAGTATAGGTGAAATACTTTGTACATTGCCTGCCACCAAGTAGTTACCCATATATCACTAGCTGTCCTTATTTATGAAGCAGCTCATCTGCAATGTATTTAGGGGTGATTCTATCTTCTAAATACGATTCAGCATTTCCTGCCAAGTCAACAAGGCTGAATCTAGCAGTATCAACACTTCACTATTTCCCTGTCTCAATGCAAAAGTGTAAGCTGTGACCATTTCTACGGTATCATGTTGACACTGGAAGAGAGGGAAATAGGAAGAGCAAAGAGAAGAGGAGTCAGGAAGACCCCCTGAATTAATCCTCAAATGCCAAATCAATGGCGCCTCCTCACTTGCATGCTCACTGGCCAGTGAGCTCACTTGCATGCTCACTGGCCAGGGTCAGTCTCAGCATCAATTGGAAACTTGTAAAAAGTGTGAATCAGAACCCCTTACCATGGACCCCAGGAACCCGTGATTTAACAAGCTCTCTGCACAATTCTTGAGAAGCACCGCTGGAAAACAGTACTGTTAGAGGATATCTTTAGCTGTCGGCCAGCTCAGACAGAAGGAGCCAGTAACCCCCAGGCTGGATCCAGTCCCCAGGACTACTCATTTGGAATTGCAAAATGATTTTTTCAATGGCCACTTTCACATTTTGGAAAATTGAGTTTCCCGGTTATCTTGCAAAATGAGAAACGATGGCAACACTGAACCTGCATTTCCACAGGATTACGTTTAACAAGAGTGAAATCACAGTGCACTTCTTTAGAACCAGCACTTTCTAGTTTGTCATAGTCCCCAGCAGTCCCTCTTACTTTACACCTGCTCCACAACGCCCATCTCTAGTCCCAGCAAGCCCCTGTGAGCATTTGGTTTGGCCACTCCTGATCTAGTTCAACCTCTCCACCCCCCATTTAGGAAAGTACACTTAGGGTGAGAGAGTTTAAGCAAATTCAGTTAGCAAGTTAAGAACCAAATAATGTATTACAGAAATCATAGCTATTATTGCAAAATCGTTTGTTAAAAAGAAAAATAATTTGGACCAGAATGCTAATTTTGTGATATCTTCTATACTATAGTTCTGCATCCTTATCCCTTGTCACTAACCTTGATGTTCATTTTCATTCCTCCACGACAGAATGTTATTGGGATAAAGGAGGCACAGTGAGATTTGGTGAGTTTCACAGGGGCCAATCAAAAACACAAGCAAACAATTTTGCTCTCACAGTGACTGGATCTTATTTTAGCATTACATAGTCAAGGTGTCTCATTTCTAACAAATACCAGAAATTACACTTGTAAATGGCATGTATGTGTCTGCAAAAGAAGACATTTCTCAGGCATCCGTAATGTAGATATTTAAAAGTTGCCCAGGTGATTCCATTTTATGCCACCAGGTTTGGAAAACAATGATTTGGGCAACTGTGACATAATCCAATTATCCTCCCTGCCACCCTGACAGATGGCATGATCATTTTAAAAAGTGTTTTCAAGCTGGTTGAATTGTAAATACTTCCTTATATTGAGCTAAAATCTACTGCCTGCAATACCTGTCTTCTACCTACTTCCCTTTGAAATCCATTGCATTTTGCCTGTCTCGACCCAGTTGTCTCTCAACTGTTCTATAAGTGATTTGGTTTCTGCACTAAGATCCACTGTGGTCACCAACCTCAAGAGATAATAATGAGATTCATCCTCTATGGAAACCTTGTTCTCCGACAGGCATAGCATTAGGGATTTTGGATCTCTTCTGTCATATTCTTAACAAGCTAGAGAAGTGGATTTTATTACCCATTCTTTAACTGCCAAAGCCGGAACTGGGACTGAGGCAATTATGCTAGTAAAACTATGTTGGCCTGGCACCTTTTGGTGCCTGGATCTGGGCACTACATTTAAAAAAAAAAATTGTATTTTTAATTTTTGTGGGTACATCATAAGTGTAGATATTTGTGGGGTACATGAGATGTTTTGATACAGGCATGCAATGCAAAATAATCACTTCATGGAGAATGGGGTATCCATGCCCTCAAGCATTCATCCTTTGTGTTACAAACAATCCAATTACACTGTTTTAGTTATTTTAAAATGTACAATGAAATTATTGCTGACTATAGTCACCCAGTCATGGGACCAAATGTCTTATTCATGCTTTCTATTTTTTTGGTGCCCATTAGCCATTCCCACCTCCTCTCAGCCTCCCACTACCCTTTCCACCCTCTGTTAACCATCATTCTACTCTCTATGTTCATGAGTTCAATTGTTTTGATTTTTAGATCCCACAAATATGTGAGAACATTCGATGTTGGTCTTTCTGTGTCTGGTTTATTTCACTTAACATAATGATCTCCACTTCCATCCATGTCATTGCAAATGACACGATGTCATTCCTTTTTATGGCTGAATAGTACTCCATTGTGTATATGTACCACATTTTCTTTATCCATTCATCTGCCGATGGACACTTAGGTTGCTTCCAAATTGTGGCTATTGTGAACAGTGCTGAAACAATGGGCATCGCACTTTTTTAAAGTGGAAGCTTCCTGGTCTAGAATACCATCTTTCCAGGTTAAGGTTAATAAACAAGTCTTAGCATAATTCGTTTTAGACCTAACCTCATATCGAACCAGCTGGAAGGGAAACCTTGCAAGCTGTCTGCAACAGCTTGCTGAGGACCAGGGCTTGATCCATCACATGCACCCACCTGTAAGTGTGGGGTGCCGGGAGATGAGTTTCTAGGCCCTTAAACATGAGATGAGAGCCCTGACAGAATCAACGAAGAATAACTAAGTATTCATTCGTGAGAAGCCTTCATGAGAGGCTGGATGGCAGACACTAAACGTGAGTTTTAACTGGTAAAGGATGCACTGTATGCGGAATGTGAAGAAAAAAGGAGAGGGTCGGAGGGAAACAAGCCTGGGATTTGTTTGTTTGCTTTGGTTTTGGTTTAATTTGGTTTTTGCCAGGCCCTGTTCTCCTGTTTTTCTCCTCCATTGTCCATTTTAAAATACTAAGTAAATAAATAAATAATTTTAAAAGGAGCAGTAACCTATAATTCCAATGAATGCTCCCCCAAATAAATTATAACAACTACAGGGTGGTCTAGAGTGCTCAACTAACGTTCATCTTCTTTTAACATGTAATCATCTACAGGGAGAGGAGATGTCATAAAACCTTATGCACTCCCCTGCTTGGGGTTTTGTGCCTCTTTGTCAATATAGTGATTAATTTCACAAACTTCACAAATTTTTCGAAGGATTTTATGTTATGATAACACACCTTTTGGGACAATGATTTTTACTGAAAATGCATTTATAAGAGGTGACTTTTACACTGTTTAGAGGATGGATTCAAGTGTGTTGAACATGTTCTATCCGAGGTACTGTTTTAAATTCTATCAAACAGTTAGCCATTTTATATAATGCTCAAATGAAAATTGAACGTGAAGTTCAACTTATGTTTTTATTTTTAAATAGCTGATATGAATTGATTTCTTTTTAATTGAAAGTTATGTGATTTGATGATTCAACCTCAATAACAAAAACAATGTCACTTTGCAACCATTTGATTTATTTCATGTTTTGTCACCCTGCCATTATTAAATTAGTTCACCTTTTAATAAAAATAATTTCTGATGTTGAGAAAATACAGGTAAGTAGAGAAAAGCTTCATTAAGATCATCAGTATTAAAACTAAATCCTTTTTTCTCATTAAAGGAGATACAGTCAATTTAATTAATGCACACTAATCTCTAGTTGACATTAAATTCATCTAAAAATCTACACTCATATAAATTATTAATACCAAGGCATAAAAAATGTTTAAAATGATTAATATATAGATGAAACACATTTCTAGAGGTTCAAGTGATTATATTTTAAAATGTTCTATAGATGAACTAATCATTTGACACAACTTCTTCAGTTTATCAAACACTTTTGATTTAAGGGGAAAAAAAGACCGGAAAAGTATCTTTCCTAAGGAAAAAAAAAAAACAGAAAATTTTACTAAATTTAAAATTTTAAATGTTGATTTAGAGTTGATATTTCTCTCTAAATTAACTTAAAATCATCATAGTGTGAAAGTCGAAACCCAAATTATCTTTACACTTACATCATTTAAATTCTTATTTTTGAAAGAAGGCTGTATTTTGTGTAACCTTCAGATGTTTTCTTCTTTACTTTTTCTAGAAAAGGAGAATTATTATAAACCAATAAAGAATTCACCCCCAGCATTTAAAAAAAATGATTCTGGATTGTAAAGCTGTTTTGTTTTAAAATATCTTTCTGTATGAACTTATTTTAACTGGACTTTTAAAACATTCTGACCTCTAATTGTAAGTATATTCCAAGTGGCATAGTTTGTATTCTGGTTTTATCAATCTGTTTTCAGGCTATAGGTCACTTTACAAAGAATGTCACCATGTATTTTAACACTAATTTCAAATAAAGATCTCATCCCAAGTCCAGGCCAATCAGGCTTATAAAAGTTTAACTTCGATTCATGAGCTCTTTTATATAGGGCTCAAATCTTCCACCAGGGCAAGACAAGCCACACAAAATAACTGTCTTTTCAATGTACATTGACTTAAAGAACTTACCTTTCATATTAAGTAACAACAACAAGAAGTAAACTTGTATTTTATCCAGCTTTTCAATTTCATGATAAGCTCTAGAGCTAATTAATTTAATAGACTACAAGATGCCAATTTTCTTTATTTACCCTTTTTGTCTTGATAAACATTAGTGTGCTTGAATGGACACCTCTATTTTCCTTGGAGTTTTAAAGCTTCCTTTCATGTGTGTGAAAAATGGCTAAATATGTCAGGGTTTATCAAACAGAGCCTTGCTTTTTTGGCTGGTCCCTTTCGCCTTATCTAGCAAACACATTACCCTCTCCATCAAAATGTGGCAGAGCAAACACTGCAGTGGGCCCGCACACATAACTAGAGCTACCTTTAAACAGCCTCTAGACTCTTTAAACCCAGCTAGAAAGCTGATTAGGTCCCAGATCTTTGGGCGTTATCTTATTTTCGATAGCCATGCTATGAAAAGGCAATGAAGAAAAGCTGTCTAATAGCGAGGCACGTTAAAGTGTCTGCTTGCTTAAGTGCCGTGTTTAAAAGGAAGAAAAAAGAGAACTGTGTAAACTAGTTTAACTATTTGCTAAACCTCAAAAGGAACAATGTTTTAAAAAATTTTATATGTGACTTAAAGGAAAACCATATTTTCTTAAATCTCAGCCTTCACATACAGAAACCAACATATCACCATGGTTTATTTTCCTGTCCAAAAATATTCTAATATATTTGTTTAGGGTCTTTTGCGCAAGTTTGAAGAGATTATCAGCCCAAATATGAGAAAGTCAAAGATTTATTTCAGGCCCATGGAGCAACCATGAAAAGACACAATAGGAAGTTATGTGTATTTCACTAAAGTTACCTTTACCTTTATTTGAAAGGATGAATTAAGAGTAAGAAAACAGCTACTACTGAAGCTGAGTTTAAACAGCTAAAATTCACTTTGTATATGAAATAGAGCAAGACAGATGACATTTAGGAAACATCTAAACCTCACACAAACACCACCTTCTTAGAACACAAATTTTTGGTATGCGCACCAAGTAGAAACAGACTGTCTTACAACACTGAACATGTTGAAAGGGAAACATGTGAGTAGGATGTGGAATGCCGATGTAGAGAGGAGGGGGTGTGGTTCCAAGTGGCAAAGTTAGCATGAACACGTGTCCGAAAACACCGGCTCCCATCCGGACTTGTTTGTGTGAGTTAGTTTGGGGAGTTACATAAAATGAAAACTATGCATGCCTGAGGTTCTGTGATCTAATGTAACAAAATTGAGTCATATTTTATATCCATGAAGGGTGACCTGGAGAGAAAGGGAGGGTGCTGTTAGCTGCCTTTCCAACACCCCGGTTTCACTTCAGCTGTGGTCTCAAGTTACTATCTAAAGAGCCAGAGCAGCTCAAAACCAGAGAGAAAGATACCCCATAGTTGAGGTAATGTGATACCCAGTCGAAACTGGTTTTGTCTTCATTACAAAAGCCAACGTGAGGGGTGGGGATCAAACCCTGAAAGATTTTATTATTTCATTCCATTAATTTTTACATCAAGATCCTAGTTTAAATCAATATTCTAACATATTATCAGGACATATGTCTTTCCATTCAAAATAAATTTAAACTTGGACAACCTAATAAAAGACAGTGCCTGGCACATATAAAACACACATCCTAAAACTCAGAGGATGTTAAAAGATATGCTACAAAGGAATTAGGTACTTAGCATAAAGCAAAAATGAAGAAAGAGCATGCTGACATCCTTACCAAATAAAGTGACTGGATGGCAAGTCACACTGTGGTTTCTCTTTAGGGTCTCTTGGTAGCTTTTTCTTGTGATTTGGTGTATAGACATTTTCACGGCATTCTCACCACTCCTCAGAGCCGCATTTTAGCTTGGCATTTGCGTAGAAGGCTATGTGGTTTATCCGAGGCTCAGGGAGCCAGGAAGAAAGAGAGTGATCACTTTGCCCCTTTGGGGCAATTTTGTAATTCTGATGCTTCAGCTTAGTGCAGATTTGAGCAAATCTGCAGATATTTGAACAAGGTCTTAATAGAAACACTTCAAATTTCAAGTTTACATTTTGAAGTCTGGTCACAACATTCTACATGATCAGAACAAAAACACTGTTGTTGATAATAACATTAGCAAGACATTAATTCCTACTGTAGGCCATCAGTAACAGCTGATGTATATCTAGAAATTGCCACACACCAGGCACACTTTAAGAGCTTCACGTGAGTTAACTCACTTAATCTTGACAGCAACCCCTGCTGTAGGTAATATTATTATTTTACAAGTTGAGAAAACTGAAGAACAGAGAAATTAAGTAACTTGCCCAGAGACACACAGCCAGGAAGTGACTAAACTTCAAAGAAGTTCATTGTATGTGTTTCTGTGTGTGAGCATGTATTAAATATGGTCAAAGTGTTTCCTTGAAAATAAGTAGAGCCCCACTAAATCAATTTGACTCTCCAGGAGACAACATAGGAAATTGTTTTCTGCTTTATTATGGGTAATGTACATAATATTCTATTAAATAAATCTTATAGTTGACGGCTTTAAAAGATTGATTTTCAATGCAAACCAATGATTTCTAATTTTTTTGGAAAATGATCACAAATAGATTCATGTGGTACCTCAAAACTTCTGTGATTAAAATGTGTAGATTTTGTACATCACAAATTGGCCTTTCACCTTGCTTGGTCTGCCTTAGTATCCCTGGCTGCCATTGAGTTACGGGTAAATATTATCCTTGCCAGCCTACCCTTTCTCTTTCTCTCTGAATATTGTATCTGTACTTGCTTTTGATTAATGGCTGGTTTCTCAGCAGAAAAGTACATCTTTCAGAGTTTTGTAATATTTTGAGCTTTGTCACCGAACACCATCTGAGGATAAATAGCAACATCTAGGGATAAAAAGAGTTGCTGTACATGATATTATCAGCAAAGAAGGCATACCATCAGAATCTCCCAAACTTCCCCTAAACAGGAGACAGTAAGAGAAAGGCTTCAGTGCCAGCACAAATAAGGGACATTTGATAAAAGAAGATGTTAACTGGAATGAGAAGTGTGCATCACATTTGGTTGATGTGTTTATCATCATTTTCAGGTACACAATCAAGCCAAAAGATACGCTTTGGTGAATGATAATGTTCGAGAATGAAGAAGAAAGTTTTAATGAGATCAATGTTGCCATCGTCTCCCAATGTTAACCTAAAAGCTGAAGACAAAAAAAAAAAAAAAAAAAAGAGCTGTTTTAGATGTGTTGGCTTATTTGGGGAGCAATTATGTACTTAACATCTTTTTTTAAATGCTGTGAATCTCCACCCTCCAGTGCAACATTATACACACATGCAATTAACCACCTTGGTAATGTCTTTCCCATCTGACCTAGAATGACAAAATAAGACTCTAATGGGCAAAGAGATACATACTGGTGCTAAGATTGCCTTTTTAGACTTCAGGAGTCTCTAAAAAACAAATGTAAAAACACCAAGCACAATAAATAGCATCTCTGTCACTGGAAATCAGCACAAGCTTGAAACTTCACTTTTGCACTCATAGAAAAAAAATATTGCTAGCCAGAATAATAGCAATCCAAGATGATGCAAAGAAAAATGTGTCCCAATTTTATCATAGCAAATAAATGTTTAAAACACACATTAGTTGGTACATAAACATGTGCTCTGTTGGTGTTAACAAAAAAAAAAAAAAGAAAGGAAGAAAACTGTCAAGGAGATGGTTCCCACCTTTTAGAAATCTCACAGGAAGTAATTATTCATTGTTTCTGCACTAAGTCATGCTAATTTCAGGTCACAACTTTCAGAACTGCTAGGATATGCCCAGACCATTGGGATTATTTATTTGAAAAGACACAAATATTATGAAAGTTTATTTTACACACTGAACAGCTTGTCACCTGGAAAAAAAAAAACTTTCCTCACCATGGGGTTGGGAGTGTGTAGGGGTAGTATAAACCCAGTTTGCTGCCAAAGGAATTTATGAACTAAATCCCAAGGCAACCTCAGGAGAGAGTCTGTAAAAAAGAATCATTTTGTCAGCCTTTCTACTGCTTCCACACCCCAAGCCTGCTATTGAAAGAGAGTGAAAGAGAAGAAAAGAGAAGCCCACCCTATTTGATATTGTCCCCACCACCCCCCTCTCCCAGTTAAGGAAATGTTGCTCCAGCCATAGATTTAGAATGAATCATCTGATCACACTTCTGGAAACTAGGGTAAATAAAGGTTGTGTGCCCTGTAATTATTAATTATACAGACTGAGCTATCTCCAGGGGCATTTAAAATATTTGGGGGTTGCAGGTGGAGAAAGGTTTCTTGGCAGTAGTTGTTCATTGAAATCTCTTACAGGATTTTTTTTTTAACCTAGTCTGTGATGCAGAACCCGCTGTGCTAAATTATGAACCAAAGGCTTTGGGGTGGGAACAATCAATCAAAATACCTGGGGTAGTGTGTAATGTGCATGCTCTTGTCAGCGTGAACAGGCTGCCCCTGAACACAGTCCCCCAGCAGGTTAAATAAATATGATACCATAGACAAACCGACAGGATCACACGGCTGCATCAATCAGCAGTTGATAAAATACAATCTTCCTTTAATACACGCTGAGAAAGTTATTTAACACTTACAAAACCTATATCCATTTCTTGTCCTTTTTTTTTTTTTTTTAAGTCTTCTTAGAAAGTGTAACTCTTTTAAAGGGCAAGGAAAAGAAGTTGCAAAACTGGCGGGGGTGCGGGGTGCTGATTTAATGGCGCCAAGGAAGGGTGAGGCGCAACTATTGAAGTAGGTGGGGGGAACAAATAACGGCGGTTGGGGGCGAGGGAACTGGCCCGAGGGTCGGTGAGAATGCAAACCACACCTGAAGCATTTCAACGGATCTTGAAACCCGTGGATACCTCGTTGGAACAATTCCTGCAGGGAAACCCCTGGTGTATTTCAATTCCGCTCTTAGTTCAGTTCATTTCAGCTCTGCAGTTTGCGTGCATCTGGAGCAGATGAGAAAACTATTCTGGATTAATTGGGGGAAAAATAACTGGGCAGGAAATAATTTAAAAGGGAGGACCCTCACAGGGCGCTTAAGAGAAAAGCGACCCCGTAGAGCTGGTGGTAAAAGGGAGATCTTCGATGACTTCCCACCGGTGAAACTTGGGGGTCAGGAACGAGAAAATAGGAAGACAATTGCCCTGAGTTAGCAGCGAGGATGTTTGCGCCCGTGTGCTTTGTGGCTTAAGAAAAGCTCCTCGCTATGATTGAGGACTCCACTTTCCCCGCTTGCAAACAGGCAAAAATGAAAGGCGTTGGTGCCAGGACCGTCTTGAGTGCTGGCCCAGGCAGAGCTTTTGACTTTAACCTTGCGCTCGCGCCTGGCGTCCGCGGCTCGCTCGCCTTGCCCCAGTTTAACCCCGGGCTCCTCTCCTCGGCAGTGCGGCTCCGCGCGCCTTTGCGAGGACCAGCTTGGGGGTGGCCGCGCGCTGGGGGAGGGCCTTGCACGTCGGGAGTGGGAGAGCCTGGTAAAGGCTGACAGACTATCTCTTAACAAGTGAAGATTAATGCCGCATCTAAAACTAAGCTCTCCTAAGTGCCGTCGGTGCAACATAAATACCGAGAGTGGGGAAAGGCGTCGCCTGCCACTCAAATAGTACGGCTCTCTCCCAGTCTGTTGAAATAACTCGCCGGGGCAGCTCGAGGTGTTGACGGCCACGTTTGTCAGCGCGTCGTGCCCTCCTCGGGGGCGACGAGAGCTCGGAACCGATCCAATCTGGGCGTCCCCTGCCCCAGTCAGCGCAGCTCCTCCCAGGTCTCCACGAGCCTCCGCTCCGGTTTCCCGAAGATCCACGCCGGGGCAGAGCTGGGCCCCGGGGTTTAGGGTTCGAGAGTCCGCGGATCACTGCAAATGGGCACCCCTCGCGTCGCAGGATCCCTCGGGGGGCCGGTGCCAAGTGGGCTCACATGGAGTCAGCTGGCGACCCCGGGACGCGGGCGGGTGGGGGTACCTGGCGCCAAATCCCGGCCTGATCCGCCCCCTCTGGCTCCTCCCAGGCGCCCTACCCAGCCCTACGCCCAAATCTGAGGCCCGTGGGACGGGCAAGGGGCGGGGAGGGATGGAGGTGAGAGTGGGAGGTAGTAATCTGGCTGCCCCGGTAGCGCTTTCAAGCCCCGAAATTCGCTTGGGGTTCGTTAACACACGCGCTTGGGGTGGTCCCCTCCCCCCGGGTACGAACCCTTCCTGCTGCAGCGGCGGCCCAGGCTTCCGTGACTTGGGGAGGCGCTGGAACCCTTGTAACCTTTTTGGAGACTTTGCGCTTTCGAGAGCTCTTTACCTGAAACTGACACCCGCAAGCACTCTCCGGGGTCCTGTTGGGCAGATGGAGTGGCAGGGCCAGGCGGGGCCTGTTGGCGAGACACGGGGACATTTGTCATGGGTGACCCGGCGCCTCGGCTTCTGAGCCCACGCCGGCGCGGGGAAGCCCGCGCTAATGTAATAAAGCGAGAGCGACAAGAGGAAAGGCCCCTCTTGCCCCGGGGCCGCCACATGCTCACTCCGTTTTACTGTCAGGGCTGGTCGAGGCTGTGGCTTCATTTCATATTCCATTAATATTTACAGCAGCTATTGAATTTCCCATTACAAAGTTCACCATACACACTGCTAATATGAAATTTTAATAGTATTGTGCACATTATGAAAAGTCCCACCATTAAGAGGGGCGGGGGAGGGTCCTAGGGAGAAGTGGCCCTGGGAAGTTACCCACGACTGAACACTCAAAACTCCCCGCAAGCAGCTGAATGTATTCTGCAACTATTACCATAAAGATGTGAGACAGTAGGTATTTTATCAATATTGAAATCAAAAGCAAGTGAGGAAATCAAGAGTGTAAAAAGCAGGCTGACTAAATTGAGTTTGCGAAGTTCTGGGTGTGTGAGACGCTTTGCCCACATGTATAGATGTTTCCGTTTTTCCACTTTACTAGTGAACAAGCAGAAGTATACAGGTTGTGTTGGGATGTGGCTGCAGTGGAGGCTGGAGGGCTGCCGGGACAGGCAGATGCGTGGCAGTGGTAAAGCCCCTGCCCTCTTCCCTCGGCATCCCTCTCCTTCCAGACCTCCACCCACCTCCAGCCTTGGGCCCCAGAAGTTCCCAAAGCTCCAGTCCTGAAGGTGACCCCAGGGAACAAATTCTGCCAAGAACTGTGAATCATCAATTTCTCCCTCTTTGGTGTTCAACTTTTCAGGACTGGCACCCTAAGGTCAGGTGGTGTTTCCAGGGGTAGGATTTTCCATGTGATGTGCAATCCTGCGGAGGGACTAACGCTCACTTGGATTGAAAAGGGGAGGAAGGACAGAGAGAGAATGTGGCCTGGACACTTAGAAGTGTTTGTCCACAAAGCCCAAGCCCAAAGCCTTGCTGCCTAAAGTGGCCCAGAGGTTGGCAAACCGAGGTGGAGTTAAATTTCTCTCTCCGTCCTTTCAAGGACTGTACAGTGAAGCCACAAGGTCAGGCGCTTGGCAACTTCCAGCTCCAAACGCACTTTGTGGCACAGAGGGGCAGCCGGGCATCATCCTCTGCTAGAGCTGGCAGGCGCGTCCATGGGCATGCCCACCTCCTAGTCCAGTTGGAAGCCAGCCTGGAGCCATTCCACAGCAGATGTCCGATTGCCACTGGCTCTCTGAGATGCATTGGGCCTTCCCACTTTACCTGTAAGGACATTCATCTTCCTGGGAGAGCCAACTAGTTCCCATGCCTCTGGCTTTTTGCAGGTAACCTTGCCCTAGAGTGGGTAGATAAAATAGAGGGAAAGCGCACGCATTTTGTTTGGGGGTAGGATATGCTGTAATTTCTCTAGTCTGCACCAAGCTTTCACATCGCCTGTCCACCCACCCTCACACCATCCCCTCCTCACACTCCTCAGGGTGTAAATTAATGACAGTACTTTGAGCACCACTGTGGTGTCTTAATAAGCTTCTATTTCCGCATTGAGAGGGCAATTTCTGAATCTTTAGGTTACTTTCCTGCTAAAGGAAAATGACAGTGCCAGAAGGTAAAGATGGGTGACATTTCCATAGGAAGATCTGGTGTAGATTTTTTTTCTGGGTTTTAAAAAATATTACTATTATTATTATCACACCCCCCCATTTTCTTTGCATTTTTTTTTCATTGAAGCCCCTAAATGTGTCATGCTTTGTCACATCCTCTGTGTGTGTTTTTAGAGAGCATTTGAATAAAAGGCTCGATGCCAGGTATTGGTGACACAGGGGGTGGAATTTTCAGCCGTTCCACAAAGAGTTGGCCGCCTCTATTTGCATAAGGTCAGAGTAGTGCTTCTGATAGAACTTTACCAGCATCTCTGTCTCTTAGCAACACTCTTGCACTCTTGGTCCCTGCATTAAATTGACTGGTCCCTTCCTTTTCTTCCTTTCATTGGGAGGCTTACAATAAAATGTCACCCTTCCAACCTGTGCCTGTCACCCAGTAGGTCATCTGTATCTCCCCCTTCCCCCTCCCCTTTCCTCCCCTCCTCCTCCCTTTTCTCTCCAGCTCCAATTAGACGATGAGATTATTCATTTGGTGGATTCCCAAAACAGTTTCATTTTATTGTGTTAATTAATATTAATACCATTTCTCTCTTTGTTATTAATAAAAAGCTATCATAAACACAGGCGCGATAAGGAGCAAATTGCCAGCACCTACCAAACAATGGGCCTGGAGAGGGGTAATAAGGAGAGTGGAGATAGAGAGAGCAGGGTTTAGGTCAGGCTTCCCACCCATTTAGTTGACGCGGGGTTGAGCGCAGCATCGAAGCCCCTGGAAGGGAAGCACGCTTGGAATATGCCAGGCAGCCCTCTTGGCTCTGGGATGGGAAACAGTGACAGGATCCAGATGCTGATAGGTGGTGTTAATGGAGGGTCACGTTTGGACAATAGTATCCATCACTTGCCTCCTGGCTCTTCTGTCAGATGGAGTCATTTCTTACTACGCTATCACTCAGATTTTGGATAGATTCAATTATTACCTTCACCTTGGCAACAGGATATACAAATCTATGCCCAAATGACTAAGTAATAATAATAGTATTTTTTTTTTTACTGCACTTCTCCTCTTGTTCATTTTAAAGAAAAAATCCCTAAGGGTTCAATAGCTTTTTTCCTATTTTATTCTGAAAACATCTGCCCAGTTACTCAACCCCACAGGATAATGGCTGCTTAATTAGCACAAATGTTTGTCTGAATGCCTGAATGATTATTGCTGATTTTTATAATCTTACCAATGGCCCAAATTAAGTAGTCTGTGTATGTTTTCTAAAGTTTTGGAAGACTCTAACTTACAAAGGGTCTGTGTGCTGTCTTTATGGGGTTTTTTTTCCCTTTTGAGAAGTGTTTGCAACTGAGTGAAAACAAGAATGGTATTAAAAAGGAAGGGGAGGAAGAGGAGAAGAGCTTATTATATTACCTTTGTTCATAAAGTTAAGAATTAATTTAAATCAAGTTAAAGATTTTAAAAAATTAAGACACTGAGAAGTTCTGCCTGAAGGAAGTGAGAATCAGAGAGATGCAGGGGTGGTGTTGAATGTGCTTTGAATTCCGTCTCTGCTTTCTTCCTGGACAGAGAAACCAACCTCCTTCTTTAGAGGAGTGGTTTGTTTTCTATAACATATTACTCATCCCCTTGAGTAGTGCAAATGGTAAGGTAAAGCATCCTGCCTTTCCCTGATATTTTCACAAAGCCCTCACTCTGCTTTCTACTCTCTTCTTCCTACCCTGCATGCCCTGTAATTCTTGCAGTGTATTGCCAGATAAATTTGCAGGTAATGGGGTCTGAGAAAAGCAACCAGGGTTAAAAGTCAACTAGCTCCTCTTTAATAATTCACGTGTCATATTTCTTCCACTATGTCAAGTTTGGTAAAGAAGATGGACAGGGGCTGATGGGCGGCCACTTGACTTTATTATTCTAAGCCTCAGAAGGGAGGAAAACTGTAAAAAGAGATGCCCCCACTCTTCTTACAAAGGGGCGAAAGCAGCCCAAACCTTCCTCAGAGTGCCTGGTCCTCTCTGCCTCACTTTGCAGTTCCAGCACTCCTCCAAGATGCCAGGAAGATTTGCAAAGATGGGGGTGCGAAAAATATTCCTGGGAACTTTTCCTATTTTGAAGCTCCCCACCTTACAAATTTGTCCTCTTTCCTCCTTACCAGTATCTTCATTCTTATACATTACCAAGTGACAATTCTGTTCATATTTTTTTGCCACAATATGTAAGTTGCTAGGGCAGCTTCACCCACAGACAATGGCTCTTATTTTTACTTTCTTATAGATGACCTTTCTTCTTTTTACAACTGCTTTTTTTTTTTTTTTGGCAGCATTGCTGGTGACAGTTTCACATTCCTCTGACTTAAATCTCTCTATTCTCTTTCTTTTTGCGAGGGTGTGGGGGCAAGTTTGAGATGTGTGGGTGGTTTTTTTTTTTTTTTTTTTTTGGGTTGTTGGAGTTTTGTTTTTTTTTTTCTTTTACTTTCAATAATTTGCTGTTTCCAGGGAGGGGGAGAGACACGGTATGCATAGACAAGACAAGAACATGTGAAACCAAGGAAGTTTTAAGCATATTTGAGCTTGATTTTGGAGTATGAATTGATATATAATCAGATTCCAGAAAGGAAGACAGAAGACAAAGAGAAATAAAGACTGAGTCTTACCTGTTCAGATTTTGCCCAAATGTAGAAAGGAGCATTTTGCTCCATCCAGTTTGCATTTCACTATTGCTCAGGTTGTCCCACCAGAATTTTAAGGATCCCAATTTACACAGATCAAGCCCAGGGAGGTGATTTCGTTTACAATTTCTCCCTCCCCATCTCTTCAAGAGCAAAATATTAGATGAAGGTGTTCTATCGTGAGAATTAAAACCTTTCCATGTGTTACTTATTTAATGAAAAAAAAATCCTATAGTTTTGCAAACCTGCTTCCTGATTACTGGCCCATGGATAGCCATTTGAAGAACAACTATTTTCCTTTTCTCCTCTCTTTTTCTTTAGTTCTGAAGAACGTTAAAACAAAATAACACAAATCAGTCGTTCGGGAAATATAGTTTTATCTTCAAGTATAATTATCACTAGTGGCACATGACAGAAAAATAAATAGTATCTCTCATTCCATTCATTCTGTGACTACAATGCTATAAAATATCTTTTCTGTTTTTTTTTTTTTTCTGGGGGGCTTTTCCACTCAGCTTCATGGCTTTTAAATTTAAGCTAAGTTTTTGCAGCAGTTGCTCTGCTCAGGATGATAAGGGCTTGCTTTTCGGGCTCAGTTGTTTTAATATCAACCTTCTCCAGCTCCTGCCACAAATTCGAGCTGGAGGTCTGTTTATATGTCTGATATAAGTTGCTGGGGGGAGGTGTCACGGAGAGTTCCAGAGGGAGAGCAAATAATTAAGGTTTATAAAAATCAGGCACACTTTGACAGGAAGAGAATAAATAGTTCTGAAAGAAATTCATAGTAAAAGATTGGGTCAGGGTTGGGAAAACAAATTTGTAGTGATTCTGGTCTGTAGCACAGTTGGAGGAGGGGCTGAAGTGCGTCCAAGATCACCACTCCAAGAAACAGCCTATTTGAAACAGCTGTTTAAAACTTTTCCTGATTGTTACCTTTAAACCGATTAAACCAGCAGGCAAGTGCTTGAGCAATTTTTCAAACTCGGGCAACACCCAGTCCTCCTTCAGCGAATTCCTGATGAACACTAGCTAGGTATTTGCAATGTATCCACTCTTTCTCCCTCTTCAATGGTAGAGTTAGACAAGGTTGTTCACACTTTATTTGCATAAATTTTTTAAGGTGGGGAGGAAAGAGAACATGCAGTTTATTTTCAAGCACTTTGCCATAATGTGCTATGTAACTGGCAGAAGTTTCTGGCTTTGATTGAGCTCAAATCTTTCAAGAAAACGAACTTTGTAAGGAAGTTTGTTTGTGAAACTCCTAACCATGTCTTCTCTAGATTAGGGCGATGGAAGGGAATTGGGATACACGCATCACCCCTTTGGGAATACAAGATTGCTTCCACACCCCCTTCCTCCTGCATTTCTCCGGATAATTGCCCTCCCTCCCCTCACTAAGTTGCCATCCTCAGGCCGACCTGGATCCTGCAAGCCCCGCTGCCAGTTGGGATGCTGCTCTGTGTTCTTTTGGGGGTTCTTCACCTCTCTTGAGCTCAGGGCAGGGCAAGGCTCTGCAAGTCTAGGCACTCACGCAGACAGAACTATTTTCCACTGCGGATGGGGTGATGAAAGCATTTGAAAAGGTGCCGGGGAAGAGGATGTGTTCCCCACCCTGCAAGATCAGCTGGGTCAGAGGGACCCTGGGCGGAAAACGGTTAAGACTATTGCACTGACTTAGCAGAAATCCCAAGAGAAGCTTCTCCCACAAGGCAGAAAATATAAGTCTTTGGCGGGATTTCATTTTTTAGATGAGAGGAGGGACATTCGGAGAAAAACCAAAACTAGTAAAAAATAAAATTTAAAAACTAAAAATAAAAAAATCCTCTAATGGAAGAGCGCAGGAGGCAAGACCTAGAGTACATGCAATCCCATTCTCATATTGATCCGGAAAGACCCGGAGGCTGGGAGGGAGCGCAGTGTAGACTTCCCGCCTGGAACTAAAACACAAAGTAGCAAATTTGAGCAGAGGGAGTTGGCGCTGATTTTCTGGGACGATCTGCCGCTGTCCTGACTTAGGACTTTCGGAAGAGGAGGCGGGGTCGGCTCCGGGCCGCGCGGGGCTGGTGGGCGGCGCGGCGGGGGCACCCCGCGGCCTCCCCAGGCCGGGTTCTCTCCCCGACCCGGCGCCGTGCGGTGCGGCTCCCACCCGGCCGATCCCGCAGATCCCGTCTGGAGTCCTGCTAACACCTGTCATTTGAAGCCGTGTTCGCTCTGTCTTGCAAACATCTCGAGCATTTTTGATTCCGCTCGCCGCTCCTTCTTACTGAGTTGTCCGCGTCTCTCTGCAACTTGTCATAACCCATAATAAAATGCCTTTTCCGTCGGGAGTTGAAGTCCAGAGGGCGGCGGTTCTCTTTTCAACTGACAGCCGAGCAAAGGAGCCGCGGCGGCCTCCCTTTTGTCTGCCTCGGGGTTTAACTCCTGTGGGACCGGCAGTGCAGATCGCGCCCCGCGCCGGCGGCCGGTTCCCGGGTCCGGGGTCGGGGGAAGCCGCCACCCTAAAGACCACCCCGTCCCCAGCTCCCCGGCCCTGCCCCGCCGGGATTACTGCGGTCCGGGGCGCGGTTGCGGGAGAAAGTTCTGGGCCTCTGGGGCTGCGTACACACGTGCTGCTCAGGCGCGTTCCTCAAAACGAGAGGCGCCTATTTGCACTTGTCCTTTTTCTTCTTCTTCTTTTTTAATTGGAGGGGGGCCTGACCGAGAGCAACACAAGGGATAAGTGAAATAGAAGACTGATACCAAGGTCACGTCAGCCGGCATCCCGGCGGCTTTTCACTGGGCTGGTGATGTAACTGGTTCAAACCATTTTCCTAATTAGCCAAACCCATCCTATTATTATTTTCATAAACCTGGAACTGAAACATGAAGATCTGTTGGAGTTTTTCTGTCCCACGTGTGCACGTGAAGGGCTAACTCAGATGACTAATCAGATGGCCCGGGTTGGGGAGCGCGCAAATGCGGGTTTCATTATCTCTCCCCAACCCTTGCAAAGGGATCCCGAGCTCCAGGGTGTCCCACGGACCACGTGGCCCAGGTGCGCAGTCCTCAGCATGGCCAAGTGCCCCTGAGCTGGACGTCTGGCTTGGCCTCCTCCTGACCGAGAGGTTCCTCGGTACCCAGGGACACCCTGGGTACCTCGCCACCATTACCTATTTAGAAGTTCCCCACCCCCACTTTCTTCTTACCTGACCACCCACAGAGAAGTCGCCTTAGAATACCCTAAGGTCGCCAGTGGGAGCCTGCGAGTCTCCCAGGCTTTTTTCATTTGTCAACAGTTTGTGACAGAGAAGCCATGGCTTTGATGTCACCCGATATTAGGGAGTAGGCGGGTAGGACGTGGGTAGGAATAAGGAGGCAGGCTCCTGGGAGAGGGGAACCAACGCTGAACCCCGGCAGCTGCCTTCCTGGAGCCTTATTTTGTCCTTAGTTTATTTAAAGAAGGAGGTGGGGCCAGGCGCGGTGGCTCACGCCTGTTATCCCAGCTCTTTGGGAGGCCGGGGCAAGTGGATCACCTGAGGTCAGGAGTTCGAGACCAGCCTGACCAACATGGTGAAACCCTGTCTTTACTAAAAATACAAAAATTAGCCGGGCGTGGTTTCGTGCGCCTGTAATCCCAGCTACTTGGGAGGCTGAGGCAGGAGAATCGCTTGAACCCGAGAGGTGGAGGTTGCAGTGAGCTGAGATGGCACAATTGCACTCCAGCCTGGGCAACAGAGCATGACTCCATCTCAAAAAAAAAAAAATAAATAAAAATAAGAATAAAGAAGGAGGTGGGGCAGCCTCTGATGGAGATAGTGTCAGAGTGCCTCCTCCCTGACGCTTAAGGCCTCACATCCATCCCGGGAACTCCTCTTGGGGGGTTCCAAAACGAGGAGGGAGGCTAGGAGATTGTTCTCATTCAGCCAGCCATTGAAACGGAAACAGCCTATCCTGGCCTGGCTTCATGGCCCGCCACCCTCCCTTCTCAGGGCATCTCGCCCCAAGAGAGATGCTCACACTTTCAACCTGGTGCCCCGAATTCAGACCGCCTGCCTCTCATACCTCCTTGCCCACTCCTCTCGCCCAATTCACAGACTTTCTCCTAATTTCTTTCTGTGCTGGGAAGCTAGCAAAACCTTAAAAACAATACTTTCAAAACCCAAAACACATTCTATTCTCTAAAGGAAACCTGGAGAAATTGGCCAGCTGAATTCCGCAGATGACTTCCATTGAGGGGTAGAGTGGGAACTGGAGACGGTGGGAAGTCTGTGTCATAAACTGTGATAAGAGAGGGAACATAGAAAGATTCAATTTGAGAGTTGTGGTTATTTGACATTCCTCCACAAAGAAGTCAATTCTGTTCAGTTAAAAAGAAAAAACATTTCTGTTTTCTGCATCTGCAGGCAATGGTGAGATATAGTAAGGAGAAGTTTAATATTTGGAAAAATAGGTAGTAGAGGTTTTTGTATCCCCCAAAAAAGAAAAAATTAGAATATAGAAAAAAATGCATTTGTGTTGGAGCAATCAGTTCAGAAATACTATACTTCATTGTTTATTGTGATCTCTCATTTCTCTTTTTATCTTATTTCTGAAGGTTGACCTCCAGGTCTCAAGCTGGGCTCTTAATGTGCACATCTTAAAGTGGTATTTCACCATCAGTTTAGCAGGTGCTGCTGACTTTATAAAGATGATTATTTCTGTCCTCTTTAATCTCTGGAAAAAGCCAGAATCCCTTTCCCCTGTGAGACCTACTTTTGGAGAAACTATGAAGCTGCAGTTACTGAAAATGGTATTCTTTTAAAATACTGGTCAGAATTACTCAGGATATATTTGAGGATCCATTCTCTCCAGTTGGCTTATAGGTTCTATTCAAAGAGAAGCTATTTAGGGACATGTAAAAACCAGTAAATTTCCTGGTGCACAAAAGAAAATGGTGCTTTTTGCCCACCGCCTATTTCCACTCGAAAGTGAATAATGCCCCAGTTACCACCAGGCCTGACTTGATTTATCTTGGTTAATAGGATTAACGTGTCAGCCTCTCTCAAGAATTTCTAAATGCAGATCCAGAGTGTCACTGACTCGCTGGTGTCTTTTTTCCTCTCTGATGGGTATAATGACGCACCTACAAGCAGAGGGGCCTTTGTCCGGTGGGAGCAGGCAGATTATCTGTCTCCAGTGAAATAAGGCGTGATGCAGCCACCTTTGCCAAGACTCAAAGCCAGAACCCAGTCACTATAAAATAATTGTGTCACTACCTCACCACTGTACTGTCTGTGTTTCATTTATCTTTTGACTGTAATTGAATGGTTGAAAAGCAAAAATGTAGACAAATTCCAGCTGTATTGAGATCTGTTTCTTCCTTTACTACCTCGGCCCATCATTAGATACTTTCCCTCTCTGCACAGGAGGTCAGAGTGTATAAATATAAATTGCATTTTGCATTACTTCTAGATGAGTGAAGCTGTCAAAGCAATAATATGAGCTTTCAGTCCCACATTCTACCATTTCTTTCCCATTTTTTGGCCAGAAGGTCATGTGCAAATTGAACGTGACAACCCAGAAGACATGTCCAACAGACTTGTATTGTTACTCAGTTCAGCCGCCTGGCTCATAACAACATTAAACCCACATTAGTTTCCAGACTTCCCCAGGCAGGAGCTCCTAAACACAGGACTCAGGCTTCTCAGAAAGTTTACTTCAATGGCAACAATTCATTTCATCTGAAAGTAGTAGGTGGCACTGACCTAAAATATTTTTCACCCAAGATTCATGAAGATGTCATACTTAGAGGGACCAGGGCAGTATCTTATTAAACAAAGAACAAGGGGAAGGGCCAAAGAGCCCTGCAACACACACACACACACACACACACACACACACACACACACCACGCACACGCATGCGGGAGGAGAGAGGAAAGTATACTGGCTTCTATTTGAAAGTATGAAAATTATTCAGAATCCAATAGTGATGTGGTTGGAAATCATTTTTGTTGTTATCAGAACAATGAAAATGTCATTTGGGAAGCCATCTTAAAATATGGATTGGCCGTGTACCCTCATTAGCAAGTTCTTGATAGTATTGTTTTAAGAACCCACTTGCATAACAAAAAAATAAAGTTTTAGCAGTTTATTATCACCGTCATTAAAAGATACCCCTCCATTGTAGGGAAGGGATCAGAAACTTTCATCAATTTGAAGAAAGCTGAAGGGCTTGGAGGATCAGTAATTGTCTATCGAAGTGACCCGTTCATGTCTTGCCCAGATTGCAGTTAATGGAGAGCTGTTGTTCACTGACAGGGTGTTTGATGGTTTCTAGAAAATGAGTGGCTGTTTTCATTCCTGTTCCAAATGGACAGGTGTCTACATCAGAATTGGCAACCTGGTTGGCAGATTCAGAGTGGCCAAGGAGCAAATTGTTTATGGAGAATAAACTTCCCTCCCTCCCGTGATGACTGTGCACACGTGTGAGTGCTGGCAGTGGGGAGGAGGGAGAAGTGGAAACGTCGGAAGTGGAAAGATTGATGCAGGTCCATAGAACATAAAGGGGCTGAAGCCCCTTGGTTCTGAGTGACGCCATATGCAATTGCACCTCTCCTGGAGCCCAACTTTTGCTTATCCACATTGTGCTCTAAGTGCACAAATAAAAGTTTGTGAAAGTCACTTAGTTTCCCTTAAAATGCTCATATCAATCTCAACAAATAAAATTAAATGAGGTTTTTCGCACATGGTTAAATCAGCAATATTTTCATTCATTTTTCTTGAAGAAAGTATCTTTATTTTCATTCCCTCAGATGAACTAACAGTGCTTAAATACTGAACAGAAAGAAGAGGTAACTGTAAGAATCGCCCTGGGAATGCCTAATCCAAGGTAGGAAATGGCCCTCTTGTCCTCAGTGGATAAGGCCACATGTTATCACATAATACCTAAGGGTGACCATTAGATATATAAACATAATTATCTCTTCTTTCACATTTACACATAATCCTTACAATCTCAGGTTATTATTCATGCTAATGGTTTTGGCGTCCTGTTATTATAATGAAATATATGATAATAAGCTTTTTTAAAAAGTCATTGTAATACCCCAAGGTCTGATATCTTTTATTGTCTAAGCTCTACTTTCACATGGATTAAATTTGTGTTAAATTTTGGAATATGTTAACAATAATAACAAAAATCTCTGTGACCATGAAACTAATGCTGTCAGTATTGCTGACACTGAAGAAATTTGCCCTTAATTTTGGGCAACTTTTTATGGATATCTGTAGTTATTAGGAATGTTTAATTTTTCAATACTTATAATTTATAAGCTTCCAGTCATAAGATTTTAGAGTTCTTCTCCTTTGTCCTAACATTTTTCTTCTCTTCTTCTTTTTTTTTTTTTGAGATGGAGTTTTTGCTCGTCACCCAGGCTGGCGTGCAGTGGCGCTATCTCGGCTCACTGCAACCTCTGCCTCCCCGGTTCAAGCGATTCTCCTACCTCAGCCTCCCGAGTAGCTGGGATTACAGTTGTGCACTAACACACCTGGATAATTTTTGTATTTTCAGTAGAAACGGGGTTTCACCATGTTGGCTAGGCTGGTCTTGAACTCCTGACCTCAAGTGATCCACCCACTTCAACCTCCCCAAGTGGTGGGATTATAGGCATGAGCCACCACACTTGGCCTCTTTTCTTAATAAAATAATTTGTATAAACCTGACATTAATTTTTAGTTCATTTTTACTCTGCTACACTGCCAGAAATTATAGCAATGAAGATAAAAGACTTTGGAGTAAAGCTAACTCCTCCTCCACCTCTATACTGCATTCTGTGACATGGGGCACATCATTAATTCTCTAGGCCTCAGTTTCTTCATCTGTAAAATGGGAATGTTAATAGTCTTTATTTTACAAACTTGTTTGCAGATTTGTGACATGCTTACCCAGTTGTTTGAAGATTTGTGACATGCTTTCCATGTTTTAGGAACAGAGTAAGTTCTCAATCAGAGCTAAGCACCATTGTTGCTGTTAATGATGGTGATAGTTTTGTAACCTCGAAGTGTCAATATCTTCATCTTCATCCATGAAACAGAAACAACACCACCCAAAGGGTTATAGACAATATTTAAGTTAGTTAAAGAGTGTAACACATTTGACATAGTGGCTGAAGCAGAGCCTTCAGTAAATAGGTGGTGGGTTTGTTGCTGCTTTATTCAGGGAACCAGCGAAAATCAATGAAGTATTCACTGTGGAAAGAAAGTCCATTCTTCAAGAGTTCCACGTGATAGTTCTTCAAGTTTGACTCTAGAGGCTTAGTTGGTAGAAAATGGCATGATTGAAGCCAAAGTTGAGAATCATGCCCGGTTAGCCTCCTTTGTCCTGTGACCACAACTCATACCAGCTCTCACATGAATTCACATGTCTGGGCAGTAGTGAGACACCTCAGCAAGAGTGGGTGGGGGTGGACAGCCCAAGTCCACATCTGTTCCTGAAAAATAAATTACGTGAAATAAAACTCCAGGTACATGTTTTGCTGATCCAAAAACACGTCTTAGAATCTGAAGGAGGATGTAGAGTTTAAGTGTAATGCTTACTTTCTGATATTATTAATTTACTTGTAGAGATAGGATCACACCTTTTTTATATTTGCATTTGCATAGAAACTTTGGTACCATCTAAAGATTCTTCTTAAGGGAACCCAAAGGCACCCTGAAGCCAGCAGCTTTCAGCCCCTGCAGGAAGAATCAGGCACTTCTCTGAAAGCTTTCTCTGCCTGGAAAAGAGCCATCAGTTATGGCTCTTTAAGAACTTTACATTGAGCCAATAACAAAATTTTATTGAAGCCTTTGGGGGGTCCATATATCCCAAATACAATTTCATGTTAAAAATAATATTCCATAGCTTCAGAAATCCCTTTGTATATCAGAGTTCATGAATATAATCTCCCTCTGGGGAGAAAAGAAGAATGGAAAGTTTCCATTCTAAAGCTGTTTATGTGTAACACAACTAAATAAGATTCTTGTCCTGACTTATTCTGTATTTAAAACCAAGGATTCCTCAACTGATTAGATAGAAAAATGGGTTGTTCAGAAAGCCCCAATTGTATCAGATTTGGGTGTGTGTGTGACTTGTATCAACACTGCTCAGTGATGTTTAAAACCTCTAATGTCTTCAGTTCAGCAAGAAAGCCAAATGGAATTGGGTTTGATCCATTTTCTCTAAACATAGTTGCCTCATTTCTCTAAGAGTAAATTGGATTTGGTGAAGATTAAAAGGTAGGCATAGAGAAGTAACTTCTCCCCCAGTTGTCACTGACAACCCACACAGCCCAGTGTTTGCCATGTGCCTGTTGTCTGTTTTTCTGACCATAGGGAGCAGCTCAAATGACAGGCACACAGATGGACGCATTGTGTGATTAATGGTGTCTCCCAGGCCTGGTGGAGAGGCTGCAGGAAATGGTGGCATATATAAGCGAGTCCTCTTTTTGGTTTAGTGCTCCTTCCACGGTTTGAAGTAGAGAAGAATCAGGAAAAATTCCAACCTCATTGTTTGCTAGAAAATATGAAGGTACCCTTCTTTCTTTTTCTGGAATCACTTGCCAAATCCGGGAATTTAATGGGAGACCACACCAACTTCCTGATTTGCCCAACAAAATTATATTCTCCCTCTCTCCCTTCCTCCTCCTCTTCCTTTCATGCTTTGTTCCTTCCTCCCTCTTTCTGTGTTCTTTTCTTTTTCTTTGCCTTTTTTTTTCCTCTCTCTCATACACTACCTCACCTCAGCAGCCTCAAAGTGGACCACTAGAGTAAGCTCTCTGTAAAGTCTCTGAGGAGTGAAAAAAAGTGTGTAGAACCAGCCTGGTGTGGTGGCTTACGCCTGTAATCCCAGCACTTTGGGAGGCTGAGGCAGGCAGATCACCTGAGGTCAGGAGTTCGAGACCAGCCTGGTCAACATGGCAAGACCCTGTCTCTACTAAAAATACAACAAAAAATTAGCCAGGAGTCGTAGTGCACAACTGTAATCCTACCTACTTGGGAGGCTGAGGTAGGAAAATCACTTGAACCCAGGAAGCAGAAGTTGCAGTGAGCCCAGATTGTGCCACTGTATTCCAGCCTGGGTGACAGAGTGAGATTCTGTCTAAAAAAAAAAAAAAAGAAAACAAAACAAAACGAAAAAAACAGAAAAAGCGTGTGGATCTGGGAAGGCAGGAGCAGGCAGCATGAAGGCCTAAGGACCCCCAAACTCATCAAAGGGGTCATTCTTGGGTCTGGTGATTCTAATGTGTCAAGAACAAGATATCATAATTTCATCATTAAAAATGAGTCAAACACAAGGCCATATCCTCAGGATCATACCCAAAGCTGAGATTCTTTCCTTGGCTTTACATTTTAATTTATTTTGTTTTTATTTTTATTTTTTGAGACAGTGTGTTGCTCTGTTACCCAGGCTGGAGTGCAGTGGCAAGATCACAGCTCACTGCGGCCTCAGTCTTCTGGGCTCAAGCGGATCCTCCTGCTTCAGACTCCAAAGTAGCTGGGACTACAGGTGGGTGCCACCATACCCAGTTAATTTTTTTAAATTTTATTTAGAGACAGTGTCTCCCTATGTTGCCCAGGCTAGTCTTGAACTCGTAGGCTCAAGTGATCCTCTTGCCTCAGCTCACAGCTGTGAGCCACCTCTCCCAGCCTAATTTATTTTGAATACCAAATATTAATAGAAACACTGAAATGGCTTTTTAAAATTTAACTTCTTTTTGAAAAGGTAATAGAACCATGCAAAAAGTAGAAAGGGGTGAAAATACTCTTCCAGTTCTATCTCCCAGCCCCGCTTACTCAAGTTCACCAATGTCCCCTTTAAAAAATCAATAGACTTTTTTTTGGTAAGGAGTTTTAGGTTTATAGAAAAATTGAATGGAAAGCATAGAGATATATATTTCCTCATCAGCTTCCCCTATTATTAACATTTTCCATTAGTGTTTGTTTGTTACAACTGATGAGCCAATATTGATACATTATTATTAATGAAGATTCATAGTTTGCATTAGGGTTGACTTCTTGGTGTTGTACATTCTATGGATTTTTACAAAGGTATAGTGACATATATCCATCATTACAGTATCAAAGAAAATAGCTCTACTGATTTAAAAATCATCTGTGGGCCGGACATGGTGGCTCACACCTGTAATCCCTGCACTTTGGGAGGCTGAGGGGGGAGGATCACTTGAGGTCAGGAGTTCGAGACCAGCCTGGTCAACATGGTGAAACTCTGGCTCTACTAAAAATACAAAAATTAGCCAGGTGTAGTGGTGTGCACCTGTAGTCCCAGCTACTCGAGAGGTTGAGGCAGAAAAATTGCTTGAACCCAGGAGGTGGAGGTTGCAGTGAGCCAAGATCGCGCCACTGCACTCCAGCCTGGAGAGCAAGACTCCATCTCAAAAAATTAAAAAGAGAGAGAGCAAAAAATCCTCTGTGTTCTGCCTGCCTATTCAACCCTCCCTTTCCCTAAAACCCCTGGAAACCACTGGGTTTTTGTTTGTTTGTTTGTTTTACTGTCCCTATAGTTTTGCTTTTTCAATACTGTCAGAGCTGGTATCATACAGTATGTAGCCTTTTCCTATAGGCTTATTTTACTTAGCAATGTGCCTTACTACTATTATTATGCCTAAGCTGTGCAAAAGCTCATCTCTTTTTATTGATGAATAATATTCCGTTGTCTGGATGTATCACAGCTTGTTTATCCATTTACCTATTAAAGGACACCTTGGTTGCTTCCAAGATTTGGCAATTATGAATAAAGCTGCTATAAACATTCATGTGCAGGTTTGTCTGTGGACATAAATTTTCAACTCATTTGAGTAAATACCAAGAAGTGTGATTGCTAGATCATATCGTAAGAATATGTTTCGTTTTGCCTTCCACCCCAATGCCCCTTTCGGTGGTTTGCAAGTACGCGTTAGCACAATAGGTACTTAACAGAGATGGAGATGCAGACCTTGCCAATAGCTCCAGACGGACACCAAGGCAAGCGCTGCCTCCGTCTAGAGGAACATGGGGGTCACCGTGAGGAGCATGAACTCCATCAGGCTACAGGGGAGCTTTGCGATTTACTTGGTCTGCGACCTCAGGCAAATTGCTTACCTTTCTCATGCTTTTGTTTTCCCAACAGTAATTAGGCTTGGTAATAGCACCCAGACAGTAGGTTCTGAGAATTACCTGAAATATTCCATGCACATCTTAGGGCAACACTTGGTACAAATAAGTGCTCAGTAAATGTTAGCCATTTTTATATCATAAGACATAAACCAGCATTTTTTCTCCCAAAACAGCCAGTGTGTTCTTTAGAGATAAATTCGTGTGATGGTGCATTCAGGAGCACCCATGACAGAACAACTAGACACACCGAGGAATCTGGTGAGAAACAAATGTGTAGCAGTTAAAATAAAGGAAAATTAAAACTAGGAAGAAAATGTCCTTAAGTGAAATCGCTTCCTCCTCGGAGGTTTTGGTCCATGGTATAAATTTCGCACTCCACTCTCGACCCTGGTTCCCATTAGTGACTTGCTGGCTCAGGATCCCCTAGGATCAGTCCTGGACTGTGAGCTGCCCTGTCTCTGGTGGTCTGCCAAAGCCTGACCCCAGACACCCAGGCTAGCCTGGCACCCCCCCACGGTGAACAGCCTCCTCACCCCAGTGGCCTGGCTGACGCTCATGTTTTTCTTTTTTCAGGCAACTCTGCAGGCAGGTGGGAGAAAGGACATAAAGCCATCCACGTGATTTTAAAACAATTTATTTGAGCAGTTCTTATGCAATGACATAATGATAGATGCTAACAATGAAAAATAAATGCACCATGGCTGTATCATCTTTGTATTGGGTTCATTTTGGAAATTAACAAGTAAACAAAAGAAACAATTTTTCTCCTGAGCATCCCTGATGAATAATCTATGGTTCCTTACAATCCATCGGAAATGGAAACATTTGAGTTTGTCCACCAGCTGAATTGCCTTCATGATATCAAATAACTAGTTTTCCTGTTTTAACTGCACAGGCAGGGCTTAGGTGTCAGCAGGTCAGAGCATATGGAACTTTTTTTTTAACTAAGATAAACAGTGAAACCCAATAACTTATGCAGGGCAAGTGGCTCCAAAACAGACACTCACTAGTATGAGTTATATCTGCATTAATAAAGTGTGGCACCAAGGGCATATTTGGATCAAAATATTTTGAATAAGTGAAAGACTAAAAGATGACAGCAGAGCTCCGAATTCTGCCTAGGAATTACAAAGTAGGCTTGAGAAGTTGAACTGTAGGAGACAGGGGTCTGCAGGAGTCCCCCAAAGACATGACTACAGCCAGGTTTTAGGATTGTTCAGATCATTAGTCCCGTGGGAAGAAGAATGGAAAGAGGGCAGGGGATCCGAATGAGCAGAGTCTTTCTTCTTTAGCCTCCTTACCCCACTCAGGTGTCTGTCATAATTCCTGGCACAATTCAATAAAGAGTTGTGACACAAAGGAAAGGAAGAACAAAGGAAACAAGAAAATAATCAATCCCTTGGACAGGCCTCTCACCCTAAATTTGCTTTGAGTGTAATACAGCCCAGAAAAATTTCTCTTCGTCTCTAGAACCTTCTGTGCCTTAAGGTTCAGGCTTCTGAGTCTGGGTAATGACTAACGACACAGTCCCCAGAATCAGACTAACTCGACGTGGGGTCTGGGGTTCACCTTTCTCTAACTCTGTGACTGAACAGTTCTTCCCTAAGGCTCAGTTTCCTTGTTGTGAAATAGAAATAAGAAATGTGAAATAGGAACATTTTGCCTCCAGATTCTGTAAGGATTATATACAATAATAATGCTTAGCACAGTCTAATGCATAGTGAGTGCTCAGTCTAGGTCATTATTACATTATTGTTGTCATCATTGCTATTCCAAATTGACGACCCCTGTTATGGAATGTTTTTCTATCTGAAACTGGAACTAGGAAAGGGATTAGAGGCAAGGTTCAGACATGGACACTGGGGCTGGGTATTCTGGCATCCTTAGATGCCCTCCGCTGTGCTGGATCAGCCACTTAATTCAGTTTTGAGAACTTTCTCTGCAAAAGACGCCAAAAGGGGTTCTGGGGAATATGTAGGGATACAGAGGAATATGGTGGTGTCCAGGCCTGATAAGCGCATTACCTGCCCAGGGTGATTCCACAAGCATTGCTGTCCAGTTCAAGTTGCTGTTATGTAAAGTTCACTTCAAAATAAAAGATGTGCCTCTTTGAATCTGAATTAACACATATCATCCTGACCCTGAGACCAGCCTGACCAACATGGTGAAAACCCATCTCTACTAAATACAAAAAATTAGCCAGGCATGGTGGCACATGCCTGTAATTCCAGCTACTTGGGAGGCTGAGGCAGGAGAATCACTTGAACCTGGGAGGTGGAGGTTGCAGTGAGCTGAGATTGTGCCATTGCATTCCAGCCTGGGCAACAAGAGTGAAATTCTACAAAAAAAAAAAAAAAAAAAGTGCTAAAGTCAGAAACTGGATGATGGCTTGAGGAGCCTACACTGACTCCCTCAACTAAGCCCCAGAATATATCCCTACTTTTGCAAAAGAAAATCTGTATGCTTGATAGTCCTTCTAACCATTTCACTTTGTTAGTCCAAACAGAAAAAGACATTGAAGGCTCAACTAAGAGAGATAAGCAGATAGTTGATTAGACTTCAAATTGAACTGATTCAGCAAGATTTAAAATGATTTGGGAAAAGGGGATGGATCCAGACCACACTCTTTTTAGAAGCAAGTCAGGCCTCCATCAGACAGAGCTATGCCCAGCTCTGAGGAGGCCTTTTCCAGCAAATTTTCTTCCCCACTTGAAGCCAAATGTCCCTTGGTCTGCTGTCAGTCCTGGAGACGTGGCGAAGGAAGAGTGGAGGGGGATTGGGCGTTTATCTCTCCATGCAATCAGAGCCATGCAATTATCTTTCTGCATTAATAGAAGGATGGGCAAAGAGAACATGACCCCAACCTTTAATTTCCTCTCATTGTCAACAGAGTGACCCTTCCCCTGGGTGGGAAATCTCAAATTGCTTAATTTTTATGACTTTTATGGCTTTGGCTACCAAATGAGAAAGCGAGAGAGAGATCGAGAGAAAGTTTAAAAGTATTAAGGCTGGGCGCAGTGGCTCACGCCTATAATCCCAGCACTTTGGGAGACCAAAATGGGTGGACAGCTTGAGGACAGGAGTATGAGGCCAGCCTGGGCAACCCCTACCTGCAAAAATAAAAAATAAAAATTAGCTGGGTGTGGTGGTGCATGCCTGTAGTCCAGGCTACTTGGGAGGATCACTTGAGCCCAGGAGTTTAAGGCTGCGGTGAGCTGTGATTGTGTCACTGTACTCCAGCCTGGGTGACAGAGTAAGACCCTGTCTCTAGAAACAGTTATTTTAATTAAAATTAAATTTAAAGTATCAAGTACCTGAAAAAGTGTTTTCTATGTTATCCCTGTTGTATGTCCCTAATGCTGAGAGGAGAGCCCTTGAAAACAAATCTCCCTGCACCTGGTCAGCCTCTTTGCCAATTCACAACCCCAGTAGCCTCCAGTGCACTCAGCTCATCCCACTGGAATGCCCATGTCACATGTTCACGTCCTCATTTAGGGAGAGGGGACAGGGATGCAGACATTTAGTAGATTCTCAAATTTCTAACTTTCTCCTCTTTGGAGTTCTGTAGCTATGTCAGATAATTTTATTATAATGATTCCAATTGTACCTAATCTTCGCTAGATTTAGGAAAAAGAACACCCTCTCTCCCCCAACTAGGTTTCTGAGTTCTGGCATTAGTTTTGTTTTCAAAGTAATGACCAGCACTCCAAGCCTGGATAGCCTTGCTGGAGAACTTTCCACCTGGAGCCCTGCCCATCGGCCCTGCGGGACTTCCTTCAGCTCCTCTGTGGTGAGCACCTTCTGGTTTGGGGATGATTTCTTTAACTTCCCCTAATAATTCCTTCCCCTGGCCACTTCCATCCATCTTTCACACACTGTCTTTAGCATCATTTCCCACAGGAAACCCTCACAGCCGCACGTGCTCCTTGCCCATGCATCTATGGCTCCCCCTGGATGACTCCTAACACACATGCTTTTGGCTGCCTGGTTCTGCTCTGCAAGTCCAGGGATCATATCTATCTTTTCACTGTACCCTGGTGCCTAGCACAATATTTACACTTGGGAGGGGCTCAATAACCTTTGATGACAGTGAAAAAAAGAAGGAAGAGAGGGAGGGAAGGAGGAAGGCAGGAAAAGAGGAAGGAAGGGAAGGAAGAAGGTAGAGAAGAAGGGCAGAAAAAGAGATCAGAGTGGGGCGCAGTGGTGGCTCAAGCCTGTAATCCCAGCACTTTGGGAGGCCGAGGCAGGTGGATTACCTGAGATCAGGAGTTTGAGACCAGCCCAGACATCACGGCCAAACCCTATCTTTACTAAAAATAAAAATGAAAGTAAATAAATAAATAAATAGCCGGGCATGGTGGCACGCACCTGTAGTCCCAGCTACTTGGGAGGCTGAGGCAAGAGAATCGCTTGAACCCGGGAGGCAGAGGTTGCGGTGAGCCAGGATCACTGCCCTCCAGCTTGGGTGACAGAGCGAGACTGTGTCTCAAAAAAAAACCAAAAAAAACAAAAAATAAATAAGAAAAAGAAAAAGATCACTGCAGAGCCATTCCCAATTTGTCATACCCTAAATATACTATCTCTCACTCTTCCCCTTTTTTGTCTCTCCTCATTCTTCTTCTCATAGAAACTCAAAAATTAAAATAAAATTAAAACCAATCTGTCCGTGTGTACCCCAATTTGGTCTGTATTGTGGGGTTTTTGTTTGTTTTTGTCATTCTACACCCTGCCTCCACAAATTCAAGTATATTTCAAAGCCAATGTACTGGACGAGCACGAAGCAGCAGGTCCCTCTCACACACATCCCAATAAATAAATGACAAGATCTGTTGTATTGAAATATGATTTTTTAATTTAGGGCTTGAAAATCTTACGAAAGTTGTTTTAAGTCATCGAATAATTCTATCTGGACAGTGACATTGCAAAACTAATAAAATGAAAACACTAGAAATATTATTTGGAGGTGCAGGGAGATGAGGCACATTTTGGGGCAAAGGTAGAGAAAATGTAGTATTTGGATAGTTAGATGTTTTACTTAGATTTTTGTTTCATTAGCAACTAATGGTTGAGGTGTCTATTTATTTAATGAAGTAGTGGTGTATTTCATTTAATACAAAGAAAGCTTCTCCCCCTCCCCAAGCAATGTAGAAATTGGAACAAAGATACACCAAAGCCCTGTTAGGACATTTTCCACAGGATTAAAAACAAATCCCAAACTGTACAATGCTGTAAGAGAGAGACATTACACTATGTAAGTGTGACTAGATAAAAGTATTTCAAGGAAACTTTCCGTTGCTTTGGAAGAATTTCCCTCTTTTGTGCAGAGAAATCAAGAGAATTTAAAAAAAAGAGGGAATATAATACAATAGCATTATAGAAGAGAATAACACACGTTCACTTGGATTGGTGTCTTCGTCTTTCACTTCTTCACCTTAAGAAATGTAGTGCAGGAGTGGCTGAATTCCAGGACGGGGCAAGAAATAAAGTGCAGTGTAGATTTGTTCACGACAGGAGATTTCAAAAGTCAGAATTACTAAGCCTGGGCGGAAAAATAAGAGAGATTTACTTAGGCATTAAAGATATGTACTAGGCAGTAAAACCGATAGATCCTTATTACATTGTCCCATAAGAGACTGGGCCACTCAGAGAAGTTAATGCTAAGGAAATTTAAAGCAAGTTATAGGAAATACTTTTTCACTTGGTAGAATTCATGCTGAGGAATTTGCTGCCACCGGCAGCCACAAAATCAATCACTGAGTTGGGTTTTTCAAAGGCCCAGGATAATGCAAGACCTACTCTTCTGGTTAGTTGGGGAGGACAGAAGCAATCAATTCGCCTGCTTCTAGGAGATCACAGTTGATTACAAGTGGGGTCAGCAAAAGGATGTCCCCCACACTTGATCAGGATAATTAAAAAGTGTTTGCCCGTGCTCACAGGTCCTAGAAGAAGACTGGAAATAGGATAGGATCAAACGGCCTGATCCAACTTGACAGCTTTTTGACCAGAACAGAGAATTAAGCAACAAACACACACAAATCAATTCCAGCAACAAATTAAAGATGTTCCTCAAATATTTTTTCATAGAAACAATTTTGCTCCTGGTAATAGAAATATTACACAGCGTTTTTGTTTTTAATCTCACTCTCCAACGAGTATTTTCAAAGTGCATCTGCCAAACTTGAAAACAGCTAGCATGCGTAACTTTCTTTTCCCCAAAAGAGAGTAGAGTGTAGTTGAAAAGTTGTGACTAAACTACAAATATTGGCAAGGTGATGTTAATTTTGATGTTATGTTGAATGTCAGTAGGACAGTCCTTTGATAAAGTCATCGCAGTTTGAATTCAGCTTTTTTGTTGTTGTTTTTTAGCTATTATCTTCCCCATCTCTTTAACTTTTTTTTCTTTTATGAAACTAGGATAAGGCCGCCAGGACTTCACTTTGTGCTACTGCAAGTGCATCAAAACCAATATTGTGTCTTTGGCATTCGAATCCATGAACTTCTGGAAGAGAAACCAAAAAGCCATGTCAGGTATGGCTGGAGCCTGCATTTTCATTTGGGAGCAGAAGCATGTCACATAGTCTTCTAAAAAGAGAAATTTTGCTTTAAAAATGACACAACAAAATAAAATGCTGACTGAGTCATGGTAAAAAGCAGTCTTTGAATTTGAATAAAGTGTAGCAGTGCTGCAAAGGCAAAGAAAATGTTTCGTTTTCATTTCTTGAGAATCAGGACGCGTTACAGACTTTAATGGACAATGACCTGTCTGATTTCATTACCTATGTTAAAGAGAAAGCAAAAGTAAAGATAAGGGGAGTCTGAAATCTCTTCCATGGTAAACCACCATAATTTGCAATAGCTGTTATAATTTGTAGCTTAGAGACATGCTTATTTTGATAAGCATGTTTTAGTGAAACATTGTCCTGACTACTTCACCATGGCTTTCCACCACCCTCCCCACCCCACAAAAAAGAGATGAAAGAGTTGCTCTCTTCATGCAAATGTCAGGGGAGTGCTCTCTAGTTGCCATGGCACTGCGCTGGAAGCTCTGCGGGGCATTCCTGAATCTGCTCACAGGACACCTAACCGCTACAGCCTTTTTTGTCGAGGGGGACTCTCTGGAGCCACACCACCTGGGATCCAGTCCTGGCTCTGCCTCTCATCGGCTGGGTTTCCCTGTGGAAGTCATTTACCTCCCCTTGTCTCAATATCCTCACCTGTAAAATGGGCAGAACAATATTGCCTACATCATAGGATTGTTAGAAGTTTAAATCACTATAAAATAACTAGAACTGTGCCTGACACGTTGTGAAGTGCTGAGTCATTGTTGCTTTCATTTAGTCCCCAGAAAGCCCAGTGCTAAAGGAACTTATCTTTCCACTGGGAGACAGAGGAACTGTGGGGTCACTTGCACTTTCATGGACTTGGGGGTAGGCGTGGGAGAAGTTTTCACTGTTCTACTCTCTCCCTATTTTGGCCCTAACTTCTTATGTCCCTCTCCTGCCAGGTTTCTCCTAGAATTCTGCACGCCATAAACCAGCCAAGTTCACTCCATCCTCACAGCCCTTGCATCTTCTCTTTGGGCCTGGAATAGTTGCCTCTTCCCTCCTCCCAGCAAACTCTGACTTGCTAATCCACAGTCATTGGTCAGCCCTCTGCTTAGATGTCACCATCTCTGAGAAGAGTTCCCACAGTCTGAGTTCAGTGCTCCTCATGCGTGTGCTCCCATTCTCTCTATACTTCCATCACCATCCTTCATTGCCTGTTTACTTTTCTGTATCCACCATGAGAGAGCAAGCTCACTTGGCAGGGATTAGGTCTTGCTCTTCCGCTGAGTTTCATTTCTGACAGGCTGTTCAATGGTCCTGAATGAATGCAAGAATCAACCAAGTTCAACAGGAAAGGCTGCACCTTCCCAGAACATGCTATTTTCATTTGCCTTTACTCTACAAAACCGCCAGGGTCTATCCAAATGAAATTGATGTTTTGACCACTACTGTATTCAAAGCCAACATTACAGAAGAACCAATGTTGGAGGTATATGGAAATAATTGGTTCATCTCTAATAAAACTAACACTGGGAAAAATTCATAATGCACTAAAACTGAGGAAAGTTCAAAACAAAGTAAAATAGGAGAAATGCTTTCATTGGAGCTTACTTAGTCTAAGAAGAAAGACTCAGATGGGTGTTTTTGTTTCACTGTTTTTAACATGGCTATATACTTAATTATTGAATCAAATTGTAGAGTTTACATTTCTCTCTTAGAATATACCAAATACTCTTACTCTTACAATCTTTGGAACATATACAACATATACTTGGCTTTGTGATGGACAATCAGAATGGGAAGAAAAGCTATCAGAAGGCAAGCTTAGCAAGGTAAACAACCGATTGGGGCAATTCACCCTTGCCTCCTACCCATGCTTGAAAGATATGGTTGATAGAGGCAGAAGCTTGGCACAGCACAGACGAATGATTCAGTTCTTCATTTCTCTTTGTGAATGCAGGTTGAATCTGGATTTGGACATATACAACAACAATAACATAACTGATATATTCAAGCAGGAGAGATATATGAGGCCCTGCCAAGTGCCATTCATGCGTTACTTCATTTAATCATCACAAGAATCCTATGAGGCAAAAAATGATTTAACAACATATAGATGAGTAATTTGAGGCTATGTGATTAAGAAATCTGCCTGAGGTCACACAACCAGCAATCAGCAGAACCAGGCTTCAAACCTGGATTCCAGAGTTTTTCCCACTCACTTCTAGCCAACACTGCCACCCTCACCCAAACTCAGGCACCTTGAGAAAAACCTGAGGTCTAGAATCTGAAGACTCACATTAATTATTGCTCATATCAGCTTGAGTAGTTCACCTCATCTCTCTAGATCTCTATTTCATCACCTATGATATGAGAATAATAATATAATCTGCCCTACCTGCCTTCCAAAGCTTCCGTGATAATAAGTGAGACGGTTTACATGCCAGAAGTTAGGAAACAGGAACGTGTGATACAAATATCGGTTGATAAATTTTATTTAAAAGCATAGTCTGGGCCAGGCACAGTGGTTCATACCTGTAATCCCAGCCCTTGGGGAGGCTGAGGAGAACAGACCGCTTGAGCCCAGGACTTTGAGGCCAGACTGGACAACATGGCAAAACCCTGTCTCTACTAAAAATACAAAAGATTCACTAGGCATGGTGGCACATGCGTGTAGTCCCAGCTACTTGGGAAGCCGAGGTAGGAGGAGCAATGGAAGTCAAAAATGCAGTGAGCCATGATCGCGCCACTGCACTCCAACCTGGGTGACAGAAGAGAGACCCTGTCTCACAAAAAAAAAAAAAAAAAAGCATAGTCTGTTGGGTTTGTATGAATTTACCTGGTCTGTAGGGAGTATTTTACTTGTGACAGTTGAAAATCTGTTCCACCCAAGCCAAATATGATCAATAGATGATAGTGATGGACTTTGCCCACACAGATTAATGGATGTGATTTGAAGGAGGAAGTGGCTGTCCCATAACCATACACTCCAGGCTTGAGGAAACAGTAATTGCCACCTGTAGAAAAACAGGACACAAAGACAACATGCCCATGCTAAACATAGTTGTGCTTGGAATCAACACTGCTTGCAGATTAAGCAAAGGTGAATCACAGGGATTTCCCGGGAGTTAAAAAATAATCTTATCTAAAGAACAGACCAGCATCTTTACATCCATATATTAACAAATATCCAAATATTTATTTATCTGGAGAACGCTGATCACTGACAAGGTTTTAAAATTTTGTTTTATAGCCTACATAACTTCTCTCCACCAATATATTTTTCTGTAAAAATTGCCGCAGAAGATGTTATCTAATCCTACTACATGTGCAAAGCTCTGGGGAAATGTAGTGTTAAAGAGAACGTAACTTGAAAACATTTCGTCTATTAGATTTTTCCACCTGTCCTTAGCATCATAACCCTCTTTGCTTTCAGTTAAGCAAAGCCAAGTCACCCTTGACTATAATCATTTATGTTCCCTCCTGCATTTGTTGAGTACTGAAGCATGTAGTTGAGTACTAGAACAGATATCTGTAATTTTTCTCTGTCCAGCATACATTCCCTGTTTATATAGCACTTTGATTTTCCTTTAGGGTACCATTCCCTTTCTCCTTTTTTGGTCCTTCCTTAAGGTTTAAGTAGTGCTAACTCCATCCATTGTTTCCAGCAGTTGGCAGGTGACCTAAGCCCAGCCAATCAGAATGATGGTGATTTTTTTCAAGCCTGGATATGTTATCCAGTCAAGACCTATGGATATCAACTCTGAAATGTTTAATGCAACTATTGAGAAAGAGGCTAAACTAGTAAGATATAATTTGAAATGTTAGTAGCCATCTGCGCTGACATTTCAAGAGAATCTACTAGAGAATGAAGCCAACACAAAGAAAAGCAGAGCCAAGAGATAAAAAAATAGTTTCCTATTGTATTTGCATACTTAGCTCTTTCCCTGATCTTTTCCATTATATATGCTAATGCATTCTTTTTTAAATTAGGCCAGTCTCTAGTGAGGTTCTATTACTTGCAACTGAAGGCAATCTCACTAATCTAAAATAATTTATCAGTTGTGCAAAATTCACAGTTGTTACATCTGTAGTCTGTCAGGACCCCGATAGCTTCTAAGGAATAGGGAGTAGAAATAGAAAGAAAATATGTAGAGCTGGATTTTCTCCTTTTGTTTCACTTCCTTCTCTGTTCCTGATCATCTCATTATGTTGAGTATTTTATACACAGAGCACATGTAATATAACAACTTCTTTCTGTTGATTATGGCAAGAAGTCCAAGCTGGAGCTCTCCATTTACCCAATCCCACCACACCCCAGGTTTCCACAGCTGTAGCTGAGCCCTACAACTTCATCCTCACCACTCACACCACCCTAGAGCACTCTGATTGTGCTTCATGGTAGACAATGAGGCCATCTATGACATCATCTGCCATAGAAATCTCAATATTGAGCACCCAACCTACACTAACCTTAACTGCTTTATTAGCCAGATTGTGCCTTCCATCACTGCTTCCTTCAGATTTGATGGAGCCCTGAATATTGATCTGACGGAACCTCAGACCAATCTGGTACCCTATCCCCACATTCACTTCCCTCTGCTCACATAGGCCCCTAATATCTCTGCTGAGAAAGCCTACCATGAAAGCTTACTACAGCAAAGATCACCAATGCTTGTTTTGAGCCAGTCAATCTGATGGTAAAATCTGAGTCTTACCATGGTAAATACATGGCTTGCTGCCTGTTGTACCATGATGTTGTACCATGAAGTACATGGTAAATACATGTACTTGCTGCCTGATGTACCAGATGTTCCCAAATATGTCAATGCTGGCATTGTCACCCTCAGGACCAACCACAGCATCCACTTTGTGGATTGGTGTCCCACTGGCTTCAAGGTTGGCATCAATTATCAGCCTCCCAATGTGGTACCCGGTGGAGACCTGGCCAAGGTACAGAGAGCTGTGTGTATGCTGAGCAACACCATTGCCATTGCTGAGGCCTGGGCTCACCTGGACCACAAGTTTGACCTCACATATGCCAAGTATGCATTTTTTCACTGGTACATGGGTGAAGGGATGGATGAAAGAGTACCTCAAAGTAAAGGCTTTAAGATTTTAAAAAAGGGGAAGAATCTAGAAAAAGCATTCTAGATTAAGAGCCAAATTATGCTCCTTACCCTGCTACTAAAGAGCTGTTGGTGCTTGAAAAAAGTCATCCAACTATTTCTGTTCACACCAAGAAGAAACCTACAATCGAGGAAAAGGGAAGGAAATGATTGGCTTGTGCTCTAGCATTGGTCTTACAGATCAAAGCTCTGGATTTATTTTTTTTATAGTACCAACTTCTATTTTAGATTCAGGGGGTACATGTGCAGGTTTGTTACATGGGTATATTGCATAATGCTGTGGTTTGGGGTATGAATGATCCCATTACCTAGATACTGAGCATAGTACCCAACAGTTAGTTTTTCAACCCCTGTCCCCTTCTCTCCATCCCGCTTCTAGTAGTACCCAGTGTCTGATGTTGCCATCTTTATGTCCATGAGCACCCAATGTTTAGCTCTCACTTATAAGTGAGAATAATCAGTGTTTGGTTTTCTGTTCTGGCATTAATTCACTTAGGATAAATGCCTCCAGCTGCATCCATGGTGCTGCAAAGGACATGATTTCATTGTTTTCCATGGTTGTGCAAAGCTTTGGATTCTAATCCTAATGTCACCATTGGCTGGTTTTGTGAGCTTGAGCACATTGTGTCATTGTCGTGGGTATCTATAAAATTAAGTCAGTGACAGTGAGCCTGCTTATCTCAGATAAATTATGGTGAAGCAAGAGAGAAAAGACATTTGAAAATGCTTTGAGAAGTTTAAGGTTCTGAGTACATGCACGATATTGTTACTAGTAATAGTAACAGTAAATGTCAAAGTTTCACATTTGTCTGAATAAGAGAGAGAAAATTTCCCTCATCATGGCATTAGAGGATATGGCCTGGAAAGCACAGTGAGGTCATTCTTCTTCTACTTTTTTTATTTTTATTTTTATTTATTTATTTTTTTAGACAGGATCTCTCTCTGTCACCCAGGAGGTAGTGCAGTGGCACAATCACAACTCACTGCAGCCTCAACCTCTGAGGCTTAAGTGATCCTCCCACCTCCTCCTCCAGTTCTTAAAAATGGAGAAAAACTAACCCTATTCATTTACTTAACAACGTTTTTTGATGCCAAGGACTTTCTACTTTAATAAGGTATAATTTATATTTTTTATATTTAATTTTTGTCTTTTTAAAACTGCCTTTATGTTCTGCCTGAAAGAACTTTACCTACCCTATGTTCTTAAAGATAGTCTCTTTTTTACTTCTAGAAATGTACAATTTTTGCTTTTACTTTAGATCTACAGTCAGTTTGAAATTATTGTTTCTTTATGTGAAATATAGGTCCCACAATTTTTACTTGGCTAGTCAGTTGCTCCAGACCATATACGGCACACACACACAAAATTCATTGAACCACCTTGTGTACTTGGTGAAAATTAACTGACCAGGCTGGGCTCAGTAGCTCACACCTCTAATCCCAGCACTCTGGGAGGCCAAGGCAGGCAGATTACGAGGTCAGGAGATTGAGACCATCCTGGCCAGCATGATGAAACCCTGTCTCTACTAAAAATAACAAAAATTAGCCAGACGTGGTGGCAGGCACCTGTAGTCCCAGCTACTCTGGAGGCGGAGGCAAGAGAATCGCTTGAACCCGGGAGGCGGAAGTTGCAGTGAGCCAAGAGTGCACCACTGCACTCCAGCCTGGGTGACACAGGGAGGCTCCGTCCCCCACCAAAAAAAAGGAAAAAAAAGAAAAAGAAGATTAACTGACCATGTATTCGTGGATCTATTTCAGAACTCTATTTGTTGCATTAGTCTACTTGTCTAATCCTGCAGCATGCAACACTGCTTAATTATTTTATTTTATTTTATTTTTGAGACAGGGTATCACTCTGTCACTCAGGCTGGAGTGCAGTGGCATAATCACTCAGGTTCACTGCAGCCTCAAACTCCTTGGCTTGAGTGATCCTCCTGCCTCAGCTTCCTGAGTAGCTGGGACTAGAGGCATTCACTACCATGCCTGGCTAATATTTTTTATTTTTTGTAGAGATGGGGTCTCACTATGTTGCCCAGGCTGGTCTCCACCTCCTGGATTCAAGAGATCCTCCCACTTCAGCCTCCCAAAGTGCTGGGATTACAGGCATGAGCCACTGCACCCAGCCAAGGTCATCTTTTCTATTCGTGTTTAATGATTTATCTATAGCTCTGCAACATGTCTGTGCCATCAGCTCCTACATAGAAAAGAGTAACTACTATACAACGACAAGAAAAAAAATGACCTGTTACCAAAAGAACTGGGTTCTAGTGCTAGCTCTGCCACTAGCTTCCTTTGTGACCTAGTGTACCAGCTTTCTCTAGCCCTCAGTTTTCTTTATCTACATAATAAAAGGATTAAATTATGTAATGTGGTGGCCATCAAGAATGCTCACCAATGTCTGGCTCTCCTCTTCCTTCCAAGCACACAGAAGACTATACTTTTCATACCCCATTCTAGTTATGCTCAGCCGGGTGACTAGTTCTGGCCAAGAGGATATAAGCAGAAGAAACATGTGTTATTTCTGGATATTTCATTGCCCATGAGAGATATTCCAGTGCTCTCTTCCCCTGCTGTGGCCACAAAGTATACCACTAATTTGATTTGGTCCAGTTATTGATAGCATTGCCTCTATCATCTTGGGCCCTTTAGTGGGTATGTGAAATAGAATCACCATGTCAACATGCAATTGATATGTAATGTGACTGAGAAATGAGCCTGAGAAATTGTTTTGTTAAACTATAAATATTTTAGTGCTAAGTTGTTACAGCAGCATAATCTGGCTTATCCTAACTAATACAGGTAATTTCTATATTTTCTCTCAATTTTCATATACTGCAATGCTATATATATATGTTTTCTACACTTAAAGAATGAATTTCGAGCAAAAAGAAGCTGCAAATCTCACAGATCTGCTAAGATATTTTTTAAATAAGTTACATGAGAGATGAGTGTAAGGAGAGGCACCATGGAGTTTGTCTACCACTGTGAGAATAGGAGGACATTCTACAAGATCTTGTTAAATATGTCTTCTAATTCTTCCCATCAGGACTTTAAAAAATAAATTAAAAGATGTACTCTATATTACTAAGTATCAGAAAATAGATGTCAAATGTGAAAGACACATGTGCTAATACAAAAATGTGCAGAATGTAAATGTAGGTTTAATATAGACATAGTATTTAATGCATTAGTCATATTTATTTGCAGATGTCATCCAAAGGACTTAAATAATAAGCACACTTTAATAAATCTAGCAAATAACATCATATTCCTAACTGTGCTCATCCTATCTTTCTTTACCCTCTTTACCAAGGAGTATGTTCAAACTGGCTGACGTAAAATAAATTTCACGTATTCATGCTTTTTGAGGTATTTTGTTTATTTGTTTGTTGTTTGTCTGTGTGTTTGTTTTTGCCAAAAGATGAGAAGACCCATTCAAGGAAATGCCAAATAGATGAGAATAAGAATAATGATGTGTTTGTGGCCAAAGAGCAAGCCAAACGAAAAGGATAATTTGTCCACTTTATCCAAAGACTTACTTGATTTTATTGAGCCCAAATAAGCCCTAGACCTCTACTCAAATATAAATGGATTCATCTGAAACAAGCTCATTTGCTTGGCAACTTCCAAAGTGCCTCTGCTACGGAAGTATGTGACATGAGTAAGAAAAAAGAAGAAAAGAAAGGAACCAAAATGGTTCCAGTCCCTCTTGTTTTCTTAGCTCCTACCTCACCATGAGTGAGAGATGGACAGAGGAGAAAGGAAGGGAAAAAAATGAACAAAACTGGCTAAGGCAGGAGGATCGCTGGAGCCCCGAAGCTCAAGACCAGCCTGGGCAGCCCAGGGTGACCTCATCTCTACAAATAATTTTTAAAAAATTAGTTGGGTTTCATGGCACATGCCTATGGCTCCAGCTACTTAGGAGGTTGAGGCAGGAGGACTGCTTGAGCCTAGGAGGTCAAGGCTATAACGAGCCATAATCACACCACTGCCCTCAGGCCTGGGTGACAGAGTGAAACCCCGAAAAAAAAAGGAAGGAAGAAAGAAAGAAAGAGAGAGAGAGGAAGGAAGGAAGGAGGGAAGGAGGGAACGAAGGAAGGAAGGAAGGAAGGAAGGGGAGGGTGAAAGTAGAGGAAGAAATTGGCAAAGTGAGAAGGGTTAGTAAGATAAACAGAAAGAAGGGAAATGCAGAGAGGCTCACAGTTTCAATTATGGTCAAGTTAAGGTGAAGCAGCCAACTAATGAACAAGAAAACATTTCTTGACTCTTTTACTAAATGGCCCTGAAATGTTTTAGTTGAGCTAGTTCTGCAATGGCCCCTATACCTCACCTCTCAGAAGTGTAGGTTAGAGACGTGCAGGAACCACCATTAAGGTCACTTTGGTGCAAGAGGAGCCTCCAAATGGTCTCTTAAGAGAGACCAACCAACGGGCAGAAACACTGTGGGATGGAAGGCCATGTGGAGTGTGAGGACGCAGCACAGAGACTGCTACTGTGTCCATGTTGCCTTTATCCCATCTCACCAAGCTCCTCCTAGAGCAGCTGAGAAGGCCAACAATACTCCAATCATTCCTCCTGACTCTAGATTTTCAGACAATTCCGCCGTACTGATGTTTAGGTAAAAGGAGGGAGGTGCACATAAGCAGGAAAGTGTTCTAACAATGTAGGAGACTTGAAAACCTCCGAGCCCAGCCTAACCAACATGGTGAAACCCTGACTCTACTAAAAATACAAAATTAGCTGGGTGTGGTGGTGCATGCCTGTAATCCCAGCTACTTGGGAGGCTGAGGCAGGAGAATCGCTTCAACCTGGGAGGCAGAGGTTGCAGTGAGCCGAGAACACACCATTGCACTCCAGCCTAGGCGACAGAGTGAGACTCCATCTCAAAAAAAAAAAATAAGTAGCTAACTTTTTTTTTCAAGATAGGGTCTCAGTCTGTTACCCAGACTGGAGTGCAGTGGCAGGATCACAGTTCACTGCAGTCTTGACCTTCCAGGCTCAAGTAATTCTCCCACACCAGCCCCTGAGTAGCTGGGACTACAGGCATGTGCAACTACGCCTAGCTAGTTTTTTGTGTTTTTTATAGAGACAGGATTCTGCCATGTGTCTCAGGCTGCTCTCAAACTCCTGAACTCAAGCAATACTCCCACCCTGGCCTCCCAAAGTGCTGAGATTACAGTCGTGAGCCACCGGCGCCCAGACTTTTTTTCTTTTCTTTTTCTTTTTCTTTTTCTTTTCTTTTTTTTTGAGCTAACAATTTTTCAAGTACCTACTACATGCCAGGCAATAAGCTCAACCTTTTGCTTGCTTTGTGTAATTTAAAATCTCTACAACTAGCTAGTCATGGTGGGTGTGCCTCTAGTCCTAGTCACCCAGGAGACTGAGGCAGGGGGATCACTTGAGCCCAGGAAGTCTCAAGGCTGCAGTGAGTCATGATCGCACCACTGCACTCCAGCCTGGGTGGGACGGAGCAAGACCCTGTCTCAAAAAAACCCAAAAAACTCTAAATCATAGTGTTACTTGCTCAATTTATAGATGAAGAAAATAAGGTCAAAAGGATTCAGTGAGTTCTACAAATTCTCACAGTTTGTAATGGCAGTGGTAGGATTCTAACCCAGATCACCTGACCCCCAAACCAGCTTTGGCCACACTTCACACTGCACAGACTATGAGTAAGCTACATTTCCCCCAAATTGTTCCCAGTAACCATTGAATGCCTTGCATTATTTACACCCATCCTTATTATTCCTTATTAGTTCAGTGATCGGTCTCATTCTCACCAATGATTACTTTAAGTATGTCAGTATTAAAATAACTTCTCTCCTTTCACTAACCCTTCACCTTTCTTGGTCATCTATATCTAACTAACCCAACAACTGGGTTTTAACCTCTATAGCAGAGAGTCTTTCAGGGAGAAATTCAATAAATATATTTTTACGAAAGCTTGGCAGATACTTAACTGGGCTCACAAGTATTTCATAGTTGAATAAAGTGGTTCATTGACAAATAGTAGCAGTAATAAACATTTGTTGAATGATTGAATGATTGAATGTTTAATAATTAAAGAGATCCTCTCTCAGAAACACTCTTCTGTTAAGCTACTTTCAAAGAGGCTATACAAATGAGAAAGGTGTAGAAGGACATAAATAAAATTTTTTATTTATTCATTTTAATTTATGCCTTCCACAAATATTTATTCAGTGCCTTTTCTAGCCAATACCAGACACTGTACTAATTCCACTGATAGGGTTGTGTACTAGTTGTCTATTGCTATGTAAAAAATTAACTGAAAGTTTGGCACGTTAAAATAACAAACATTTATTTTCTCCCAGTTTCTGAGGGTCAGAAATCTGAGAGTGACGTAGCTGGGTGGTTTCAGTTCAGGGTCTCTTCAGAGGTTGCAGTCAAGCTGCTGGGTGGAGCAGAGGTCATCTCAAGAGTTGACTGTGGTAGAAGGACCTGGTTCCAAGCTCACTCTCACAGTTGGCAGGCCTCTGTTCCTTGCGGTAATTGGCAGAGACTTCAGTTTCTCACCATGTGGGCCTTTCTGTAAGGCTTCCCAGAGCCAACGATCCAAGACAGGAAGAAAGAGAAAGAGCATACACCCACGCCAGAGCCAGAATGGATTTTTTATTACCCAGCTTTTTATTACCCAGCCTCCAAAGTTGTACAATGTCACTTCTGGGACTTAGGCTCCACCTCTTGAAGTCGGGAGAATCAGGCAATTAGTGGATACAATTTTAAAACTACCAAGAAGAAGCCAGGCCCAGTGGCTCATGCCTGTAATCCCAGCACTTTGGGAGGCCTAGGCAGGAGGATTACTTGATGCCAACAGTGTGAGACCAACTCGGACAACGTAGTAAGACCTCGTCTCTTAAAAATTTAAAAATGGCTGGGCACAGTGGCTCACGACTGTAATCCCAGCACCTCGGGAGGCTGAGGCGGGTGGATCACCTGAGGTCAGGTGTTCAAGATCAGCCTGACCAACATGGAGAAACACCGTCTCTATTAAAAATACAAAATTAGCCGGGCATGGTGGGGCATGCCTGTAATCCTAGCTACTCAGGAGGCTGAGACAGAAGAATTGCTTGAACACAGGAGGCGGAGGTTGCAGTGAGCTGAGATCGCACCATTCCACTCCAGCCTGGGCAACAAGTGCGAAACTCCATCTCAGAAAAAAAAAAAAAAAAAAAAATTAAAAAATTAGTCGGGCACACCGCATTGCCAAGACAATCCTAAGCCAAAAGAACAAAGCTGGAGGCATGACACTACCTGACTTCAAACTATACAAGGCTACAGTAACCAAAACCGCATGGTACTGGTACCAAAACAGAAATATAGACCAATGAAACAGAACAGAGCCTCAGAAATAATACCATACATCTACAACCATCTGATCTTTGACAAACCTGACAAAAACAAGAAATGGGGAAAGGATTCCCTATTTAACAAATGGTGCTGGGAAAACTGGCTAGCCATATGGAGAAAGCTGAAACTGGATCCCTTCCTTACACCTTATACAAAAATTAATTCAAGATGGATTAAAGACTTAAATGTTAGACCTAAAACCATAAAAGCCCTAGAAGAAAACCTAGGCAATACCATTCAGGACATAGGCATGGGCAAGGACTTCATGACTAAAACACCAAAAGCAATGGCAACAAAAGCCAAAATTGACAAACGGGATCTAATTAAACTAAAGAGCTTCTGCACAGCAAAAGAAACTACCAACAGAGTGAACAGGCAACCTACAGAATGGGAGAAAATTTTTACAATCTATCCATCTGAGAAAGGGCTAATATCCAGAAACTACAAATAATTTAAACAAATTTACAAGAAAAAAATCAAACAACCCCATCAAAAAGTGGGTGAAGTATATGAACAGACACTTCTCAAAAGAAGACATTTATGCAGCCAACAGACACATGAAAAAATGCTCATCATCACTGGCCATCGCAAAAACGTAAATCAAAACCACAATGAGATACCATCTCACACTAGTTAGAATGGTGATCATTAAAAAGTCAGGAAACAACAGGTGCTGGAGAGGATGTGGAGAAATGGGAAAACTTTTACACTGTTGGTGGGACTGTAAACTAGTTCAGCCATTGTGGAAGACAGTGTGGCGATTCCTCAAGGATCTAGAACTAGAAATACCATTTGACCCAGCCATCCCATTACTGGGTATATACCCAAAGGATTATAAATCATGCTGCTATAAAGACACACGCACACATATGTTTATTGCAGCACTATTCACAATAGCAAAGACTTGGAACCAACCCAAATGTCCATCAATGATAGACTGGATTAAGAAAATGTGGCACATATACACCATGGAATACTATACAGCCATAAAAAAGGATGAGTTCATGTCCTTTGTAGGGACATGGGTGAAGCTGGAAACCATCATTCTGAGCAAACTATCTCAAAAACAGAAAACCAAACACTGCATGTTCTCACTCATAGGAATTGAACAATGAGAACACTTGGACACAAGATGGGGAACATCACACATGGGATAGCATTAGGAGATATACCTAATGTAAATGACGAGTTAATGGGTGCAGGACACCAACATGGCACCTGTATACATATGTAACAAACCTGCACATTGCGCACATGTACCCTATAACTTAAAGTATAATAAAAAAATTAAAAATGTAGTTGGGCACAGTGGCATATACCTGTAGTCCTAGCTACTTGGGAGGATCTCTTGAGCCAAGGACTTCCAGGTTGAAGTGAGCTATGATTGCACACTGCACTCCAGCCTGGGTGACACAGTGAGACTCTGTCTCCAAAAATTAATTATAAAAAAAAACTACGGAGGGGGAGTTCATTAGAAGGGGAAACTGTTAAATTTTATTCATATACTTTTAAATATCTTAACCAATTATAATTGTAACCTAATTTTCCATTAATAGACAGTATATAGCCATATACTCAGGATGAGAAAGGAGATAATTAGACATGGGTCAGGGGTGGGGTTGATCTTCCTCTCCTTTCTCACCCTCTCCACAGAAGACCAAGAAAGCTTCCATCTCTCATGGAGATCTTTGTTATCTTTTGATAAGAGATTCTATTTTCCATTCCTATGTCAAGGTATTGCATAGACACAAAATTCCAGCAAGGTTGCAAACCTCAGTAGTGCAGAGACAGTGGAGGAAACTCAAGACGATACAGAAAAGGCCATCAAAATGGTTATCAGGGAACCTAGAAACTGCCATATAAATGTATTTCCCAATGAATTTTAACATCCAAATTCATTTAACTTTTAATGGTCTGACTATATTTTGACCTGCTGAACTGTTTCTCAGATTCAAATTTTCGTCATTGTCCTTCACATCAAATAATGAATTCTGAAGCACAGTTTCCATCTGTCAGTTTAGAGAATGCAGCATCTCATCTCTGTATTGAAATCAAGTCCCTCTCACCTTTCAACAGCCAAAGAACCACTTCATCGTCAGCAACGTGGAAAGCCACAAATCAGTTAAACTTACCTCGCGTTTATGAGTACCCATGAATTGCACTTACAATGGTTGTACAAAAGGGTATGGTAGTGCCGGCTTCTCAACAAAGGCTCCCAAGTCAGGTAAGGGCACATCTGGGGTCAGTGATACTTTCCCTATTTGTCCCGTCTGTGACTCAGGCGGAGTTCTTCAGTTTTTTTCTCGGGCCCACTGCCACATCAACATTGCAATATTCCTTGTCACTGTATTTAAATCTAAGAAGAAAACCGCATGCAGGTTTTTGAAGAGCCACATGTGGCTAAGAAAGCCTCAGGTTGGAATGCGGCCCTGTAATCCCCTCACAGGGGTGGAGAGGAAACAGCTCCAGAGAGGGTTCCAAATACACACCAATGCCCCTTCGAGCTACGTTTTGCATTTCGTTTTCTGCTTTAAAATCTCTATTGGCTTCACCTCTGAGAAGGCTTAAGAACATAATTTATTCCATATAAGGTTCCCCGTAATTTATGCTCAGTAAATTGGCAGCATAGGAAGAATTTTTCATTGACTACCATGGAAGATTATTAAAGGCCATCTTGTGCAAGCAAAGACAGTTCAAGCAGCCATACGTCACACAAAAGGAAATTTCCTAGCATCCTGTGTTTTAAATGAAAATAATTTATATCTTTTGAATTTATAAATGTATAATTTTAGTTTTTACGCAATTGCCCATTCACACAAAATTCTTCTCTAGACAGTCCAACTCCAGGATACACTTCACCTTTTATAGTCCCTCTTCCTCAAAACCGGGTAAATCCAAGAAAACCTGAGGTCTATAATTCACTCTACTTCTGTATTTTTTTTTCAGTTTTAGATTTATGCCAAGATAATAGCTCACTGTCCTAAAATGCTGGCTTTCTTGACAGGTAAATATTAACTCTTTGTTCTCAGCTTTGTCTTTCTCAGCAAGTGACAGAATAGTACCAGCTCTTCCATTGGTTTGTCCGTTGATGAAAAACGGATTGAATTTGTGCGCACAAGGCCAAGTTCTATGGTTGCAAAGTAGGAACTGTGTTCCATTATTCAGGTACAAACTCACAAACATCTAGATATTTATAGTTTTTATTCCAATGATTAATGAATGTTTCATGTTCCTCTCTTTTTGTTTTTGTATTCAATAAATACAGCTGTGGGTTGAAGGATGTTATTTGTAATTATTCCATAATGAAATAATAGGACTTCTGTCCTTATTATTTCTTAGGAATATTTGCACTGAGAGTATTAAATTGATGTATTTGTTGTAATAATTATTTAGATTCCTAGATATAGGCATCTGTGCATGAACATAATTCTCCAAAGTGGCAGAGGGTACTATATTGGCTTCATATTAGAATCATGAAAGTGAAGTTGTCAGCTGGGCACAGTGGCTCATGCCTGTAATTCCAACATTTTGGGAGGCCAAGGCAGGAGGACTGAGCACGGAAGTCTGAGACCAACCTAGACAACATAGTGAGACCCCATCTCAACAAAAAATTAAAAATTAACTGGGTGTGGTGACAAGCACCTATATTTCCAGCTACTTGGGAGGATGAGCTGGGAGGATCACTTGGGCCCAGGAGGTCAAGGGTACAGTGAGCTATAATTATGCCACTGCATTCCAGTCTGGGCAGTGGAGCAAGACCCTGTCCAAAAAAAAGAAAAGAAAGAGAAGGAAGGAAAGAAGGAAGGAAGGAAGGGAGGAAGGAAGGAAGGAAGGAAAGAAAGAAAGAAAGAAAGAAAGAAAGAAAGAAAGAAAGAAAGAAAGAGAAAAGAAAGGAAGGAAGGAAGGAAGAAAAATTAGTCATTTTTTTAAGACAAAATTAGTCATTTTTTAAAAGAAATTTTAGACATAGGGTCTCACTATGTTGCCCAGGCTGGACTTGAACTCCTGGGTTCAAATGATCCTCCCACCTCAGCCTCCTGAGTAACTGGGACTACAGGCAAATGCCATGGTACCCAGGTAATCCATTTTTGATAGACTTGCCACCTAGTGCAGGATTGCCAATTGACCGAAAGCTAGATTTCCCATCTTTTGCATTTTTGTCATTCAATCTCATCTGAATCTCTTGTAACAGGCCTCAGGAATCATATTTTAGTATTGATAATAAGAGAGCTTGCTTCTGTCCTTGTCACTGGAGTCCCATAACCCTCAAAATTTGGCCTGTCTTTGAGTCATCTGTTGGTGACTGGATGATATTTGTACAGTACCTCGTCTGTCTGGATACAAAGACACAAGCCAGTATCTCTGAAATGATTGTCAAGGCTAACATGGTCTTTTCAACTCAAAGCAAACAAAAGCTATAAATTTCTTTACTGAAAATGTTTACTGCTCCCTACAGCTATGAACAGCATTAAACATAATGCTCAAAAATGCATTCTATTTCACTTGTGAAGTCCTTTGCAATTTGAATTCTAAAAAGAGAAATCACAAGAGAGATAAAGTGGTGAGGAGAATTTTTTTAATGAAGAATATATTTAGAAAGGAAGAATGAGAAGATATCTTGTCACTGAGACAGTGGGAATTTGAAATTACTCCAAGCCAGGGAGCCAATAGAGTGTCTAAAACATAAGGTAGAATTCAGAGGGAGCTGATCGTGTTTTGATCTCATGTAATGCTTTTCTTCATGCTTGTTTCCAAGATCTAATTGGTGTCTACCTTGGAAAATGTTAACTAATGCAGAGCCATGGTGAAAAGAAGAGCATCAGAACTTCTTGGATGAATTCCTCTACCTACGTAGATCTTGACCTTTCCCTGGGACAGTAACCATAAGATCCTAACTATTAAGAACCCAGGTTGGCTGGGCACAGTGGCTCACACCTATAATCCCAGCACTCTGGGAGGCTGAGGAAGGCGGATCACGAGGTCAAGAGATCAAGACCATCCTGGCCAACATGGTGAAACCCCGGCTCTACTAAAAATACAAAAACTAGCTGCTCATGGTGATGCGTGCCTGTAGTCCCAGCTACTCAGGAGGCTGAGGCAAGAGAATCGCTGGAACCCAGGAGGCAGAGGTTGCAGTGAGCCGAGATCACACCACTGCACTACAGCCTGGCAACTCCGTCTCAGAAAAAAAAAAAAAGAACCCAGGTCATTGCCATTCCCTAAGTTATCTAAACTTTATATGGAAGTCATGGGGCAAAGAAAGAGTAGAGTGGTGAAATCATGTGTCACTGCAGCCAGCAACTCCCCAGGTTCGGGTGATTCTCTCACCTCAGCCACCTGAGTATCTGGGACTACACATGCATGCCACCATGCCCTGTTAATTTTCTATTTTTTATAGGTGGCATTTCATCATGTTGCCCAGGCTGATCTCGAACTCCTGGGCTCAAGCAATCCTCCCACCTTGGCCTCCCAAAGTGTTGGGATTACAGGCATGAGCCACCTTGCCCGGCCAGATATTGTCTTCTTAATCCACTCTTTAGTCTAACTAAGAAAATATCTTGACTAATGTTCAGACTATACATAAAATGACAAATAACAACTACAACGAGAAAACATACACATAAAGATTATGTTACGTTTCAGTCCTGTGAGATTCTGTCATGGCTCTGAAGGGTAGAACGACCAATATAAAGAGCATGATTGAGACTTTACTATCACTCTGAGAAGTGACTAAAGTAACAAATGTGACGGCATTGATTTAAAGCCTCTTGGCCGGTGATTTTCACATTGGGTGCTCTTGAGTTTCTTGGAGGTGACTGTCCAAGGTCAACGGAGAGTACAGAGTTTAACATCTGCATTCAGGCCCTTCAGTTCTGCCAGGCTGGTCCCGCCATAAATAAGAGCCAGTTGGACAATAGCTACTTTATGCAATCCCAATTAAAAACCCCAAATGCAAACATAAAAAGATATTCAGATGCTCCAGCTATCATTAACACAAATTAAAAACCAATATTCTTAAACTTGCATCATGCATTCATTCATAATATACGGAGCTCTTGTGTGACTGGCACTATTCCAGGGGCTGGGAACATAAGTGAATCAGCCGTACTCCCAGCCTCCAAGGAGCTTCCAGCCCGGAGGGACAGAGAGACCCGTAGGGAACTAACCAAAACAGCATGTTTTATCTGTTCTGATAGGCACAAGCACTGAGGAGGAAGCCAAAGGTACCAATATTTCTGGCATTTGTTCGAAGTTAAGAATACATTCTGGCAGGATTTTTTTTTTTTTTTTTTTTTTTTGGCCATAGTTCTCCATGTACTAATCTCTGTTATTTCCACAACCTTGTCTACTTTTATGTGCCCTTCTCTCTGCCTTAAGCCTTCAGGTAAATGTCCAGGACACAAGGAGCTGAATTTACTCACTGTAAATGGAAATCTAAATTTGACATAAAGAAACTCTATCTTCTTGGAAACCATTTCAAATCCACTTCTCTCTTTATTCCCCATGAAACATGACAGAGATAAGACACACCCTAATGAAGAACTGTGTGACAGAACCGACAGGATGGCTCACGCCTGTAATCCCAACACTTTGGGAGGCCTAGGTGGGAGGATCGCTTGAGGCCAGGAGTTCAAGACCAGCCTGGGCAACATAGTAAGACGTGGTCTCTAACAACAACAACAAAAAAATTAAATTAGCCAGGCATGATGGTGTGTGCCTGTAGTCTCATCTACTGGGAAGCCAGGGCAGTCCGGGGATCTCTTGAGCCCAGGGGTTTGAGACTACAGTGAGCTATGATCATGCCACTGCACTCCATCCTGAGCAACAGAGTGAGAACCTATGGTGGTGGTGGTAGGGCGGGGGGACCTACAAAGAACAATGTGAGAAACCTATAGCTTATTTACACAAATCCCAATATCTTTGATCATCCCCCCCAAGAGAAATAAGAACATGGTCTGGGCCGGGCGTGGTGGCTCACGACTGTTATCCCAGCACTTTGGGAGACTGATGCTGGTGGATCACCAGAGGTCAGGAGTTCGAGACCAGCCTGGCCAACGTGATGAAACCACGTCTCTACGAAAAATACAAAAATTCGCTGGGCGTCGTGGCAGGCGCCTATAATTCCAGCTACATGGGAGGCTGAAATAGGAGAATGACTTGAACCTGGGAGGCAGAGGTTGCAGTGAACCAAGATCATGCCACTGCACTCCAGTCTGGGCCACAAAGAGTGAAACTCCATCTCAAAAAACAAAACAAAACAAAAGAACGTGGTCTGACCTCCTCCACCTTTGCTTTGTGCTTCCCTCCAGTGGAATTGCCATTTGTCTGTTGTCTCGCCCTTGCTCTGCTCCTACTTCACCCATCTTCTGAGATCCAAGTCAAAATCATCTGCACGGTGAAGTCTTTCCCAGGCAGTTATTCAAGGCAGGACAGATCACACTCTCAAACTTCCAAAGCTCTTTGTACTAATTACCAGGGTGTATTATATTAAATCATATCGGCTTTCTTGCCTCTCCCTCTCTGACCTAAAAACTCCTTGAGGGCAGGGACTGTGACTTTTCAATCTTTGTATCCACAAGTGCCTGGTACCATGCTGGCCACATCTTGCCTGCTTAATAAGTGGATGTTAAATAAATGCACAAATGAGAACGTTTCCATTTGTGTAGGAGAAGAATTATTCTTTTCACCCACTAGATTCCTGCATTCTCCATGCTACACGTTCGGACTCATGGCCCCACCCCCATTTCCACCTCCTCCAAATTTCCCATCACCCACTTCCCAAACCAGGAAGGTCTAAATCTGGAATAGGCCTGTGGCATAACCAGGTAGACACAGCCGATCTTGACTTTGAATATTTCCCTAGGACAGGCTGACCTAGGCTGACCATCTCCAGATAGTCACACACTTGAATGGCCAGATGAGTAACACACACTTGAATGGTTTATTTTTACAAGCTGAAGATTTGAATGCTATCTCTCACTCTGTTGCTTTGAATCAACAAAATAATAATTAACTAGGTACAATGATTTCTGCTTCACAGTGGCCTTAGGAATATTAGATGCTTAGTCTCATGGAGAGCTAACTTTCGTTTGCATCCAGCCACCAAATTTGAATCTGAGTCACCAGTTTACTTTGTTTCGAATTTTCCCTTCAGTTTGGCTGAACATACAGATGGCTTCCAGTACTCTACTGACCAAAACAAAGAAAGCTGGAGTTGTCTCAACTTTGTGAACCAAGCTTCAAAATTCTGGTTTGCATCAATAGACTCTGTTAGAACCAGCCTGAGCCAGCTACCCAGGGAACAAGGCGTTGACTCCTTGGCATCCTGGCATCCATGTAGGTCCCAGTCATCAAGGATCCTCTCCCAGCAAGGCCGGTATGAGCAGTAGCATACCTGTGAGGAGCAGGCAAAAATCCTTCTCACAGAGGAGAAAAGGACCCCAAACAGGCAGCAAAACAGGTAATTCAGGCAGCCTTCTGAACATTTGTGAAAACCTATGCATGTGGCATTACATCTGAGACAGAAAAAGCATTTGAATCTTTTAAGGCAGTGAAAATTTTGAAGACAGAGTTATGGAATGAAGAGTTGAGGCAATTTGGGGTGGGAGAGGGAATACAACTATCTTCACGTTCCTTGCCTTTCAATCCACCTAATCCCCTCCAACATAATGTATTTTTGAAATAAGAAATGTCTTTGCATATAGCCTTCCCATAGACTTGATTGAAATGTAAAACTTTGTGATATGGATTTTTATTTTTTTGAGACAGAGACTCTATCTTCCAGGCTGGAGTGCAGTGGCGTGATGTCAGCTCACTGCAACCTCTGCCTCCCAGGTTCAAGCGATTCTCATGCCTCAGCCTCCCGAGTAGCTGCGACTACAGATGCACACCACTACACCTGGCTAATTTTTGTATTTTTAATAGATATGGGGTTTTGTCATGTTGGCCAGGCTGGTCTCAAACTCCTGACCTCAGGTGATCTACCCGGCTCAGCCTCCCAAAGTGCTGGGATTACAGGTGTGAGCCACTGTGCCTGGCCTGTGATATGGATTTTATGAGCAGATGGTTTTGATTCAAACCTCGTCTCTGCCACTGATTAGCTGTGTATGACTATGGGCATGTGAGTTGAGTTTCCTGTGCTTCAGTGTCCACATCTGTAAAATGGGGATAATACAACTAATTGTGTCATAAGTAGTTGCTAGAGTTAAATTATATGACAAATAAATGAAGGAGGAGCCTGCCTGGATCACACAGCTAAAAGGTTCTTCAGATAAGAGGTAATACTTGATGCTATAGGTTTTAATATGAGAAGTGATAGGATACAGATATAATAATTGGCCTGATGTGGTTCACTTGTTTCCAGTTGTTTTCCTGGCCCTACATGGCTAATATCAGAATAGCCATGGGCTTTGTTATTTGAATGAATATATATATATATACACATATATACATATACATATACACACACACACACACACCCTAAGACACACCCTATTTACACACACTTGTAGGGTATTTTATATATATGTGTGTGTGTGTGTGTGTGATGTATAGATAATATAAAGATACAGCTATATACAGTTCAGTCTGGGACCAGAGTTGGCGGCGGCCAGAAGGCCTAGCGCTGTTCCATTCAGGCTTGGCCTGTTCCTAGCTGGCTGGGCTTGGTCAGGGCTCTTAACCTCACTGAGCCTCAGTTACCTCAGCAACAAAAAGCTGACTATAGTAGAGGCTGGGACAACTCTCCTGGGATGAGCTCTGCTCTGCCCCAGAGAGAATCTGCATTTAGCCATCCAAATGATCCGATTTATCTCCTGAGTCCTGTCTGGGACCACAGCTGGTGGCCAGAAGGGCCAGCCCTGTTCCATCTAGGCCTGGCCTGTTCCTAGCTGCCTAGGCTTGGTTGGACAGGGCTCTTAAATTCGCTAAGCCTCAGTTTCCCCAGTAGCAAAAAGTTGACTATAGTAGTATTTCTGTCTTGTCGGCGTTGTTAGGCTGTAAAAGAGATAAGGCACGTAAGCGGCTTAGCTTTGAGCAGGGCTCCTGACTTATGTCAGCTCTCCTTCTTTCTGTTATTCTTCCTATCTTTTCCAAAAGAACTTTTGTAGCTGTTGACAATCAACTTTGTTGGCAAACATTAGGACTAGGCTAAATTCGCTCCAGAGGAAAGTCTAGAGATGGGAAGGTCAAAAATGGAAAGGCTTTGATTCTGTCAGGACTGGGGGAGCAGAGATGAGCAGCCAGGATAGATGGAGCAGTGCAGTGAGGTGGGAGCCGGAACTGCTGAGCACAAGCCCAGCCTTGGCCGAGGTTCCGGTTGACGCAGTTCTCAGGTCAGCCAGATCACCGCAGCCTTGCTATCGACCCAATGCGAGCTTGAGGCTTGGTCCCTGAGTCCTTAACGCACTAGGAAGCATTTTCTCCCTCTAGTGCCTGCTAGTGCTCGCCACATTTCAAAGAGGCAGCTGCCAGCCTGTCTCACCTCTCAGACATCAACGTGCAAATCAAAGACTCTGGGGCTCCCCGCAGAGAAAACCGAGTCCAGATGCATTTGGGTGGGACCCGCTTTTTCCCTGCCCACAGGTGAGCCTTAAAACAATCTACCTCCAACACGGCCTCAAGGCCTCCCTATCAAGCCAGAGCTTTGCTTTCTTGAATTCTTGAAGTTATTACCGCCCTCTCCAACTCCACCTCCAACCTGTTCCACTCTGCAGGAAGCCCAGGAAGCCATGGAAGGACCAGACAGCGGGGAATCCTCCCACACCCCATCTTCCGGCACACAGGAAAGGAACAGAACTTTGTTTTGCAGAAAAGTAGATGTAGGTGTAAGTGTCTGGGAGTGGGCGCCGGGGGTTGCAACATGCCCTCCAGCTCTCAGGACCCAAGAGCAATGCTTCAGTTGCCGGACGCCTCCAGGAGCAATGGGCTTTTCGGTTGCAAAACCAACCTTATGTCTAGCAAACCCTAAAGGAAGCTGAAGAATCCCCTAGGAAAAGGGATCAATTGGAGTAATATTGGAGTGTGATGGATGCCAACCCCTCCCCAACCATCTTCCACCCTTCTTACCGGCGCCGACGCCCTGGGGCACACACACACTATAGGTGAATCCCAAACAGCTGTAAGGTTTCCCGACCCTGCCGCTGAGGGCCAGGCCCCACGCGGTTTCCTCCTCTCCAGGACTGTTTTCTCCTTCTCCTTCCCCTCCCCACATCCCCGGCCTGCCCTTATATTGCAATCTCAACTCCTCTGGACAGTACTTTTGAGACACACTTATTTCTACCACGCACCTTGCGGGTCGCTGGGGGTCCAGCGTGGGCGTGGAAGTCTCTGCCTTCTCCGCCAGACCTGCGTGGGCAAGACTGAGCATCCCCAAGTCCATGGAGTACCCTCCGGGCCCAGTGCGCTCGCTCTTCTCAGCAGCACTCTGGACACCCTCCCAGCACTGGTGAGGTGCATTCTAACCTCTTAATTCTTTTATTTCCTTTGAAGGTTTTTTTTTTTTTTTTTTTTTTTTTTTTTTGAGACGGAGCTTCACTCTTGTCTCCCAGGCTGGAGGGCAATGGGGTGTTCTCGGCTCACTGCAACCTCCGCCTCTCAGGTTGAAGCGATTCTCCTGCCTCAGCCTCCCGAGAAGCTGCGATTACAGGCGCCCACCACCACGCCTGGCTAATTTTTTTTGTATTTTTAGTAGAGATGGGGGTTTCACCATGTTGGCCAGGCTGGTCTCGAACTCCTGACCTCAGGTGATGCGCCCGCCTCGGCCTCCCAAAGTGCTGGGATTGCAGGCGTGAGCCACCGCACCCGGCCTCCTTCGCAGCCCTTTTAAGCTAGCCGTGGGGACCCGATTTGGGGCGGCGGTGTGGGAAGACCGTCTTCCCTCCGCCATCCAGCCACTTCTTTCACCCTGTTGAGCCCCTGGAGACCGCACCCAAAGCAGTGCTGAAATTCGGGAGCCCGTGGCTGTCCTGGGGAGCGTCAGAGTCTACGGTTTGCTCTCTGTGCCTGTGGAGCTCTGTGGAGACCAAGAAGGGTCTACAAGACGCGAGGAGTAGCAAAGCAAAGGATTGGGCCCTCTTGTCCAAACGAGAACCCTGCTGAGGGATAGAGCAGAGCAGACAACGGGTGAGAGAAGTGAACAAAGGTTTGGCAGGCCAAGGAAAGAGGCCAGAGGCTGTGTCTGAAAAACCGAGGTGGCGGATCCTGCAGTTCCCAGGTTCTTCCCCCGCTCGCAGAGCGGGAAACCGGGGCTGAGGAGATGGATCCCAGCGGGACTGGGCGCCTGGGGCGGGGCGGGGAGCACAGGACTGAGCGTCTCACTCAGCAAGGAGCCCCAACGTCGGGCTCCTAGCTCCGGGCCAGGAAGCTTTCCCAGTTCCTTAACGCGAGTATGTTTCCGGAGAGGTCTTGCCAAGGCTGGGCAAAGGGGGTGGGGAAGGACGGCGGGCAGCTTCCCAGCGTCCAAATCAACGGAGAGAGGGAGGGCAGAGCCCTTGGTCGCGCGCAGTTGACTCCCGACCACGTATTGATTTTCTATGTCTCTGCAATTTCAGGTCCTACCCTGTCCCTTATTCACGTTCAGCTTCGGGTTCTGGCCCACTAAGGGTCCCCAGTACCCCTAGGCAAGCCCAGGGACACCGAACGCCCGGAACGAATTCACCTGAAAGCAGGTTCCTCGAGCCCCACCCGAGGACCCAACCAGCCCTGTGTCCCCATCCCCTTGGGGCAGCTCTATCTAGCAGGCAACCAGTGACTCCAGGAGGAGCTTAGGCAACTGCTGGCCAGGAACGCAACTTTTTTTTGAAACGCATTGCTGTCCCCTTGCAAGGTGTTATTACAGCAATTCAATTACAGTAAATGGCGCGCATCGTCCTCGCAGCTGGAAAGTCGGTAACTAACTGTGACCGAGCGGTGTAAAAGAATCCGGCTAGACAAACACTACTGTTATTTTCCCCCTTCCTTCTGAATTTTCTCCTTTCCGTCTTCTCTCCGTATTAATTGTGGCTCTACCACAGGTTAATTAACTCCAAAGAGCTTAGTCTATCTGGACAGAAACACACTGAGAAATTGGCAAGAGATCCTAAAAAATGGAACGTGGCGTCAAAAAGATTGCCCGAAGTTCCTCGCGTTCCCTTCCGTGGCTAAAGTCCTTGCCTTCAAGGAACTCAGCTTCAGTCCTCTGTGGCAAAGACTCCTGGGGGTGTGGTCATTCAGGCTTAGATCTGGGCTTAGACCATGAAGCCTCCTATGGGGAGTGGTGCCCACTAAATCCCACTTGGCGTGGTCTGCAGGCATCCAAGGAAAGGTCAAGTCTGCTCCTGATGTGTTTCCACTCCTAGTTCATTGGCGATACCTCGCCACTTGTGTTATAGCACGAGCATTTCATGCTAAACTTTAAATAGCATTCCATGAAATTAATACCAACCAAAGGGGGAAAAAAGGCAAGATGGGGGTTGGGGAGGTGGCGGCTGGCTTTCCAGGGTGGCGGTAAATCGTGACTGTACTCCATATGTTAAAATCCGGAGGGAGAGCTGGAGGAAGGGGAGAATCCCTCACCAGTCAGCCTCTGCAATCATTTAAATAAAGGTAAAATTAACATTCGCTCCTTTGAAGTTAGAGTGAAGATGGCTTAAAAGAGGATTTTATTTAGTGGGTGTCATATCAAAACGAGAAGAAAGGCGATGCCTCGCCTGGAGATTTTAGTTTCATAATATTTTTTAAAACATTATTTTAGAAAAGGCCAAAATGGCAACTCAGGTGTCCCACCGCGTTCTCACGGTCCCCTAGGGCTGTGGACCTCTCCCTACAGGCACGGAATGCTCAGTTTTCTCACGCTGGGGGTAGAACAGCCAGAAGATGCCTCCGCAGGTTCCTTTCTCCCAACTCTACATTTGACTAGGACCCGGAGTGTGTTTGTGTCTGACTCCTGGAGGGGGCAGGACCCAGGGCACTGCGCTTGGGACCTGGCCTGGGCCACGGCTGCCCAGCCTCTAGCCCCCCTTGGCGGCCCACCTGCGCCTGGCGCGTTTCTTGATACCAGTGGCGCCCCCCACAACCAGCGTGTCGGGTCAGGAGGGGTAGAGCAGATAAGAAGGTTGCACTCGGGGTGTCCCGACTCGGGGCCAGCCAGACAGGAGCGAGCTGGGGCCCAGCCCTTGATACAGCTCCTGACGGCCCCGGAGCAGACTGTGCGGCGACCGCCCTGCCCCAGGCGCACCGGAGAGCTCTAGCCCTTGCGCAGCCAAAATGGTTAGGGTTGTTTTCGGCTTTGTTTGCTTTTAAATCTATAGGCGCCGTTTCATCTCAAGCTCTGCTCAGCCTCTGACCTCCTGTTCGCAATTCTCCTCTGGACCCTGACTTTTTTGGAGGGGGGCGGGTTAAAGTGAGAATGGGATGGAGAGAGAAATGTTACTCGCCTGTCCTTGGGTCCCAGGGCTGGCGATGGCAGGAAAAGGGGACCCATCACTATAACCGGAGGTCGCCGGCCGCCTGTGATCTGGGGTTGCCGCCCTCGTCCCCCGCCCCCTGGAGTTCCTGTGTAAAAGTTTCAGAAAACACATCCCGCACAGGTCCCTAACCGGGTCCAAGTTGCCTGGGTCTCGCCGCCCTTCCTGGCTGGAGAAAAACCCTGTTTTGTGAGCAAAGTAGACGGCCCTCAAGACCGCTTCTTGTAGTGTTTTTACGGAGGCTCCTGCCAGCTCTGCATTCTCACGAAGAGTTATCCCAAGACCTCCCACATCCACCAGAGGAGACCTGAATCCTTCTCCGGCCTAGTTCAGGGGACATCCCGGGCACGCAGCACGCCCGCGGTGGCGTGCATCCCAGCGAACCCTAGCCAGGCTGCGCGGCCTCCCTGCTGGGGCCAGTTCGCGGCTCAGGCTCCGAGGCGGCACTGTCCCTACTCGGCCGAGGGTCCCCTCCTACCTCTCCCTGCTCCCTTGCGGTCATCCTGTCGCCCGTTTTTCTCTTCTGGTGCTTCTCCTGGACACCAGGACGGGCCCCACCGTATTTACTGCACAAAACCCCACTTTTAAAGCCCGGTTAGGGGCCTCCGTCCTTTGTAGGAGACTTAGAAAAAGCGAAATTGAGTGCCCCGTGGGTGGCCCTTCTACGAAGAGAAGACTCTCCTTCGTTTGCGCCTCTGCTCAAGTGCTTTAAAGTTACACTAAGGACCTGCTCTCTATTCCTTTACTGTGGACGGAGTGGGGTGGGGGCGGGGGCAGGGGGAATGGAGAAGCCGATCTGAGGATAGTAGCTGCTCTGTAGACACTGGCTGCTCTCCTCCAAAGCTCCAGGGTGGGAATTTCTCCACCAGAATTGCAATGAGGGTGTCTGGGAGGTTTCTGAATGTAGGACTTCAGAGGCACTCACATTCCATTTCACCTCCCCAGCCCTCATCCTGGAGTCACCAAACTCAGGGTGCCAGGGCCAAGTTGTCCTCCCTGGCTTGGCATACCAGAGCTGTTCATCTGGGACCTGTTCAGCCCGCCAAGCAGTTTTTGGGGTTCTGCCTCTGCCTCCAAGTCCTGGTGTTTGTGGTGGCTGCCCCAGCCTTGCAGAAGTGGGAGGAGTAAAAGCTTTGAGCTTATAAATCCACTTAAAGCAACTATTACACTTTTCCCTTTCTGACCATGTGTGAAACAACATATATTATTAACAACTTGAGTCTATAATTCAGGAAACAGGAGATATTTTTTATACAGGTCTCTTCTTTCTCCACTGTAGGGACCCTCCTCAGCAGAGATCTCCTAATATATGCAGTTAAGGAGAGGTTTCAGGAATCCAACATCTGCTCATGTTGGTTTGAAAGTTAATGAAACTCGACTGTAATTCAGATTATTTCCAAAAGTATCTTGTTCATTTCTCTGAAACAGTCAGGTGAAAATTACAACCTGCAAACTGATGCTAAGTTGGTCCTTTTTCTGCTCACCCTAAAGTTGGCCAAACCAATAGCAAATAATTTTAGATGATTCAGGTTTTGGCATAATTGCCATCACATCTTGTTCCCAAGGTGTTCTCCAGTTGGTCCACTGCCTGTCTACCAGCTCCTCGGCATCTACTCAGCCTGGTTCCATTCTAGAGTTCCTTAGTTTGATTTGGTCTCATAGAATGCCCGTCCCCAGGTCCTCTTATTTCCCACCCCACCCCACCCCCACCACCACCAGATCAATCACAGAGACAATTGATTTTGTTGTGTCCTGTTCAAACCAGAAAGTGCTGACATCTTGGGCAGTGGGCAATAACTCTCATGGAATATCAGACAAACAGGCCAATGTCCGGATTTAGGGATCAAAGTTGTGTGTGCACACATATATGTTGAAGTGCGTATGCATGTAATCACGTTCATACACCTGACTGTGTATACAAATGATAGTGTTGAGAAATTGAGACAAATTTTCAATGTAATGCCAGAGTATAAACTGAGTGAGAAATCATATTAGTCTGGATAAATGAAGAGGTGAATCACACCTAAATGTCTAGGAGTAGATCATTAATTATGAAATTCGAGACTCTTTTGAGCATCCTATGCTTGCTAGAAATGAACCATCTTTTTTTTTCTTTTATTGAAAATAAGACCCTAAATTCCTTTTGACTGAAAGGAAGTTATCAGACAAGATGCAATTTTCTCTTTCTTTACTGACAACTCTGTCATCCAAAGGATCACAGCCATGTCAGGGTGTCTGTCTTAGAAAGAAAAAAAAGAGAGAGAGAGAGAGAGAGAGCTAGTGAGAGAAGCCCTGATGCGCGTGGCCATCTTTGCATCAAAATTTTCCAGACCTCTATTTTTGATTGTGATCCCACTGATCTGAGTTTGAAATGCGAACGCAGTGAAGCCCCTAAGCCTTCAATCGTGTGAAATTTTCAAAAGATCTCTAGAAGCAATCTCAGGCTGCCTGACCCCTGACAGGCACCGATCTCTTTATTCCTCTCTCTGCCAGCACTTCATTTGTCGGAATATCTTTCAGATTTGCACCTCCAGATGACAAACCTGAGTGTTTATTATGTGTACATGAATCGGAAATCTTCAAGCCCGGACAAAAGCACCATTTTAAACATAATATTTAATTTCCCAGCCTAAGTGTCTGCTTCTTTATTTGCTTTTCATTAGCTTAAATATTTTTTCCAAGTCTCCCCATGTGTCACTTTGATATTTAGATGATTCTCTCTTCTAATCGTCATTTCCCCCTTGAAAAATCCCCTGTTGCCCGCGACTGCTGGGCTCACACGGCAACGTCACCGTGCGGCCGTTGGCGAGGACTCAGCTCGACGCACAGCAGTTCAGGGAGCGCGGGGTGGGGGGCGCGTCTCCAGACAAGGTAAGGGCCGGAGGGCTGCCAAAGAAAGACTTGCTTTTTAAGCCAGAGGCCAGGGCTGGGCCCAAGGCAGTGAAGACTTTCCCATCTCACTCCACCCTTCTCCTTCAGGCCTTTTTAATTCCCCGTATTACTTTTGAAAAAAAAAACAAAACCCTCAGGCGTCTTGAGGACGTGCTGGGGGCAGTTTTAGCTGACTCGAGTGTGCTCAGCTGCTGGCCCTCTGAGCGTGGGCGCCAGGTTTAGCCATTCCACCCGAAACAGTCAGACTCATTCCTGTCTCGGGACTTGTTTTTCCGCCTGCCTTTCTGTGGGTACCTAAATCCTGGGAGCTTGAGGGCACTAGAGGGAAAGGGGATGGGGGACGCTTCTTGAAAGAGGGCTGCTTTGTGAAAATGCCCCATGCCAAATAATTCCAGGGACAAGCCTTTGGGGTCGAGATGCCGCCCACCCCTCCCCCAACCTCAGCCCCAGATCGGGGCTTTAGAGCCCAGCCCAGCACCCAGGTGGACTGGGTTGAGACAGGGACGAGCTCCAGCTCTGCAGAACCCAGGGGTGACTCGCCACTCTCAAGCACAGTCCCAGGTCGAGAGGTGGTCGGCTGAAGCCTGAACCCCCCTCCCTGTGTGTTTGGATGGGCCGTGTTGCTATGATTAACTTATTAAACCCCCTGATAATTATTTTAATTTGACTCGAAAAAATACTTTGGGCGGCGTTGTGATGTGTTTGTATTTATCCATCCCCCCTATAAAACCTGTGTTAAAACAAATGTTACTTTTCTCTCTCTGTACATAGACCCTCCCTTTTTGAAATAGACCGCAGGGACTGCCATTAGATCGAATGGCAAGTCTTTATGGAAAGTGTTTTGCATAATTACATACCAAAGCCAGAACAGTCACCTCCACATTTTATGGGTCACAAACCATCAACAATTGCCACATTATTGTCCACGAAACCTTAGTCCCTTCATTGATGGAGCGGACTCCACTGCGCCTAATCTAGAACGGGAGAGGATGGAAATTTCTTCTAATAAGAACCTGAGAAGATTATGTCCCCACTGACAACGTGTTTACATATAGTTATAAAGTTCAGAGGACCGACCGAGAGAGGAAAGGAAATCGGACTAGGCCTGATTAAGAACGGCGCATCGGTCTAATATAGATAGCGCATCAAAAGCAGCGGCTGAATGCCTCTCCCCTTTTCAGATCCGACCCCTTTTCTACCTTTGTGATGCAGTAATTAAGATATTCTTATTTAGACAGACAGCTTCTCTGGTAACTGAATAATATTAGCTCCTTTGATGTCAAACTTTTGACAGTTATCACACCAGCACTGGGCAATTTAGCACAAATGCCCTCCAAAAAAAAAAAAAAAAAAAAAGATAGAAAACCCCCATCGGCTTTGAAGAAATCTAATAAGTGTGATCCTTATCACCAAATGATTTAAATCGCCGCCGACAGACCGCCTAGCTATAAATTACATTCGGTGGTACATAATGAAGCCGAATTTGGGTTTTAGCTCATTGAGGAAGCATTGGTGGAAAGTGGGGCCGGAGCCCCACACTTAACAGCTCCCCCATTCCAGACACCCAGAACTGCTGCCCAGTGCGACAGAAAAACCCCACAGTCTACCGGGTCAGGGCAGGGATGGAGCAGAGGTGGGGGCAGGTGCGGGCAGAGCCCACGGCCCTTGCCCCAGCTCCGGAGAGTCCGGCAGGACCAGCCACCTACTCCCGGGATGAGCCGTCGCTGTTGCTTTCCGAGCTTGGTCACCAAATTTGGGATTTGCCAGATGGCAGGATTATCTTCGCGTCTGTTATATTATGTGTGTGTTGAGGGGGAGCGGGGGTGGAGAGCGAAGACAGGGAAGTCCAGAGACCGCGCTGGTTTCTTTGAAATACACGCATGTTCCCTCTTTGCCCACTCCCGGGCTGCCGCCGCCGGGACCCTTACCGGAGTTCCTGGCACCTCGGAGCGGCCCCACGGCAGGCAGCAGGCGGAGCCTCTGCCACCCCTGCCCTTGGGTGCCGGCCCCCTGCCCGCATCTCTAGACCTGGGGCCCTGTGCCCAGATGCGAGGAGCTGGGGTTTGGGAGTGCGAATGTGAGAACCTCCCCCAGAGGAGAAAGGGGGGAGGTATGAGAGTTGGAAGGGAAGGGGGCAAAGAGGGCGGGTTAGGAAGGATGGGGCTGTGACAGTGGCACCTGGAAGGCATTGTCCTAACGAGCGACACCTGTCAATCTCCGCTCCGGGGTCCCGGGGCCGGGGGCGGGGAGGCCGCGGGTCTCTGTGGTGATGTCATCTCAGCGTCCTTTCCCGGCTAAGGGCGGGAAGGCTGGGAGGGGCGCGGAGCTAGGAGAAGGATGGGGGAGGAAAAGAGAAAATAAACAGAAGTCGCTCTCACTCGCCACATCCTCGGTTCGCAATTTACAGGGAAATCAATAATCCAACTTTAATGTTATTTCTAATCTTGATTGATCGTCTTGCCTTTTCACTGGGGATGGAGAAATAGGGTTGCTGCATCTCATCCCACAACCCACACAATCGTTGGGGAAGTCTTGTGGCCCCAAAGCTCTAAGTGACCGACTCTTCTAGACCCCGCTCCCCTCTTTCCCTGGCGGTTGTTCCAAGCTTTAGGCTTAAAGAGGAAACACTTGGAGATGAGTTTTGAAAGTCTTCCGATATTGCAGGGGGCAGGGAGGGGAGTTAATTAACGCTGGGCTTGCTCAGCGAGTGGCAGAGGGGACTCGGCGTGGGTGGGCGGGCCAGGTGGAACGCTGGGGAGCGCAGTGCGGGAGGCTTGTGAGCCCGAAGCCCCTGCTTGGAGGCCCAGGCTGGGGGGAGGTGGTCTGCGGTGGCCTGGGCCGGGGGTGCGGGGCGGGGGTGTTGCTGAGGTACCCCAGGGAGTCCCCCAATGGCCCTAGAGAAATTCTGATCTCCCACCTACTGAGTCCCCACCCCCACCCCCACCCCACAGTGCGCCACCAACCTCTCCCTCTTTCTATTCTTTTCGGTCGAGCTAATTAGCAGCCTGCCAGCGGCCTGATTTATGGAAACGTTCGGGCGGGCGGAGACCCGCCGCTAGCCTAGCCAGGCTGCCTCGGGGCGGAGTGGAGGAGGAGTCTCGACCGGCCCCCTCCGTTGAGTTTCCCTTCTCGGGGTCGGAAAATGGAAGTTGCTGGTCCCCTACCGCCGTCACCCGGGCCGGTCTAGGAGACCCCCACGCCCTCGCTGCCCCAGCCTGGGGTGCGGGAAGCCCTGGCGCTAGTGGAGAGGACAGAGGCCGGTGGCCACACAGCCTGCTGCGGACACCCGAGGCCGCCAGGTTCCAGCTCCAGCTAACTCTGAGGGCGGGCTGGACGCCGATAGAGCTCGAGCCTCCTATGCCCGAGCTGGGCGCCTAGCTTCCCGCATCCAGGTCCCCAGAGAGGGGAAATTAGACCTGCAAGGGGAGGGGTGCTGCCTGAGATCGGCTTCACCTCTCCGCACCCCTCCAAGGCCGCAGAGAGTCACTAGGCCAGGGTGGGGCCCAATGAAGCCACCGGCCCTGCTGGCCCGGGAGTAGCTGGCTAGCGCCTGGGGAGGGCGAGGTTCTCTCCACTTTCCCTCCCGTGCACTTTCTCCAGGGGCGCATCCTCAGAGGGCTCCTCTGAGTCAGAGTCCTCAACCAAGAGTTGGAATTTCTCCGAGGCGAGTGCAGGTCACAGGCCATTTCTGGAGCCACCCGGCGGGGCATTTGCCCGAACACCCGGCACAGTCTCCTCGCCAACTTCGGGCTGCTTTGGATAGTCAAGGGGGAGAGGGGTCGAGGAGTATTCCCTCTTTGCCATTTGACCCCAGAAATGAGGATGGAGAGCAACCGGAGCGAAGGAGCCGGGGAAGAAAGTTCAGCAGGACCTGTTGCTGGCGCTCAAGCAGCCTCGCCTCGGAGAGAATGTTGGACACCTTGATTTCTCCAGGGAGCACCAGTGCTCTCCCCACCTCGGGGAGTCTTGGGGGAAAGAGACTAGCAGACGCAGAGGGCCAGAGGCCCGGGGAACTCTTCCCCGGCTTAGGCTTGGAGTGCAGGCAGGGACAGAGTGCGGTGAAGTCACTGTGAAAAGGATGGCGTCCCTAAGCCCGGCTAAGACTGAAATTGCAATCGTAGGGAACTGAGATCTCCAAAAGAATGTGGAAGGTTTACTTTAAAACACCCAACCAGTTCATTTTTCTCAGAAGGCATTCTGGATGCCCTGACGGGGGCATGCCGGGATGGGACCCTTCTCCCCTCCCCACAAGAACTTCAGACACCTGCTCTATCCTGCCTTCAGCCCCCAGGCCCCTAGGACCGCAGGACCCCTCCTTCCTGGGTTTCCCTCACAGAAGAGAGTCATTTAATGTTATAGATAACTCAGCCCCAGCTCAACCCACCCACCCCTGGAGAAATTTAGTCTCCTCATCTTCCTCACCCTGCTGCCACCATTTCTAAAGGTTTAGTAGAGTCAGGGCGTCATGCAGGCCCTGGGCTTTCCCCAACCGGATGGAAGAAGGAAGTAGACGCCCTCAACCAGCTGGGGAGCTGGGCTGGGCGCCGATCTATATTTCGGGGTTCAGCCCCATGGGTGGCAGCCTCTCTGAATTCCTAACTGTGCTAAGGGTTGGGGTCACCTGCCCAGATACGTTGCATAGCCCAAACCCATGACAAAAGTCTGAGTGGAAATGGAGCCCTCCTTCCCCCACACACGAAAATGTCGCCTTTTGGCAGTGCGGCCCCCAATCCTTCATGTCACCTGAGGGTCACACTGCAGGCGCAGGGCTTCACTGGGTCCTGCCTCCTGGGAGGTGCTCGCAGACCAACTCCAGGGTCGACAGCCGGCAAAGCAAATGCTGGCGGTTAGGTGCTCAAATAACATTCTTCATTCCTCTTTTTCAAAGTTGATTTATAGCAATCGACAGGTTAAAGCCTCATCTGACTTCATTACTTTTAAAAGCTGTCTATTTCACAACTGTCACTTTTCATCACTTAGCTCAAATAAATACTTGAAGAAATGAATTGGAAGAGACTTTCAGATCATGTTTATAATTCTTGGTCGCCGCGTTAACATTCCTAATGACCTGACCCTCTGAGTTTCTGCAGACTTCTAAATTGGGCCGAAAATTCCTCCTTATATACTAGAAAACTTCAAGGAAGGTGAGGTGGCCGGAAATGCGACTCAAGGGAGAAGTGCAGCGGCTGCATGTGGAAGGCAGGGTGTTGTCGCAGCAAAGCATCCCAGCAGCTGCGAGGGCCCAGGCCCGAGACCCAGGGCCACAGAGAGGGGGACAGCTCACGGGTCAGGGGATTCACATGGAACCAGCTGCTGACAGGAGGGCCCCAGCCTAGCAGCCGCGCCGCCCGCCCGCGTTCCTCGGGTCCCGCCGACCAGGCTGCAAAACCACGAGAAAATTCATGCCAGAAGGAAACGCTGTTCATTGGGACTATTACTATTATTCTATCACTGTTTCAAAAATGATTTTAAAGGGCCCCTACGACCGCAGATGAGGAGTGGCAGAGTGAGAGCCATTTTCTCCCAGTCATCTTCGACTCAGAGCTTGTGAGACACCCAGAAAGAGCAGAAGCATGGAAACGAAATCGTACGCACTGAAGTCCGTTCAATAAATTGAAATAGTTTCTCCAATTTTGCTACCATTTGCCCAAGCCTTCTAGTATTACCAGCCGGTGGTAATACTTTCACTTTCTCTCTCTCTCTCCCTCTCTCTTTCAAGCTCTCTCTCTCTCTCTCTCTCTCACACACACACACACACACACACACACACACACAACCAGTTCTAAGAAATAGGAGGAAAAATACAGAAAAAAAAAAGCGAAAGGAGAGGTAAGAAAAAAAAACTACAGAAAATAAAAGGAAAAGGAAGGGAAGAAAAAGGAAATGAGAGAAAAGAAGAAAGCAAAGGAAAACCCAAAAACTATATATCTTTTCTTTTTTAGTTTGGGGGACAACGATAGAACACATATTTTCCTTATTTTTTTCTTTGAAAAAGAACAACAAGAACAACAAAAAACCCTAAGCTGCGTCTCTGAGCTTGTGGTGGATTGGGCGCTTGCTCGGTGTGCCTGGGCCGAGGCTGACTCCAGCGCGCCGCTCGCCGTGCCTGGGGACCTGCAGCCCCAGCCTCCGCCCCGCCCGGGAATTTCGAAGATTTCCCCCGAGCGGCGGCGCGCGGAGTGTGCTCCGGAACTCGCCATCACAGCGCTCCCCGCCGCCGCCAGCCTTCCCCAGTCGTGGCCTCAGGCCTTCGCCCACCCTGCGGACCGCTCCGCCTAGGTGGGTCTGAGCGCTCCCGATTTTCCGCTCAGAGGCTTTAGGAACCCCGAGTTAACATTGCTCGGTGGCCGCTGCCTCGCTGCGTGGACGCGGCGGCGGATGCGCTCGGTGGCGAAAACCCGGGCGCGCTGCCGTACCTTGGAGCGCCACCTCGCTGCAGAAACTGGAATGACGCCGCCAAGCCTCCCAGCCTGCGGCAGCCTAATTGTACGTCACCCGGACTTTTTCCGTAATCGAAACCCTCAGAGAAGCCGCAACGCACAGGTCTTCTGACGGGTTAAAAACCATTATCTGTGACCGACAGATCCCACAGTGGCTGCATTGGGATGAAGGGAAAATAACAGAAGAAGGAGAAAAATATATAGGCACAATTTCACCAAGTCTAAAGTAGTCACTCAAGCTGGGGAGCTGCTTTCCTAGAAAGGAGAAGATAAATGAGACGTGGTCTTTAGGAAGCCACTAGTTCGGGCCCCGTGTATTTCCGGCCATTCAGCTGCGGCCAGTGCAGATGTCTCCCATGAGGTGGTGCCTATAAAGTCATCCCTTCCCAATTATGATTTCCACCAAAATTCATTTATTCTGGTCAGTCCAGCATTAGAGGGGTTCTGCAGTGCCAGTCTCCAGCCTACTGGGACACTGTACCCACAGCTTTTGGCTTTGCTGACTAAATAACCACAAAATATAGCCCCCAACACGTACACCTGTCCGCCGGTGAAAGTAGCAACTGGCAAGAATTGCAAATTACACAGCCTCTCTTTCCAAGGTGCAACTGGGCATTTGACACTATTTTATCCAGTTGATAACTTAACAGGTTTGCCGCAATCTTATATCCACACGACCATAAAATATACAGAAAATTTAACCCACTTATATGGTGAGCCTTTGCTTCAATGTGTCTTCAAAGTGCACCATCCCAGAGATGGGTGTTATAAGTTAAAACAAATGTTACATGCCAAACATGGTTTTAAAAATACAGCATCTCTGTCATGGTCCAGTGAGGATTTGTGTGGTTTCTTTGTTTTGAAGGGAGGTACAGAACCTTTATTTAATGTAGTTTTTATTACAAAGTTCAAATCCTTTTTTTTAAAAGGAGCTCTGTGGATCCTACAAATAATGGGAGCTGAACTGGGGACTATAGGGTGGAGATAGAGTTTATCTGGTGTTGTATAAGCCCCTGTATTTCCCTGCCTGAGCAATCCCAACATAGAGATCGCTTCTTGAAACTCCGCAGTCCCCTGAGTTAGCGGGGTGAGCCCCCAAAGGGCAGGCAGGGGATAGCGTGAGTGCCCCTTCTCCCTGTAACCAGGGCTCCTCCTTGCTGATTAGGAGCTCTCAGATCTTGCTCAGAAATTACACGGCTGCGCCAGGAAAATAGCCAGGTTGGCTTTCTGGCTGGTTTGTCTCTTCTCCATCAGGCTAGGAAAGATTCCTGTGAGACCACACAGGAGAAAGGCCCCAATTTCCTAGCAGGACTTCAGTGAGCATCCCTAGTAACTGCCAGCTAAGGAGGGGTGGCCCGGGCCCTGGGGGTCTTGAGGCCTAGGCATGGGGGTGGGGGTGAGAGTTGGTGCTAACATGGGGAGAAGGCAGCTGATGAGAGATAATGGGAGCTCAGAGGGAATTCCCAAGAGGGTCCTGGGGCCCACTGAGGGCCAGCAGTGAGGAACTAGGACAAAAACCGAGGAGAGGAAGGCATAGGAAATGATAGGTGTGAACCTGCACGCCTACAGTTTGGAAAAGGAGTTCTAAACTGGAAAAGGTTTTGTGTGTCTCTCTCTTTCTGTCTCTCTCTCTCTTCCCCCCCTCCACCCCCTTCTTCTCTCCCTTCATTTCTCTCTTCTCCACCCCTTCCTCTTCTCACATTCAGGTTTTCTGGGGTTTTTTTCGCCCAATAATGCCTGGAGATGAAAAATGATTTTTGTTGCTATTACACTTCCTACCGCAAGATGCAGTGCAAGGCGGCTGAGTTTGTATTACAACTATGTCACAATGTTTCACTGATGCAAAACATGTAGCCAGAGGGTGTTGCTAATGACTCCTGGATTAGAGTGAGATTGAGACTGGGAGAAAAAGAAAAAGAGAGAACAAGAGACAGAGGAAGGGAGGAGAGAGAAGAATGTCATTAGAGAACGAGGAAAATCACTGTATAATCACCTCTAATAATCTAATCAGGATATTTTCAGATTTCAAGGTTCTCTCCATGCTTAAGAGTGTGAGCTAGAGAGAGACCATTATCCTTTTAAACACCACAAAGGTTTTTTTGCATGTTAATAACTATTAATTATGTTTACAGCCAGTTAAGTGAAGAACTCTCCTTTGGAAAGAAACTTTGGAAAACGCTTAATAGCAGATTAAAGCCTTTTCCTGGAGCCGAGGTCGCTTGGAGGGAGGTGGGGGCCGGGTAATCACCCAAGGGTGTGCGGAGCCCGAGGCGGCTAGCAGAGGCTCAACGCCCCCGCCAGTGGTCGTGCACACAAATGTGCAAACGCCTGTGACGGGCTGCGGGGACCCAGGGTGCCCCGTCGGACCCGTGGCGGAACTCCTAGGCGCAGCCAGCCGCACGGGCTCGGCTTCCGCTCGGTCTTGGCAAAAATGTCCCTCCGGGCTCCGAACTCCCCGGCGCCCTCCCCCGAGACCAGCTCTATTTAGGGAAGCCGGAGGTTTCGCGGTTCCTACCGTGGCCCAGGCCGGTCCCACCGCCCAGCAGTCCGCTTCTGCCCCCCGGGGCACAGCAAGGAGGGCGTTCCCTCGGGGCTGCGGCCCTTTGAACCCGGGGAGCCCTCGGCTCTCGCCAGGACTCGCGGAGCTCGCTCGGGGCCCGGCTGCGGAGCCGAGTGTGGGTGGCGGGTGGGGTTGAAGGCGAGTGGGGGAGGCAGGAGGGGATGGAGGGGCGGGGGCGGGAGCCGGGCGTTAAGCCTGGAAGCTTGGCTGTTTACCCAAACGATTTTCCTTTCAGACCCGAGACGCCAATGAGACAAGATCAAACTCCCCTTCTCGTAGTGCGTGTGTGGGGTGTGTGTGTGTGTGTGTGGGTGGGTGGGTGTGTGTCCTCTTCCAGGAGGGGTTTTGTGAATGGGGGCTCCAGGACATCGGCTGGGAGGGACCAGAGGCCAGCCCGGGCACAGCGCCTCCTCCCGGGGACTGGGAGAAGCCGGTCGGAGGGCGCGAGGTCTGAGCGCACCGGAGGGCGCGGCGCCCCAGACACAGTGGTCCGCTGGGAGAGAAGCGAACAACAGGAACACAGGCCACGGAGGGCCAGGGGCCGCGTCCCCAAAGGCCCAGCCAGGAGACACATGGTCGTGTGCAGGAGGGGGAGGGGGAGAATAATAGGAATCACATCCTTCTTCTAGTCCCTTAATTTCCGATCCCTCCAAAGCCACTGGTTTCTTCCCGACTCCCTCGCTCGAGATCTATTAGCTGCAAATTAGGCCAAGGTTTTGGCGATTACGGTGCAATTCAGACCGAGCGACACGCGCCGCCTGGCCTGCGCCTGGGTCTCTCTCTTCGCACTGCAAAATGGTTAGAAACGAAGAGAGGATGGGTAGCCTATATGATAAGGATGGGTAGCCTATATTGATAACACATTGGTCATTTTAAAAAGGGCCCCGGTCGAAGAATATCCATCAGCCTGGGGGATCTGGGGAAGAGGGAAGAGGAGACGAGCAGGCTGAAGTCTGAGCTACGGCACAGCAGGTCACAATAGTCCTGGGCACTACTCCTGCAGCCGCTCTGGGGACGAACCGGGACTAAAATCTCGTTTAAACAACAACAACAGTATTAATATCATTGATAGTAAAAAGAATCAGAAGGCAGCATATTTATTTATTAAGATCATAAATGATTAAAATCTGGTTACATGAACATTGTATGTATAGTTAATGGCACTACCTCCCACAACTCACTGCTCACCGAAGGCCGATTAAAGGCTTAACTAAAGAATTCTTTCTGGAAGAAAAAGGTGTCATTGTGGTGCTCTGACTCAGCCTCTATTGCTTCTTCTGCGTCAGCCTGCCCCTAGGTGCCCCCCACTCTTCCCACACATGCATCCCTTACTGAATGATTCTCTCTTTTTTAACTGACCAACCACCATCTCCCTGTCCAGAATATTCTTATTTAACCAGAATTCCCCTCCTCTAGTGCTGACATGGATGGGGCATATTAGGGACCTGCTAACCCTTCTTCAGGCCTCTGTGTCTCCTGCTCAGGTGTCCCAGGCCTGGAAAACACCCCGAGGGGGGGACTCTAGGGGCCTCTGGCTTTCTCCCGCATGTCAAGGGTGGAGGGCTGCAGCTCCAGGGCTCAGAGGGAGCGAGGCAGCTGATGGGCCTCTGGGTATGAGTGGCGGTGCTTAAGGACCTAGCTAGGCATGTTGTTGGCCTGGAATAAATGTGTGTGAGAGGGGAGATGCTCACGGAGGAAACCGGATGTGCCTAAAAATGATTGACACCGCCAATCTAACACTTATTAAGCGCTTACTATGTGCCAGTCACTGTGTCCACATCTCTGGGGACTCCAAGCCTGAGGACAAACCACTGTGGCCAAGGGTAGGCCTCTGAACCGGGTGGCTGGGCCAGGGCAGGCAGACAGCCAGATAGGTGTCCTTGTGTGGCTGAGGTCAAGGTTTCCGCTTCCCCTTCCGTCCCAGGGTGGAATCCAGGAGCCAGACCAAGGCCTCCTCCCCACCTGCCCGCGGTCGTCCCCTGACAACCAGTCCGTCCAGTGTTGCCACGAGCTGTGCGGACTTCCAGGCCAGAGGAGAGGTCAACAGGTTCTAGCCACGTTCGCTCTTCTTCGCGCTGAAGTCCTTAAACGAACGTAGACTGGGCCGAGAGGGCCGCGGAGGCCAGGCTCGGGCAGATGGGGAGCGCTTAGTGCGCCAAGGCCAAGCCCACAGCCAGGCCAGGAGCCCTGCGTCCTGTGCCTCCTCCCGCTCGGGTCGCGGCAACTCTGCACCAGGCGAGGTGCGCCTCCCTCGCGGTGCCAGAGGGCGCTTGACTGACTCCCGGGCTTCAGCAGCCGAGAAGGCGGCCCCCGGCTTTCGCGGCCTGGTGCGCACCCAGGGCAGGGGCCAGGCGCGGCACTCAGGCCGCCCTCCACGCCCCACCCCCCCGGGGTGTTCTAGCCTCCAGCTCCAGGCCGCCAGAACGGGAGAGTTTTGCTCCATTCTCTGACTCTTCCTCCCATCCCCCTAACGCTGGAGGCTGAGACTCGCTGGTGACCCAGTGCCGTGCCCCGTGAGAGTGGAAAAAAGCAGGCGCTGCTCTCTGTCTGGAGACAAAAGGCCTCTGCGTTCAGGCTCCCTCGGGCCTGGCCACTAGGTCTTTGGCACGGGCTTCCACCTATGCAGAGGAAGCAGGAGCAGGTGAAAGCGGCGATGCAGCGAGGGCTCAGCCAGCGAGTCTTAATTGATCCCAGAAACTGAACACCTCCGAATCCACGGGCATAGCGACCGGGCATCTGCTGCAGAAATACGCAGTCTACCCCCAGCACCCCTCTGCAGCCCTCATCCAGCCATCTTCCTATAAAGGGGCCCCTGGTTGCCAGTTTTTTCCTTCTAGTCTGATTGCAAATCACCTGGCAGCTAGAAACCCTCGCCCCCTGATATCGACCTGCAGAGGTTACTCCTTTCCCTAAAAACGACTCTGGCTTGCTTTCTTCTACTAGCCCCACGGGAGAATTCACTGGTTTTTACATTAAAAAACAGAAACAAAAAAACTTTAAACTCTCTCTGGGTGTCAGATGTGGTTGGAACTCTCCGAGTCTCCTGGTTCACCACACTCTCTGCTGCTCCTGAAAAGCGAGTCCTCTGAAGTAGTCTTTTCCTGCAGTCTATCATTTCGGTATTACAAATAACTACCGTGGAGCGAGAAATACCCCCGGCTTGAGAATATTGATAGATGATAGTGGCGATATTCACAATCGATCCCCTAATAGGCAGACGTCATAAATCATGTTCAACGCCCTGACAGCAGAGTACTTCACTTAATAATATAATTAAGATTAAAACTCGAGAGGTATTGGAGGCAGCGGGTATTGATAGCTTCAAAAATTACATTCTGGATATGACGATGGCACGGAAAAGGACCTTGGGAAACTATAACCCCACTCCCCAAAAGTGGAGTCTTCTGGCTGCCCCTGTCTTGTGCTGAGCCCCTCCCACCCTCCTGTCCCTGCACACACTTTTTTCCCCACCAGTAACCCAAATCTCCCATAGGTCTGAGCAGAGAGTAGGCCCACTCTTTCTCAGAAATGCTATCCAGTAGGATAAGAATTAATAGGGTTCGAATGAGTTTCTTGGATTTAGGAACTGTTTAAAAATTCATTCCTTCAGCCTTGAATATTCAGTTTAAAAAAAAATGTTCAGGAGAGCAAGGAAATGATGCCGTTTTGTTCTTTCAATACAAATAGGTTCCTGAACAAAGTTTTCAAAATTACATATAAATAACTGAATATATGGAGATATGCCAGTCCACTTCATCCCCGAAACTTAACTGCCTGTACACCTTCCCAGAACCTCGGGCCTCAGGACAAAACCCCAAACTTCACATTAAGAGTAAAAGCAGAGTGGTCAGATCCCCTGCAGCAGTGATAGTCTGCTCTTTGCTTCATGAGTAGAACTGATGATAAGTCCGGCTGAAATTATTTCAGAGTGGAATATTAATCAAATCAATCAGAGCTGACAAATGAGAAATACTTGAAAGTCAGTGGTAATTTACAACTTTGTTATTGGTTAAAAATCTTTTGCCTTGTAACAGTAATTAATAATGCTTAGAAAAGAACGATTTGGAAATCCCCTTCTCATTCTTTTTATTTTTCTCTGGCTCTTAAAGAAGGAAAGAGAGAAAGGAAGCAAATGAGTGATCAGTAGAAACAGGAAAAACACTGAGTCGTTTGTGGGGAGAACAAAACTGGAAAATATAAAAGAAAGGGAAAAAAGATTAACCCCATGGGAGGCCATCAGGAAATAAAGAAAATACAGGAGGAGGGGTAGTAAATCAGAAAATGAATTCTGTAACCATACCCCATGAGCAGGCTGGCTAAAGGTTGAATTTCAAATGGCCCAGAAACCCCATCAAAATGAACAGTGCTGCTAAAATATCTTGAAAGTAGCTCAGCTCTGAATCCAGGCAGAGCTCAGGGCATTGTCTGTTTTGTTGTTGTTAACAATGTATTTCTTTATGGCCCAGGAGCAGCCGTGTGCAGGCTTTCCCAAATTCAATCCCTGGAGACCAGACTGGCTTTCATGTTTCTGGTGTTAACTCTTCTTTTGGTCATAGCCAATCCCCCCACCCACCCGTCTTACATTGATTATTAGATTGTCTCAGCCCCACCTAAAAAACACACCCAAATAATGACTTGTTGAAGAACTATAAATCTTTTCGGCCTCTGAGTTTGGAAAACCATTTCAGTGAAAAGGCTTTGCTGTGAAATGCTAAAGAAATTCCTAACCTTCTGCTCACTGAGGAAGAGCTGCTACTTTTATTTGCTGAGCTTTAATTTGTTGGATGGGGAAATTTTTCAGGTTGGTAAAAAAGGATGGAGGGGAAAAAACAACTTTTGCAAACTTTATCTGGTCTGTATTATAAGCCCCAGTTTTGTCTCACTGAACCCAAGCTGGGTCTACAAAAAGTAGCTAGAGATTGAGATTTATTGGTCTCTAAATGAAAAGATTCATTTGATATAAGAGGTTAACTCAAAGTTCCTACACCGTGACTAGCTTCAGCAAATGCCTTTGTTGGGTCAGCACAAAAGCAGTTCAAAGAAATCTTAAAAACACACCGAGATATAGACACACAAACACATTGTCCCACTTAAGCCACAAATGCAATTCTCTTTTCTTTGTCATTTTTTTTCTGTCATTACAAACCTCCAGCTTCTTCCTAAATGGCTGGGATGGTCTCCCCCAACCCATCAAACTTTGCCATTTTGTATCTTTTGCTTTTGCTAGAACTCAATGAAAGAATGAGGGGGTATGAGAAAGTAAAAGGGGGGAAGTGAACTAATTTGGATAAAGCAGAACACTTTGTAAATGAGGTGCATTGAGGCTAGAGAGATACAGATGGAGGAGAGGGGCTCTAGGATTAAAAATAGGCATACTGGTTGGAAACTGATGAAATGGGTTTTCAGCGATCAGTCTATGGATTCAATAGGAACCTGGCAGAATGTAAGGTTGTGATGAGGAGACCACGAGTGAGAGTGAATTCGTCAGAAAGAGTGAGAAGGGAGAAAATAGCAGCAAGGACCTGAGATCCCTTGCAAGGAGCAGACTATGGAGATGCTAATGAGGGAAAATTAACCTTCGGGTTGGGTCTGTGACATGGGCCTTCCACTGAATGTCTGATCCAGGGGCTGCCAGCAGCTTCCCTCTGCACCAGCGAAATGAGATAATCGCTCTGAAACCTCCCAACCTTGGTGCAAGCAAGCTCTGAGACTGTTGTGGGGAGCAGAATGTAACTAACAGCTCCTTCCAAAGAGACAAACAAATAGCAACTAGGACCACAACCAGGCGCCAGAGCAAACCTGCAGTTGTGGGTACATTTGTTCAACTCCAGAGCCCCTCTAGGCTGGCACATTGAAGGAAGGGAGGAGCAGGTATGGAAAACGAAAAAATATCTTCATCTCTGTTTGTTCCAGTCTGTCGCCAAAGGCCCTGGATAACCGGGCCTCAGTGAGGCAACACAAGGGATAAATGGATTTTATCTCCAGGAGCGTGGCCACTGGGCCAGGGGATTATTGCTTAGCCAGAGAAAATGTAGTGGGGAGGGGAATAAAGAAAAGAGAGAAGTTGAGGAGGACAGACACAAAAACAAACAAACAAAAAAAATTCAAAGGGAAATTCTGAAAGTGGTTTCCTGTCACATACACTGAGACATTAAAACACACACACACACACACACACACACACACGGATTTTATTAAACAAACAAGCCAACAACCAAACGCACATCAAAACTACATTTGCTCCTGCTGTCATAGGAAAAGAGGGTTTGGAATGATTGTAGGGTTCTGGTAGGAACCCTTCTGGCCTTTACTACTATCAGTACCTCCCCATCCCCTCACCCCCCGCCCCAGCATTTTCATAAACGCTCTGAAGTCCCCGCTGGAGAAGGGGCCGCACTAGAGGCTGCAAGCAAGGGGAGGACTCCCTGTTGGAGGCGAAGGGGTCATGTTTCCAAGTAGAGACATCAGCAAACCACAATCTTAGTGACAGTGACAGCGCAAAATTATGTTTAATGTTGCAAGGGGGAAAGGGGAAATATAAAATTAGCGCAAAGAAAATGTTTCCCAGACCTTCCTCACAATTAGGGCATACGGATGGGCACAACGGCGGGGTCGACAGTGGGGATGGTGGGGCCTAGCCGGGCGACCGTGTTGGGTGGAGGCAAAGGCCGGAGTCCTCACTCCCCAGGAGGAAAAGGAAAGCTTCTGGAGAGAGATTAATGACACTCCGCCCAATCACTTCACTGGGTTCGGAACCTTTTTTGCAGAAGAGGGGATGTTCTAGATTTCCCATCCTGGCGGAGATGACAGTTCAACGACCGGCCTACTCAGTCCCAAAGCCACAGGGCGTTTTAATTAGTGATGAGGCTGGTGGAGGGGCTGGCGGAGCCTGGAAGGCGGAGAAGGAAATGCGGAGGGGGAGACGCACAGCCCCAGACCCCTCCCCCTCCTCGCCGGAGCCTCGGGAGCTGTAGGCAGAGGATGCTGAAGCGAAGTAAGAATTACTTAATAAATTAGCTGCCCCTCTTTAGAACTTGCTGTCAGCCCCGCCTCGGCAGCCGCACGTAGGCGAGCGAGACCCCACTGCCTTCTCACTACGCCCCTGGATCTCCATAGGCGCACCCCCACCCCCAACCAGGGTCTTGGACAGGCAGACAGCCGACAGCCCAAGGGATTGGCCCAGAGAGGGCCAGGGAGGTGGGAACGGTGGCATTTTCAAGGAGGAAGCAGTTTCTGTTCAGTGCGGGAGATTATTTCCTCAGCTGCTTATTTAAAGAGACAGAGATGAGAGAGAGAGAAAGAGAGGTTGATTCCCTTCTTGTTGTGGTTATAAAAAATTTAATTTTGCCTTTGTCTAGAAAGCACTGTATTATTGTGATTATTAAACAACATCGTTTCCCTTCTCACTGCCAGGCAAGGGAAGGGGGAAGAAAGAGAGAGGATTAAGGAACATTTATTTAAAAAATAATACATATTACAAATAAGTGTATTTTTAAAAACTAAACCAGGCAGATAAAGGCAGATGAGAAACTGCAATGAGAGAAAGGGGCGGGGGGAGAAAATCGTTTGATTATTTAAAGGCTAATCTAGGCAGAAGAATCAGAAAAAAGAAACTTGGGAAAATAAGGCAGCTGCCATTTCCTACGTGTTAGCTACATGACTTGAAAAAAAATAGGAAAAGAAGCTATTCTTAGGTATAGCCAGGGTTGTAGTTTTATACTTTGATTTTAGCAACAAGTATGAAAAGATCTAAACTAATTGATTGCTGAGTTCCTTGGCCCTTTTCCAAAGAGCAATATAGATTTAATTGTATGTTGCTTAAAACTCCATTTCTCGAACAGTGTGAAGCATGTAATAAAAGTCATAAACCGTATCGGAGATTTTTTTTCCCCCACAAGCATAAATACCCAACTGACACTTGGAAATCTTAGCTAATACTCCTTATGGGTTAAAACAAAACAACAAAAAACAACAACAAAAAAGGCATCTGTGAGGGGGAGCCACATAATAAAATCCAAACTGTTAATCCATTTTAACTCATTCAAAAGAACCTGCAGTTGCGGATGGGTGTTTTGCAGAGGCGGGGCTGGGGTGAAGATACCCCACATCAGACACCTGATCTGCTCAAATTCGGTCCATCTAAACCACTCTCCCCTAAAGGAAAGAAGTCTGGCCTACAAAAAGACACCAGAAATATCTCCACCAGAGAAAATGGATCTGAAAGTTGCAGCCGAACTGCCTGGCCAGAACTCTCTGGCCAAGAGACAGGGAAGCCACTCCGCGGCTTTCGCTCTCCGCTGCCCCTAGCCTGGCATCCCCCAAGGAAAGAGACCGGCCTGGAGAGGCCGTGGGAGCGCTCCAAAGCGGCGCGGCAAAATCCACCCCTCTCCCCCTCCTAGGCAGCTCCCCCTTTCCCATTGTCCTCCGTTATCCCTGACCCCCAGTTGCTGTTGGGGTCCAAAACCACCCGCGGCTCCCCCTCGGCCAGCTGTATGCTGCAGAAGCGAAGAGTCCCGGCCACGCCTGCGATTTGGTCGGAGATCTGCCGCTGCAGCCAAGTTCGCGGCCGCCATCAAGCTGGCGGCTGCGCGCGTCTCGGGCCGTGCCCTGGCGTGGCCACGCGGGCCGGCTGCAGGCGGAGATCTGTAAAAATCCACGTGAGCCGCCCCCTCCTCCTGCTGCCCGCGGCCCCTGACACTGCAGCATTGAAGCCTGCCCGGAGGTCCCCGAGGTCTCCGAGTGTGACAGTACTCAGCATAGCGGGTAGATGGCACAATTTTCTAACATTTAGAGAGAGGAACCCACGCTGGGAGCAATAAGTCCATTTAAAAGCCCTTTATTTAAAAGGAACAAAGATAACTGACAAGCGAAGTACAGAGACATCTCAATGAAATTTCCAAAGAAGAAAGAGAAATCAGAGGCTAAAGCAAATGCGAACTGGGCTTGATGGAACAGGCCAGCACTTTCCTCCCCCTCAAAAGGAGAGCAGATAAAAGACAAAAAGAAAGAGGTGGTGGTCATTGGGTCTGTGCGGTAAGGATCACAGACCAAACCAAATTCTAAAAGTCCACAGCCACTAAACTTTAAAATGGCCGGGTGGCCTCGGTGGGGGAAGGTGAAGGAGAAGCTAGATCAGTTTGGGGGAAAGAGATATGGAAGTTTTGCCCCTGCCTTGGAGGCTCTTCCCCAACCTTTGATAACAGGTATCTCTGCTTTGGCTTGGGGTCTAGGGAGCCCCAGGAGGATGGGCAGGCAAGGCATTCGTTCTGGGCACATCTGAGCCCTTCCAAGGGGCTGGGCACCACAGGCTTCTGTCCTACAGCCACGTTTCCTACAATGGGGCCCAGGGCTGGGCCGAGTCAGCCACGATCCCAGACACTAAGATTTGGTCAAAAGCAGGGCACTTAAGCTCACACTCAGAGACTTGGGTACAATTGTGCCCCTTCCAAACTAAGAAGGGCACGATGGCACCCACTGATGTCTCCTGGCAACGCCAAGACAGCCCACACTTCATCTTGTGCTCTGGCACCGCCACCACCCTCTCCCTCCCCACCAAACCTACACGCCAGATCGATCCCCCTTGCCAGGAGAGCCTCAAGCTGAGAGGAGGAAACAGAGGAGGGGGCGAGAGGCCAAGGGATCCGTGAGGCCACCTCTCTGGTCATCCGGGCCGGCCTCTGGCCCCCAGCGACCCTGGCCAAGCAGGACCAGCGGTGGGAAGGGGCACGGCAGCTATCGTCCGCAGGGGGTCAAATGATTGCATTTGGGTGGGTGCTCGCCGACATATTTGCTGAGTAAACCTCCCTCGCTGGGCTGAAGGCGAATCCCCGTTGATAAATCCATCATTACCGTTCGGATTCAGGGAGGCAGCCGCGCCACTAAATTCATCTTACATTCGTAGCGCTTTAATAGACATTTATGAAATGCTTTTAGAGAGAGGCATGGGGTGCGTGATTACATCCTAGTTATAGACAGAACATAAAGACCCACGTTAACACCCATTTGCAGGAAGGAAGGAAAAGGTGGGGAGGGGGTGGTAAGGCAGAGAGATGAAGTGAGGAGAGGCAAGGAGAGATGGGGCGGGCAGGGGCACGGTGTCTAGGCGTTATTAACGAGGGCTGCCTGGCGGGAGCCTCGGAAAGTGACAGGCTGCGGAGAGAAGTACTCGCTCCCCTCGCAGTTCCTGGGGCTTCCCTTCCCTTGCCCCCCACCCACAATCCCCCCGTGGTGGGCTCGTATTCTCTCTGCCAGGGAACAAGGGACGCCGCACTGCCTCCGCCGACCCTTCTGTCCCTCCAACCCCCACTGCTTCTTCACTTTATTCCAGGCCTCTCCAACTTCGACCCTTTGGAGTGGCCAAACCAGAAAGAGAAGGGAGGGAGTCCCCGCATGCCGAGGACCCCAAGAACTCCTTTAAAGCATCCTCTTCACCCCACCTCACCCCCAACCCAGAGAGCAACAGAGCTGGGCCAGGTTCCTGCAGCAGAAAGCAGACGCCCAGGCCACCGGGCGGAGTACATCTGCTTGCTCAGAGGGTTCCTTGGCCTGGCAGTCTTTGCGGAAGGACCCCCTGCTCTGCGCCAGGAGGAAGCCATGCCACTTTCGCGCCTTCCATCATCTCGTGCCTGGGAACTTGCCCTGGACTTGCCCCGCGCCCCCCGACCTCATCCTCAGGGAGCTGCTCCTGTAGGGATGCCTGGGCCTCCAAAGGGCCTAACGCCTTCCTGAGGGCCCCATTAGCTTCGCCTAGAAGCCCAGTCCCCGAGCTTTGCCGGCTCTGCGCGCGCTCTCACCGCGCCCTCGCTCCCCCGGGACGCAGCCACCGACCCGGGCCGGGACAGCAGCCGGCAGGACTCCGGGCCCTCCCTGGCTCTTGGTAAAGAACACTTCCGCTATCTCAAAGTTGCCATAAGAAAATAAATACAAGTGACATTGTACTGGGCCAAAGCTCATTAGTTCGTTGTCCAGGCCTAATAAAGGAACAGAAGCGCAAATTATAGAGTTCAGCTTCAACACACGCTCTGTCACCCGAGATCAGCGCACCGCGAGCCTGATTCCAATTGCTCCGAACTTGCAGCGCAGTTCGCCCCCCACCCCCTCCTCTCAAGCAGGAGGTTGGGTGGAAAAATATAGTTCCAAAGGGGGTAATGATCAAGCTTTTCCTCTCGGAAGCCTGCGCCACCTCATTTCCCATCAGTAATCCCAATAAAATTAACGTCGTGGCTGCAATTGAAAAGAGGAGGGCCCGCAACACTCCTGAAATAACACACTCTCCCCAGCAAAAGGTAAAAAGCAAAACGGCCCTTTGTTCAGCTAATTAACGAAGGCCCAACTCCGAAAGCAGATGTGTTTGCTTAGCTAATCACAAGCATGTTTCTTTCAAGGAACGTCATTTCGAGGGGGCCGCTCCGGGGGAGATGGGATAGAGGGACACCACCCCCCAGGCCCATTCTGCCTCGGGTCTCTCACCCCGGTCTAAGATCCAGAGGCTGAATCCAGGCAGCCCGTCTTTCACACCTTTCTTCCCCTCAGCCCTACCCCAGAGGCCCCATAGGCAGAGACTTCAGCGCTAGCCCCAAGGCCAAACCTGCAAGACACGAGGGGGAGAAAAATAAAAGTTTTAATGACACAGATGCCATATTAAATGAGGCAGTTTTACAATTCACTTTGAATAGGACGCTAACTTATTACAAGTGTGTTATCAGAAGGACGATAAGATTTACAACTCCAAGAGTCAGCTTTGCGCCTTAATGACAATGGATGTTAAGAGGAGGAAATCTGTTCTCTATTAGAGGAGATGAGAATCCCTTCCCGGGTTTGGGGGCATTTACAGAGGCCTCCAGGACAGATACCAAGCCCTTTGTGTCTCTGTATGAAAGATTCTCTCTTTCCCCTTTGGCTATGAAATAGGGTCTCCTTGTTGGGTTAGCACCTTGCTCAGCTTTTTACCGTGTGCTTGGGATAGAAAAAACAGAAGGAAAACGAGATAGAATTGGGGATGGAGATAGAGGTGGGGTGGGGAGCGGTTCTTAGCCCTCTGGTTCCTCCAGTAGTACTACTTCCCGGTCTTTCTTTACCATACAAAAAATAGCTTTCCCCTAAACCAACACAGTAAGCAAACTTTAAAAAACTGAGGTCCTATTACAAACCAACGCCCAGCACTAACTGCTTTAAAATTACTGCATAATTAGATTTAGTTGAATTTCACCATTAATTAGGCAGCCGCACTGCAGGGAGCCTTTGAAATCTGAGAAAATGGGAAAAATCATCTGAAGCACGTTTTTTAAGCCCAACTTCAATAAATCTTGACGAGGCCTGGAATTCAGAGAGTATCCCAGGCGGCTGAGGGAGAGGGTTGTCCAGGCCGGGGCTGGGGATGGAGCTGGACGTGGCGGGGCGATATCCCATCCGCCCGAGAAGGGAGCCTGGGCCCGGATCCACTATCTCTGCAGAGGCCCTCAGAAGACCCTCTCTAGGAGGCCAGGTCTGTCCCACGGCCGCCCTTGCCCACTCTCAAACCTATTAGAGAAAGAGGGTCCTCCGCTGCAGTCGCTCTCCTGCCAGGGGCACAGTCCACGCGGGCTCACACATTTCTAGGGTCTGCGACCACCCGCCTGGAACCGGCCCTCAGCCCCTGCTAGACCCTCCCACCCCCCAATCAACCCTCCGCCCGGAAAGCCTCCTTTCCCACAACTTGGGCGTGCAAAAGCAGCAAGTTCTGCCCAAGTCCAGCGGGGTTCGCATTCCGCCCTCCCCACCGCGCCCCAGCTCCGCTCGGGCCCGCGCAAACCCCGGCGCAGCCCCTGCATTAATGAGCGCGAGAACTGACCGAGGTCTGTAAAGACCGTCCTCTTCCCATCCCCCTATACCATTCAAACATTTAAGATCATTTGCGGATACAGACTTTTTATTTTTCTAATTTGGTTCTTGGAAGGAGAGGGGACAGGAAATCAACTCTCCTGAATATGGGAGGGGGAGGGGAGAAGGTACAGCGTTACCAATATTTTCCTTACGAATTCTGTTGCTTTAATTAAAGAACCGAGGACCGGACTCACTTGCCAGCAAGAGTTTAAAAAAGGGTTTTCTGCCTGCAGACGGAATGGCCTTTAGCGCCCCCCGCCCTCCTTTTTTTCTTTTTGGTAACCAATGTGTTTTCTATTACCCGGCCCTGCCGAGCCTGGCAGCCCGGCGCTCGCGGTGCAGTGGGAGACGCCATGTTGGCTCAGCTCATAGGACCAAGTCAAAAGCGAGATTCGAGGCAGAGTTTCACACGCTCGAGCTCCCCCTGACCGCCCCCCGCCCCCGCCCTCGCCCCCCCCGCCTGTCGCCGCTTAATGCACATCCCAGGAGTGCAGCTCCGCGCGCCCGGCACCCCGGACTTTCCCGGGGCGCTGGCGGAATTCTGCCGCACGTAAGTGGGGGCGGGGGCTGGGGGGCAGGCACTTTCCCGTAGCAGCTGCCAACTCCAGGCCCCCGTCCCTGCAGCCGGCTAGAGGCTAAGCCTCGGACGTCGCCCGCTAACTTTGAGCCCCAGCTCCTCGCGGCCCAGGGAGAGCTAATGGTGAAAGGCCGAGGCAGGGCGACCGCGAGCCGAGCGAGCAGGCTGGAATCCCCCCCGGGCTCAATCTTCCCCCAGGTTTGTTTGAAAGTGGCGAGAAGCAGCGAGCGCCCCTCTCTCTCCTTGCACTATTGTTGCATTTCGCGTCTAACTGGGTTCTCTCACACCCCCGAGCGCCACGAGGAGGAGGGGGAGCGGGGTTGGGAAAAGAAATAAAGCGAGCTCAGATCAGATGAAAAAAAAAAAAAAAAAAAAACCCAGCAAGGAAAAAGAGACACTTAAAGGGAAAGAGTCGCCATGTTTAGCAGCTTTTTTAAAGATCTCGTCAATTTCACACAGAACGCGCTCGCTGGGTCCCAGCCCTCGTCTTTTGTCCAATTCAGTCGCAGCAAAGATCTTTTGTTCTAACTCAGCGTGAAAAGAAAAACTTTCTTTAAATGCAATAAACTTAAACCGAACTCAAGACTCTAAACAGATCCTCCTCCGGCCACTCTAAACATATACAAGGGGGTTTGTTTTAACCGGTTGAAAAATTTTGGGTCCTGTTTTTCTGCCTCGCAGACCCCAAGCTCATTGCTTAAACTTAAGAGTGCGAGAGAGATTTCCAACGTCTAGAACACATGCTTAAAGCATAATAAAACAGGGATTGTCTTTTGCTTTGAAAATCATAAATTATAATTTAATGCCAATAATAATTTACAACAAATGGCTGTTTACAATAAACTAACACAAAACAAACAAGGAAAAGGGCCTGTGTTTTACTTATTAGAGAAACTTCACACACTCACATGGATAGCACTTGCAAGAGGAAGAAAATCAACAACAACCGACAAAACCTCGAACTAAAGGTCAGCAATACTGTGCCGTAAGAACATACTTGTATTTATATATGTATATATCTACAGAAATAAGTGAGAGTCAGATGGAGAACTCTGCACAAATCAGATTTTACTGGTCTGCATGTATTGACTGGATCTGAATATTAACGTTTAATACACTTTACAAAATTATCCCTGTTCTTTCACCTCCCTCACTAGTCCTCCCCCCCCCCCACCAATTAGAATTAAACCACAACATGATGAAGTACTGGCGGTGGGGGGGTGGGTTGGAAACCTTGAATAAGAACAAAATTGCAAGCTCCCAGCACCGAGCTTCCTCCAAACCAGGAAAAGAGAAAGAGGAAAAATGAAAAAAAGACTCCAAAAGAAATAGTTACTACTTCCAAATCAGCACACCCTGTAAAGTTTCCCTCCTTCCTTCTTTCTTTTTCTCTGTCCTGCTTTCTCTTCCTTAATTTGGCTTCTAAGGACAAAGGATCCCAAGAGCAGTACAGATTGTAGCCACACAATCTGAAATGTCAAAATGTCGATGTGTTTTTATGTACATAACTCCAATGGAAAAGATTCCCTTGACCCTGTGGTCATGCTCTCACAGACTGAAGGTAAAGGGGGGGAGGGGAGAGGGAAACCAACTGCAAGTTATCATATATACATTAAAAGTAGACCTTTCAGTCTTAGAACCTGTATCACTGAATTTGAAACTCTCTCAACAACCACGCTAGAGTAGAATCACAGAATATTTTAAAAAATCGTACCTACTTAAGGAAAAACTCACTGCAAACAACTGTCCTCTAGTTACAATGCTGTGATTAGCTTGCTTGAACGATCTTCTGAGTAACTGTCAGAAATGTACAAAAGAGTATTTTTTTCTGATCATAAAATAGATACTGATCTCAAGATTTCTAATACTTTTTCACAATACCTTCCCTAAGCAGGCACTTAAGTGTGACAAATATAAGGGCCTTTTTTTTTTTCCTGGAAAATCCATTTTTAATTAAAAGGAGGATTAGGTGAATGGGGGTGGTTTACTATATCAGTATGGCACTTCCTAAACCATAGATAAACCATTAACTTCAGCTCCCCCCCCAACACACACACACCCAAATTAAACAGGCAAATACAGTAGTCCACCTTTGAACAAACTGACTGAGGGGAGTAAACAAATGCCCCCCCCCACCACCCCCCGCCCGGCCAGCTAAGCGAGAGCTCACAGGGGCTCTTCTAGATGTAAAGACAGTGAGTGGGGACAGCCAGGTTTCAGATATCAAATAATATTTTAATTTCTGAATACTTTCAATTTTCCTTGGAATATAACACACAAAGACTCGACCAAACAGTTCAGTTATTATAACTTTTACAGTATACAGAAATGTTGCACTTAAAAAAAAAACCTTCAGTTTTTTTAAAACACAAACTGTAAACTCTAAGATACTGAATCAATCACGTTACCTATAAGTGCCAACAGTGTTATTTTTGTCATGCTGATTTCAATGGTATTTTTTAAAAAGGGAAAATATCAACAATTATAATACAAAGGGTTTGCAAATATACAAACAGATATAGGATTTTCATAACAATTCAAGAACTAAGCGGGACCCAATTCAAATTACAAAAGTTCACTTTTTATTCAAAACCTCAGCATGTGTCTTGGACACATTCCTTGGCTGCCAATAAATTCCACAGTTCATTCTCTTTCTTAAAATATTTTTTAAAAGCTAGGTTTGTCATGGTTTCTTTTGGGGAGGGGCAGGGTAGGGGAAGTTAAGTGTTATATGTGGTTCCTCCAGTTCTCTAATTAGAGTGCTCGACTTCACCTAAAAATTTTGGTCACCACTTGTAAGTGCGTTTCCATCATCTTTGAGTTGCCTTTTAAAGTTTTATGTCTTCCTATGGTATTTTCATGGACTCAGTTTTAATTCTTGCAGAACATATATTTTAATGATACACAGTTTTTAAGAAGCCAAGATTATATCAAAACTTATTATAGAACCACAGAATAAACTGGTTTGGAACCAGAAAAGTACAAAAAAGAACAGCTAGAGGTACATAGACACAGGACAATTAATAATTTGGAAAAAAAAAAGACTTACTTTCTCCATTCTGCTAATTGTCTCCCAATCTCCTTAAATGCACTTTTAGCAATATTTTTCAAAAATTTACCAAAAAAAGAAAAAGACTAATTTCCTTTTTATACAAAAATGATAAGTAGCAAGTTGTTCTGACCGACACAGGAGTTTTTTTTTTTTTTTAATGCATTCTGTAAAAGTTCATTTGACAGTCTTTTTTTTTTTTTTTGAAATTCACAGTCCATTAAATTCTTCCCCTCTCTTCTTTTAGCAAACTTGTAACATCCTTTTATATCCTTTCTTAACAGAAGGAAATTAAGCAAACAAACCAGTCTTTTGCCTTTTCTTTCTCTGTTTCACTCCCCCTTCTTATTTTATTTATTTATTGAATTGCCATATACGGCCAGTTAAAACTGCTGCCGGACAGTAACATATCCCGGATGAGGGTTTCGATGGGGGTTTTACCTACCAAACGGACGAAAAACAATTGCTCTATGACTGAGGAGGAGACGGTGCGGAGGGAAGGGAGGCGAAGCAAAAGCTTTCCGAATCTCGTCGGCTGGTTGGGGTACTGGCTCCTAACGTATTCTTCCAAAGCACACTGAGACTTTTCCTGCAAGCTTTCCACATGGGCTACATCAGAGAGACCACAGGCATCTGGAAGAAAGTTTAAAAACAGAAGAAGAAGAAGAAGAAAAAGAAGAAGAAGAAGAAGAAGAAGAATTCAGTCATCAGATTAAGAGGTTTGAATTGGGTCACATGAGGTGTGTGCACAGAGCTCTGTCAAACTGCCCCAACCGGAGTTGGAGCAAATGTCTATGTACTGAAAACTTAAGGGGGGGAGGCGGGGTGGGGGAAGAAAGAGCAAGAGATGGTCCTGAGGAAGTGTTTGCTTTAAAATAAAACATAGCTCAGTGTGCTACAGGCTTTCACTGCCCGAGTCCTTAGCCTGGGTCATTGAGAGGCCCAAGCAAAAGTGCATTGGGTCTGTCTGGCCCAAGTCAGTAAACAGAAGAAACCAAAACTACCAGCACTCTCTCCCCTCCTCCTCTGTAAATAATAGTTTGGCTTATAATTATATAGGGGTTGGGGGTTGGGGGTGGACAACCTGGCCCAGTCCCGAGTAATGGCGTCCACGATCCAGCCTCAGATTCCCCCCAAAGAGGGCGACTCATTTTTCTCCAGTCTTTGAAACTGATTTAAGTGGCCCTTTAAAACTGATCTTGTCAGTTTAGCCTATTGAAGGGCAGCCATGCAAACCGTGATCTCTCTGTTCATTTGAGCTGTTTCTTTTCCCCCTTTTTCTTCTCTCTCCCTTTTTCTCCTACCCCCCTTTATTTTTTAAAACCCAGGTCCCTCCGAGAAGCATCCCCCCTCCCTGTTATCTTCAGGAAAACACTTTTCTTTTTTGATACGTGAAAATACAGTAAGTGCCTTTGAAATGAGAAGCTTCTTGGTAAAGGCGGTTCAGGTTGTGACCTGACCTTTCAGGGCTCCCCATACAAGACTGGGGTTAACATATGCATATTGTGAGTCATTAAAACAGATATTCGAAAATCTCCACCACCACCTCCACCCCAAGAACCAGAACACACATGCAACCTCCTCATATGTATATCTAGGACTCTGCATGTCTACAGAATGTAGAGGTGTCTGTGGACAGGAACTAAAAGATCTGTTTGCACAGGACTCCTTCCCTCGGCATCCTCGGAACTGTGTGTCTCCCTCTGAATCAGATAACAGGAACCTTTATCTCTTTGTGAGGCGATTTGCATTCTCCACACAGGCCTCCACATTTTGCAAATAGTCATAAATTAAACTGTTAACGACAGTATCAGGCATTTTTTTTTCCTTGAAAGACCAAGGGTAAGGCTAAGAGCTAGCAATGATACCAAGAAATTAACGACTACCTCCATCGTCCAAGAAGGTGGGCTGGGTGTTGGGTTGTGGGACAGGGGTGAAGGTGGCTATGAGGTAGGGAGATATCTTGTCTGTATATCTGCAGCAGGCAAACGTTCTAGGTATGAGGGGCACTCGAGAAAAATAATCCCTATCCAAACCTCTGCAAACAGCTTCCCTGCCCAGACACTGGCCTTTAATTGATTACCTAAGGACTTCCAAAGGCAGAATTTGGGGTGGCTGTGCTGGGAGGTTTTATGTGGAAAGCAGCAATGTACAAGACAGCAGTTTGAGGACTAAGAAGCTGCAAGCTGTTCAGCTAATGACTTAGTTCCCCAGACTTCTTTCGAACAATAAGGAAGAGATTGTGGACCTCCTTTATGTTTGCCACATAAACTACACATCTCTCCTCGTTTCCTGTTAACAAGCTTAAAAAATTGTAGTGGGTGACTAGGTTCCAAGCCCTGCTAACGTCCAGATGTTTGTTATTCTTAATCGGGAACCCCTTTCCCCTCTCAGCCATGACAAAAGGATCAGCTGACAACTTAGTACAAGAATGTGAAAGGGGGTTGGTGATTTCCATCCACCTGGGCTATGCTGAACTCAGCCTGGAGGCAGCCAAAAAGCTCAGGTGTGGCCCAAAATGGAAAGCCAGACACCTTCAAAAATCATTTTGCCTCAAGTTAATTAGTATCAGCTCTATTACTCACACAGGTTAAACTACATGCAAACTAATTAGATTGCATAATGCAGTCAATGATGGTTTTATATCTCTAGCAACATCCATATCCAGCCCAAGTTGGCATACACTTTGGGTTGTTTGAAAATTGCCTTAAGTGTTTGCTTGGGCAGGGGAAGCAAGAGGCCAGAGTCTTCAACCTCCTGCAGACATTCTGAAGAGTTATGACGGTCCCTTTCCTCCTGTTGCCCCATCCTGACACATCTTTTCGCCTCTCCTGGCAGTCTGCATTATTCCAGTAAGAATATGATTTTGAAAATTGCTGCCCTCAGGTTGGATTTGCCTGGAGCTCCAACTCCTATTGAGTTAGCAGGCAAACTTTTCCCTGCAGAGACAATGTCAGGGCTGCTCCACTGCCCAGGGCATCTCCTGGAGGCCCAGCCAGGGCGCTAGAGAAAACCGAGGGCTTGAGGAGATTCCCTGGGGCCCAGCAGGCCCGGGGGGCCTGGGCTCAGGAAAGGGAGCAGGAGAGGGCATCCCAATCTGGATACTGCAGGTGGGGGAAACAGGCAGCAGAGGCTGCCCTATGGCCCATGTGGGGAATCTATCTGAAGCATCCTTCCTGCAATCCAGCCTTCCTCTCCTCTCCCCAGGACAGGCCTGGTAGTGCCCAGCAGCTATAAAAAGTTCCCACTTTAAGTTGCACTCAACAGTTTGGCCTTTCAAGGAGCAGACTGGGTTTGCCCTGGGGACTCCCAAGTTCTCTGGGCCCCAGCTCTGGGCTAGGAGCCCGTGGGCACGAGAAGACAGGGCTCCTTCCTACCTGAGGTGAACAGGACTATGGCCTTGAGGCAGCTGTACTCGGCTGAGTCAACGTGCAGCGCCTTGAGCTTCTCCACTTGCTCTTGGAAGATCCGTATGTGGTCCATAAAGGCGACCACCCGGTCGGCGGACATGGGCGAAGCATGCAGGCCGGCGGCGGCCAGGAGCGGGGCGACGTGGAGGGGCATGGAGCACTGCGCCGCATTCAACACAAACAGCTCGCTCCAGGTGAGGCGAAGCAGGGCCACCTGGTCCGTGATCTGCAGGTCGGGGAAGAAGGGGATGTTCCGGGCCCACTCGACGGCGCTGAAGAGCATCCTCGCGGCCAGTTCGCAAATGTTCTCGATACCCATGATGTTGTTGGGCTGCATGCATTGGCTGCCGAAGCGCGACGTGGGATAGGGCTCCGCGCGCAACAGCAGGGAAATATATCCGGACAGGTACGAGTGGCAGTTGAGGGGATCCCCGTTGGTCAGCGCGAACTGCCCGTGGGTCGGCTGGGTCGGCGGCATCCTGCCCCTCTGCACCGCTGCGGGGAGGAAAGGAGACACTCCACAGTTAATGACCAGCCTCAGTCCCCAGGTTCCCCGGCGGGGTCTGCCCCAGCCCGACCCCCACCTGACCCAGGCCCTGAGCAGCGCAAGAACCAGGCAGGCCTGCCACAGAGCTGGAGTCGCCAGGCTCTTGGCACCATTCCTTTCAAACCACCACCCAGGCGAGCTCTGAGGGCCAGAGGGGCACACTTGCCTCCGAGGCCCGCTCGGGGCTGGTCCGCCGAGGACCCAGAATTGGCCACCTTGCCTCGGGGTCCCCGGCGCTGTGGGCGGGATGTAGCATTCTGAGGGCATCTTTCTTCTTTACTGCTAAACAGCTGATATTTCTTATTGATTGGAGGAGAGGGAGCGGGAGGGGCGAGTCTGGGGGGAGGGTGAGGCGCTTTTGCAAAAGGCACGAGGGTCCACCCCAGACGGCCTGTGGCCACTCCGGAACGACTCTCCCACAAACCCCGAAGCCCCAGCCCCAGCCCGGCGGGGAACCCCCCCAGTGAGAGACAAGCAGAGAGCGGAGGTCTGGCGTCTGTCTAATCAGTGTGCTCGGAGAAAGAGACGGAGGGAGAGGGCGGAGAGAGAGAGGCCGGCTAAAGAGAGAGGAAGCCGGGAGAGGCAGGGAGCAGGCGGCCGGCACTAGCGGAGCCTGGGCAGGGCCTGTAAGGGCCGGGGAAAGCCGGCGAGGCTCGGGCCCAGGCTGTTATCTGACTCCGGACCGGGAGAGTCGCTCTCGCAGAAACACAAAGAAACCCCGGCGTTGGCTCGCCCCAACCCGGAGCCCGCGCCCCGCGCCGAGCGCGCCATTGGCAAAGCACGGCTCGCGGCGCTCGGCGAATTTTATATCACAAAGACCCAACTCGCGCAGAGCGAAAGCAGCCGCCCAGGGCCCCTCGCCCACCCTTTCCTACTTCCTATCGCGCTCTCTTCGTTTCAAAAAGTGAAAGGAAAAAAGAAAGCAGAGGTATTTTTTTTTTTAGCAGGATGTTAATCCACGGAGGGTCACATGAGCGCTGCCCGGGCGGCAGCGTTAATACGGCGAAGTGCATAAAATTGCCATTTGTAATTTGAACCTCCTGTACAAAAGTACAATCTCAGGTTTTTTTTTTTTTTTTTTTGAGAGGGTGGGGGCTGGGGAAAGGGGTGAGGGGGAGGGACATGTTGAACATGCAGGAAAAACAAGGGCAGAGAGAGAGAAGTAAACTAGGCTTTAAAACAACAACAACAAACACCCCATCCCTTGCAGAAAGGCAGACTCCAGTGAACTCACAATCAATGCAAAGGAAATGGAAACAGCCCAAAGAGAGAGTAAAGAAGGAAATCAGTCGGCCAAAGCATGCGGATTTGGGGTCTGGGTTCCAATGCAGAACTCGCTTCTAGTATAAAACCCTTTTCCGCTGCAATACGAAGAGAAGAGCTTGGGGCTTCTTGTCCTTACCCAGAGCAGGCTAGCCAAACGTACCCAGGACCCCGGGACCCAGGACGAGGGAAGGAGAAATGAGAGGCCGATACCTTCCCGTCTCATGCCCACTTTGAGGCACTTTTTGAGGCGGCAGTACTGGCACTGGTTGCGATGGTGCTGGTCGATGGGACAGTTCCGGTTGGCGCGGCACGTGTAGCTCAGGTTCCTCCGCACGCTGCGCTTGAAGAAGCTCTTGCAGCCCTCGCACGTGAACTGGCCGTAGTGCTTGCCGCTCGACTTGTCTCCGCACACCACGCACTCGATGTGTTGCTGCTGCTGCTGCTTGTCGCTACCCGGGCCGCCAGGGCCGCCCTGGCCACCGGCCGCCGTCTGGGCTGGCGTGCTGGCTGGGCCCCCTTGGCCGGGCGTCTGTGGCGTGTGCGGGGCGCCGGGCGGCGGGCCGGGCACGGGCGGCGCCTGCGAGGCCTGGCTGCCCTGTGAGCCGGGCACCTCGTCCTGGGGGTCGCGCCACGTGCTGACTACCATTGCCATATCTATGGGGGCTGCGTCCGGACTTCCTGCTCCCCTGGCTGCGGGCGGCGGCGGGGCGGCGGCGGCTCCCCGGGTCTCGGGCTCCGGCGCGCCGCCTTTTGTGTGTGCGAGGGTGCAAGAGGGCGCGGGAGGGCGCCCCGGGTGGCTCGGGGGCTGGTTGGTTGAGGTTGGTTAGTTTTTCCTTTTTTGTTTTTGCTTTTGCAAAGTTTTGTCGATGGCTTGTCTGGCCCGGTGTGTTTGTTTTGTTTGTTTCTCTCGGCTCAGCTTTGTTGGTTTCGGGGGGCTTTCCGCCGGGAGGGGAGGGGAAGGGGACAGGAGAGCGAGTGGGAGCAGAACGTGGAGAAAGAGGGAGGGGAGGGAGAGCTGAAGTCGATTGTCTGGCTTCAAGACAGAAGTAGGAGGCAAAAAAAAAAATCTCTCCAAAGATCTCGCTCGCTCTCACTCTCTCCCTCCCTCTCTCGTTCACTCTCGCTCTTAGAGCTGGTGTGCAGCCGAGGAGTTGGCGGAGGAGGAGGAGGAGGAGGAGGAGGAAGAGGAGGTGGTGGTGAAGGAGGAGGTAGAGGAGGAGGAGAGGCGACTGTCCGGGGGCCAAGTCCAGGGCAGCCCACAGTCAGCCATTCAGGAAAGCCATCGAAATCAGGAGGACTAGGAGATCGGAGGCGCCGGGTGCGGGCGCGCCCAGGGAGCCAGGCAGGCCGGGGCGGAGGCCGGCGGCCCGCGGAGTGGCCGGAGCGCTGCCCGGGTCCGGGGGAATCAGCATGAAAGTGGTCCGCGTCGGGCGCTGCGCGGCGTCGTCCTGGCGCTGGGCCGCCGCCGCCGCCGCCTGCCCCGGGCGTCCGGCGCGCGCCTCGCTCTCTCCGGCCGCCGCCGCCCGCAGTCGCTGGGTGGAGGCCGCTCGCCGTTCCCTGCGGGCCGCCCGGGCCGCCGCTGCCGCCGGAGCCGCCGCCGAAGCCGCCGGGTCGGGCCCGGAGCCGCTGCGTCTAGCGCCGCCGCCGCCGCTGAAGTCGCTGCTGCCGCTGCTGCCGCCGCCGGAGCCGCTGCTGCTGCTGCTGCCGCCGCCGCCTCACACACATAGGGAAAGAGTCAACTCGCCGGCGGCGGGGGAGAAATGATAAAAGAGAGAGAGGAGGGCAGATCACCACCTAGAAGCACATCCTTCGTGCGCAGAGGGGGGAGAAAAAGACGGAGAGAAAGAATGAAAGAGGGGAAAAAAGGCAGTACGGCACCCGGAGAAAGGAGGCAACTCGGGGAGAGGAGGAGGAGAAGAAGAAAACACACACGCGCGCACGCACACACACACCGCGGAGAGAAAAGAACAGAGAATCAAAGTGATCAAATATGCTAAAAAGGGGGGCGCGGGAGGGAATGCGATTTATAGGCGCCGGGGCTGGCAGAAGTGGCTTCTCCGCGATCAGCTCACTGAGCTCTCTATATAGTGAACTTTGACACGACTGCTGCAACTTAGCGCACGTTGCCATGGCGACGGCGCGCCTTATAAGGCAGCAGCCGGGGTTGGCCTGGCCAGGCGCGCGCGCGCCGCCCCCTCGCCGTCATTGGCCGGACTGCGGCGGCCCCGCCATGGCGGCCGCGGGCGCAGCCCGGTCCTAGCGCGAGCGGCGTCGCCGGCGCGGCGCGGGGCACGCGGGGGACCGGGGGTTGGGGGGGCGGGGACGGGGTGGCCGCGCCGCCGCCGCCGCCGCCGCCGAGAGGGGGATGGGCCCGTGCTGGCCCTGCGAGCGCTGCCTCTGCTCTCCCCACATCCCGCACCCGAGGTTTCCGCCCCGGCGGGGAGACTAGCGCAGCGCGCACACACAACGTCTCTTAAAGGCTCCGCGAGAGGCTTTGGATGGAATCGGGGAGTTTGCCTCTCGCAACTTGGCGATGTCACGAATTCCGCCGCTCGCGCACCACCCGGGACTCCTGGCGCATCTTAGTACCCACAATGCCAAAGAAAAGTTCCCTGGTTTCTTTGCAGAGGGATAGGGAGTGAGGGTGGGAAGGTGCCACGAACTGAGCTTGTAGGCATTTTCCAAACGAAAGAGTTGGCCAGATCCGGGTGATGGCAAACCCTTCTCTTAATTAACTCTGATCACTTGTTCGGTTTGGTGACATATATATATGACATATATTCTTTTCAGAGGATAAAGGCCGTTCTGTTTCTGTTTATTCCTTGTAGGGTTAACATTTCACAGGTATGTGGCCTGACATTTTAATTGCCCAAATAAAGCATCTCGGATGCTGAGAAGCAGAAATAGACTTCATCTGATTGTCATGATGCAATTAGAATCAATTTTCCTCAACTTTACCCTCTCTCGCTGGTTTTAGCTAACTCTCCAGCCAACATCCTGCCACACACCCAGTCATGGTGAGAGGGGAAAGACCTCTGCCCACTGATGGACAGGAGGAGGCAGCCGCCCAGCCTCCCCTGTGCACACCCTCTGTACACACATGTAAGCGCACATGTATCAGATGCACATTTGTCAATGTACACAGACAAAGACTTCACCGACTATGCTTCTAGGTCATAGAACAGTTGAGTACGGACTTCATTGTTCCTCAAGTTCCTTTTAAGCATTCATATAGTCATTAAAACGCACCCAGAGATTCTGCCCCAAATGGGAAATAATACTAGTACAGGTCACAAGAACCAAACCCAAGCCATATTCTACCTCAAGAAGTCACTGCAAAAAGAACAACTTCATAGCCTATTGCCATTCTGCTCCATGTGCTAAAATAATTGAGACAGTTGTGTCTTTGAATTCCAGGGTGTCTGGTTTTAAACATCAAACATGTAGAATTGCTCTCAGAACACACTATATTCCAACGCAGTAAACTTGTTGTTTATGACCAGTTAGTGAATTATCATTATTCCACATTTATACAAGAAAATTGTGTCTCCTTTGTACACACTTTGCACCAAGAAAAAACCTCATGCCGGTAAACCAACCAGGTTTGTGAACAATTAAAATATTTTACACAAAAGACGCTGAGCTCCAGGAAAGAAATGAACACATATGAAGAGTAAATTGATGACCACAGAAAACATCCTTGGTAGCTGAAAAAAAAATTGACAGGGTAAAGATATTTTAAAAATAAACCATACATATAATTGACATGCATAGATCACATTTTACATTCAATTCTCTTTACACACATAGGCAGAATATGAGGTAAGGACTAAAGATCTGGGCAGATAGGGGCTGGTTTTTAGGAAAGGAAAAATCTTCTTTAAGCTTCATTCCCGAAACCTCAGCCCTCACTCTTTCTCCGATGAAATCACGTATTTCACTAAAGCTGCAGGTTCTCGGTTTATTTGAAAGTTGTTAAAAAAAAAAAAAAAAGCCCAGCAAACCTATAGTGGACACTGAACTATCATAAACCTGGTGTGTAATAAGATTGCCACAGAATGAAGCCAAGCTGAGAATTTCAGGTTAATTAGAGACACAATATAACTTTCTCCTAAAGAGGATAAGAAGGATGGAAAAGAAATCATTACACAGGAGAAGGTTTTTGGTAGTTGTTGTTGTTTTCCCTTCCAACCTCTATGATTCAGGAATTGCTAATGTTACAAATGTCAGCAGATTCGGGACAAGCTCAGCTGAGATGTGATGAGACTGGGGTTGAGATAGGAAATCTAATGGGCATTCCCATCTCAATAGAGGATGAAAATAATTGATTATAGGGAAATCTTCATCTCACCTCCTGAATGAGACTTCCATAGCAGATTACCTTTTACAAACATGGGAAGGAACAATATCGAGGAGGAAGAGCTTCCCCAGTCCACTTAGAGATTTTTGGAATTTGAAGTATGCGTGATGGCCTTAGATTAAAATGGAATAATTTCCCAACCATATCTTAACAAATTGGAGCCTGCTAGGCAAATGATCACAGGGCTGCCATAAAGTCAGGGGTGTTTCACTCTGTATTTTAGGACTCATTCAGTTATGAAATGCTGTTACAAGGGAGAAAAAAAATCACCGTATGAATTATACTTAATTTTAATGCATAGAAGAAGAGACAAGACTACAGACTGAGAAGAAAAAAGGGCAAAAATATTTTTAAATGTCTTCTCCAGAGATGCTCACTTGCTGTGCGTCTAAGGTTAAAAAGCTCTGAGAAGATAAAATCAATATATTATTGTTGTTTTTTAAAAATCCAACTCAGTCTTTTTTTGCAGATGTAAATTTATTATAATGAGAAGAATGGCAAGCTTTAATTTGCCTAGAGAAAGTTGGGACAACATTTGCCCTAATCTAAAAAAGAAAAGAAAGAAACTCAACACCCAGGAATATAATTTTCTTGCAGAAAGTGGCCTGATGGGCTGTATTTCTTTACAGATTGAATCACAATATGAATACAGACCCCAGCAAATGCCGAGTTTAACTCTGAACTCAGTAGAAACCAGTTCCGTCCTCCAGGATTCATTGAATTCCTCCTTTCCCTCAATCTAGTCCGTGTGTGTTTTTCTCTTCCACCACACTGGAGCTCCATGAATAGGGAAAGGGGCTTCCATTGTGTCCCTCTGAACTTCCAAGTCAATGCAATTTTTAACCACTGGCTTGTGGTACTTTGAAAATCACCAGGGGCTGTCAGAGTTAGGTCCTCTGAAAAATTTACAGTGCTAAATCAGAGCATATGCTGGGAGGGAAAAAATTGCTTAAGATTAGAGCAAGTACAGTATCTGTCTGCCCCCTAGTGTAAGAGTCCTCGCTGCCTAAAATTCAACTTTAAAAGAAAAGGAGCTCTTAAAGGGAAACGACTTTGGACTCACGTAGGCATAGGAGAACGAAACTTCTGTACATTTTAATCTGAATAATTCTTCAGGATTTAAAATTAATTGGCTCTGGCTTGGTTGGACCGTACTCGGATCTCGCCACCTCTGCGTTTCCCGAGTCACTGGCGAAGAGGTGATTTTTTTTTTTTTTTGAACTGGGTTTATGTGCGTCCCCCTCACCCCCTCCTCTCTTTTTCTTTCTCTCTGTCTCTGTCGTCTCTCTCGCTGGCTTTTTAAAAATGAGGAACCGCTCCTTGAATGTTCTGGACAGAGCACAGAATTGCTTCTTAAGTCAGCCCGGCGCGGTTGCAATAGACAGCAAAAAGGTAAACGTTTGCCTGAAATCCGCACGCCAGCTCCACCGCCCCGCCCGATGGTGAGTACCCTTCTCGTCGCGATTCTCCTCCTAGCTTAACCGAGCGCTCGCCTACCCGAACCGTGGCCGAGGGCGCCGGGCTAGGCTTTTCTCCCTCCCTGCCTGCCTGGCTGTCAGTTGCACAAGGTTGCAAAATGAAGCGCAGAGGCAAAGCGAACAGTAAATTCTGATACTTAGTGCGAGCCTAGCAGCTCCTTTGCTAGAAAACCGAGTCATCTGCTGCTTGCAAAACCACGCTTTATAGGACTGGTTTTTAGTTTGCTCTGTGGAAGGAAATGAGTTTGAGGAGACAGGACGAGGAGATAGGAGGCTCCGCAGTCTTAACGCTTCGGTTTAATCATATTTTGGCAGCTTTGCAATTGTATTTTCCCCCCTCCCCCTCCACCATCTCTCCTACCACACACATGTAATAAAATATGGCAATGCATTGAATTGACTCTGATCCCCCCTTCCCCGAACCCCTTAAACCACAGTCCTCGGCATTTCATACACGTTAGCAAACCGATATTTTGAAAAGCCCCAAGTCATCCCCAACCCCACACAGCACAAGCAGAAAAGTGAGAAAGGAAAGAGAGAGAGAAAAAATACTGTAAGTAAACATACCAAAACCATATTTGCCTTGTTCAAGGTCCCAAACCGCTTGCATCTTCCTCCTAAACTGGAATAACTCTCCTTTAGTTTGGCGGGTGAAATAAATGCTTTGTTGGCCCCCTGAAAAGATGTGTCTTTGATAATTAAAGAGAATCTCCTCCTCGGTGTTTATCTAAGCGATTGTGCAAACTGATAAAAAGTAGGCACTAGCCTGCAGGGAAAAAGAGGAAAGGTGAAGGGAGAGATCTTCCACCTCAAGGAAGTGCTTCCCCATGTATTAGGCTCTCTCAGCCTTGGAAAACCCTGCACACTAACTTTAGAGAGACAAGGTTTCAGGGAGCTTTGTACATAGCTGCTGAGGAATGCAAGCCTCGCCTTTAAGAAAAAAAACCCCAAACCGTAGGTAGGAGATGTCTGGAGTGATCCTTGTCTCTCATCTCATTCCTTAGAAGGAAGAGTGCGTTGTTACACCTTGTTTGGGGCTGGAAAGACGAGACTTTAAAAACACCCGTCCAATTGAAAAAAATCTCCCAACTTAATGAGTTTAGTCGGAGGCTGGAGCAAACGGCTCAGCCTCAGCAGAAAACCGCCAACAACTATAGGCGATATTGCAAAGCAAGACGACCCAAGGCACAGCCAAATTCCACTGTTTGGGGTCGAGAGAGATGGAGGCTAATCCTAAAGCAAGTTGGGAAAAAACAGAGGTGGAAGAGGAGGGGGAAAAAGCATCAGCCTCGCAGACTGGCAGACAGGCTTCCCTCGTCCTGGATCAAAGATAGAACTTGAGACAAGAGGGCAACATTTTTCCTAGGAATCCTTTGGAATCCTCATTTTCTACTTTTAACTCAAGTCTCCCCAAGTGATTTTTCCCCCTCTCCCCTGTGGATTTCTGCCTCCCCCCTTTCCGGTCCTTATTCTAGAACTTTCCTGAGGAGGAAATCTATTTCTTTTGGGGGGAGGGGTTCCCCATTCCATGCCTTCAGATAATGAATGCTTCATTCACCCCCTCCCTTTCTCTACTCCCCAAAACGAATAAAGGAAGCAAGAATACGGTAACTAGTGAAAATTGAATATAAACTATGCTGCCTCTCACAGTTTAATACTGTCTTAACTAATGGATTTTTGTTTTGTTTTGTTTTAAGAGAAGAATAATGGGGAAACACGGATCTTTTATTTTAGGAAACTGTTATGGTAAGATGTATGTCAGACTTGACAAATGGAACTAACGCTCTTCGGCTGCTTCTTGTCCTTGTCTTAAACAGGAATTAAGTTAAACACAGTGCTGAATGTTAATTACATGTTTACTGGCTAATGAAAATTACAAATGGTTTTGCCACCTCAAACAATGATGAAAACTCTGAAGACACTGTAATTATATACTTTGAGCAAAATAACTCAGAATATTGATCATAAGAAGTGTAAATCTTTTTTAACTATTCATTAATACCATAAATATGGGCTACAGAAGTTTTTCCTTGCGGTTTGTCTCATCAGTTATACTGAGTGGATGGATGGTGAGGCTCCTCTGGGGAGGAGGTGAACTCATTCTCTTAGTAGAAGGAGGCCACTTGTGTAACTCGGGGGTGCCCCCTCCCTTTCGCCCCCGCCCCCTTCATCCCCAGCCGAAGGTCGAGGAATAGTTGAACAGGAAGGCTGGACTCAGGGCAGGTGAAGATGATCACAGCCTGGCCTTTTCTCTCCCCTCCCTGCCCATCTCATTCCTCTCCCTTCTCCCTTTCCTGCCAGTTCTGATAGATGACTGCCTTCCCCAGCTCGGGCACCAGTGGGATAACCTGGCATTCGGGGGTTCCTAATGGAGGACCAGTTAGACCAAGAAACTCACCCCCACCCACAACCCAGCCGTGGAGCCCTGACAACTTCAATTCCCTCCTTCAGAGATGGCTCAGGCAGTTCATTGCAAAAGAAGAAGAAAAAAAAGTTAGGGATGGAGGTTGCTATTGGGTAAGGTGGCTCAGGCGGCTGAACCAGAACTGGTTTCCCTGGGTTTGGGAGCAGAAAAAATTTTTTGTTGTGGTTTTCTTTTAACTTTGGCCAAAGTTGTAGTGCTGGCAGCCACTCGGATCTAGGAGGTCAAAGGTGAGGGCTGCACTAACCCTAAACGGCTGTCCTGGCCTGGCTACAAGGCCAAACAGGCAGGGGAAAGGGGGTTTGTCAGCCTTGCAGCTTGGCACTTTGGAGGGGGCATCTGTGGAACCCATACTTGGGGGGCACAGCATCAAGTGTGGGTTTTAAGTGAAATATTGAGGATTTTTTTTTAAAAAAGTGCCCTAGGCTTGTGGGACTAGAGTCCTCTTTTTCCCTGAGAATTCCCAAGGCGCTGGTCTTTGTCTTAGAAGGAATGGAGTTTCTGAATGGTGTGAAAGGGACAGAGAGGGTCGCTTCAAATCGATTTTACTTGTCCTTTCTGTCTTTTCGGATCAACGCCCTTCAATGGGCACAGAGGTGCTCTTTCAACCAAAAACTTGTGCTACATTTTCTGCCTGTATTGGTGCTAAATACAATAAGCACTGGGCAGGGTTTTTTTTTTTTTTTTCTTTGCTCTCCAAAGCAAGAAAGCACCCTAATTAAATTGTTTTATATGGACAGTCAAGACGGACCAATTAAGTATGCATTAGTATAAAGATATAGTCTGCAGATAAGGTTGTTTAGAAAATCATGTGTAGGACAAAGGAGAGGGCGCTAGCATTTTGGAGAGGTGCCTAGACCCAGCAAGGTCATGCCCCTTCCTTCTTGGGCCCCAGGGGAATTGCAAAGGCCCGGGCCCCAGGTGAGAGGGGAACAAGCTCGCTAACAGGTGGGCGACATTGCCGGAGACTTTCAGGCCCGAAGCCCCGGCCCAAGAGTAGTGGAGTCCGAGGGTCGGGATTCCTCACATCTTACTCGGGCAACGTAGCAGACCGAGGTAGCGCTCCCGTAGGACGCAGCGGGACCCCGCAGTGCCCTACTCCAGGTCCACGGTGCGGCCCTGCAATAATGAAATCGTCTGCGCCCGGGGAAGGCCAGGAGGGCCAGGGGACACAGACGGTGTCACGGCCGCAGCCCTCTCACAGCCACTATCAGGGCAGGAGGCCTCCACCTAACAATTCCAAGCTAAGCGCTTTTTCTGATCTTAGGAAAGAGGAGGAGTTTTTCTGCGAGGAAAGTAACGCTTCCACCCGACGCCATCCGGCCCGATGGACGTCGAGGATCAGTCTCCAGAGTAGGAGAAAGGCCGACGGGTCGGAGAAAGGGTAGCAGGGAGAGCGGCTCGTCATCCAGCAGATGCAGCTCTGGGCTTCTCCACCCCCTCTCCTCCCTCAGAGGTGTGGGCGGGCGGAGAGCATCTCTCCTCGAAGGAGGCGACCCCCATAGCAGGGGCCGGGGCCTCCCCGCGTCGCGGCTCAGGGCTGTGATAGGTGGTCCCCGGGCCGAGGGGGCGCGAGCGCCGCGCGTTGCTGCTGGAAGGGCTCGCAGGGCGCACAGGGCAACCCTTAGTAGGGCGGGAGGGAGGAGTGCGGGCGAGAATTAGAGCCTGGGGAAGTGGCTGAATGTCAAAAGTAAAAGGTTGAAAAGCCAATTTTCCAGGCGCGCTTTCGCCCCCCTTAGCTGGTTGCAGGGGCCGTAAATCAGCGGCCGGCGGCGAGGGCGGGAGGAGCCCCCTCGGCGAGCTCGGCGCGGCCCCGCCCGGACCGTGCGCACCTCCCGGTGGGCCCCGAATCGATCCGAAGCCCAGCTAAGGATGTCAGCGCACTAAATATTTACTGATCACACACAAATAGCCGGGGCTCGAACGATTTTCCTCTGTGAGGAGAGCGCGGAGAGAAGGGTAAATCATTTTATTAGTGTGGATAAAGCCCAGAGCACACTCCGGGCTGGAGTGTTTTAAGATGTGTCTTCAACAGGATGAAAAGAGTTAGGGAAATCGATACCGAGTGATTAGAAGCCCCCGGGGTGACGAAGGGGGACTGGGCTTTCAGGGATTTGGCGAGGCCGAGAGGGGGGAGCAGGCCTCAAGGGGGGCGGCCCGACCACCGCCAGGGAGCTCCCGGCTCAGGCCTCCGTCCCTCCCTCCTCGACGGGAGACGCCAGGGCGCAGCGAGCTGCGGGGAGTCCACTGCGGCCAGGCTTCGTGGTGCCGGCGCCGGGTGAAGGCTGCGCGGGCCGCCGCGGGGCCGAGGGCTTGAGAGCCACTGGCTTCAAGCCGCGAGTGGCAGAGGCCAGGCAGCCGCGGGAGTGGATTGCAGGCGCGGTGTGGGAACGCCGGCAAGTCCCCCGCACGCAGTCTCTCCAGACAGCCTCGGGGATTGAAGGTGTGGCCTAAACAGGTTGCATTTCTCCTGCTGGCATTTCGGGTACTCCTCCCAGCCGCGACCCGATGCACCCTCGAACTTTCTCCCGGAGAAATCTCTACCCATCCTGTCTTTTAATATTTTTCAAGAGGTCTCAATGGCCCATCCCCGCCAGCTGCCTCTTCCTCCCACCCACTCGGTGTCAGGGGCGGCCGCCGGGTGGCGGAACCCGCTGGGGACTGCCGGGAGAGTGGGTTCCAGGTTCCCTGCTCGTGGGCAGGTGGGACGACATCTGAGGCCGAGGAGGAAGGCAGGGGGCTGGGTGACAGGCACCGAGGAAGCCCCAGGACGTCAGCGTCCTCTCCTAGGCGGGAACTCAGCTTTGGGGGTACCAGGCCACCCCCAGCGATGGAAACCCGCCCGGGGCCCTTGGCTGGGTACTGCGAACCCAAGTGGCCAAGGAGTAAAGGCTGGCAGGGCTTGACGAAGTTAGCAAGGCTTTGAGGGGAGTTTGCTGGGAGGGAGAGCAAAACCCCCAAACTCAAGCAGCGAAGCCCTGGCGCGAAAATGGCTTTTCACTTCTCCAAGCGCAAGTCTCTCTCGCTACTGTGAACAAACCTTGAGGTTCGAAACAGCTGCAAATAATCAAGTAGGCGCAAATTTCGGGAGGGGAAAGGAGGGGCAAAAGGTAAGAAAAGGGGAGAATCTTTTTCGTTTCTTCTTCCTTTTCCCGCTCCTGGCCTTTTCCTAAATATCTGCGCTCCCTAAAGCAACTGATAGCTACCTACGTTTGTTTATTTATTTAGAAAGGTTCACCCCCCCCCCACCACCACCCCCCAATTGCTCGATTTTCTTGGCAGCTTGAGGGATCCAATCCAGGCTGCCCTGCTTGGCTCTTCGGTGCAACAGGAAATGTAGCTGCAGATCCAATTAACCATTTTCCAGAAGAGAATTTCTTTTTTTTTTTTTTTTAAATGAATCCCAGTGGATTGAAGCGACCGTGTTCAGGTGTGAGGCTATCGGGTACCTCGCATTCCTTCCCCGGTAATCCTCCAATTCCTGCGTTGGAAGTTCGCAAGCCAAGCTGACCTGGAAGGTGTCAGGAGCCGGGTGTCCATTAACCCTTCTTGGTCTTGGCCAGAACGAAGGTTAACTACAGTGATCTACCAAAAAGAGACGTAGCAAAAAGGAAGCGAGGGAGGGAGGGAGCAAAGGAAGAAGGATGAAAGGAGGAAAGGGTATATTCACTCTAGTTGCCAGAATTTTAGAGCTCTGCCCTTCACTGGTCCTCTCCCACCTCCACCCTTCCTATGAAAGCAGGTTTCCATTCAGATAGACAACAGTCTCATCCATCACCCGCAGCACACTCCATGGAGATGGACTTTAGGGAATAAGAAAATATAATATAGTGAAATATTTTCTTGTATTTAACTGACCGTCTAGTCCATTTAAAAAATATTTCTAACCATGTCTACAGCAGTAGATTGCCGTGGCAGAGAGTTTTAAAAACTAAAAAAAAAAAAAAAAAAAACTAAAAAAAAATTACATGGTTTATTTAAATAAAAGCTAATTTTAGAATCTTGTCAGTAGCCACATTATAGCCATAAAATCTGGGTGAGATTAGAAAAATATATTCTGCTGGTTTCAAACCTGGTGGCTGCAGGAAGGTGTATGCACGTGGGTGTGTATATTCTGATGGTGTTAGAAGTTCCTTGATGGATTAAAGGTTCATATACTCAGGCACTAGATAGAGGCTGTCACTCATGTGTACTGGCAAAAAGGCAGAAGGCAGTACAAAAAAGAGTTTTGAATGAGCTCCTTAGAACCACCATTGTTGAAATACAAGCTGAAGCAACTTAGCTATGGTAGAGCTACCGTGGCTTGCAAAATCACAGAAAGACACTTCAAAGTAAAGCCATCAGTTTTGCAGTTTGGTAGCTTTGGCAAGGCATTTAAATAAAAGGTGAGCATCTTTTGCCTAAATATTTAAAAATTCAGGGATATGCTACTCATTCTATTTTACTTTTCAATGGATTGAAGAATTAAAGGAGAACAGGCTATAGCTAGAGATGATGGCATAAGGGGGCTCTCTGCCCATTTAACCAAGTGTGATGTGGGCTATACATGCTTTTAATGCTAATATTATATTGTAAGGCAAATCCTGCTGAGAAAGTTCCAAAGACATCTAAAGCCATGTGGACATCAGCTCATACTTAGTAGTGGACAGAGTGAGGAATTATTGTCTGGTTCTATATTTTTCTCTTTCTCAAGAGTCTGGTAATGAAATCTTTTAAATGACAGTTAATTTTTGGTATGTAAAAAAAAGCATTAATCAAATGATATCAAGTGCCAGTCATTTAAATGTGAAGGTGTTAGTAAGGCAAATACCCAGATAAATTAATATGGTTAATTAGCTGCATCAGTAGTACTCAAAGAAAATACAAGCAGAACAACAAAAGGGATCTAATTTAATTTTCTTAAAACACAAACTCAAGGTGAATTGCAGTTGGAGAAAAATAGTTTAAGGAGCGATTTCCATTCTATTGGTTTTTATAAGGTTTTTTTTGGGGGGGGGACAGTTTCAATATAAAGGAGTAAGTAGGTGGACAGAGACAGACATACTGTCATAATAGGGAAACATGCACAAATTAATTACAACCTCATTTCTCCTCTTAAAAGGCTGATTTCTTGAAAAGTTGAAGGTGCATCTTAAAAATAAATAAAGAACTTCTGTGTAAAATTAAGAGAAGACTGTTTAACTTCATATTCAGCTTCTTGACCATAGGATGTATTAGCTTGAGAATTTACAAAGTGTATTGTTTAAATAAAATTTATACTTTTCTTTTTAGTTTGAATACAAGGTAGAGAAAGATACTTTTCCTATCCATCTATTATAATTCATAATAAATTAATCAACCTTATCTAGGAGATTTCTATGTACTTGACTGAGGTAAATGGATTGAGAGGAAGTCACTTTAAATAGTTTAAAGCAAAACTGAGAACATTAAAGGAAGGGAATATTGAATTCAGTGAAAAATGTCACATTGGTTATTTCTTGGCAGAACCACATCACATCACCGTCAGGGAGAAGAAGATAGCAAAATTGGGGAAGCCTATTTCTGTGTAGAATGTATGTTAATAACTTATTTACTTCTAAAGGTATGTTGCAATTTCTTTGCATATACTTTGTTGCCACATTACCAAGTAATTAAAAAGATGCTACTATTGTGATATTTAAGTAGTGAGGATTTTAAAGATACTTTTCTTCTTAGCCTCCTCTGAGTGATAAAGACTTATGCCTATTTACTCATTGATTTTCTTACATGTGATTTTGGTTAATTTAATGGCTTTTAAAATTAGATACTATTTTGCTAAAGTCTACACTGTATATAAATTGAAAACAAATTCAAAAGTATCAAATCTTTTTCAGGAATTGCAATTTGAATGTTCAGTTATTGAAGAGCTACTATTTCAACCCCCCAGGTTCTATTAAAAACAAACAACTAAACCTGTTCTTCTTTCCTAACAACTCTTAAAATTGCAACTGACATGGCTGTGGATGAATGAATATTTAATATGAGTCTTTAACCCTCCTTTCCTATTTACCCTGGAAATGCCTTTAATTTGTCTTTTATGCTTACGTATTTTAAAAAGCATTAGTCAGTATACAAGAATTATTCACTCCCTTTTTAAAATCAGTGAATAAAAATTCTAATTATAGAAAAGAGGTGTGATGTTTATTCTGAAGTTTCAGTAGCATGCTAAGGTTTTTAAAATAAACTAGAAGAAACACTATCCTAGATAAATTAAAATAGGGCAGTTGTTGGGTAGGGTTTACATTCATATCCTTCTGCCTTTTTGCTTTTGGTACAAAGATATTTGGGTTTTTGTCTTCACATACTGTCTATTGTTAACAGAGTGAATTTTTGAAGTTAAAAATATTTTCAAATTGTCTCGCCTTTATAGTCGAATGCATTATTAAATTGAAAAAATAATATTCACTTTTGTGTTCAAATTGGTATGTCCAGGCAATAATGAGAAAGGTATGTTCTGTAAAATGTCTCCTCCCCTAAAAAACAAAACACATAAACATTACATAAATTAAGCTCAAGAGAAAAAACAATTCTTAGGATTCAGTGTGTTTGAACAGTGGAGCTCTTAATAAGTTTTTAAAATTTTTTTATTTTTAAAACCTTAACTATCTTCTAAGATGGGACACTTCAGTTTTACAGTTTTATATACTTTTTGAATTTAAAAGCAAATTTTAACATTGCAGGATTTTTGAAGCGCAGAGAGATTTGAAAAATAAGCCTCCAAAATAAAAGACAGACAAGTGACAGGGCATGATGTCTTGCCTAAGTTTTTATGGACGTTACAAAAGTTTTCTTTTAAAAATTACAATAACATGCTTTTTCGTCAAGTACAAAATAAGATAGGAGGGAAAAAAAATGAAGAAAAAGTCTCCCTCTCACTCTCTCCCACCAAAAGACCCCAAACAACAACAAAACAAAATAAAAAGAAACCCAAATCCTAAACCCCATAAATGGAGCCCCTTACCATGTTGGGAAAGTTTCTGTGCAAACTGAACTGTTTCTGTGGGTCCTGCCAAGCTCCTGGCTGGTCAACTTTTTAAACACGGCAGGCAATGGTTAGACTGAGGTGAGCAGCCTGGCAGCCTAGAGAAGGAGGCAGACTAGAGCTCAGCTCCAGAGACCTACCACTTAGAGGGAAAGTTGGGACAGCAACTGTTGAGAGTTAACCTCTCCTTTCCAAAGGAGGTTTGCAGAGGCAGGACAGTGAGAGCTGATACCACCAATTTTATTCTTTTCTCAGGCATTTCTAACTTTTATGATTTCCCCCCTCCTTCCTTTACTATCTGTCTTTGTGCCTCCAGGGCCAGTGAAAGAGCAGGGCAGATTCTAGATTGCTTTCAGAGTTTGCCTTCTCTGATGATGGATTACCATGTCAATTTAAACAGCATAGGATTAATTTGTTTCAATGATTTCTCTTTAGGCTGAATGCCAGCCGTTTTTCTATCTTTCTCTTTGCTCTTCAGAACAACAACAACAACCAAAAAAAAAAAAAAAAGCCTTCTTTCCATATTCTAAGTTAAGAGACAATAATAGAAATAGACAAGTTAGGTGTAATGTTGCAACACAGTTATAGGTCTGAGTGTTTTTTATCTCTGCCTAAGAGGCTGAAACATACAGTCAGTCACATTAAAATGAAATTGGACTCAACATTTATTCAATAAATACTTGTCTTGTAGATAATCCAGTGCCGAGTGCTTTTGACATATAAGAACTTAATTTGTCTTGGATAACAAGTTATTAATATGGCACATTTAAACTTGCCACCTACAATAAGGTTACTGAGCTCTACAACAAACTCAAATGATCATTGTGAAAAACAGTTTGTGGGAAGAAGGGAGACATTTTTTGAGAATGCTTATATTATTATATGTAAGTATATTCACATACAAACCAGTAACACATAGGGGCACACATGCATGTGTACACACTCTCCCCAACATATGTGTGTGTGTGTATATATATATATACATATATATTCAGATCACATATGACAAAAATGTTCAGTGAAGTTAAAAAAAAGTCCATCCATTATACAGATGTATCTAACCTTTCCTGAATAAGAATGTGTCAGAGAATTTTCTCTTTTGAAAGATTTCTAAAGTGCACTTGAAAAATGCTGTTCAAATCCAATTTTTTTGCAAGACCAAACCCATTATGAGGTTGAAAATGTCACAGAAAAAGCACTTAGGTGCAATCCAAAATCAAACAACCCCTCCACATTTTTTACCTAGTCTGAGCTTGCAGCCAGCCAGAGCATGTTGCTGGTAGAATAAAGCCAATTTAAGTGAAATAATCTATTGCTAAAGTGATTATTTAATTTCCCGCTCTAACAGGAGGTCCTCCAATGGATGCAAAAGGACAGGAGAGACATTTCATCCTATGCACTGAATATATTGGGCAAACATATTTCGAATTACGGGCTTCTTTTCCACCACCCTCTTCTAATTGTCTCTCCTTTTCCCAGCATTCCCTCACACTGAAATTTACATTATAGTTCAGAATAGTAAAGTGCATTTTGAATATGAACACAAATGGATTCTATAGCCTTCCCCTTTTCCTCAGCCTTCTCGATGCACAGGTGGGCTTTATTCGAACAGGTTCTACTTTCTAAGGACATGCAGGATCAGAGGCCAATGACTGTCAGAACTGGAATCTATGCAATTTTAATTTGTAAAAAAAGTTATTGGTTGCTAACCTTGGGGGAGATTGTGCATCTCTAAGAAACCAAATCTTTGAGTGCTCTCCCTGGGAAATGACGTTACACATGAGCAGAAAAATCCAGGCAAGAAAGGCTAATTGAATGAAGAGAGAGAATTAGGTTAAAAAATAGAGTACAATCTAGTATCACATTTTCACTAGTGTAACTTGAAATGAAGGTGTCTTCAAGTCGCCAGTGTTGCCAGAGTGTTTAGATGTTGGCCACAGATGGGAACACCTATTGAAATGTGTCTGAAGAAGATTAATAGGGCTTGTCACTGTTGGGAAAGCACTGCTTTGCTGTAAATTTCTACCAGCACAAGATGAATTACCGATGAATGCTCACTTATCAACCCTATCACTATCGTTCGACACTAAATCAAATTGAGAAGTTATCTGCAATCAGAAAATTTCTTTTTAAAATAGACATACACTTTTAGGCCCCAATTCTTTAATAATCCCATGTACAAAACAATTCCCCATCCCCTGATGCTTCTTTAGCTTAAACAAAATTATATCTCAATAATGAATATATTTTTAAGTTTATACACAATAAGCAGCTGGTCAATTGCAAAGGTTGGCAGTATTTCAGAGAGGGTATGAAGGCTTCTTGGAGGTCATCATTTAACATTTCATAAAATGTTTGTGTGTGTGTGTGTGTGTGTTTTAACTTTTAGATCTTTCTCTCTCTTAGTTGGAAGGCAAAGAAGAGAGTGAGTTTACTGTTCTAAACCCTGTGACCTAATAGTCCTCTAATGCTCCGGTAAGATCAAATTCTGAGAGAAATGCAAGTTTAAGTAGAGAACAGTAAAATTGAATTCAACAGATGGCAGTGATACTTGGGGACATGCATTTATTCTTTTGTGATTTAATGGTATTTTAGGTATCTCTTTTTTAAGTTGATTTATTTGAGAAGCAAAGCAGGGGCATGATCTCATTTTATTATTTATTAACCAACTCTGAGCATCCAGAGGCTTTCCAACCTAGGGATAATTATGTTTTGATAAAACCATCAACAATTGTGTTGTTATAGGGCTCTACCTGTTTAAAAAATGTGGTCATATGCATGATTCATTTGATTTTTACTAAAGTCCTGTACAAGAAGAGATTTTGCATTCCCATTTTGCTGATGAGTAAACTGAGGTCATGGAGCCAATAGGAGCACAGTCAGAATTTGAACCTATTTCTCCTGGGTTCCTTTCAGGATTTTTTCACTCATCATTATGTAAATAAAGAGGAGGATGATGATACTAATAGCAGCTAACATTTACTGTATACCAGAACTATGGTAAGCATTTATTTATGTTATTTTATTTAATCTCTATACAGCTCTCTGCGGTAACTACTGCTATTATTTCTATTATCCAAGAGAAAAAAAATGAAAACCAAACAGGATGAGACTTAACAGAGTTTAAGGACCTGCCTGAAATTCACATTGTTAGTAAGGTGGAGGCATATTATTCCAATCCAGGAAGTCAGAATTCAAAGCTGCTGCCCTATCCTATGTTCCTGTTTCCAATTACAAGAAGTCTTAAATTGTATTGAAGGGTCACAAGAAACCCCACTTCTTTTCAGAATATAAAATTCCTTAGACTCTGCAGCAGTGTGTCATGGCAGAATAGGCACTGGTCTGGAAATAAGGAGACCTTGGCTTAAATTCTAGCTTTACCAGTTACTAAGTAGGTGACCTCAACCTTTATGCCCTTTACTTTCCTCATCTCGAAAATGAGTCGGTTGGGTCAAATGGATCTACGGACATTGCACTTGTGTGCTTCTCTCCCTTATGGTGCCCAAGAGGAAAAAAGAGGAACAGAGAAGCAACAGCCACCTATGCAGAGGTGAGTAGGGGCGCGTGACACAGTGCACTGTGAGAGGGCATGGCTCCCGCTTCTTGGAGACTGTCTTGAGGACACTCAGCATTAGAGGAAGTCTCCTTTTTCTTTTTCTTGACTCCAGAGAGCACTGAATACTTAAAACAACGATGGTTCTTTAGAAAACCATAGAATTTAAAACTTGCAAGAAAATCCTTACCTCCATTATTTTCCAAGTAAAAGAAAAAAAACAAAACAGGTCTGTAAAGGTTAGGGGACTTACTTAGGGTCATTGAGCTGGTTGGTGATGCAGTTGAAACTGGACCCCTTTCTCTTGGCCCCCAAACCAGGAATCCTCACCTCCTGAAAGCATCTTCCTTACGCTATGCTCCTTGCTCAACAAAAGATACTTTAGATTATCTGATCATGTCCCTATCATAACCATTTCCCTATTTTATGATGTGATACTTTTATTGGGTTATTATTGGCTGTAATATGAAATTTTTCTAGGTCTCTCTCACAATAGTTTTTCATAAAACCTATTAAACTCACCAGTTACATAGTGGAGGCTGCGATGAAGAATCACACAATAATAAGAATATTCTGTCATCTCCATTAAGTCACAATAACACTCCGATCTGTATTTATTACAATGCTCCTCTGATGCCTCCATCACCCAAATTGCTAGATTTATATTCTCTAATGGTCCCCCAATGGGAAAAACCTGTATTTTTAATTTTTGTTTTCCTGTCCCAAATCACCCTTTCATATCCCTTGCCTGTTTTGGAACCTCCGTCTGGATTTAATCAGAAGTTGCAAGACAAAATGTGCATTATTAAGAAATATAAATATTTTCAGAAGCAATCAAAGGGATGAAAGATTGATTCAGCATGCAGATTGGACCTAATTCGAAGCAGCTTTGTTCTAATGAGGGCTACTGGGATAGAAAGTCAGAAGCCATTGTGCCACCAGTTAGTTGGAAATTCCAATGCATTAGAATAAACTGTCAGGATTTCTCTTGCTAGATAGGCTGAAAACACTTTTTGCAAGCTATGTTCCCCAGTCTCTGGGCAAAACCACCTTCCTTGCCACCCTTAGGGACTTGTAATAGGTAATAGTCATCTTTGAGAAATTATGACTAATTCATTCTTCTCTTCAGAGTTCAGATCAGCAAGTACCTCCCTTTTCCCAACTCAGAAGCTGGCTTAGCATTAACTTTCATAAGAACATTTTGGCCTCGAGGCATCTGTATTACAATTTCTTTCTTGGCATAATAAAAGGTATCACATTATCTACCTGGTCAATCTCTATTGGCTTTCAAAATAGAGACGTGGAAAAACCTAATAAGCCTCATTAGGATATCTGCTTTAAAAACAAGGCTGCCCCATTTAGCACATTGCTGTGAAATGTCCCAGCAGAGCTGGGTGGTCATTGCTTGAATACAGGTATTGCTAATTTGGGATCTTTGTTAGTCTGGTAGCTCTGAAAAAAAAGCCTAATGTGTAGGTGGAATTTTAATACACAAGTGATCAAACCCAGATTGTTGTATTTTGTTTTTGTTTTCTTTCTTTCCTTTAATCCCACTTCTTGTCCACATGGCCATGTGTGAGAGATGGCTTGATTTTCTTGATATGGTTCACCCATCCACAGCTGGAATTCCAGAGATGACTGAAAATGTCTTTAAAATCAACACAACTCAGGGAGCCTGAGAGAACAAGTTTTCCTTTGTTGTAGGGTATAGTATTATTTGCTGTAGGTTTTTTGATATACATTCTAAATTAGGCCTGCAAAGGCATGCTTCATCTTTAATTCATCACTCTCAGCTGAAAGAGATTAGCAATGTCTAGCACGCACCCCTCGTATGGTGCTGACCTCATCAAGTATGGCCTGAAATTAATTAGCCTCATTCATTCAAAATGGAAAAGGATAATGGAGGCGCATTTTAGAGATGACCATCACAAATCGTATGCGGCATATTTAAAAGGCCCCTATTTTCAAACCATGTAGATTAAAATTCTTTCCAGGGCTTACAATATGCCAGAGTTATCAAGGATCCAGAGCAGAGCCTGGTCAGATTTCGTGTATATATGTGTGTGTGTGTGTGTGTGTGTGTGTGTGTGCAGAGTCATATGTTCCATGAATGTTAGTGCCTGTGTATGGCTGAGTCCATAGCTGGCTTGTTCTCTAGGATGACATCCAGAATATCTGACCAACAAAAATCTGATGTTTCATACTGTTTTATATGGTCCAGTAGTAGAACACATTAAGTGAAATTTGTTGTTGCTATTAAGTGGAATATGCCAGCACAAACTTTGCTGCTATTTTTCAGATACTATTCATGCTTTAATTTAGAAACAGAAAAGCCTCTTAAAGAAATGTTCAACTTTTCTATTTTGAGTTATTTTTAAAGTTTCTGTCTTTTCCCAGTCTCTACTGTTTGATCATATTTTAAAACATGATTTAGGACTACGTTAGATTACAGAATCGCTTAAATTTACCATCTTGCTAAGATTAGCTGATTTTTCTCTTTTGGGGATTGACTAAGAGCAGCCAAATTTTTGAATATCAAAACTGCTTTCTTTTCTAGCCAAAAAAATCTTGACCGGGGTTCTTTTGGATTCTCAAAGATGTTGTAAAGCTTATTTTTATGAGCAGTGGTTTTGGGACTACAAATTCGAAGAAAAAAAATGACTTTTATGTTTCCAGGTTTTAATTTTTAAAATGGTATAAAATGTGGTTAACTTATGAAAAGATAGTAGTGGTGTTTGAAGGGAATTTTATATAGTATACATTTCTAAAGGAAAAAACTTTATCCAAATATAACTTTGTTTAGTTAAATTAAAAAGTAGGCATTTAGTGTAATGTAACTACAAAGCTTCTACTTAACTGCTGTAGTGAAACAGGCAGTTTTAGGCAAAATAATCTTTTCAGAGCTCATCGATATACTCATGTCCATATGTAAGTTATTTCAGATTATTTTGCATTATAATAAAACAGAAACTGGAAGCATATTGCCCATGTCTCTGCAAATTTAGGATGTAGAAATTTCTCTAAGCTCACTTTTGCTTAAGCTCCTTATCCTAGAAGGCCCCTGTGTCTAATGGGCATATATCATTTATATGTACAAGATCATCAATCACGAACTGTGAACCTATCATTTTGACATAAAATATCTAGCCTTAAATCTTCCCAAACCTCTAGCATATAATTTTAGGAAATTAGCTAGCTTAAAGTCTGGGCTTCTGACTTGTGGGGGATGAAATGCAAAAATGAAGAAAGCTTAGATTATGCAAATTTGATTTTAAAATCACAGTTTAACCGAGTCAGGGATAAAACTGATAAAAATGCAGATTTTTAAACGTTGATGGAAACAGACAATTTTGCTAATTATTTTCTGATCAGTTTGGAATTGCATGGCAAATAAATATCATAGTAGATAAAGAAGAATATTCTCCAAAAATGGTTTGACTCACTGAAGCACATTTTACCAATAATATGATATTTTCTCCATAATTATTTATGATTGAGACAAAGGAATGTATGCATCCTGTAATGTTGCAACTTGCTCACATACTGAACAGCATGTCTCAATTTTTATTTAATTTTTTTATCCAGTGAGGTGAAAATGGCAGAAAAACTGTAAATACGAGGATTAAGCTGTATGAAATTTGAGTTCATTCAAATGACAAACTCAAAGTAAAACACAGATGAACTTACCAAATTTCATTTGGCGTCCACCTGAAACTGTAAATCTTCTCTTGGCATTTGAGAGTAGAAAGGAGGTTCACCTAAAATTCAAACCAGGTTTTCTTAAACCTAACCCAGACTTACTAACTTTGGGGTAAACTACGGTTGCATTTTGGGTTCATAATAAAACTTTCATCCCACTTTAGCTGATGATAAATAGATGATGGGTTGCATGGAGTAAACTAGAAGATGTTTTTGGAATTGCTGTTTTATCTTGTTTTATTTCATAATGTTCTGAATTAGGGAAGAAAAGTATATAAAGCACATTTTCAATGATGTATAGGGAAAGATGACCACATAAGACTGTCCAAAAGGGAAAATTAGCAGCATTTGGATGTTAAGTATACATAGGGTTTTCTAGAAAGCAGAATGAGGATGAAATATTATTAACTCACATTTCTTGAGTGCTTACGATAATCAGGCCCCGTTTTAAGCATTTTACACGTATTAACTCAGTTTCGTTTACCATAGAAAGTACTAGGCAAATACTATCACTCCCATTTTGCACAAATGAGAAAGACTACTAGGCATAGGGAAGTTACGTAACTGGTCCAAGGTTATACTGCTTGTAAAAGTGATTTGAGCCCCAGATGTCTGGTTCTGGAATCTCTGTACTTAAGTACAATGCCATACCTCCTCTCTAGAGAAAATGCATTCGCAATGTTGTTTGAAAACAAACTGCTGCAGACTGTGAATGGGAGGCATGCTTTCCCATTTTTTAATGACTGAGGACAGTAGTAAATTTAATGGAGAAAGCCAAAGTAGACAAGCTCATTCTTGTCTAATCTTCTTATCCCAGAAGTAGGAAGGGAGTTGGTTTCCCAAATCTCCTGTAAGTCCTTGCTGAGCTTCCACTTGGAAAACTACATTACGTAGGATGCCTCAGTGCTGAAGAGATAGAGATAAACTGAGTGGAATTCAAAGAAAAAAATACAAGAATGACAGGGTGAGAGGAGAAGATAAAAAGAACTGGACAAGTAGAACGTTGGCCAAATAATAGTTAATAGAGAACTCAATAGTGTTCTAGAAGTATTTAGAAGAAAAACAATGGCCTAAAAACGTCACTAGGGCGGTTGGAAAGAGGCAAAGAGGAAGGTCTAAGAGAAAAATAAATTAAGAGAACAGTGTTAGATTTTGTCATTGTCTCGCAAGACCCACTGTGTAAGTTATATTTTCTTGGAATGCTGAAGTCCAAGCCAGGGATTTCACAGGAAAAGAACATTTTATTCCTTTCTTTGTGTAGGTTGAAGCAGAAAGATAGGCTTAAAAAATATAGTTAAAAATGCTTTACATAATAATAATGTGTGGAATGTCCCCCTAAAAGTAATAACCTTTATATTTACCATCTCATTTAATCCTCATAATAAATTTACAAGGTATATACTATTATCTCTGTTTTACAGATAGAGAAACAAAGGTTTGAGGGGCCCAGGGTCAGACAGTCGGTATCCCTAGGAATCCTTCCCAAGGCTGGTCTCTTCCCAGAACACCACGCTGTCTTCTCTCGCATGACGTCCCCAGGATTTTGCTCAGGAGATGATGTCACAAAACAACTGATTTTAGGCCAAATTCATTACAGCACATCACCCTTAGGGAATGTTTTGATGAGAGCACATTATGCTGGAATCAGACATAGCCCTGCTTCTGAAATCTGACCGACATCTTCAAGAGGTGACCGAGTCTGCTCAGCTCTTTCAGAAGCTGTGCATGTTAAGTAAACACATAGTGGTTGGCTTGAATGTGGGATGGACATGGGAAAATGGAGTGGAGCTCTCGAAGTAGGCCGCAAGCCTCCTGTGTCTGCAGGCCCCCAAATGAAATCACTTAGCTGTTTATAGGAGCCTTAGTGCCGATGAAAAGACTGAATTATACTTCAAACTTTTCCCTGCCAATGGAGAAAAGTTCCAGATTCTTTAAAAAGTATGAAAACCATCGATCCGAAAAGTGGCAACAGCATTTGGGACCAATTATCCAGATTAAGAGGCAGCAATGATCTGTTTACACTTTGTAGCCAAGAGCCCTTTGGCTCTGGTCCACAAACTGGAGATTGTAATTTACAGGAATTTCAGCCTAACATTGACTTCTCTTCTGACCTGTGTGTCTGAGGATAGAGGAAGCCTACATGTAGCGAAAGCCCTGCGTTGCCTTCCCTAAAATGTCAATGCATGGGGAACTGAATATCATCTTCTAGGTAACACAGTTAGCACACAGATCCCCTGCCATGAAGGCATGGGTTTTGTCATTCAGGAAGAGTCTAATTGACTGTGTCAGGATATAGCTTTTCAACTTGCCACTCCTCAAAAATGATATTTATAAAAGAAGTTAGAAAATAAAGGCTCCCTGCCATCTTGTGCTTAATTACCATAGCATTCCAATTTAACTCTAATTTTCAATACATTGTGGATTAATCAGTCACAAATGGTAGACAGTGAAGTTATTACCAGGAGAACTGTGCTGCTGAGAATGATCAGACATAAGATTGTGGCAAATACAGATATTATGGGCTAAAAGGAGACATTTAGAACATTTAGCCAAAACTCCAAAAGTTGAAGTTGATAGAGATTTGAACCATTTGGGATGGAGATGCATGTTTCTCCCTCTACAAAGGAAGACCAGTCTCCATTGCATAACCCTGATAATTCCAGAAGTTTTTGAAAATATTGGTCTTTCTTTTAACATAATCCTGATGTTAAGGGCTTGACCTTGACAGGAGGTAAATAACCAAGTGACAAGGAAAAGAAATAGGAGGTATCTATTCCTGAAGAGCAGGACTGCCCAATGCAGCAGTATTGAAACGACAAGTCATGATTTTACCTGTAGCTATAGCTATGCGGATGTGTTTAGAGTTAAAAAAAAAAAAATGTAACCAGGGCTGGGAGTGGTGGTTCACACCTCTAATCCTAATACTTTGGGAGGGAGAGGCGAGAGGATCACTTGAGCCCAGGAGTTGGAGATCACCCTGGGCAACATAGTAAGACCCTGCCTCTACATAAAATTAAAAAAAAAAAATTAGCCAGATGTGGTGGCTCACACCTATAGTCCCAGCTACTTGGGATGCTGAGGTGGGAGGATGGCTTAAGCTGGGGAGGTCAAGACTGTAATGAGCTGTGATCGCACCACTGCACTCCCGCCTGGGTGACAGATTGAGACCCTGTCTCAAAAGAAACGTAACCACACTGAATACCATCTTAGACCAGAAAATTGGAAGTAAGCACAGGCAGAGATTCAGTTGTTCTTTTTCAAGCTCTGTTGGTTGGATAGCCATTTAGATAAAAAGATGACAGAGGCTGTGATTGTGGAGTATTGTGTGAGTCTTGGAGTTGGAAAGCGCTTTTTATCCCATCATCCTGTGTGCACTTAATGCAGGGCTAACTTCTGAGGCAACTCAAATATGATGCCATTCCAGGCCCTTCACAAATCAACATATATTTCTGATAAAAACTGGTCAAAAAACAAACTTTATTCAATTTAGGATTTTTCGGATCCTGGTTTATCTCAACAATTTACCATTTTCTGCAATGTCAGAGCTTCCTGACATTTACAATTAACTCACAAATTAACTTAGAAATGATAGTAAGCTCTCACCTAAATGATCTAGTGGCCACTGGGGAGCAGAGCAATTTTCTAGAATAAGGTTAGGAGTAAGTTGCTCTGTAACGATGTTAAGGTTGGTTGTGTAGAAGCAGTTACTCAAGTGTGAACAGGAATCTAGGTGTGAGAGGGAGTCATTGCCTCTCATTCTGGCTGGTTACTCAGCACTCTGACATTCCTCCATCTATAAAACAGATAATCTGCTTTTAAAAGTTTTTGGAATTCAAGGCTCCATAATGGAATCAAGAAGTCATGGAATCCTATGCTTGGAAGGAAGTTTGGAGGGCATTGGTCCAACTTCCCACTGAACCCAGAGTTCTGGAGATGGACAGATGATCAAACAGATGCAGATGGAGCGAATTTCAGGAGTTGCAGAGTCAAGGAAGGTAACATAAATGTGAGAAGGTCTGGGTGAAGGCTGCCAGTTTGGCCAGGGCCAACTAGAGAGATGGAGGGGAAGGGCTCATGCTCTCCAAGGCTGCTACTACTGGGGAACTTTGTTTTTAGAAAGCTTTGTTCTTTGTATGAAAGCAAAAATTGATGTATTGGAAATATCTTTCTCTTTTGTCTGATTCTATCTTCAGAAGGAATATAATGAAATCTCATCCCTTTACCATATGATAGACCTTTAAATCTTTGAAGACTTTCAGGCCCCTCAATATACTGCTTTTGTTTCAGTGGCTAAAGTTCACAGTTCCCCATATGACATAGACTCAAGAGATTTGCTTCCCTGAGTTGGCCTTGGTTTGCCAGTCTCTTTTTTTTTTTTTTTGAGACGGAGTCTCGCTCTGTCGCCCAGGCTGGAGTGCAGTGGCGCAATCTCGGCTCATTGCAAGCTCCGCCTCCCGGGTTCACGCCATTCTCCTCCCTCAGCCTCCCAAGTAGCTGGGACTACAGGCGTCCGCCATCACGCCCGGCTAATTTTTTGTATTTTTACTAGAGACGGGGTTTCACCATGGTCTCGATCTCCTGACCTCGTGATCCGCCCACCTCGGCCTCCCAAAGTGCTGGGATTACAGGCGTGAGCCACCGCGCCCGGCCCTGCCAGTCTCTTAAGAAGTGTCCCAAAACAAGTAAATTACTCAGAAGTTACATGACCATCAGGGACAGTGTCTGTCCACTGCGCCATGTGATTGGCTTTAAATGGAGTCTTTCATGAAGGAAGAGCCTCCATATCCTGGAGTCAAATCTTAATCATCTGGGGCTTGTACAAGGGATTTATTGCATTTAAGAACGTCTCACACTTATCCTCATTAAATTTCATTTTGTTTTGGCTTTGTGGTAGCTTTTAGAATCTGTCTCCTTTATATTTTGTTCCTTTACAAATTTACTAGCATTTTTTTTTCTTTTTTACGGTTTTGCCCAGTCATTGAACTAAATATTGCAGATGCCAGGGCTTCTGGAGTTTCTGGGGTCTTTGGTGTCACTAGTGAATATGTTGAAAATAGTTGCATGTTTATTTCTTCAGTTAACTCATAAGTAGTGGTTAATGGCAGGGTCTCTGGAATAAGATTTGCGAGGGTTCAAGTACTGGATCTGCCAATATACCAGGTGTGTGGCCTTATGTGTATTAACTTATCTGTGCCTCAATGACCTCATCTCTAAAATGGGGATAATAATGTAACTATCACGTATGGTTGTTTTGATGATTGAATGAGTTAAGATATATAAAGCACTTACACTAATGCCTGGCACATAGCATGCACTATTTATTAATGAAGATAAAATAAATCGAAACAAGATCCCTAAGGAGAGGGTAGTGTCTTGTTTATATCTGTAGCTCCAGAGACTAATGCTGTGCCTGGAATACATTTGGTGCTAATATACTGAGAATATGATGAATGGGTTTCCACAGTGTTTTAGACCTGCATGTAAGCAGATACTACAGTCGATGCTGTGGCTCCTAATGCTAACAGATTTTCAACGTGATTATAAAAAAGAGGTCCTGACCATGGAAAGAGAAGTTGTGTACATTCAACCTCAGACCATCTCCTTGGTGGTCATTTTGCCACTAATCTTTCTGTGAACGATAATAGCATCAGTGTCTTTATTGACCTAATCTATCATGCCTCTTTTATCATGGAAGACCAGAAAAGACACACACTTAAGTCTACTCTCAACTCAGAAAAGAAGAATGCATTCTGCTTAATTTGTGCTTACACCAGTCTGAGAGGGGATACTGTCTACTTTTAGCAAGAAAAGGAGCTTAACCAAGGAATGCTAGTGTTTCCTAATCAGATCTTCATTTTGTTTCAACTTTTGTAGATTCCTAGGCCTGAGGCAGATGCATTAAAAAAATATATGATTAAAAAATAAATGTTTTAGACACCGTTCACGATGTGAAAGTTTCTGCATCCTCCTAGCTTTCTGTTTCCATCACAAGTGAAGTTTTGCCATCAGGGTAGGTCTTGATTTTTAGGTGCATATCCATGTAACCCTCCCCTGGCTTCAGCTTCAGTATGTTAAAGCCAGTTCTCATCAGGTTGAAAATTTAAATCTTGCCAGAGATATCTTTTACACGTCATTCCCTTTGAACTTCTGTCCATGCTAATTTAAACACAGTCGGTATTTTCCTCCTTCTATATTAAAACAGTCGAGCTCAAAGAATAAAATTCACCAGTGTTTTCTCCTTTGAATGTGTTCAGTAGGTACCCCTGAAGCAATTACCTACTGCAAGAGGTGGGAGGAGCCATTCTGTAGGAGCAGGGGCCACCGGTAATATGATATGTGGTTGTTGTGTGTGTAACGTGCTAATACTTTTGACAGCAACCATCCTAAAGGGGTGTAGCAAGTCATTTGAAATTTGTACACAGACTGCCCTATCCATTACACATGGCCCATATCATACCCATAATCTCCCAAGCCAGATATGCTATTACACTCAGCGGGCCAAGGTCTGCTGGTGCTTATATACACATAACTCCCACTGACTCTGTGCCACTGAGACACTTCAATGGGGGTTGTCAGCGGCATAAATTTAGCCCGGTACACTCACAACCACAGCGGGCACAGCTGAACAGAGAGACCTGGCTGTGTGTTAAAAAGGCTGAGGAAGAACAAAAAAGCTGCCAGTTTTCATAAGAAATCTTATCCCTCGAGCATTGAGAACTGTAGCCCGATACTCACCACACTCTTTATCCTTGTCCCACAACCTGCCGATCCCAGGCTGGGACTTGGAAGCAGCTAAAACAGAGCGGGCATTTAAAAAAAAAAGTCTGCTACAGGGCGTAAAACTGCGCTTCGCATCCAACCTTATTATGTGAGGGGGAAGAATTCCCCATAGATGATCTTCAGAACATTTATTTATCAAAATTTAAAGGAGCATCTTGGAACCAATGACCTTTAAATATAGAAAATTTAAGATACGTAAAACAAAGGCACAAAGATGCTCACCTTTTGAAAGTCACTGGTACAACCAAGTTGAATCACATTTGTTATGGGTGTTATAACGTATCCCATATATATTGTCATGCGAATATGATGATTGCTATATTAAACCTTTCACAGTGATTTCCAGCATGTTATCTCATGTGATTATTTGCAAGGTCTTTTTGGCCCCTCAGACATCCCCAAATCATATCTTCTAAGTGATCAGCTTAGAAGCTCTGGTTGCAGCAAACACCAGGATTTAATCTTTGCTCCTTGGAGTCCCGGCCCTCACAGCTATAAACAATGAAGCCTGTTCCTAATCATCGAAGTGCCGTCGTTTGGCAAGCAAAGCCTTGGTTTGAATCCCTGCTTTGTGCCACAATAAGTGTGTATCTTGGGTATGTTGCCGTTAAGCCCCATTTTTCTCATCTATATGCTAAGGTTAAGACAGTAACTTCACAGTAATGCTGTGAGGACAACATCAGAACACTTAGCGCAACATACATGCACCAGTGAGTGAACACCTGCAACTGTTGCAATGTGTGCTAGTTAGTAGGCACTCACTAAAAGCTTCCTTCCTCTTTTTCATCTTTTCTTCCCCACCATATCCTAATAATGCTTATGCGAGCCTATGAATATTAAGAAAAATACTATCTTTAACGAAACGTAACTATTATTCCATGAATAACAAAGGACTATGCATTTGACAGAACACATTTAAAGCTATGCTCACACTTTGATTATTGGTATAGAACAGGTAGGAATGATCTAATCGAAAGAAAAATGGAAAAATAAAGAATAAACAAAGAACCAAATTAGACATTCAGTCAAGTATGATTCGTGGCTATTTCCAGTGGAGATTTTAGCTGAGTTTAGGATCCTGCCTCTCTGGCTGTTAAGGTACAGTGGTTAAGAGTGACCATTAAGAAGTTGAATGCCTAATTCATTCAGAGTTCCCATAGATTTTCTTTCTCAATTTGGGAAAGACCAAAAATCAGGTGCAATTCTGTTAATGCTATAAAACTAGTATATTTAATGATAATGAAATTAGAAAAAGGAAACTATCTTTTTCCTTAATAAATTTAGCTTTCTTGTCATTTCTTCATTTAAAAAAAGTAGTTCACAATATGAGGACCCTAGTTTGAAGTCAAATTAATCATGTGTTAAAACATGGCACCATTCATACCACTCATTCTGAAAACAGTGGTCTAGGTCATATTTAAAAAATAATGTGTTCTTGAATATGAAAAAATTCAATAGATTAATTTGAAAAGTATAAATCATTCAACACAAAATTATGCATTTCTCTTTACATATTTTCCTATATAAAAATATTGCCTCCTCCTTGTTAAGTAAACTCCCATTGGCACGTGTAACTCCCATAGAGCTCAAATAGGAGATGCAATATTGTGTTTTTTAGAAGAAAGTAACTGAAGTTTAGTAAATTGAAAAGACCACATGCACTTGTGTGTGTGAATGTGTGTGTACTGCTGGGGAGTTGACTTTTTTTCAGTTTACAAAACAACCTCCAGTTTGAAGTTGCACTTAGAAAATGTTAGAAGTTAAAAGAAAAATTGAACAGGATTTGGACAATATTCGGGGACTTTGAAGAGTGTGTGTGTGAGAATTTGGTAGTGATGATGGCAATGTAGCCACTTCCATTTGTGTAATAAAATCAGCACAAATAAAACAAGGCTTATCTAAATATAAGTTGAGGTGGTCAATCAAACTCTTAATGGAACATAAAATTGATATACATATATCCAAATGTACATGATAAACTTGTTAAATTCTTTTTGTCCTATTAAAGATAATTAAAAAATACCAAAATTCAAATATGCCTTCTGCCTTCAAACGTCACTTCTTTTTATGTAGGGTTGATGATCCTGGCCTCTCAAGTTCTGGGCTTGTTTTGTAGTCAGTGAATCTTGTCAAACAGAAATTCTTTTTTAAAAAGGTGTTCTCCCTCCTCATCCACATTTTGCCTCGATTTTAGTGATCCTTTCACCCTCCCATGCCTGTCAGATCATAGCATCATATCAGCCTGCATAAAATTGATTTAGGACAGTAAGCATTTCCTCCGAAATTAAATTCTCCATGAAAACATAACAGCACCACCCAACATCAAAAAAGCGTCACGGGAAAAGTGCCAGAAGTTGAGCTGAAATGAAGGCTGAATGCTTTATATCAGGGAGAAGGGGAAAAGGGTCAGACAGAAAGAGAAGCGAAAGGAAAAGCAGGGCAGGAGGAGAGGCATGAAGGAGAGGAGGGACCTAAATTAGAACAAGAGGCGATGTTTATTAATAACCTTACTGACCCACAGGCCCCTGACACAAAATACATTAAGTATTCTTGGGACACACTGGTCTGTCACTCACAGGAGGAGCAAATAAAATGGTGTTGGAAGCTGCAGACTTTCTGAGAACAGATAAAAAAGAAAAGAAAAAAAAGCCAGAACAAGGTGAAGGCATAGACTCACAAACTCAAGAAGACTGGCGGTCCGGGTTCACTTTCTCCTGTAGCATCTTCTCCAGGTAGTCCACCTGACACCTGCAAATTTCTGGCAAAGTAGGACTGAAACAAACACAAGAAAATATTGGTGTTTAGTTGCAAAGAGGTACAGTGGTTAAGAGTGACCATTCATGGCCATTGCAAGACATTTGGAAATTAGAGGAAAGCGTGAAGAAGTAAATAAAAATTGCCTCTGATCTCACCACTTAAATATAATCATTGTGAACACTTTGATAGACATTTTCTAATCTTTTTCCTCTACTTTTTTTGCACACATATATTTGTGTGTTTGGAAACTACAGTGCAGGCCCTGCTGTAGTGTACTATTTTGCAAACTGCGTTTCCCATTTGATAAGTCATAGTAAATATTTGTTCATTTTGTTAAAACTATTCCAAAACATAATTTCTTTCTTTCTTTCTTTCTTCTTCTTTTTTTTTTTTTTTCTTGGGACAGGGTCTCACTCTGTCACCCAGGCTGGAGTGCAGTGGTGCAATCTGGGCTCACTATAGTCGCAACCTCCCAGGCTCAAGCGATCTTCCCACTTCAGCTCCCCTAAGTAGCTGGGACTACAGGCCTGTGCCACCACACCTAGCTAATTTTGTTTGTTTGTTTGTTTTGTAGAGATGGGGTTTTGCCATGTTGCCTGGGCTGGTCTCGAACTCCTGAGCTCAAGAGATCCACCCACCTCAGCATCCCAAAGTGCAGGTTTACAGGTGTGAGCGACTGTGCCCAGCCTCCAAAACGTGATTTCTCTGCCAGCATTGCATTTCCTTATCTGTAGAGGCTGTAACTCATTCATTCCTCTAACCTCTAGTTAGATATTGATACCATTTGTAACTTTTTGCCCTTATAAAATCTTCCTGTGTATCTTCATTTCCTCTGGATGAATTATTATATGTGAAAATCATGGATCAAAGCCTTCTTTCTGTTTTGTTGTTTTACTTTTGGCTACATTTTGTAGAGTTGCCCTCCAAAGTTGCCGATTTATATTCTCACTCAGGGTGCATGTGAACAAACACAGATTTCAGGAACCATAATTAACCCTTTCCCCCCAAAAGATAAGAAACATAGCATCCCATTGTGTTTTGTATTATGTTGATTATTTGTGATGCTAACTTTCTTTCCATTTCTTGACTCTGTCTTGTTTTGTGTGCAGGTGATTTTGCATGCTTTTTAAAATATTTGTTTATTTAACATTTGCCCTGTAGTTCTAAGGAAATTTTCATTAATTTTCTATTAAATTATAAAAGTTCTTTACATATTAAGTTTATCAACTCTCTCATTATCATATATTGCAAACATTTTCTCCATTTTGTCATTTGGTTTTTAATTGTTAATGGATATGTTGTTGAATTTAAGTACATAAATATTTTCCTTTATTCTTCCTTCTGCTTTATGTTTTAAAAGGCTTTGCCTATGCCCAGAGTAAAATCAGTATTAACCTATATTTTCTACTAGTGCTTCTGTGGCTCCTTTAATTTATAAAAACATTTAAATCTCTTATTTATCTGGAATTTTTTTTTGGTCATTAAAATTTCTTTTCCTTGTTGATCTAAATGTATGCTATTGGTCCCGTTTCTGTGTTTCCATGTTTATTTTATTATCTTTTTGTCTCCATCATTTTTGCCAAAATTCTCCATTTTTATTATTGTAATTCAAGAATATGGTTTTATGTCTAGTAAAGTAAGCTCTCCCTCTTTAAGATTGGTATTCTAGATGATGCTTTCTTATTTGTTATTCCATAGGAATGCATCAAGTTTCAAGTTTAGATGTTAGAAAATACAATTTAAGCCAAGCACGGTGGCTTACACCTATAATCCCAGGTCTTTGGAAGACTGAGGTGGGAGGATCACTTGAGACTAGGAGTTTAAGGCTGCCGTGAGCCATGATATAGCCGCTGCACTTCAGCCTGGGCAACAGAGAGAGATTCTGATTCAAAAAAAAAAAGAGAGAGAGTACAATTTATAGATTAATGTGTGTGGATTAGAGGTCTTTTTAAAACCAGGTTTTCTCATGTAGAAATAAACCATGCCTTCTCATCGATCTTTTCATATGAACTTCTATAAAGTTATAGTTCCATCAGGTAGTTTCTCAATACAATCTCCCATTTATTCAGTGCTATTGTGCATGCAGTTTCCCTATTCAATTTCATGACTTCGCTGAGCAACATTATTTTTTTCAGCATTTTAAGCATTTTTATTTCATATTTGCCACTTTACTGGTTTCTTATTCAAATAACTTGTCAATTTGATTCTCTTGAATCATCTAGGTAGATAACATTATTATCTGCAAATAATGATCATTCTGTTCCTTTCCCAAATTTATGTAATTTCTTTATTTTTCCTGTCTTATTGCAAAGGATTAGAACTTCCAAATTATTTAAAAAGATTCTTCATTAGGAAGACTTTCAGTATTTCACTGCTAGGAATACGCTGTATTTTTTATAAGCTCTGGCTCTTAGATGTGTTTTTGGCTTCAACTTTCATTCTCCATTCCTGAACCTTCTGTACCCTAGTCCCAGTGTATGGCTCCCCATCCTCCCTGCTCAGTGCTGAGTACATCTTACCCTTTTTGTATACAAGAATGTTCTATCTCTGTACACACAGCCTCATTACTTATCTAGTGATGCTTCTTTTTGAGTCATAACACCCATGGTTCACGGCAGGAGAACTCTCTTTCAATTCTTGGCCCAAAACCATAAAAATTGGAATCACCCTTGATTTATTCAGTAAATCATAAGAAACTACCTCGCTATTTTCTGCCACCTTAAAAGTTAGTGTCTTGCGTAAGAGTTTTTATTTTTCCATTTTAGGAAATGCTAAACTTTTTCCTCACATAGAAATGGTCATTTCATTTTAATTATGCTGGATTTCTGCCAGGGAAAAGTAAAACTAACCTGGGAATTTGCATGTGCCATGCAAAAAGAATTGATTCCATGGGTTAGACTGGTTAGAACGATATGTGAAAATAGACTGAGGGGAAAAACAGCAATGTTTAGCAAGAGTGTTTGGTTACATGTGGAGAGGTGGAATGGTGAACCTCTCCAAGCAGAGGTGGCCTTTGGGATGAGCCACAGCTTAAAAACCGTGAGATCTCAAACACATCTCTGTGTCACCCTGAGTTTCCATTTTTTCAACTCTAAATTGAGCATCTTTCCCCTGCTAGGATAATGTAAGAATCAGAGACAACTTCTGGAAAGCATCTAGTTGGACACTTGGCACCTAAGCAGGCACTTAAAAGAGAGAAGCTGTTAGGTTCTGGCCAGGTTTGAAGGCAGGAACATGGGCCATGTTTTAGATAACAAATGGAAAGACTTTACTATGAATTTCTACATAGAACTAACCCCAAACATGCTGTAGAAGTTTAGGATTTAGTCAACAGGCATTACTGTACTGGGGGTGCCATTAAAGGGCTCTCCAGCCTCTGCCCAAGGTAGTGGAAACCCTGTCTTCTCTCCTCTATCAGGGTTGGTGTTTGCCTTGACTGCTGAGTTTATTGGATCCTACTTCCTGTCCCACCCTGACGGAGCATGAACTGTGAATGTTTAGATTCTGTCTTCCTCTGAGGGAGACCAGAAGGGCTCCTAATTTTGGTAAAACAGTAAATTTAGTCATTATAGCCATGTGCCTGGCATCATTTAAGAACCTCCTTGTCAGCACCCCTTAATTTTTCCAATTTGTTAGCCTGGAAAACACCCCTATTAGTATCAAACTTAAGTCTTAATGAGGGGAAATAAGAATTTACCCCTATCGTTCCCAAAATGAAGACAGAGATCTGTATCTTTTTAAACATAATGGGAGGTATCTGTGTTATTGTTTAAAATCAATTATCCTTTATTCCATGCTTTTTTTTTCTATTGTTTATTTTATCTGTCCTGCTTTCCCAGAGGGGCAGAATTAAGGCCCCTATTTGGTTTTTATTATTGTAATCAGTTAATAGCTGTTCTATAATGCCTTACTTATTGTGTTAATTTTCTGTAGTTATATCCAGAGGCCGCTTACTGGAAGATCACATTAAAAAAAAAAAAAAATAGAAGATCTAACTCCTTCTTTAATGGGTCCAGTTTCCATCTATAGTTTCAGCTGAAATTATCGAACACGATTGAATTACAAGATCATTGAAAAAATATATAAACTGTAGCTACTATTTTAAGTATATCTGTGGCGAGTGCAAACATTACATTAGTATGAGGACAGTCCAAACATTCGTCATAGTATCTCTGTTGACCACAGCTTATGATACCACTTCCTCGGATCTGCCCCGAGTCTGTCAGAGGTATGAGTGTGTGCTATTGCCGGGCACACTGCCAATCATTGTAGTTCCATCGCATAGGTGCCTAAACTCTGGGTCCCAAGGACCATCGTCCTATTGCTGTTGGAGATTTTAATGTGAATGTCTTATGTAGATGTTGGCATTTAAAGAACTAATTCTCAAGTTAGAATGGAGCTTCAAAGCAGACCAAAGGGAGAAACAAACTTACCTGAAAGATGACAAAGGGCATTAGTATAATAAATGTGACAGAATGGGCCCCATGATAGATGCATTCTGAATTAGATGAATGTACTCAAGTGACAAGAGCTTCACTGGGGGGTCAGCACTGTGGGTTCTAGGCCTACCTCTAACATGAACTCACTCTTAAGACCTCTGGGGGCCTCAGTGTTCTCTTTTGTAAAATGAGGAGGTGTTGAGATGAAAGTTCTGTTTCCTCTCCACATTCACACTCTGTGTGATGTTCAGCCAGGAGTGATTCTGTTAAGCAGTTCAGCGAGGAAGAGCCATTAGCAGGTCAGGATTGGATCAGAATTAAAATGCTTCTGGTTCATTGTTGAGTCTCTGAAGATGGGCATGGCACTTGGCATAAAACAAGGGCCCATTCGTCCCTTTGTAATAAGTTAGTGTTGATTGTGAAGCCTAACTAAAACTCCAGTTTGAGAACTGTTATTCCTATGATGGCTGAGAGAGGAGGTGGAGAGAGGGCTAGACCACGAAGTCACAGGAAATGGCTGCATGACCCTGGGCAAGTCACTTCATTTCTCCCAGTCTTTTCTCCTTTACTTGTCACATAAAGAGTTTGGAGGAGAATTGTCAAAGTAGCTTCTTCTTCTTTTTTTTTTTTTTTTGAGGTGGAGTCTCACTCTGTCACCCAGGCTGGAGTGCAGTGGTGCCATCTCGGCTCACTGCAACCCCTGCCTCCCGGGTTCAAGTCTCAGCCTCCCGAGTAGCTGGGATTACAGGGACCTGCCACCACAACCAGCTAATTTTTGTATTTTTAGTAGAGAGGGGGTTTCACCATCTTGGCCAGGCTGGTCTTGAACTCCTGACCTCATGATCCACCCACCTTGGCCTCCTAAGGTGCTGGGATTACAAGCGTGAGCCATTGCGCTCAGCCCCAAAGTAGCTTCTAATTAAGAAAGTCAATGACCTTATGAGAATGGTCAACCCTGTAAAGCAAATAAAAAGGTTCCGATGCTTTACAATATCCAGTGTCCAGAGCAGGTAGAGTACATTATCTGCGATTTAATGCTTGCTGGGAAGAACTTTGCGGGGATGGGCTGAGAAGAAGAGGAAGGAAAGGGGAACTGTACCCTCAAGTTTGACTGGGACTTTCATGCAACGAAGGAAATGAGGTCTCCTGCAATTGCCTCTTATTAAGGTAGAGAATGTATCAAATGCTGTGTTTAAATCAATTCAATGCCGAGTTCTTAGCACAGTGCACCACCTGTTTTGGCTGTTTCCATATCCTGGCCATAGTGGTGATGTGTGAGAGCTTTTCCTTTGGGCAATGCCATCAGAGAAGGAAATGAATAGCAACAACATATTGAAAGGAAGAGAGAAAAAGTTCATATACATTTCAATGGAGGCACGTTTAAGGCATTTAAAAAGGGCGTCTGAGAAATAATGACAAAGTTTAAACAGAATCTTAACTTTGATCTGATTTTCTTCTGTAAAGCAATTTGGCACATAATTTTTCAAGTGCTAAACCACAAATTCCAATAGCCGGACCTCAATGCCTTCATTTGCATCTTGGGACTTCTATTCCCCCCAAAAAACGTTTAAAAATTATTAAGGTGATTTTCCAGAGACATTAAAGCATAAAGCATTTGCTGGTCAGCTCTCATAAAAACTATAGCAGCATAGAATAGCTGAGATTAAAAGCTAGATTTAAATCATGCAAGGGCTCAGTTAATATCAGCGCCTAATTAAGAAATCTGTAAAGTTGATTTGATGGAGAAAAATTCTATCAAGGTGTGATTGGAATTTTCCCTTCCAATTGCTGTTGGGGATTTTAAGAGGAATATATCCTACATGGACTTTGGTATTCATAGGACTAGCTCTCAAATTAAAATGATGCTTTAAAGCAGAGAATAGGGACAAACTAATTTACCTAAAGGGTAACAAAGGAGGTTCTTAACTAAAAATAAGCGTGATGGATTGGGACTCAATGTTAGACTGCATTTCTCCCTAGTTTTTTAACCCAAAATCTCTCATAGTTCATATATGTAAATAACAGACTGTCATCCCCTTGAGGGCTAATGGATATTATTCTTTTTGTGTGTTCCCAGTACTCCACTCATGGTTCTTAGCACATAACAGATTCCCACTAAATGTTTGCATAGTAGAAGAATTGAAATACTTTGATCATTTTTAAAAAGGTTCTTGCAGAGCATGGTGCTGTTTTGGGCCTATCTTCTGTTCAATAACTTGATTGATTGGCCAGTTGTGCACCAACTAGGGAGCATTGCACAGGCAGCCTGCAGGCTGAATTGGGCCAGTGTTTATCCACTCTTTAAAATCAAGAACCTTCAACTTTGCATAACAATATGAATTTCTGAATTCCGAAGTTGTGGCACTGTTTGGTCAACAGCTGTGCATAGTGACTATTAGGAATAGCAGCCCCCGTTAGGCAGGGCTCCTTCACAGGTTGCCATTATTAATAAATGTGATAGATTACCCCCTGCGCCTCCCAACGCCACCCCCCACCCCCACCATGTTAGGTTGCATTCTGAATTAGATTTAGATGGATACCCTGAATTCCGTTGCATATGACTCCAGGCTGACTTCACATTTTTTCTTTTTTTCTTTTTTTTTTTTTTGAGACAGTGTCTCACTCTGTCGCTCAGGGTAAAGTGCAGTGGTGAGATCATAGCTCACTGCAGATTCTATCTCCTGAGGCTCAAGCAATCCTTCCACCTCAGCCTCCTGTGTAACTGGAACTAGCACCACCATCCCCATCTAATATTTGTATCTGTTGTAGAGACAGGGTTTTGCCATGTCTCTACATGCAGGGGGGTGAGCTCACTGCAACCTCCACCTCCCGGGTTGAAGCGATTCTCATGCCTCAACCTCCCGAGTAGCTGGGATTACAGGTGCCCACCATCACATCCACCTAAGTTGTGTATTTTTAGTAGATACAGGGTTTCACCACAGTGGCCAGGCTTGTCTCCAACTCTTGACCTCAAGTGATCTACGTGTCTTGGCCTCCCAAAGTGCTGGGATTACAGGGGTGAGCCACCACACCCAGCCTAGTGTGCCTTTCTATGGCTGTTGACTTTGAACAAGTTAAAGATCTAAGTGTGAGCTTAATTGTTTTCTCCAGCTTCACAAAAAGATAAGACTCTAAGTGCTAGGCTTCGAGTGAATCTGTAGTGTGCACATTTCTACAACCTCAGTGTGGCTCCAGTGGGAATTGAGCCGAATCTAAGCACTAAATAACCCTAATGATACCAAGTAGGAGCTCATCAGGGAGCTGTTGAAGAGTTTGTCAGAGCTTATTAAAATACAATACATTCACATAATCAAAAAAGGTACATCAGTCCATCTGTCTATACATTCCTTTCTGATATTAAATTTGTCCAGGGACTTTTCAAAATTACATCACCTATCCCTACCCCTTTCTTTGTGAATAAAAATGTGGCAAGAATGGAGAGCAAATCAGAATAATGCACGTTGGTGAAAGTCCTATAATTGAAATCATTATTGCTTAAGACACCATTGCTTTAATCAGCCCTATCATAAATCAATGCTTTTCACAAGTGAAGGTTTAAAATAAAATGCTGTTAAACAAATTGGGCCTCTTAAAAGGCATGATGCAATTGGGAAGCTACGGAAAATGGATAAAAAAGCGCTTTCTGAATGGATTCACTGGTTCCAGCATTTTGTCTTCCACTTAATTTAAAAAAATATATTACCTGGTCCTTTCTTAGAAATTACATATTGGAGGTCTATAATGGCCAAGCCTTTAACCCATTAAAAAAATTTTCTCCCAGGGAACAGTTAATATTTGACGTTTAATTGCTTTTTCTTGTTGGAGAGGAAAATGGTTTTTTTCTTCTTTTCTTGATTGACTTTTCAAAAATCACCTTGTGAGCTATAAAAATGGAGATGATTTTCAAAAACTGCGGTACACATCTGTGTGTATGCAAGCATATATGTGTTCATGTATAAATAAAATCTCCCATGTACCAGAAGCTGGTGCTTCCCTCACAATAACTCTGCAAGGCAGGTGTGACTATCTCCACGTACTGAATTAGGTGGCAGAGGTCTAGAGAGGTGAAATGATTGCCTGGTGTCACTCAGGTAGTAAGTGGAGCAGGGGGTGGCTTGACCACAGAGCCAAGGAAAAAGGTCATGCCAGTGGTCCCCATCTTGGAGTGCAAATCCTCTCAACCTCTTTAGCAAGCGCCAGATTCAGGAATATAGCAGGTAATCCACACCACCAGCAAAAGTCAAAAGAGCCCAACTCTCATCTTTTCTAAGCATTTTAATGTGAGTCCTTCATGGTAATTAAGGTAGGAGAAGCCGTTGAATCAGCCCTATAAATCATGTCCACCTGGAAGAGAGTTCTTATTCAGGGATTTGTGTGAATAAGCAGGGAGGCTTTGGGAGGCTGAGGCGGGTGGATCACGAGGTCAAGAGATCGAGACCATCCTGGCCAACATGGTGAAACCCCATCTCTACTAAAAATACAAAAAATTAGCCGGGCGTGGTGGTGGTGCGCGCCTGTAGTCCCAGCTACTCGGGAGGCTCAGGCAGAATTGCCTGCACCCAAGACGCGGAGGTTGCAGTGAGCTGAGATCATGCCACTGAACTCCAGCTTGGGCAACAGAGGGAAACTCCATCTCAAAAAAACAAAAAACAAAAACCAGAAAATAAAAAAGTAAAAAAAAACAAAAAACAGGGAGGTCACTGTTTTCTTATTAGAACAGTGCTCATACAGACATCAGATGAATTTTGGGGCCTCCCCAGGAACTGTTTTAAAAGAAAGAGGGGGCCAGCCAGACATTGGTGTGGAGAAGGTGAGGAAAAGCCTCCATTTGGTTGCCTAGAATTAGAATATTTCCAAGTCAACACTGTCAATCTCCCCACTCTGACATGCAGTAAATCCAGTACCCACAACTAAAGTGTTTTCTTGCTTTCTTTTTCTTTTCTTCTTCTTCTTCTTTTTTTTTTTTTTTTTTTTTTAGACAGAGGGAGTCTTGCTCTGTCATCCAGGCTGGAGCGCAGTGGTGCAATCTCGGCTCATTGCAACCTTCCGCCTCCCCAGTTAAAGCAATTCTCCTGCCTCATCCTCCCAAGTAGCTGGGGTTACAGGCACCCGACACCACGCCTGGCTAATGTTTTGTTTTTTTAGTAGGGACGGGGTTTCACCATGTTGGCTGGGCTGATCTTGAACTCCTGACCTCGTGATCTGCCTGCCCTGGCCTCCCAAAGTGCTGGGATTCCAGGTGTGAGCCATCGTGCCCAGGGTTTTGCTTTCTTTTCTTTTGTTCCTTCTCTTCCCACAAAACCAGGTATTATTTAAGTCTCTTGAAAAGCTGCACAAACCAACTGTTCCTCCCAGATTATCCCTTTCAGAGCTCAGGTGATAAGCCACCTTGGGTTACACCTCCCATGACTTGTGGTCAGATGCGGGCTGTGTCACTCTGCCTTATCCTACCTTACAAGAAAATATCTGTGTGTTGGCCTCACCAGGTCCCAGTTCCTCTGGGAATCGTCCTGTATGCAACATCTTCACAAGAGTGGCAGGCAGTTGAATCTCTGGCCTTCGTGGGACCACTGGACATCTGGCAGAGAACCAGGAAACCACGGTTCCCTTCTGTGAGTCCCTCAGCCGGAAAACTACAAGGTGTGTGACTGTAGGATGAGGCTTTTTGAAAGATGAAGTACGACACTTTGAGAAAGTGTTTGGAAAGAAACTGGCTGATGTCGAATGGAAATCTGAACATTCACAGATTTCTTTTCCTAGATATAGAAACGCAAAAGCTTACATGTACACATTTAAAAAAAATTAAATTATCTTTTCTTTCTTGCCTTCCTTTTTTTCCCCGCTTTTTTTGTTTTTTTTGGTCTTTTTCTTTTATTCCTGGTTAATAGTAATTCCCATTTTTAACCAAGGAGTGGTAAAACTGACACTGTCATATTGCTGATAGGATATATTAGCAAAATCCTTTTGGAAATTCATTTGCAGTGTGCATCAAGGGCCCATAAAAATGTATGAGAACTATGTGATAATAAGGAAACAGGATATGCACTCTTAATGCTTATAAATACATAGGCAAAATATACGTAGTCATACTAATAGGTAATATTTATTGTCTACTTAATATATGACAAGCACAATGCCACATGTTTTACAGGCATTGTCTCATTTATTTTGTACACAGACTTTGTGTGGTGGATATTATTATATCTCCATTTTATAGATTAAAAAAGAGAGGCCTGGGGAGACTAATTGGTTTATTTGGAGTCTAGTGTGAGATTTCAACCCATCCTAATTGATTACAGAGCTTACACTATTAATTTATAATACCTTATCATTCCTCATAATATGTGGTTATAAGTAAAAAACAAACATTAACAACCAAAAAAAAAAAAAAAAACCCACACCAGCAAACAAAAATCAGAGAAGCTCTTCTCTTATAATAACCACATGAGAAAATAGGAAAGCTTAGACTGAGAAAACGGCCAAACCTAAAAAAGCGTATTTGCAACCAGTTAATAAAATGACAGGTAGCCTTCAACACTTAAATGTTTTAAGGTTTTTTTTTCTCTGGATGGGGATTAGACCCTATATGAATGATTTTTGACCAAAAGAATCTAATTGATATTATTCTGCTAATTTAAGGAGTTCAAGGGAACAAGTCTTACATGTAGTTGCAAAGGACTTTGAAAGGACTTTGTCCAGACTTAGGTGAGAATTTTCTTTTGGACTGGGTCCTAGGTTAGTGTTCCTTAACTTTCTTAACTTATATTGTGTGAGAACATAGCTGAAGATATTAATGGAATCTATGGTTTCTCTTTCTCTCTCTCTCCAGAAAAACACATATATTAACATTATTCAACATTTTGCTGTATATATTTTAATTTTATCTTTTTTTCAGGAAACTTTGAAAATTTTAGGTTTATTGCTGGTTTAAGATTTAAACTAAAATTTCCCTTTCTGTTTTGGCTTCCAGAATGTTCTTTATACCTCAGAGAGAGGACTTTCCTTTTTCTAATAATTTTTTTTTTTTTTTTTTGAGACAGAGTCTCGCTCTGTCACCCAGGCTGGAGTGTAGTGGCACGATCTTGGCTTACTGCAACCTCTGCCTCCCAGGATCAAGCCATTCTCCTTCCTCAGCCTCCAGAGTATCTGGGACTACAGGCACACGCCATCATGCCCAGCTAATTTTTGTATTTTTAGTAGAGATGGAGATTTCACTATGCTGGCTAGGCTGGTCATCTTGAATTCCTGACCTCAAGTGGTCCACCTGCCTGGGCCTCCCAAAGTGCTAGGATTCCCAGCATGAGCCACCGCACCTGGCCTGTATCTCTAATAATTTAAATACTGATGCAGTTTCTTCAGAGTGTTGTCTACACCTGGAAAACTGAGGTCGGTAAAGTAAGCAAGTATAATGCATAATTTAGTTTCAATGTTTTCATTAATATGATACCATACCATTGTGAACACTTGTATTTGGTTGCATGGCTAACAACTACCTTTTGGATTTTTCATGTTAGAATGAAAAAAATGCATGGCATACATCACCAAGAATCAAAGGTTGTGCCTGGCAGTGTAATTGACTATGTAATAAAGAGAGAAGCTTTGCTAGGTGAGTGGACAGCATAATGAGAGGCTTTGTTCACATCTGCAGAAATGCATTTTCGTTAAACACCTGTGTTAAGCACAAGCACATAAGGCACAGTGATAGATGGATGTAAAACATGGGTAGATGATGTCCTTGTATGAGATTCTACAAAGACTCCGATGTGTTGAGGTTTGGAAGCATTCAGGCAGCCTCCTGGCACTATTGGCTATGCTGCTAATGAGATTACAGGCAGGGCATGATTTCATTCCATGTAATATTTTTGTCATTAGGAAGAGGCAAGTTATTTTTACCTGTCAATTTCTGTTTTTTGAAATTGAAAAATTCTCAGGTACGAATCCCAAAAGACTTTACATGCAACCTCCATGTCCTATTCAGGACTGTTCAAGGAGAAGACAGAAACACCATGTTTAGAGGTCATTGGTCCATCTACTCTAGAAACTTCCCCTTGGCAGTGGTCCCTGCCTATGTTACAGAAGACGGCAAAAATACGAGCCATCGTGCATCTGGCCAGTTCTGCAATGCTCTATCCCAGGGGGAAATTCCTTCCTCACTCCAGCTGGTGAACAGCTATGCCCTGGAGCCCAGGACGGACATGCCTTGTAACTTTTTAACTTAGTTAGTGTAACTACCAATATTATTCCTATTCATATAAATGTCTAATCCTTTCTTGAATCTTGCTAGACTATTTGCCTCAATAATATCCTGCGGCACTGAATTCCACAGGTAGATTATACGCTGCTTTAAAAAGTATTTCCTTTTCTTGGTTTTAAATTTGTTGCTTTTTAATGTCACAAAATAGCCCTTGTTCTTGCATTAAGTGGCACAGGATAGAAGCATTACAAATGGACCCTTATTTCTTCCAAGCAGTTTCTTCACTAATATTAAAACCCTATTTTCTTCATATATTTTCTATTTTGGCATATATAATCTTGATTTAATGAAATGATTTATGTAATTAGTCTCACACTATTTTATGAACATAGTAGGCACTGGTAAAAAGCTTTCCTTGGCATTCAGTGTCATTTATTGGACAAATATTTATTGAGCATCTATTATGTGCAAGAACTGTTCTAATTTTGGAGAGTCAGCTTCACATAAGACTGGGTCATTTTTCTGAAGGACTTACTTTTCTAGAGAAGGAGATAAGCAGTAATATAGTGAATAAATCTATGAACCTCATGGTTTCAGATGGTATTAAGTATTACGGGAAGATTGAAAGGTGGCTGGAGCCGATTTGCATTGCACAGTCAGGGAGTGGCTCTCTGAAAAGAGGACAGTTGCCATCAGCTGTCAAGGAGCCCCTTATGTGAAATCTCCATGAAGGTGAACTCCAGCTCCGAAACAATGCCCAGTAGTTGTTGAGGCTCAATCATTATTTGTTGAGTGCATAAATGAATTAAGGTTGAGAAGGAAAGCCTTAGTTACTAAAATCACCAGGAATTTACTCAGTGGATTCAGGGGGATCATTTCTTGAATCCCCGTGTTCTGTAACTCCCAACACTGTGGGAATAAACAAAGCAGGGGCTGTAGTTAGTTAGACTGGGTTTCAAGACCTGACCATGGTCCCCAGCTTACCAGCTGTGTGTCCTTGGGCAAGTTACCTAATTGCTCTCATCCACAGAACCCTCCTTTATAAAAATGAGAGTAAACTTTCTTCCTTCATGGGAGTTGGAGGTTTGAAGGCAAAGTTAACGTGGAAGTTCTTTTTAAACTGCCAAATGGTGTAGAGGTGTGGTTATTCTTGAGGGAACCAGCTGTTCCCAGTGTCAGGCTCTGCTCTTTCATTTTTCCCTCGTTCCCTTCCTCATGTTCTGCTTCCTTCCATTCCCTAGTTTATCCCTGCCCCTGCCTAAAGCCCACCAGGGCATCCATGGGACTTAGCTTTCTGTCCCGGAGGTGGCTCAAGCAGGGTGGACATACCTTTCTGAAATTCTTATCTATGTCTTAGGAACTTTTACAGTGGAGCTGTTGTGTATTGATGCAGCGGACTGGATGTGGCTTTCGAATAGTGATTGTCTGCTTTTATTTTGTTTACTGCTTAATCTGCTGGGGTCAAGTTACCGAAACTTCTACGTATAAAGACAGTCCTTGCCTGAATTTCCGAGGGAATCTTGCCCCAGAAATCAAGCCTTTGGTTGCAACGGGCTGCCTGGCTGCCTTCGGCTTCCCTCTGTGTTCCAGCCTGACTGGCATATGCATACACTGTTTCCTCATGTTGCCTCTTGTTATTCTTTTTAATTGTCCCTTAATGTACGTTTTTTTTTTCGTTTAGGCAATTTGAAATAGAGCATGTGCAGCTCTGCATAATAATATATGATAGGAAACATTTCAAGGAATAAATTATTAGAATTGTTTACATGCATGGTTCAAATTTACTGGCAAATTGCTTAGGCCTCAGTTTTATGATGTAGCTGCCAGCTAGGCTCCTTCAGGGTGAAACTCTGAAATAGGAGAAGCTGCCCAGCGCTGTCCCTTCCCAGCACTTCCTCTCCTTGTTCCTGCCCTTTCAACACCTCCCTCCTTTCCCGCCCCCAAATAACTCTGTGGAGCTGCCAGGCCTTTTGCACCTTAATGTGAAGACATTTCGTGGGTCCTCCCCGGACCCGCCCCCAGCAAAGGTGAGGTGCGCAAAGGAATAAATCTCCAATGGTGTAATTTTAGACACTGTGGCAACTGGGCAGCGCGGCTATTTTTGGCCATGGGGCTTTCTCCTTGACCTGAGATGATATTGCCTGGCTGCTGCCAGTGCACCCGGCCAACCCTGCACGCGGTCCTTTTCGCAACGTGTTTGCCATTCCTGGGGGCTGGCTTCTTCCTCTTTCTGTCAAGCAGCTCTGTGCTCATGCACGATGCTGTGTGTTTGAGCAAGGGTGTGAAGCGGTCGACGCGTGCCCACCTAGGCTTGCCCCAGGGTGACACTCTCAGGCAGTGGTCAGGCCACCTCTGAGGGGCAACGCAGATGGAACAGACGTCCTTTCACATTGGGGGTGGGGGAAGATTTCCGGTCCAGTTTCTGGGTCTCCCTCAGCCTCCATACTTGATCAGCTGCTCAGCGACCATTCTATGAGTCACTCCTTCTCTGGGTAAGGCGAGCCAGGCAGCCTCCAGGCCACAGGGTTCATGCATTCCCGCCCACACTGCTTCATTTGAAGCCGCATCCTCACAGAGATTCTTCTGACCACCCGGCTTGCTGTCTTCCCACTCAAGCTCCTCATGCAGCTGCTGTCTACAGACCCCCTGGACTGCCTGGGGAAGTGAGTCGGAGCTCCTGCAGCAGAGGGGTGGAACAGCTACACGAAGATCCGAAGGTGGCCAAAAATAACAGCGCTTTCCAGATGAGGGTAATGTTATAGCCAAGATCATCGCTGGGGTAGGGTGTCTTGTTCTTTGTTTTACAACCTAAAAAGTACACAGAAGACTCAAAGATCATTCAGGAAGGAGGAATCAAGTCAGTACAGAACAGAGAAATGGGAGCAGTTAAAAACAAAGGAATTGAGTTTCTTTATGCCAAAAGAGAGAAAACAGAGGCCTTTTATAGATAGAGAGAGAGCCCTGGCTATCTGGATGGAAGATCTGTTTTCTCCAGCTTCCATGGCCGCAAAAGAAGGGGAGAATTCTGAATTTGCAGAGAGAGAGAGAGAGAAAAAGTGAGAGAGAGAGAGAGAGAGAGAGAGAAAGGATATAAGGAGAGACTGACCAAGGAACAAAAGAGCAAGGAGTTAGACAAAAAGGGAGAAAAAGATCAAGAGACAATGTTGCCGTCTCTTATCTGCTATTGGATGAAATTTAATAGAAACGTATTGAGAACCAACTATATCTAATCCAGTTATCTATTTCTGCATGACAAATCGCCCTGAAATTTATTAACTTAAAATCACAAAAATCAAGTTATGATGATCTGTCATTGTTTTGAGTGTTGACTGGGATCAGCTGGGTGGTTCCCACACAGTCTTTCTTGAGGATAAAGATGAGGTCTGGCGGAGGCCAAGGCTGGAGTCATCACTGAGGCTGCCTCACTCTCATGTCTGCTGGTTGATGTTGGCCATGGCTGCGACCTCAGCTGGGGCTGTCAACTGGAACCCCTGCATGGGGTCACTCCATGTAATCTGAACTTCCTCACGGCATCTCATCCTTGCACTTCTCACATGGCCACTCAGGACTCCAAAGATGAGTGTCCCAAGAGAGTAAGGTTGAGGCTGAATGATTCTTTATTTTATTTTATTTTTTTTCTTGAGATGGAGTCTCACTCTGTCGCCCAGGCTGGAGTGCAGTGGCGTGATCTCAGCTCACTGCAACCTCCACCTCCCGGGTTCAAGCGATTCTCTTGCCTCAGCCTCCAGAGTAGCTGGGATTACAGGCGCCCGCCACCACGCCTGGCTAATTTTTGTGTTTTTAGTAGAGAAGCGGTTTCAACATGTTGCCCAGTCTGGTCTCGAACTCCTGACCTCAAGTGATCTGCCCGCCTCGGCCTCCCAAAGTGCTGTCATTACAGGTGTGAGACACTGCACCCGGCCCAAATTATCCTTTTTGACCTACCAAGTGACCTTTTCTATTGTCCACCAATCACTAAGATCAGCTCAGATTCAAGGGCAGGGCATTTAGATACCTCCTCTGGATGTGGGGAGTGTTAAAGAACTCATGGACATGTTTTAAAACTGCTGAAGTGTCCAATCATGGTGTCAGCTACTCCCAGCCTCTCATCTCCAGGAGCTTCCAATCTCCAATCTCGTTGAAGCTATCAAAGTCAATTAAGTATTCTGTGAAAAGTAATAAAATAAGTACCCATTCACCAGGTGAGTGAGGTGATAGAAGAATGGGTACCAAGTGGGATACAAGATGAACACTCGCATTCGTGTAGGTCACAGACAGAGTGTACTTCGGAAGGCCTGTGGCCACTGATCATTTGGAGAGCATTGAAGGCAAATAGGACAGCAGTGGCCAAGGTTCCCTTACTCTGGAGTGGGGGTGCTTACTCGCCTTATTCAAACTTCTATGTCTGTGCTCAATGATTTATTTATCCTCCTCTGCCCCGCCTTGGTATGACCAATTGTCCTTTATTTCAATTACATCATTCTGCAATGGTCCAAAAACCTTGCCTTTTTTGTTCTTCTGCTGTGACTTTATCCTTTCTGTGCATGAAAAAGATTCGGGCCAGGTGCGGTGGTGGCTCACGCCTGTAATCCCAGTACTTTGGGAGGCCGAGTCGGGCGAATCACAAGGTCGGGAGATTCGAGACCATCCTGGCTAACATGGTGAAATCCCGTTGCTACTAAAAATACAAAAAATTATTTGGGTGTTGTCATGGGCACCTGTAATGCCAGCTCCTCGGGAGGCTGAGGCAGGAGAATCGCCTGAACCCAGGAGGCAGAGGTTGCAGTGAGCTGAGACCACGCCACTGCACTCCAGCCTGGTGACAGAGCAATAAATTTAAAAAAAAAAAAAAAAAAAAAAAAAGATTCACCTCCCCTTCTCCTTCCCTACATACTTGCTACTCCATTGCCAGTTTTCAGACCAGTGAACTTCTCTCTGCCCTTGTCTCATTCCTCAGTCAACTGCTTGCAATATACATATTCATCTTGTTTTCCTTCTTTATGGCCACTGTCTCTTGCCTCCTCAAATCCTATCTTATATTCCACGTGACTCACGCCCTTCTCTGCTCTGACTTGTCTTATCCCAGGAGCCAGTTGTCCAGCACAGTGTCATGGGACAGTGGGCCCTGGTGCCACAATGCCCGGCATCTCCACCAGATACAGCTTTGAGATCTTCATGATGAAGCTTGCTCCAATCCAAGGGCTGTCAGGTGGGGTTTGCGGTTCAGCTGCTAACCTTTCTTTGGTAAGCATTTACTATATTCCATCATTGCTGAAATTACTTTTAATCTTGATTTGGGCCTTTAGTCTCCTAATAGCACCCACTTGGGACATTCTTTGTTTCTGTTTTGTTTTGTTTTGAGATGGAGTCTTGCTCTGTTGCCCCAGTTGGAGTGCAGTGGTGCATTCTCAGCTTATTGCAACCTCTGCCTTCCGGGTTCAAGCGATTCTTGTGCCTCAGCCTCCTGAGTAGCTGGGATTACAGGCTTGTGCCATGACACTGAGCTAATTTTTGTATTTTTAGTGGAAAAATTTTGTATTTTTCTACTAAATTTTTCTACAAAAAATTCTTGTATTATTCTACTGAATTCTAAAAATTTTGTATTTTTTCTACTAAAAATATAAACATTTTTAGTCATGTTGGCCAAGCTGGTCTCAAACTCCTGGCCTCAAGCGGATGCCTGCCTTGGCCTCCCAACATGCTGGGATGACAGGCATGAGCCACTGTGCCTGGCCAGGGGACATTCATTTTTAATTCCCATGTAGGCTGGGTCTCTTTTATCCTCTTAGTATAAAGTGATATATGTCCACTTTAGAAAATTTAGAACACAGAGACAAGCAAAAATAAGAAAACAAATACTGTAGACAGAAACATTGTTAACAACTTGATGTGGGCCTTTCTCATCTTTTTTCTTTCTAATTATGGTTTTTATATCCAAAAATGTAGCATCACCACTTAGATGGTCAGTGCTTCCGTCTGAGCTACTTCCTATTTTACTGAACCAGTTCTACAGAATTCTATTCCCTGGCCCCAGCTGATTGGAACAGGTGTGGACATCTGGCCCAGCTGGGCTAGTCCCTGCTCTTTCCCTGGGATTAAATTAGATTGTATGCAGCACATTGGCATATGTATTAGTCTATTCTCATGCTGCTAATAAAGACATACCCGAGACTGGGTAATCTGTCAAGGAAAGAGGTTTAATGGACTCACAGTTCCATATGGCTGGGGAGGCCTCAATTATGGCAGAAGGTAAAGGGGAAGCAAAGGCATGTCTTACATGGCAGCAGGCAAGAGAGTTTGTGCAGGGGAAGTCCCCTTTATAAAACCATCAGAACTCACGAGACTTATTCACTATCAGGAGAACAGTATGGGGGAGACCACCCCTATGATTCAATTGTCTCCACCTGGCCCCTCCCTTGACACATGGGGATTATTACAATTCAAGGTGAGATTTGGGTTGGGACACAGCCAAGCCGTATCAACACGGGATTAGAATTTGTACCTCGAAAGCTAAAGCTTTAGTGGAGAAGGTGGTTTGCAAGAGATGAGTAGAGGAGACAGTAAGAAGCAGAGGAAGAGATGGCGGAGTTCTAGGGGCAGAGACTCCTTGTATCCTGGCACTGATCCCTGCAGGGAATTTTGTGGAATCGCCTTGCATCCTTACCTAATATTCGTCTTTAATGGAGCAGTGTCTATGGGATTCTGATATTTTCATCTAACAATGCCTGTGCAGAATGACAGGCACAGGCTTTGGTCACTGAAAAATACATCATCGTTTTTTTCTGAGTCATCATATGTCCTCCTAGATTATAATTTTCATGGCTGCACAGTGACTATTGTGGATGTCTCAATATTGATGGGAGAAGTGCAATTTGCGGGAGAAGCTTGAGCTCTGGTGTTAAAGAGTACTGAGTTCCAATGCCCTGCCCTGACATTGTTGGCTATGTGATTTGGGCAAATTATTTAAACACCCTATGCCTCAGTTCCCTCCTCTGTAAGATAGGCACAACAATAAGGTTAAATGATGTAATGATTCTTAAAGTTCACAGCACATTTTCTGTCATATAAGTGAGGGGTCAGTAGATTTCACCTCTCATTATTTATAATCATGAAACCAGTATTCTGTTACTGCTCATGTAACAACCCTTCTATTTTCCACATCCTCCCCTGCCTCCTCCTCCTCCTTCTTCTTCTTCTTCCTCTTCTTCTTCTTCTTCCTCTTCCTCTTCCTCTTCCTCTTCCTCTTCTTCTTCTTCTTCTTCTTCTTCTTCTTCTTCTTCTTCTTCTTCTTCTCCTTCTCCTTCTCCTTCTTCTTTTTCTTCTTCTTCTTCTTCTTCTTCTTCTTCTTCTTCTTCTTCTTCTTTCATGGAGTTTTGCTCTTGTTGCCTAGGCTGGAGTGCAATGGTGCGATCTCAGCTCACTGCAACCTCTGCCTCCTGGGTTCAAGCAATTCTCCTGCCTCTTTTGTATTTTTAGTAGAGATGAGGTTTCACCACATTGGTCAGGCTGGTCTCGAACTCCTACCCTCGAGTGATCTGACCACCTCAGCCTCCCAAATTGCTGGGATTACGAGCATGAGACACCATACCCGGCCTCTATTTTCAACATTATAAACAGAATGGCAGTGAACATCCTTACAGTCAAATATTTGCACATGATTATTCTTTGAGAAAAATGCCAAGAAGTTGCATTATTGGATCAAAGATTATGGACATAAAATTTTTTAAAAAACATACACTAGGAGCCAGGCTTGGTGGCTCATGCCTGTAATCCCAGCACTTTGGGAGGCCGAGGCAGGCAGATCACAAGGTCAGCAGTTTGAATCCAGCCTGGCCAAGATGGTGAAACCCCATCTCTACTAAAAATACAAAAATTAGCTGGGCTTGGTGACTGGCGCCTGTAATCCCAGCTACTCAGGAGGCTGAGGCAGGAGAATCGCTGGAACTCGGGAGGCGGAGGTTGCAGTGAGCCAAGATCACACCACTGCACTCCAGATTGAGTGACAGAACAAGACTGTGTCTCAAAAACAAAACAAACAAACAAACAAAAAACATACAGTAGGATGGCTGTCTCTGAATCTTCAGTGTTGCCCACCACCCTAGCCTTATCCATTGTCTTCTTGGCCTCAGATTTAGAGAAAACATGTTTCTTTCTGGGTCCAGGATGTGGTCTATGTTCACTTTCCGACAAAATTAAAACATCACATCTGACATTTGAGTTGAGACTCTTTGGGTAAAGTTAATTAATTCATTTAGGTATTCACTTACTTGTCAGGTATAGATTAAGTTTATATATAGCCTAGATTTATGGATTAGATTTATATTTTGAGAGCTGGCTGGAGTGTTGCCAGTGATGGAGTGGACTTTGCAGCCATCATAGGAAGAGTTCCAGATGGTCCTGAGGAAGTCAAATGTAGACTAAGGCTTACAGTATCTGTAAAATCATTCCTTTCTAGAAACGGGGACATTTGGAATATCTTTATCTTTTAATGTGCCTGGAATGACCTGCCATCAGCAGACCCTTCCCCGGCTTCAAGGCTCTGGAAAATATCCACATGAAATTTAGTGAGATGCTTCTTTGAGCCACCCACTGTGCTAGGCAACTTGGGAAGACAAAGGTAACCCTACATGATCCTTATCCTCAAGAGCATCGTTTGTTGGGGAAGTAGATGTGCAAACAATTAGAGGGCAAAGTTAAATTTGCCAGATTGGTGGTGTGCACCTGCAAGGAAATCCCAGAATAAGGCATTCCATGAGCCAAGGTCTGCATGCAGTTAGCCACTTGGTCCCCGGGGGGTTTTAGTTGTTCTAAAGTCATAGTATTTGATTTTTCTTTTTAGTTACCAACAATGAACACTGGAGATTTTAGATAAAAATACAGATTTCTGTCTTACCTTGAAAAAATGAAAGAATTGACAATAATTAGCCCCTATTCCACCATGGTAACAGTGAGGGATGGCTGATCTTTTAACCAGAGAATGAAATGACTTCTCCTGCTGGGCATGGTTCATGTCTGTAATCCCATTACAGGTTCATGCCTGCAATCCCAACACTTTGGGAGGCCAAGGTGGGCGGATCACTTGAGGTTAGGAGTTCGAAACCAGCCTGGCCAAAATAGTGAAACCCTGTCTCTACTTGAAATACAAAAATTAGTCAGGTGTGGTGGCAGGTGCCTACAATCCCAGCTACTCAGGAGGCTGAGGCAGGAGAATCCCTTGAACCTGGGAAGCAGAAGAGGAAGTGGTTGCAGTGAGCCAAGATTGTGCCACTGCACTCCAGCCTGGGTGACAGAATGAGACTCCATATCAAAAAAAAAAAAAAAAAAAAAAGAAAGAAATAAATGAGTTCTCCTTTTTAACTACAGTCCCCACTACTCCTTACAGTTTTATCCTGTACTGCTTCATTTATTTATGCTGTTTGTGTGGGCCCTGTGAGTTTAAGAACATGGCCTAGTGGAAGGAGGCTCTTGTTCTTTCACAGGATATCAGGGAAGATCAGAAAGATCTGCTAGAGGGGAGACCTGCAGGGTAAGCAGAAATTTGCAAAGTAGAGAGGAAGAAGGGAGGTGGAGCACCTAAGGCAGGGGCAACAGCATGTGCAGAGGCATGGGGCTTGGGCACAGAAGGCCTGCTTGGACAAAGACAAGCTGACAAGGATAGCAAGAAAGTTGAGTATTTAATGGAAGGGATCAAGAGAAAGAATTGGAGAAATATGCAAGTGCCAGCTCACGAGCAGTCTCGCATACCGAAATAGAGGCTTTGGATTTTGCTCTGTAAAAACTAGATTCGGCCCGGTGTGGTGGCTCATGCCTGTAATCCTAGCACTTTGGGAGGCTAAGTTTGGTGGATCACTTGAGGTCAGGAGTTCGAGACCAGCCTGGCCAACATGGCGAAACCCCTTCTCTACTAAAAATACAAACATTATCTGAGCATGGTAGCGGGCACCTGTAGTTCCGGCTGCGAGGGAGGCTGAGGCAGAAGAATTGCTTTAATCTGGGAGGCAGAAGTTGCAGTGAGCCGAGATCGCGCCACTGCACTCCAACCTGGGCAACAGAGTGAGACTCTGTCTCAAACAAACAAACAAACTGGATTGGATGACTGATCAGATAACAGCTAAAAGAGTTTCCAACAGTGCCCCGACTCCATGCTGATGCTGTGGAAAGCACATGGTGTGCAGCAGCTCGTGAAATCCTGACTCCAAGCATATAATACATGTGCTGTTACAGAGGCGAAAAAGCAGATCGAGGGAGATAGGTTAAGTGACTTCTCCAAGGTCACAACCAATAAACATCAAAGCAGGAAGTGAACCCCAAGCTTCATTACAGAGCTTGCAATCTAATCATCGGGGCACCCCACTTCCCAGCTGGATTAGTGCTTCTGAACAACTACCCTGGCAGCAAAGTCAGGGTTGCATGGAGTGTGAGTGTGGGGACACTGAGAGAGCAAAGCTGCCGAGCTACTGGAGACCCCTGCATTGGCCAGAGAGCAGGAGGGCCTTCACCAAGGTGGCCTAGTGACGTGAAGAGGACGGGGTGGATGGGGGAGATGTTGAACAGGATACAGGATGGACCAGCGGGACCCTCCTTCATGGAACCTGCTGGCCATCGCATCGCCTTTTCTTTTCCTTCTTGGAATTCTCGGAGCACTCTGGGCGTCTTTCCTAGGGTTTGCTTCTGCCATGTCCCCATCCAGTTATGTGCATCTTATCATATCTAGCATGTTTTGAGTTCCTTAAGGGCAGGAGGAATTATGCTTTATTTGCCTTAATATTTTTTTTAGTTTTTACATTGCTGAGCATAGTGCTTTTGTAAATGAATGAATTCCAAAATTATCTTATTCAGATCATTTCTCCTTATGTCTGCATTTTATAAGTTAGTGGCAAGTTAAATGCTTTTTCTTTTAAAATGTGAAAATAATTTCCTTACACAATCTACTTTAAACTACATTAAAATATGAGGGAAAGTAAGACTGGGAAGTTGTTTAAAAACAGCAAACCCTTTAAGAGTCAATGTCACATTTATTGCTATAAAATATTTTTCTCTCTCTGTTAGACATCTGGTTCCCATTACGTACAGTATTGGGTACTTGAGTTCACCAGCCATATTGCATACCAAGCAGTGTGCACGCAAAATCCCCACCGACATCCACCCGTATGCATTTGCACCAGGTAATTCTTTACATTTACAGACAACCCTTCTATCACCAACTTAATTCTTACCAATACATTTTTGAAGTTACTTTGCTCATAGGTATCTTAAGACCAAATTGCCTATATCTGAGAAGTGAAGAACTTCAAAATCCTGGAGTCTTTGCTTTATGTCATTGTACAACCCAACTATCTATAATCTGGCATTGAAGTCAATGAAACATCTAAATCTTAAGTCTATATTTTCTAGTAACATTGACCCAGAAATGAGAAACACAATATGGAATGTTTGCTAATGAGTCATGAATTTCATTATAATTGCTTCCACATTCAGGATAGCTCCCTTAAAACCATCTAATCTTGACATATCCTGCAACAATCCCATGTGTTGTAAATGATTTTGTTTTATTTCTTAGGTTACTGCTAAGGGCTTATTTTCTGGTTCATTTCATTTTCTTAAAACCACACACACATGTGCATGTGCACACACACATTCAGACATACACACCTCACCTCAATTTCTATTTTTTTGAAATAAAATAATTATGAAATAAAAAGGAGCCCTAATCATTTGGTTTGAAAATAAAAATAAACACATTTAGGGAAAAAGTTGAAATACATTCCATTTTACAGCTCTAATTCAGGTCTCTGAGAATTAAAGCCAGAATTAAGCAATGCCTAGGCAAGCAGTAGTCTGTACCCTTTGGAGATTTAAGAACCTATATCAGAATGGACAGACACAACTGGCATTCAGTACTGTAATGATGGAAAATTAAATACAACTTTAAAAAACTGCTCACTTTAGAAAGTGATCTATTAGCGTTGTACGACTTCAGCACTTAAAGTGACTGATTCTAATTGCAGGATTTGGCCAGTAGCAAGCATTAAAGAGCTGCAGGATCTTGTATTTTATTTCTTTTGGGATATTTTAACTGGATTTTCTCTGGAATGAAGCTTTATCCTTGCCACACAAAAGATCGTGTGGAAGAAATTTCTCTGTTCGATGGAACGAGAGGTAATTATAGTTTCTTCTTCTTTGATTCATGATTCAATACGCCAGATCCTAAGAACATTCTTGCATTTATTCTCCCCTTCCTTTACTAAGTAAAACTCTATTTTTACAGCTCATGGATATTATCCTGAAGGACTAAAGATGGATGCCCTTCTCTAATGAGCTTTAGCAAGCAGAGAGGCACTCTTTTCCTGCACCTGGTTATTTTACTTTGTCCTTCAGAATCTCTCCGGGATAAACCGGTGGGTCTGTAGGATGAAGCTACCATGCCATACCTTGAGCCGAACTTATTTTACATAGGTTATCACAAAACTACAGGGACTTCTGGGCAGGTATACTTCTTAGATGTACCTACTAATGAGTTTGCAGTTTCCAGAAAAAGAAGGAAGCGTGTGGGAGAATGTCATTCATCTTTGAATTTGACTTTAGGTTTATGACATCTACAGGCTATTTCAGAATTTTCATTTGATTGACTACAGGAAACTAATTAATTGAATAGGATTGGAAACTGCAGCTCTTTATGCTAAAAGAGTGTTTTTTTTGGGGGGGGTGGGGGTTGAACTTACATGTTTAAGCAGTTTAAGACATATTGAAATTTTACCTTAATCTGCCGTATGGATTTTTTTGTTGGTGGCTTTCAGATCTCTCAGGTAGTAGAAGAATTGCCTACCATGTTTCAGAGTTTAGATGTGATCACCTACATTGTTATCCATGTAACCAACAATGGGATCTTGAACATGTAATTTAAAACTCCAGCGCTACTGTAAACGCTAGCCTTATTTATTTAAAACATCACTCTCTGAAACTGACATTATTTTCTTAATAGGACAACACTGGGTAGAAAGAAGTTTAAAGGCACTCTCTGACTTCTTGGTGAATTTTTCACTAACAGTTCCCCGTTGCTCATAATTGCATCCTCTCTTCCAAAACCTAGAATCTGCAGAAGAGAGCAGAAATACTTGTTATTGACCTGAATTAGGATAAAAAGAAGAGAGAAGATAAGATCATAGCTGTTGGCACTTTGTTTATGAAAACATCATTTCGAAAATATGCTTGAATCAGGCAAAAGTAATGCATCTCCTTCCTCTCCTAGCATATTTTAAATGCCAACCTAGCCAGACAAAAAGAATAGTGCCCCAAATTAGGGCATTTTCTTTCCTGTATGCTAGTGTAATATATGATAACATCATTTAATTATTATTTGTGACATTTCAACTACATTTTAGATATTATAGAAATATATGCAAATATATGTAAAAGTATAAACATAAAAATCAGAAAGTGTTTAAAAATTATCACATTTTATTTTGAAATAATATAGGACTCACTGAAGTTGTAAAAATAATTCGGAGAGATCCCCTGTACCCTTCACCCGGCTTTCCCCAAAGACAGCATTTCACATAACCACAGCACATTCTAAACATTAGGAAATTGATTCAATATTGTTAACTCAGTTAGAGGCTTTATTCAGGCTTCAGCAGTTTTACATGCACTCTTTTCTGGGGTGTATAATAACATGTAGAAATGCATAAAACACCAGCGTTAAGAAAGCATCTCTCACCAATGAATATTGATGATATGCAAGATTCTCAGACAATGTGGTTTTACGCATCTTGTGATTGACTAAAAGAGAAGTAGAGCTGGTTGCATTTAGGAAGGTCCTTTATACCTAATTGCTTTAGCCATACGTTAATTAACTAATCAATTAATCAATCCGAATCAAGTGCCAACTATGAGCCAGCCTCTTTGATAAAGTGGAGACGCAAAGATGGAGGCATGGATTATACTCGCGAAGAACTCACAGGAGGAGATAGAAAATCAAATCAACAATTACAACACGTAGCTGCATACCATAACACAAATGAAACACACCAATATGACTAAGCACCTAAAAGTGCCCTGCACTGTATCAGGCATTAGGCATTAGGTGAATAAGATGCATGCTCTTCCTGTTCTGTGGAGCTCACTGCTGAGTGCAGGAGATAAGACCATTAATGAGCGATGACAGCAACGTGCTCTAACAGGGAGCTGTGGTTCGGCGTGGGTGGGTCCTAACCAGATCAGTGGGTCTAGGAAAGTGACTCAGGAGTGTGTCATGAGGTCAAGGCCAGCATCTCAAGACGCTCAGCATGACTACTTTATGGGTTCTTTGAACCAATCTCTGACTATTTTTCATGCAGACCCCGTAAAGCATCTTCTAGTTGTGCTATCGCATTTGAGCAGATGGCTTGCCGTCACGAGAGCAGTCAATGTTTCTCAGAACTGATTCAAAAGCTCTTTGAAGGCCGGACGTGGTGGCTAATGCCTGTAATATCAGCACTTTGGGAGGCCTAGGTGGGAGGATGGCTTGAGCTCAGGAGTTTGAGACCAGCCTGGGTGACACGGCGAAACCCCCTCTCTACAAAAAATACAAAAATTAGCTGGGCATGGTGGCATGCACCTGTGGTCCCAGCTACTCGGGAAGCTGAGGTGGGAGGATCAGTTGAGCCCAGGGGGTAAAGGCTGCAGTGACCACTGCACTCCAGCCTGGGTGACAGAGTGAGCCTCTGTCTCAAAAAAAAAAAAGCTCTTTGATATCATACCTGGTGTCAGATCTTCTCCATTCAATGCTGGCAGGCCTGGTGTTGGGCTCACATAAGACATGGGGTGAAGAGGGGTTTGCTTTCCCCCAGTGAAGGTGAAGTGTTTTCCTAGAGCATGGTTGGTTAGTTGGTGTTGGAAAAATATAACAGTTGTATTTTTCTTTCCTAACAAATTGAGGTTTCTTATTCAAAATGAGACAACACTATCACCCTCTAAGCTGCTGTGGGTCTTATCATCGGCCTTTCCTGCTTAGAACCCCTCAATTGCTTTACACTAGACTTAAGGTGGCATCCAAAATTCCTACCTAAGCATGTGGTCTACAAGGCCCTCTGTGATGTGGCTCTGCTCACCTATGTCTCATCACGTTCTGCTTTATCTCCAGGTCCTAGTGGTCCAAGCATGCTGGCCTGTTTATTATTTCTTTAACTTCCAAGCTGTTTCCTACTCCTGGACCTTTCCACATGTTTTTGGAAATGTTTTCATTTTTCCTGATACTTTTATCTATAACCTCATTCTTCAGGCTTCTATTGCAAGACCTTCTATGCTGAAGCACTTGTTTATATGAAGGCTTCACTGTAAGTTCCACTTTATTCTTACTTTTACTTTGTGTATTTATTATTGTATGCAATTTTCTATTCATTGGTGCGATTATATAATATTTATCTCTCCCATTAAACTGTAAGTTCCATGAGGGCCAGAATGATGTCATTTTTATGATTATCTCCTGAAGGCTCAATAAGCATTTGTTGAATGAATTATTGAATCAATGAAAACATGAATAAATGAAAGAAATAGTGACATATGCCCTTATTTCTTCTATGTTTAGGTAATGCTACACCTGAGATTTGGAAGTATCTATAGAGTGTTTTGGGATCATTTCTGGAGTTATTTCTTTCTCAAGTTCAGGCAGCAATCATTTTGCATAAAAATCATGGCTGGGCTGAGTGTGGTGGCTCATACTTGTAATCCCAGCAATTTGGGAGGCCGAGGTGGGCGGATCACCTGGGGATTGTGAGACCAGCCTGACCAACATGGAGAAAACCCGTCTCTACTAAAAATACAAAATTAGAAATTAGCCGGGTGTGGTGGCACATGCCTATAATCCCAGCTACTTGGGAGGCTGAGGCAGGTGAGGCAGGAAAATTGCTTGAACCCAGGAGGTGGAGGTTGCAGTGAACCCAGATAGCGCCATTGCACTCCAGCCTGGGGGACAAGAGCAAAACTCCGTCTCAAAAAAAAAAAAAAAAAAAATTCATGGCCGACATGATTCTGTGTACTTCAGTGGTTTCTGCTCTAGGTGTTTTATTGGTGAAGTTGTCATCTCAAGGCTACTCCAACAATGGGCAAACCGTAGGTTAGATGCCCACTGCTGACTGAAATGGTGGCCATTACTTTGCAAAGAATAGCCTAGAGCTGCTTTGCTAATCCCGGGGCTCTGAACGTGGCTCTTTGGTACACAGAGGGTCTTGAGCATGGGAGGTACCTTGGCAGACAGGTCTAGCACACAGTTTAAAATGTTTATATCTGCTGAATTCTAGATCCAAATCCTGTCTTCACTGGCTTCAAGAATCCTGTCTTCACTGGCTTCAAAACTGGGATGAAGGAGGCTCCTTAGTGGAGAGCAAAGCAAAGAGGTATTTGACACAGGGATAAAGGGATTGATAGAAGTCAGGGACTGTCTCCAGGGAGAAGTGATCTTTGAGCTGAATCTAGATTGGTGGTCAGGATTGAGTTACTCAGATGGACATACGTGACATGGTTTAAGAGTGGGCTGAGGGAATAGCAGTGCAAAGGCCTGAAGAGATGTTTAGTGAAAAGGCTCAACCAAATCTCTGGACATACAAAACCAACTAATGGACTGTGAGAAGAGTGGTAATCCCCCAGCCCTCGAATTTCAATTATGTAGATAATTGCTTCAATTTTGTGCCTGGTATGTACCCAGTCTAAGCATATGTTTATAATCTAACGTAGATTACTTAAATGTTGTTTGGTAGGTAATAATGCAGTGTGAATTTCAGTTTTTTGTTTGTTTGTTTGTTTATTTGAGACACAGTCTCCCTCTGTCACCCCCCAGGCTGGAGTGCAATGGCACGATCTCGGCTCACTATAACCTCCACCTCCCAGGTTCAAGCGATTCTCCTGCCTCAGCCTCTCGAGTAGCTGGGATTACAGGCATGTGCCACCATGCCCAGCTAATTTTTGTATTTTTTGGTAGAGACAGGGTTTTACCACCTTGGCCAGGCTGGTCTCGAACTCCTGACCTCATGATCCACCCGCCTTGGCCTCCCAAAGTGCTGGGATTACAGGGGTGAACCACCGTGCCCAGCAGCAGTGTGAATTTCATTACCTTTTTTCCTGGGTGTTTTTATCAAGAAGGGCTTGTGTGTGTGCGCACATATGTGTCTTTAAACTCATTTGTTAATCTTGCCCATGTATAAATAAAGATCACAGATCTTGTTTATGTTAAGAGCTGTGAGATTTTGGTGAGCTGCTGCTTCTGGAATGTATACCTAGTGAAGAGGCAGCATTGCGTACCAGAAAGAGCTCACGTTTTGGAGTTAAAGACCTGGGGACAAGGATCAACTTGGCACTTACTAACCTGTGACTCTGGGCAAGTTGCATAACCTCTCTGAGTCATAATTTCTCCCCCACTAACTTTGTGGTAATAATAAGGTTATTTGGCTCATTTATCTCATAGAATTATTTATATAAGGCAATCTATCTGAAAAAACTTTAAACATTATAAAGCACCTTGTAAATAGGAGGCATTTTTATTCTAGAAAAAGTGTACTTAAAAATATGACAGGTTATGTAAGTGAATGGAGAGGCCCTACCCAAGCTCAATATCATTTGAAAATTGAAAATAGCATATTTCAAATATGGCAATATGGCTAGACATTCAAAAGTTTCTGAGAGCAGTGAAAATTTACACTTATTGTGTTGCAGGCTTATAGTTTAGAAGGCAGTTCAATGTTGTACAAATTAAAGAGAAAGTCAACCCCCCAAATAAAGATTGATAAAAACTTTTGATTTTTAGAAAAGAAGGCATAAAGCAAATTTTCATGAAATATTTCTTGGTAACTCACTTTGCAGTATTTTTGGAAATTATGTGACAATAGAATTACTTTCCAGAAAATAGTAACAAACTTTCCCCAAAATGTTTTATTTAATCAAGAAGGAGCTACGTAACTGGAGGAAAGGCAAGCACATTTTATATGTGACAAACAACTATCTCACATATTAATTTCAAAATGTAAGACATCTAAAAGTGCACATCAAACTCAGCATTAAAAATTATTGAGATCCTTTGCCGTAAAAGTGATTTCCTTATATTTTCTAGAAACTCAAATTGGATCCATATTAAAGAAGAGAAGGATGGATTTGTTTAGACAACACAAACCTAGGAAGGGTTTGAGAGGTGAAACAAACTGGGTTATGGATGAACGGGGGCAATTGGAATGTAGAATTGAAGCAGTAATTAACATCTTGGTAAGTTACCCACCATAAAACGCTTTAGAGCAAGATAGATTTTTGTTTTTCTTTTTTTTTTCTTCTATTTCTTCTTTTCTATTTTTTTTCTATCTTCTCATGTAGGACACCCTTTTTTTTTCTCTAATTTTGAGATCCTCATGGATGAAAACAAAACATATATTGAAATATTGCATAGGAAGAACACAAATAGCTTTGATAATGCACCAACTGCAAGTGGATTCATTGGCTCTGTGTCAGCTGGTGCATGTAGGAAGCTGAAGAATATTTTCTTGCCAACGTTTTGGCAAGACTTATTTTTTCCCGGGGGGTGGGCGCAAGGGTGCAATCCAATAATAATTAAAAAAAAGACTGTATAACCATTGTGTAGGAAGAGCTTCAGCCACCCTACAGCCGAGAGCGAGTTGGTCTTCCACAAGTCACTGGGGGAGATGAAGGGTACACTGTAGTCAGGTGGAGTCTCTTTGGGCCTAAAATCACTATAGGACACTTTTCCAAAGTACCCTGGTGTCTTCAGTGATCCTGAGTGCTGGCACTTGCACTTTGTCACTACATCCATCCCAGAGCTGCCCCAGTGGCTGGAGGCCTCTTGAATATCAGCATCATGCTCTCCCCCAACCTAGGGGATTCGTTTTCCTCCCCTGCAGTAGACATTTGCGTGAAGGTTAATCCACAGTTAGGAGTTGCTTAACTCAAGCCTCAGAAAGCGTACACTGCATCTTTAAGAAATAGTTTACTTGTGAATCAGTAAACGTACTAGACAAAGCAGCCATTACTTATGCATTCCTGCATATCCAGCAAGGTGAAAATAATAGAATAAACATCATATACTTCATTATGATATCGGTTTACACTTCCAGGGTACACAAAAAGAGGCCATTTCATCAAGCTAATTGCCTGAAAGTAAAAGAGAGAGAACTTTAGCTATTAGTCTATTATGGGGCTTTTTTCTTAATCACAAATAGGGGCCGTGTGTCCCTGGGGGGATGTGTATTCTAATTTACAATTGAACTACAGATCAGAGCAATCAATCTTGGGCAGCACTTTTACAGTGTAATTGCTGCAACATAACAAATAAAAAAAAAAAAGAGAGAGAGAGAGAGAAGAAGAAGAAGAAGACCTAAGCTGAGCGTCAGCTTGAGGTGGAGATATCTGCAGGCACTAGTTCAGGGTGGGAGGGAAGAAACGCCACAAACATGAATATGCAATGAGGGCTCATTAGCGGCCTCGTGTTGCCATGACGAATGGCATTATCCGCGGCCTGGTGCTGCCTAAACGTGAATTTTATAACGACCCATTTATCATGACTTGTCATGGGCTTCTGTACTGTACTTTCTTCCAGCTCACACACCTTTCCCTATTATGACAGTAGAAATCTTTCCTTTTATTATTATTGTTTCCTTTTGTATTGATTTCTGGCTCTTCAAAATAAGTTGCATCAAACAGAGCAACATGCTAATGAGCGATTTGTGCCTTCAAAGTTGAAGAACTAAAACTTGATTATTCATCCCGTTTTCTCTATAGTCATATAATTGAGCAAACAGTTGGGCTAAACTTTGAAAGAAATTTCTTGATGTGTGAGTTTTTGTTTTTGTTTTTTGACTGTAGCATCTTGACACTGCAGATTTTTTTTAAAGTTAAAATTAATGAAGTGATCTTCCTTTCATTTATTTTATTCCCTTTGTTGTACTTCCAGAATCTTTTAATATCTTAAACGCACAGCTCAAAAGTTTCTATGTCTCTTCCCAAAATCTCGGCACCATTACAGAAAAGTGTAAGACTAAAGTGTTTCAGAGATTTTTAGTGCTTAGCATTTTACAAGTGCTTGAGTTGATTTCTCACTTAGAAACCCTCTTATACTGTGCAGAGGAATGTTAGCAAAAAGCTTGTTCTTTGATGATAACTTCCTAGGATGTACATTTTACTAACAGAAAAAAAAAGTGGAAGCAATCTCCCATGATGGAAACCATGAGATCTGTTTGAATATTCAGCAGCAACAATTTGCTCTATGCAAAGGCTTGAGTCTTTGCCATTGGCCAGGAGGGAGGAGGGTGCATTTGTCTGTCAAAATTAAGTCCACCAGTCAGCCAAGCATAGGGTCCTAGATTGGCAGAAGTGTCCTATTGTAATCAGAGATACAGTATGCCTTATGATTAGTCCGTTTAGTACCATGAAAAGGGTAGCACTCAAACTATTTCTCGGATTTAGCGTGGTGAAACACGGCAGCACAAGGAAGTAGAATCTGGTATTGCTTTGCACATCCAGGGATTATAGTCATTCCTGTATTTAATTTGTAAATGGTAAATAGCTGACCAGGTCTTGTTAGCATGACTGTCTCTACTGTGCCCTCTTGGATTTCATTTTAATAGTAATGACACTTTTACACAGTAATACTATTCATGTAATAATGATATGTAAAACTCAAAATAGTCCGTGTATTACTGATAATTTTATATTCATAAAGGATTTTGCCCTCCCCAGGTTCTTGTTTTTAGATCCTTGGGTTCACTAGAATCAGGTCTATTATTTAATTTTTTTTTTTTTTAAGGAAGAGAAAATTGGGGCTCAGACGTTAAGTGACTGGCTCAAGGTCACACAGAAAAATGAGATGCTGGGGCTCAGCATCAAGTTCTTAAGTCCCTGGGTCAGTGCTTTAAGGTACCCAAAGTTGCAAAGCAGAAATTATTCTTAAAATGGCGGGTAATCTCTTTTAGGATTTAATGATAAGTGAATGAATTGGGAAAGGATCCCATTGAAAAGATGACCATCATTTACACTTGAGAGCCTGTTATTCTCCAAAGCTACCTACTAGGACTGAAATTCGCATGTGCATGTCAATTAAAATTAAGTTTCCATTCCAACCATTTAAGGTGAATTAACTTTCATCATTTAAAAATGCAGATATGAAATGTTTTTCAACATAGAGACTTGGGCACCATCCTGGATGGTAATCTGGTCTTATGAATCCACTGGGCATTATATTTTTGTTTCTGAAGAAAATATCCTTGTTTTCCTCGTGAATGCATTACATAGGATTTTTAGAGATCATTTTGTGAAGAAGGGAGTGAAATATTGGCAAATGATATTAAATAACGCTGTGATTGTGACTGAACAGATTAAGACTTTGTCTATACGACACCAAACATCTGGATGAAAATGGAAAAAAGAAAAGTAAAAATCCTTGATGTTCTGTTTACTTGATACCATACATCTGGATCTTTAATAACATCTGGATTTTTGACTCTTTTCTCCTCCTAGGTTTCATCTGGGTGTTTGGCATCATGTTCAGAAATGTGAAAAATAAAATTCAGCACCGTTATTACTGAATTAGATAAAATGATTGTATTTAATTAATCCGTAAATATTAACTAATTATTCTGTTTACCATAACATGTAATGAATATAATTCTCCACCAGGCAAATAAAGAAAGAAAGATGTAATTAGGTGATTTAAGCATAAAACTTGGCTGAAAGCATATTTAAATCTTGGTCATAGTTTACTGGCATTAATTTCCTTGGGCAAAAATCTTTGTAGGTCCTCAGACAACCATTTTCTCTTCTGAGGAATAGATTTCCCTCGTTCTTCTGAGGGTCTGTTCATTTACAATGTGTTTTGACAGTAGTAAAATTTAGTAAACATTCAGTAACATATGAGATACATCTAGTAATAGATGTTTTCTTTGCCAAGTGAATTATCTGGGGCTGATAAAAATCAGTGTAAAACCCACTCTCAGAGCAGCCTTCTGACATGCCTGAGGCTGAACCCCGAAGAGGAATCTACTGAAACTGGACTTGAAAGCCTTTGTCACAATGAAAAGCACCTTCTGTGACTGACATTCTTTTGTGATCTCCTCCAAAAAAGTTATCATAATTATTGAACATTTCCTCTGTAGCTTATTCTCAATCCAATCAGTTATAATGAAAATAGTCTGCTTGCTTTTTATATTCTTAAGTTTTCAAAATGATTAGTGCTTCCTTGAGATATCCCATTAATTGGACACACAACCCAGATGAAAAGGCTGAAACCCAAGAGTATATAAAAAAACATAAGGTTGTTGCAATTTAAGTGCCTTCAAAAGATCTAATTTGATTTCTAAAAGCAATTTTGCAGATGTGAAAATTAAAGGCACGCAGAAACAAGATATGATTTAATGAACGTGTAGGTTAAGAAACATTTAGAGGTTTCAGTAGCTTTACTCTGACGTTTTTGTTTGTTTGTTTAGCTGTTATGTTGGAAAGATTGAGTCCACAACACAATAAAAATTACTGAATTTTATGGGTCGCTATTTCCTTGATCAAATTGTCCCATTCTTCCCAACATGTTTCTGAAGCAACTTTGTATTTCTGTCTGCAGATTTTCAGGTCCAGGACCCGTCAATCAAATTTCAGATTCTAATAAAGTCCAAGGGTCTCTCCACTTAGGTTTGTCTTAGCTGTTTCATCAATGAGCCCCTCCCCCTTTCCCAGCAAATTGCACACTTATTCCCACTTAAAAAAAAAAAAGAGAGAGAGAGAGAGACAGAAAAATAACCCTTCCCACTGGTTCTAATGACATCTTCAGTCATTAATGAGTTAATAAAAATCTCGAAGTCATCTGGGCTAGATAAGAAAGAAGAAAGAAATGTATTGTACTGTAATGACAGGCTCTCGAGCTGCCCTCTGAGATGTCATGGGTCAGTCATGTTAAGAATGTGTGCGTCCAATCATCTGCTGATTTTTATCAGCAAGCTCTCCAGCAGGAGCTGACAAGGGCCAGTTTGGGAGTCACAATGAATAAACAATGACTTTTTGGATTGTTGGGGGCTGTGTAATAGAGTGAGGGGTTTATATATACTAAAACATGATGACATTAGCAATCAATATACCAATTACTGGACAAGTTATTGGAGGAGGCATTCACGTGTCTTCAGCCTGCTTGCACTTTGAAGGGGCCTCTAGCAGGGAGAGTCCGTGTGCCCAGAGGCCGGCAAAGGTTCAAGACGTCAGGCCCAGATCTAAAAGGCAAGCCCCTCTTCTCAGGCTGAAGTAGTCCAGAGCTGGATGATTTGAATCCCCTGGGGAGTTTATTAAAAATACAGATTCCTGACTTTCCTTCTTAGAGAGTCCATCTCAGGAGTCTGGGGCTAAGGGTGAGACTTAGTGTTTTTAACAAAGTTTCCAGGTAATCCTGATCGGGAGCATTAGGGAACTGCTGTACAGTTGTAATTCCCAAAGTGCTGTCCCCCAGCCAGAGCAGCTGCATCCCTATCACCTGGGAGCCTGTTGCAAATGCACATTCTTGGGCCCCTCCCTAAACCCACTGAAACTGAAACTCACTAGGGGTGGGGCCTAGAGATCTGTGTTTTAACACAGCCCTCAGGTGATTCTGATGCACTGTACAGTTTGAGAACCAAGGCTGTAGTACAAAGATCCTTGCCAAGGTGTTGCAACACAGCTCTGTCACCTGTAGCCTCTGAGGCTCCTCATGGGTAATTTGTTACTTGTACTAGTTAGAGTGCTGGAGTTTGCAAATGATTTACTTAAAAAAATTAAATTAGAGTAGATCCAAGATTATCTTCACAGTCATGCCACTCTCATTCACTTGCATACTGCTAGGCTTTCTTGAATGATCTTGATGTATGAGTGACTTTGGTTATAGAATAGGAAGAATAAACATAGCTTTTGTCTATTATTTGAAGTGGAAAGAGAGAGTGGATTTGTACATAATCTTAAAAGAAAAGGAGTCCATAAGAAAAATCAATGTACGTGAAGCATTTATTTGATGTATGACAAATATTTATGTAGGTAACCAGTGCCACTTGTGAAACCCATGGGCAATTGGTGAGGTCTACTGTTTTCGTCTTTGGTAGCCACAGAACATGCAACGTGTCTTAATTAGAAGAAGAGAATATGCACGGCCCAAGGTCAGCATATCCTCAGAAGAGGAATGGCGAAGACCTTCTTGCAGTTGGGTTGAGACTTCCTTTATTCAGCCAAGGGTCCTCCTAAAGGGGCTTGCTCAGCTTTCAAAAGAGGTGGACTCGTTTGTCAGCCATGCAGTAGATTTAAATCAGTGTTCTCCAGAAGACGTTTGAAATAGTAATTTCATGTCTCAAAACATTGATTTAAAAAAATGTCCGGGGTCAAGTGAGAAACAGTAGATTAACCTGAGTTAAATATGATTGTTTGCAGCAGGGCCCCCAAAGCCTCCAGCACATTACTATGCACTGTGAATCCCCAGGACATTTGATCTTCAATAGATCTGATTACCCAAACCGTTTTATAAAGGATAAGCTTGTAGCATTGGTGTTCAAGGAATAGACTTTCAGGAGACACAGATTCCTATTTTCTAAGATGGCAACAACCTGTTGGTAGAAGCTAGTTCTTTTATATATTGTATAGTAAGGAACCTCTTCCTTTATTCTAATGTATCAAACCCTCTGTGTCTGGCGTCAGGATTCATTATGTGGTGGCTTGACGCCAGCAAAAAGGTTCATGTAACACTCACCAAAGAGTTAAATAAGTTGTCCAGTTGTTGATGGTTTGGTTAAATTATCCCTGAATTTTTGGCATATCTCCCAGAACAGGTACTCATAAAAAAAGAAAGAAACCTGGGTTTTGCTAAGTGAGATTACATTGTGTTTTCATATATGAGGGATAATTCCAGTGCAATACTTGCCTATACCCAGAAACTGGCTGCATAAGCAGACGGGCATTGGGCTGGGTCTGATGTTAGAAAGTACTTCTGCCCCCTCCATTGACAGTACTTCCCCCGTCTTTTCTAGCTCACGGGGCTCCAGATGGCCATAGCTGTGGTAGCCATCTTTGTCCCCGTACTGGCTATTTCTGAAGGTGAAAGGTTGGGGATATGTATTACAGAGGGCAGGTCAGGAAGGATTTAAGCACATTACTGGTTGTAAAATTTCTTTTCTTGAAGTTATGGCCAGAACTGTGCGTTCGTTAATGCCAAATGTTAATTCTTGCTGAGGACATGATGTCTTATAAATGTTGTAAAAGAATATCATTTTTCCTGTAGCAGGGCAGGTACTTTTAAGGCCATGTTAAGAAAAGGGCTAGTTTCCCCATAGCATCTGCAGGTCACCTGCTTGCTTATAAATCGTCTCTATGCTAACATCCCTTCCAACTGTTACACAATAGTTAGAAGAAATTGTCACATGGTAGAAAGAATAGAACTTAGCTGACATTTGAAAGACGTGTAAAGATTAAAAACAAGCAAACAAAAATTCCTCCAAAATAAAACAACCCCACCACCCTTGTTAATATTTGTCACCTTTTCTACATAGTTTTACAAGTCTCTGCTAGACTCAGAACTCATTAGGATGTGTCTCTCAACTAAAAATAATAGAGCAGGTTCAACTTTGGGAGGTCCTAAAGCCCTTTTTTCATCTCCTTTGTAAATATATCCCCATTGACACCACATGTGCTTCCAAGCTTTCCAGACATAAGGCGTTTGTATGATGGGATTCACTCTACACCCTCGTAGAAAAGAGCAGAAGTTCAACACAGTTAACGGAGATCTACCCACCACTGGTCTGGTTTGTTATGTAGTTGAATATTTCTCCCCTTTATATTCTTTGAAATGTTTTGAATTAAAATAGCTTACTCAAGGTCACTGAAGGCATATGGTCCTGCTCAAAACTTTAAACAAAACATTAGTTTTTACAACCTTTTGTAATTTGGTATTGTATACAACATAGCTATATGCGGAGTTTCTGTAATCTTTTCAGTGGGTGACAGAAATATGAGAAGCAAATTTATAAGCCATTTAGTGAAGCATTTAATCAATTTCATGCATAGAAAATAACTCCGATTGCTTTGCTTTATCAATCTTTCTTTCCAGCAAAACTCTTAAGTCAACAGCATCTCCAAACACTGCCTGGGTGGGGGAGGGGCTGGGGGCGGGGTGGAGAGCGGGCAGGCACCTTTCCCTGCACACAAATGTCAGGGACTTCAAAAGTCTGCCTAAAAGGGCTTGCCAGCATCTATGAGGCTTCTGGAGGCTGTTAATGTATTTCAGAAAGAAAGCACGGGTCTAATGTTTAGAGTAAGTTTTCAAGGCCTTTTACTGTAAAGTTATTCATTAAACACCCTTTTCCCAGAGTGACTCTCACATGCTCAGCAGTGCAGACTGTGTTCAACATTAGGCTCAAAGAAGTATTTTTGTAAAAACTGTTTCAGTGGTTATGACTTTTAAATACATGAAAACTGAAATGACTCACATTAAAACTTAACTTCTGAATTAAGGAGTTGAAGCAATGCGACCAAAATACCTGAGATTCACCAAACAGAGCTATTTTAGCAGTTTTCAGGATACTTGAACTGTTTTTTAGAGTTCATGTTCCAATTCTCTTTTTGAATTGCTTGGAAGATTAATCCATCTCTTGGCTACATAGTGAGTTAATATTTTCTTTTCTGTCATGTGCTAGAATGTCTCTTACGACATTTTACCCCAAACACCATCAAGTTTTTAAGTGAAAAAGTCCTAAGGGAGCAAAAGATGATTTTGCCAATAATCATTAACTGCTAAACTGTATTAAAACTGCATTAGCTCTACCTTGTCCTCTAAATGGGAACTGATATGAAAGTATTGCAGATATACTTTCTAATTTAGAAAATAATTTGCTACCACTGATTTTTGAACCTAGAAAAATATTCCAGTGAATAAACTCCAGTCTAGATTCCTCTTTTTTTTTTTTTTTTTTGAGATGGAGTCTCACTCTGTAGCCCAGGCTGGAGTGCAGTGGCATGATCTTGGCTCACTGCAACCTCCGCCTCCCGGGTTCAAGCAATTCTCCTGCCTCAGCCTCCCGAGTACTGGAACTACAGGCGCACACCACCACACCCGGCTAATTTTTGTATTTTTAGTAGAGACGGGGTTTCACCATCTTGGCCAGGCTGGTTTTGAACTCCTGACTTCGTGATCCACCCGCCCTGGCCTCCTAAAATGCTGGGGTTACAGGCGTGAGCCACCGCACCTGGCCTACATTCTTCAGTTCTGATTTTAAATCGGCTCCATTCCTGGACCTCATCTCAGCCTCCTGATGTTTCACTCTGCCTTTTAAATATGACATATGCAAGTATTTGCCTGTGTTGGCAGTTTGGTGGCATGCCATTGATGTTTATTTTGCTACACTACCTAACTTGTGGGGGCCCCATCATTTTATTGAACAGAGTCGCCTTAATAATCTTGCATAAAATTGGCAGCTCTTGGGGAAACTGGCTATGCAAGTAGCTTGGCTGATTTGTCTATCTCTCTGTCTCTCTGTCTCTCTATCTCTCTATGTATTTATCATTCTTTCTATTGTTATTCAACCATTAAGTCTTGCATTACACCAGTGCCTCACTGACTTTTAAATGATCATTTTGAAAGAAAGATGTCTTTGGTGTAAGATCTGATATTTAATGCGAAAAGGGACTCCTTAGAACTAAGGAGTTTAAAATTTTCAAATAAATTTTGGAACACCAAACAATTACCATATACTTATTCTACTTGTAAATATTAAGGTATTAGAGGATAAGGCTAAAGTGCTCTTTGCTATGACTTCTCTGCCTCCCTTGATGTGATCTATGTTACCAAGGATGTGCATCTTGCCAGTCCCTTTTCTGTCCAAATGAGTCACCAAAATGTGCTATATCGTATGTATCATTGCGCATTTGTTATTTTCACTTATCCATGTCTTGGAGATCTTACCTGGTTAGGAGAAACAGGTATACCCCATTCTTTCTAACTGCTTAGAGAATTTCCCGTGATGCAGGTAGACCATGCTCTCTGAGTTTTTCTCCTATGATGTGTGTGTAGATTCCTTCTACCTTTTCTCTATTACAAATAGCACTTTAGTAAATATCCCGGTACATACTTCCTATGTACTCTAGTATTTCTCATATGCTCATATGCATAATACAATACTCATATGCCATGAGTACTTCTCTAGTATGGGCACTTAAAGTGAAACTGCTGGGTCATAAGTATACATATTTTATGTTTTACTAGTTACTGCCACATTATCCAGCAATTTTAATTTTAAATGAAAGTCCTACCCTAATCTCTGATACAGCTTTTCTCAACTCTACTGAAACCTACACATTGCTACAGCCAGTCTCATTCTCTGTTAATAATTTTGCTTCTGCTTCTCCAAGAAGATGGAAACCACCCAGAATGCCTTTTCTACTGAGCTTTCCCTTTTCTAGGGCAAGCTGGGGCCAGGCAGGCTAATCATGGGGGCATAGCCAGATGTTCAGAAACGGGGCTGCTCAGGGCCATTGAGGTGACCAGACATTCAGAAACTGGGGAGCATCAGGTCAACAAACGAAGCCTGTTCATCTTTTAAAAATGCATCAACAAAGTCAGTGACACATTTTCATTTTGATCATAACGTTGATGTCCAAATTCAAACAATTGCCTCTGACAGTTTTATAGCTGAGGCCTACACATTTTTACTATTTTCAAAGACAGCCTTGGGGGCAAGGTAGAAAGACTTATAATCAGACTTGTGGTGTTTGTTAGGATTTAGGGCCCGGGAAGGGGATGCTCCTGGGAACAACTTTCCTTATCCCCTTCACTCAGTGTTTTTCTTGTCCTCTGTCTTAGAGGACATGTCTTAGACCCATGACCTCCTTCCCAGACTTATTGCTGCCTCTTCTTTCAGACTCACCTTTAAATCGTTCTAGTGGCTTCATGTTAATTTGTCTCTGCTAGTCTCCTCTTTCTTCCATCCATTTTACCCTGCTAAATCTTCAAGAAGTACAAATACGGTTTTTAGTTTTTTTGTTTGTTTATTTTCAAGAGACAGTGTCTCCCTCAGTTACCCAGGCTGGAGTGCAGTGGCACAATCATAGCTCACTGCAGCCTTGAACTCCTGGGCTCTAGTGATCTCCCACCTCAGCCTCCAGAGTAGCTAGTACCACAGGCATGCACCACCAGGCCCAGCTAACTATTTTTTATTTTTTGTGGACATGGGGTCTCACCATGTTGCCCAGGCTGGTCTCCAGTTCCTGGGATCAATCCATCCTCCCACCTTGGCCTCCCAAAGTGCTGAGATTGCGAGCACGAACCATCCTTCCTGGCCCCAATCTGGTTTTGATTGGCTATTGTTTAACATAGCTTCTTACTACTCATGCCCTTTATGCTGCCATTCAAAGTCCTCCATGATTTTTTCCCAAACTTGTCTTTTAAAACTTCCTTTCTTCTTCTCCTTTATGTATATTTTACTTAGCAAAACAACATGGTTACCCTTCCCTCAACTTTCCTGCCTCTTCACTCTTCCCTTGGCCAGAATGCTCTTTCCTCAACTGCAGAGAAATCTGCATCTTCAAAGTCAGGCCACTCCATGAGGCTTTTCCTGTCTTCCTCATTTTCTACCAAATGAGTCTGACTGTTAATAGAAGACAACGACAGGGATTAAAACGGGTGCAGTGGTTCACGCCTGTAATCCCAGCACCTTGGGAGGCCAAGGCAGGTGGATCACCTGAGGTCGGGAGTTTGAGACTAGCCTGACCAATATGGAGAAACCCCATCTCTACTAAAAATACAAAATTAGCTGGGCGTGGTGGCATATGCCTATAATCCCAGCTACTCAGGAGACTAGGGCAAGAGAATCATTTGAACCCGGGAGGCGGAGGTTGTGGTGAGCCAAGATCGCGCCATTGCACTCCAACCTGGGCAACAAAAGTGAAACTGTGTCTCAAAAACAAAAACAAAAAAAAAATTGGAGAGGGAAACCAGAAGTCAGAGGTTGGGCTAACCTCTAAGTCCTAAGTGAAATGGCTCAACCTGGTATAACCTAAATAAGGGTTACACACATTCTAAGTGATGGATGTATTTTCCACTCCACAGTCTAAAACAGAATGTGAGAATGTAATCTAGTTGTAGCTGTATTAAAATGTTATGCTACAGTTAAGTCTCTGTTCAGCTCCTACTCTAGTGCAGGCATCTAATCAGGAAATGGCCTCCTGTATAACCCATGGATTGTTTGTAACTCAGGACCCTAAGTGCAACGAAGCTAACCCTATATATATTAATAACATATTTAGACTATGTTATGTATACCAATTCAGAGATGAAAATGATACTTTGAGTCTATTAGTAGAACATGTAGTTTCAGCTGATTTTTAAGATAAAAAGGATCTGTTTTATACAGTTTTCTCTACCCTTTTCTGCCTGTTCCCCCTGTAAGTAATGGTATACATTTATGAGAAGCCTAGTGGAACTTAGCCATGGAATCCTGGTCTTGCACGAGCTTTTTCTTTTTTTCTTTAAGGATAACTGTCAAATATTGGGATTGAATCTCTAAAATTAGCTTCTAGAATTTATGTGTTATAATGAAAAATTGGAAGCCAACTATATGTCCAAGAATAGTAGATTGAGTCCATACATATAACATATCAATGTTGAAATATTATATGGGCTTTAAAATGTTATAAAGTCGTATTAATATTTAAAAAGGTTTTAGGGTAATCGTAAGGACAGGTAAAAGGCAAACCCATATTTAAACTTAACTTTATATGGACTGTGAACTTGTCAGGGTGATAGATTGAGAAGTTATTTTATTTCTTTAAAAAAATTTTAAAATGTGGGCAAGGTGCATTGGCTCATGCCTGTAATCCCAGAACTTTGGGAGGCTGAGGGAGGTGGATCACTTGAGGTCAGGGGTTCAAGACCAGCCTGGCTAACATGGCAAAACCTCATCTCTACTAAAACTACAAAAATTAGCTGGGTGTGATGGCACGTGCCTGTAGTCCCAGCTACTCCAGAGGCTGAGGCAGGAGAATTGCTTGAACCCAGAAAGCAGAGGTTGCAGTCAACCGAGATTGTGCCACTGCACTCCAGTTTGGGTGACAAAGTGAGACTCCATCTCAAAAAACAAACAAACAAACAAACAAACAAAGTTAATGTTATATTGAGTGGACATTGAATTTCAAGCATTACAGTAGCTGTATTACTCCTAGCTGAGTGGTGAGAGCTGGATCAGAGAAAGAGGATTCTGTCTTTTCCTAGCCTCAGAAAGGCAGCTGGAGGGGTTCCCCCAAAACTAGGGAAGAGCACACATTGCTGTTGCAAACAAGGAACTTGAGATGGGCAAACTTAAAAACCACCCTGATTTCACTTGAAGAGACTGGTTTAAACAAACACTTTTTTTTTTTTTTTTTTTTTGAGACGAAGTTTTGCTCTTGTTGCCCAGGCTGAAGTACGATGGCGCGATCTCGGCTCACCACAACCTCCACCTCCCAGGTTCAAGCGATTCTCCTGCCTCAGCCTTCCCAAGCAGCTGGGATTACAGGCATGCGCCACCATGCCCGGCTAATTTTGTATTTTTAGTAAAGACGGGGTTTCTCCATGTTGGTCAGACTGGTCTTGAACGTCTGACCTCAGTTGATCCACCCACCTTGGCCTCCCAAAGTGCTGGGATTACAGGCGTGAACCACCGCGCCCAGCCTTAAACAAACACTTATAAGAGAAACCTGAAGCCTCAGTATAAGGGTAGAACTCATCATAGCTATTCCTGCTACTAAAAACACACCCAGATATCCTGATTTTTTATAGATTGATTATCTTATGAGAGGACGAAGAAAACTAGCCAATGGGATTGCCAATGCACCTTACTAGTCTTTGAGGAATTGTAAAAAATGGAAGAATTAGTGGAAATTTAGAGACATGCAAATGAGGTTTTTACTTTAAAAAAATATTCTGAAGGTGAATTTTGGAAATGAAACACTTGATGGCCCATGAATTAGTTGTTGAGCTTCAACAGAATTTAGGATACATTTTTAATTGGATATTTGGTAAACCTTTATCAGACGATGATGGAAATCTAGAACATTAGACTGAGAAGGAAGTTGGAAATAGAAACAGTTCGCTTAGATCCCTCATGGATTCACTAAAAACAGCTCAAGTCATGCTGACTTATTTTTTTTTTTTTCTGATAAGGTGAATGTGTGGTAGGAAGGGATGCCATAAGCCAGCAAACTGTAGTCTCTTCAAACTGTAAAGTCAAGAGGAAATCACCAGGGGATCTTGTTATTTAACCAAATGCAGATTCTGAGTCAGTAGATCTGGGGTTGGGTTTTAGTTTCTGCATCCTTAAGAGACTCCCAGGTGACACTGATGCTGCAGGCTCATGGGCTGTACTTTGAATAGCAAGATTTTAGACCATGGGCCCCTAATACAGCTTGCTAAAAACCAGATTTATGCCCTCTATGTCCAAAGTGTCTGATTCCATAGGTACAAGACTCTGCTTTTTTCCAGGTGTCCAAGGTAATTGTATTGCATGATCTCATAAGGAACCATAGCATCAGACACTACATAACCAGTCACAATGCACAATATCATTATAGTTCTTTTTTATTATTTTTTTTAATACAGAGTCTCGCTCTGTCACCCGTGCTGGAGTGCAGTGGTGTGATGTCAGCTCACTCATTATAACCTCTGACTCCCACATTCAAGCGATTCTCCTGCCTCAGCCTCCTGAGTAGCTGGAACTACAGGCACCCACCACCACACCTGCCTAATTTTTGCATTTTTTAAGTCGAGTCAGGGTTTCACCATGACCAGGCTGGTCTCGAACTCCTGACATCAAGTGATCTGCTTGCCTTGGCCTCCCAAAGTGCTGGGATTACAGGTATGAGCCACCGCGCCCAACCAATATCATTATAGTTTTTACAGTCAGTTGTATTTATAATTGGTTGGACCTTTTTTTTTATTCTAGATAAAATTAATTACTTCTACCATGGTAGAACTTCTTTACCGTGTACATTATTGCATATTTTATGTTCTGTCCTTGCACACCTTGGCTCGCAATAACCATGCCCTCTTACCAACACACGCTTAATAGAATTTGTATGCACAGTTACATTTTTTTTGGAAAGGAATTGAGCATTGACTTGTTCTACATCCCTAAGCCTCAGGCTCTCCTATGATCAGTGAACACGATAATACCTGCTTTATTGGGGATCAGATAAGAATAATGTGAAAGAATCTCCAAGGACTGACCTTGTAAATCAGTAACTCTGGGTTCTAGGCTCTTCCCTGCCAAATTTGACATGATCTCAGACAAGTTGTCAGATGTCTCTGATCTTCCCTCTTCCACCAGTAGCAACAGAGTTTTTAAATGTATAAAGTGCTAAACAAACTTGAGAGAGTTTTATTGTGAGCAGTAGGAAAATGCATTACTTTTTAATTTAATGAAATGAATATCCAAAATTAATTGAACAGCATTGAATTAATTAATATATCGTTAATTTCTACATGAATTCTCTCCATTAGCAGTGCAGTGTGTCTTATAAATGTTTGCTAGAGGAGTCTTATATGTAAGCATTACTCACTGGTAGAAGATTCTCGCCTAATACATATGCTAAATTTCCATCTTCTTGCACGATTCTGGTTAAGGATCGTATTATTCCAGCCTTAGTTGTCCCCGAGGTATGCAGGAATTTCTCTCTTTTGTGTTGTGCAACCCATTGTGAAATCACAGTGCCATCAGCGCTGCTATCTGTGTGTTGCTAGAAGTATAATTTTCTATACCTGTTTGTCTTTGGCCAGAGAAAGAAACCAATAATTGCATGTTGACCTTGCTTGCTGCTTCTTGGGCCACCATATCCCACTGGACTGTGAAATCAGCATTTCTGCGATGCCTGTCTTATTTGTGCCATTCTTTGCCTGAACATTCTTTCCTATGGTGAATTTCAGAAAGAAGAAATACAGATAACTATTTTTCAAAAGTTAACTGACCTAAATGAAGACCTAGACTGAAGGAAGTCCAGCTGCCTACTTTTAAATATAAATTCACAATGACCCAGATTAATAGACCTTTGAGCCAGAAAAAGGTTGAAAATGGTGAAGGCAACTGAGATACGGTAGGTGAAGAATAGGGGCTCTGGAGCCACATGGCCCGGGCTCTTATTCAGCTTCACTGCCTTCTGTGTGGGTAATCTCTGGTTACTTAGTTCACTTTGCTAAGCTTCAGCTTCCTTCTCTTTGCAAAGAGGATTTAAGAAGGTAATCAATTCTGCTAGAATCTATACCTGGCAGAAAGAGAGTTTAGTTTTCCCTCCCAAAGCACTACAAATGCTTAGAAAAGTCCCCAGCACAGAATAGGTGCTCAGTTGATGTTTGTTGAATGAATAGCTTTCTTCCAGAATGATAGAAAATACGTGTCTTCCTTAAGGTCCTGCAAAATGTTTCTCCACATGCCTTCTCTCCGAGCACTCCTTCACTGGAATGTTTTTATTGTTCTTTAACAGTGAATGGCCCCAGCATTTTGTTTATCATGCCAGAGATAAACCAGGGCACCATTAAAAGTCTAAACCCTTCCATGGACTTCCACATCATCTAAAGTGTTTATTGACTTGAACTAAAGTAGATGCAACAATTTGAAGCTTCAACCAAGTTTAGTCTTTTTTTCTTTTTTTACTGTTTACAAAACAAGATATTTTATGGAAGTAATTTATACATTGAATAGAAGAGGGCTATTCCCAACATTATCTTTATCTTGTAGACATAAATAACAAACAACTCCGGTAATCAAAATTTACTACAATTGTAATAGATTTTGGCAGAGTTTATGTATTGTATGCAATGCTAACATAACGCTGAGTTTCAAGGATAGAGGCCAGGATTCCTAGTTTGGCTTTGTTAAATGGGAAAAAAAAAATCACTACTGTATTCGTAGTGTTTACTACATTTAAGAGATTAATTCTCATAAATAAAATTGTTTATACCAGCTTCTAATCAGAAAGTTGAAATTATCTGTGGCAATGTAGCCCACTAAAAACTTGTATACTATGAAAATATTTCAATAATTAATGCATGCTCCATCTAGAGGAATCGACAGTGAGGTCATAAACGTAATGGGCCATCTGTGTTTGATTTGTACGTGAAAATGCTTAAAGAGATATGCAGGTAATTCAAGCTTCCCTGGCAAGGAAGATTTGCTCCAACTTCTCCAAGTAGCAGTGCCATTTATTAGATTTTCTTTCTTTTTTTCTTAAAGTTTTTTCCAGGTTTTTATTTGATCTACGTACTTCTCACTGTTTCTTGTTCTAATGCAACAATCCCTTTTAGAGTTTTTGGTACTCTAAAACCAAATTAAATTGGCTCATGTTCATTCTTAACAATTATACTTGGTTCCCCTAATATTTTTTTTTTTTTTTTGAGACCAGGGTCTCACTCTGAAACCCACAATGGAGTGCAGTGGCACAATCACGCTAAGTGCAGCCTCAATCTCTCAGGCTCAAGTGAACCTCCTACCTCAGCCTCCCAAGTAGCTGGGACTACAGGCGTGAGCCACCATGCATAGCTAATTTTTTAGTTTTTTGTAGAGACAGAGTCTTGCCATGTTGCCCAGGCTGATCACAAACCCTTGTGCTCAAGCAACCCTCCCACCTCAGCCTCCCAAGGTGCTGGAATTACAGGCATGCACCACCACGCCCTGCCTCCTAATCATTTCAATGGCAACTTGAAAGCCACATGTCTTATTACAATATTAGAGGCTCACTCCAGTGACTAATTCTTCTCTGTCTGACCACTTCAAACTTTATTATTGCAGTTTTTGCTTTTTTGTCGGTTAACAATTAACCAGCCCTGCTTATATGTGTTAACGAAGAGTGATAGGACCATTAAGAATCTTAGTCATGGTTTTGTAACTCACCCCCGCCAGCATGGAGCAGAATCTCTTATTTCTGGAGGCAAGACAACCTCGGTCAACATCAAAGGAGGTTCTAGGATTTTCTATGGAAGAAAACCAAAGAGCATTGAATAATAGCTGAGACCTGGACCCAAAACTGTGTCGAGGAACACACATTCGACTAGAATTTACCAGGATTTATCATCTGCTGTGTGCTGTGCTAGGCACTGAGGACATAGTGAATGAAACCAACAAGGTCCCCATTCTCATGGTTCTTATATGCTAGTAAATGTGACTTCCTCCTTAGAGGTACTCTTAAGTTCTACAACTAGGAAAGTAAATGGATTATCTCCCTTGGTAGACCCCCCCAGATCTGTATCTCCTCCTGTATTGCCTGTTTGGGGAAAATAAGCCACCATCTACCCAGTCACTCAATGCAAGACCCTAGGGTCATCTTGGACGATTCTCTTCCTCTTTCCTCTCCATCAAGGCGATTCACAAGTTCTGCCAGCGCTGTTTATCATCGCCTGACTCTGCTTCCTTCTCTTTATCCCTACCTGTACAGCCACAGTCTTAATTCAGTTCCTAAAAATTTTTTTGCCTAGAATCTTGCAACAGCGTCCAGTATTAATTCCTTACCATTCTATTCTCCATACTGCTGCTATAGTGATATTTTAAACATTATTATGTTAATAAGATTATGTCATTTCTCTGTAGAGAGTCCTTACTGTAAGAGTTCTACAATTGTCTTGGAGACAAAACCCAGACTTTTAACATGGTGTACAAGAAAAACTTTTGCTAATGTGGCCTGGGCCTGCTTCTACTATGCCATCTCTCCACAAATCCAGCTCTCTAGTCCTGCAGAAGTCTATTTGCCAGGCACATTATACCTTAGTGCCTTTGACCATGCAATTCCCCTTGCCTGGAATCGCTGACTTTCTTTTATTCACTTGCACAATCTCTCTTCACTTGTAAAAGCTACTCCTAGAGATGTTGCTCTTTCTGCACAGCTTCTCTTCCTTGATGCTTGCCTGGGTTATGTGGACACTTCTCAGAACACTTTGGGTCCAGCTCTGTGGCAGCATGGTGCAGCTCTGTTTACCTGCCCCAGGTGGTCAGTCACACAGTGCCTGCATACATATGGGAAGTATGCTGAATAGGAGGTGTTGAAGGACATTCACTACGTGTCCAGCACTGTGTTATGTGTGATCAAAGGCATGATAGAATCTAAAGGCAATTCTCAAGAGTCCTTGTCTTTAAGTGGGATGGCAACAAGATGTCTACCCTCTACCAATCTGTTATTTATTTGGAACTAATTGTTAAATCACCCTTATTCTCCACTTTTCCAGGCTAATATTTCTTTAAAGTTTTTAGCTTTTAAAGTAATTCTTAATATTCGGTTCTGTCAGTTCTTACAATTCTTACTTACAAACATATGCCTTTTAATAGCTTTAACCTAGTGCCCTTAATATTTTTCAAAGGCACCTGAGAAAAGTATAAGAAAAAATTTAAATTCATTTTATTCTAATTTTTGAAGTAGAGAGGAGGTTTTCGGTTCCACTGTGGCATTCTATATAATGTCAATCAACCAAACAAAAAGCAAAGCAAACAAACACCAACCCAGCTCTTCATGTATTGGTATTAAATAGATATAATAGCGGGGCTGGACGTGGTAGCTCAGACCCATAATCCCAACACTTTGGGAGGCCGATGCAGGTGGATCACTTGAGGCCACAAGTTCGAGACCAACCTGGCCAACATGGTGAAATGTTGTCTCTACTAAAAATACAAAAATTAGCCGGGTATGGTGGCCTGCGCCTGTAATCCCAGCTACTTGAGAGGCTGAGGCAGGAGAATCACTTAAACACGGTAGGCCAAGGTTGCAGTGAGCCAAGATGGTGCCACTGCACTCCAGCCTAGGTGACAGAGTGACACTCTGTCTCAAAAAACAAAACAAAATAAAAAGCAAAAAGATGTAATATCTGGATATGTAATTGAAATTCTACTTTTTCAGATACATGCTTGGTTTTGAGTAGACATAACCACCCTCTTTGTTTCCTGTAGAAGTAAACAAAATACAAGCCACATTTTTAATCAGAAAAATGTAAATAGAAAAAAATACAAATTTAATAAAAAATCTAAATTCAACTCCTCACTATTTCCTGAACACATGCTCATTAGCTTTCAGTATATGAAGTGTACTTCTAGAATGATAAGAAAAATAGGCACTTTGAAAATTAATGAATGTGATTAAAATATGTAGTTAGGCAAAGGGTAGTTTAAGAAACTGCACAGTTATACAAGGAAGAAAATGGGCTGAGAGAGTAAGTACCCTCCATCTGAGATTGCTTGTGACATGGCCAAGGGCCTTCAGTGTGCCCTGCATCCTAAGATGCTGTTGGTGGGGCAGAGTGGGAGGACTTAGCTCCACCTTTGTTTTTCTTCATGCACCAAGCTAGGGAAGTCAATTTTGCCTTCAACACATAGGACTTGATTTCATCATTATCATCAGAAAAAGTTTTATATACCTTTCTGTGTATTCAAAACATGAAAACAAGAATCTTAAATAGCTATAGACATTGCCACCCAGATGTTTTGAGTTCAAAGTAATTAACAACATGGTAGGACACAATAAACAGAGCCATCTTTCAGACAAGTGCACAGCCTGATGAGACAGCAGATTAAAGGCTTAATAGGGCCAGGTGTGGGGGCACATGCCTGTAATCCAAGCCCCTTGGGAGGCCAAGATGGGAGGATTGCTTGTGGAGTTCAAGACCAACCTGGACAACATAGCAAGACTCCATCTCTACTCGCCCCCACAAAAATTAGCCTGGCATGGTCGCACACACCTGTAGTCCCAGCTACTCGGGAGGCTGAAGCAAGAGGATTGCTTGAGCCCAGGAGTTCGAGGCTGCAGTGATCATGCCACTGCACTCCAGCCTGGGCAACAAAGTGAGACTTTATCTTAAAAAAATAAAATAAAACAAAACAAAAAACGAAGGGCTTTATTGAGGATGGTTTCAGCTGGCTAAGTTCCAACCATGTTTCCCATCAAAATATGGTTTCTTGTACTTCTTTGTGACATTATAAAAGCAGTACATACTCAAAACAAAGAAAAATTAGAATATACAAAAAGCAAAACTAAGAAGAATACCCTGAAAAATAATTTTTTCCTTTTCTACAAGTTAGCCAATGTGATGGCATTGGTATATATCTTTGCAGATGTATAAAATAGCATGCTATTCTACATATGTTTTGTAACCAGCTTTTCCTCTTAACATAGCAAATACATTCATGTCACTAGTCCTATCTAAGGTTATTTGCTTGAATAAGAACCTACCACTGGTCAAGAAGGCACATTACATGATACATAGCAGCTCACATACTATCTTTTTTAAAAAATTAAAAGATACAGACAACTGAGAATCATACATAGCTACATTAAGTTAGCATGAATCTTTATTTTAAACATTTAGATGATCTGCCTTGTAAGCAAATCAGTTCAGTGTTTAAGAGTGATGAATAACAAAGTTGGGAAGGTGAGTGGAATATTTTAAAATAATTTGATAAAATAGGATGGGACTGGGTTTTGGAGATGGATGGATGTTTGCACCCAGCTTCCCCAAGCCCTAGAATATGTGTAGGTGAGAATATCTAGCACTGTGCTTGGCACACTGTGGGCCTGGGGAGAGTTGGAACCCATTTAAATTAGCTGGAAGAAGCAGGGATTCAGAACACAAAGATGGTAAAGGTAAGCAGTGTCAAGGGGAGGCAAGAATGTGATGGAAGTACTAAAATGACTGTGTCTCAAAAACAGGGAGAGTGTTCAATAAATGGTGCTGGGATCGCTGGCTGGGCATATGCAGAAGAATGAAACTGTACCCCTGTCTTTCACCACATACAAAAATTAACTTAAGATGGATTAAAGATTTAAATGTAAGACCTCAAACTGTAAAAATTCTAGAAGAAAACCTAGGAAATATTTACTAGACATCATCCTTGTAAAGTATTCTTCGCTAAGTCCACAAAGGCAATTGCAACAAAAGCAAAAATGAATAAGCAGGATCTAACTAAACTAAAGAGCTTCTGCACAACAAAAGACTCCATCAACAGAGTAAACAGACAGCCTGCAGAGTGGGAGGAAATATTCACAAACTATGCATCCTATAAAGGTCTAACATCCAGAATCTATAAGGAACATAAACAATTCAACATGCAAAGAACAAACAACCCATTAAAAAATGGACAAAGGACAGGAACAGACTCTTCTCAAAAGAGGACATACAAGCAACCAAAAAACATGAAAAAATGCTCAACATCTCTAAGCATCAGAAAAATGTAAATTAAAAACCACAGTGAGATACCATCTCACACCGGTCAGAATGGCTATTATTAAAAGTCAAAAAATAACATGCTGGTGAGGCTGTGGAGAAGAGGGAATGCTTCTGCAATGCTGGTGGGAATGTACAATTTCAGCCACTGTGGAAAGCAGTTTGGAGATTTCTCAGAGAACTTAAAAATGGAACTAGCATTCCACTCAGCAATCCCATTACTGGGCATATACCCAAAGGAAAATAAGTTGTTCTATCCAAGAGATATATATATACTTCTATGTTCCTTGCAGAGCTATTCACAATAGCAAAGACATGGAATCAACCTAGGTGCCCATCAACTGTGGATTGGATAATGTGGTACATATACGTCATGGAATACTATGCAGCCATAAAAAGAACAAAATCATGTCCTTTGCAGCAACCTGTTTGCAGCTGGAGGCCATTATCCTAAACAAACTAACACAGAAACAGAAAACCAAATGGCACACATTCTCACATGTAAGTGGGAGCCAAATATTGAGTATGCATGGACATAAACAATGAACACTGTAGACTGCTAGAGCAGGAGGGAGGAAAGGGAGCATGGGCTAAAAAAAACTACCTATTGAATCCTATGCTCACTACCTGGGTGATGGGATCATCTATACCCCAAACATCAGCATCACACAGTATACCCATTTAACTAACCTGCATATGTAGCCCCTAAATCTAAAAGTTGAAATTGCTAAAAAAAAAAATAGCATAAATAAATAAACTTAGATATGCCCCCCTCCAAAAAATGAGGAGAGTTTGGTGGTGGAATGAGGAGGGAGAAAATGCCCTCAAGTGCTATACCGCAACAGAATCCCTGGAAGATGAAGGAGAAGAAGATGATGGCAGCTAATGGATAGCATTTACAATAATGATGACAACACTGGATCGCGCTTACATTTCCCATGTACCAAACAGGGGCCTCTAAGCACGTTGCATATATGAACCATTTAATCTTTACCACATTTTGTCTGGCCTACCTTCTTTTTTTTGAGGTAGGGCCTCACTCTGTTGCCCAGGTGGGAGTGCAGTGGCATGATCTTGGCTCACTGCAACATCCGCCTCCTGGGTTCAAGTGATTCTTGTGCCTCAGCCTCCCGAGTAGCTGAAATTACAGGCTACCATGTAATTACACACTACCATGCCTGGCTAATTTTTGTATTTTTTTCGTAGAGACAGGGTTTCAACCATGTTGGCCAGGCTGGTGTTGAACTCTTGACCCCAAGTGATCCACCCGCCTTGGCCTCCCAAAGTGCTGGGATTACAAGCCACAGCACCTGGCCCTGACCTACCTTCTATGGCTATAAGGACTAAATGAATTTGTATTTGTAAAGTCCTTTAAATAGTGCAATATAAAAGTTTGTTAATAAAGCACCCTTTTACTGAGACACACAGAGGTTAAGTACCTTGCCTGAGGTCACGCAACTACTCAATGGAAGAAGTAGAATTAGAACCTGGGCCATCTGGTACAGGAGCCCAGGCTGCCCCTGAGAGATCTCTGGTCAACTCAGAAAGTGATGGGCTGTGGCTCCTCCTGCCCTGATTTCACCTTACCCACAAAGAATGTCAAAGGAGGTGCTGTCTTTCTCCATGGGAGAAATGGGAATGACCATTACAGCCGAAGAATTCCAACAATGGGCACCTGCTGGCGAGCTGGGGGCTGCATTACTTCTGCCCCATCTCACCTCTTCCCATCCACTCCATCCCTCTGTCTTTATTTGAGGTGACTGCGTGGGAAAGGCACTCTCTTAGGAGGTTTGATGTGACATCATTTAGGAAAATGGAAACAAAATACAGACCCAGTCTGTAGAAATGTCACTATTACTGGAAAAGGAATTAAAATCTCCTTAAATAACCAATGTTTTCAAGATCTCTGGGTGAAGACTCAGAGTTAAGGTCCTCCCTTTCTCATTCTTTTCTCCGTTCCTCTTCCTCTTCCCTGGTTTCTGCCCCTCAACTATTGACCTGCCTATCTCCCTCTCCCCACTGTAACAATAATGGTCATAACAAGAATGCTGGAAGCTCACAGTGACTGAGCTCTTGTTGTGTAGCAGGCATGTTAATTCATGATCTCCTTTAATCCCTGTAACAGCCTTGTGAAGAAGTGACTATTTTCTTAACCTACTTTATATGTGAATAAATTGAAGTTCAAAGAAGATAAATCATTTGACTGGTAAGTGGAAAGACTGGAATTGGAGCTCCAATCTCTTGCTAAATCCAATGCCACACTTCCTCTCCTTATCCCCCAAGGTACTGGCGCCAACTCCACTAAGCATTCAGTTTTCCAGCATCACCTGATTCTTGGAAGATAAGTGGGTAGACATGCATGGGCCTCCCTGAGTTAGATACTCTGGCATGTTTCACAGATGGTATTCCAGCCAGTTGGACTGTGCCTTTTAGCCAGAAAGGTTATGAAATGCACCAAATAGGATCACAGGATTTGTTGTCAAGGCCAGCCCCTGTTTATTGAGTGTCTACAATGGCCTGGCACTTGTGGTAGCTGCAGAGAGAAATGCAGTGGCGGAGGGGATGTGATCCTGCTATCAAGAAACTTAGCATTTGAAAAGGAAAATGAGACCAGCTCACATCAGAAGAAGAACCTAAGAAAAACATGGTCAGGGGGATTCTTTGGGGATCGTGCCTGAGTGTCTACCCCTAACACTTTTTCCCTTTTCAGCCCCTTCAAGCCATGAGGTACCAAGGCCACCAGTGGGATAGTGAACCTGACGCTAATGGGGATGCTGAGACATCTGAGGGTTGAGTTAGAGGTGAAGGAGCAAAGAAAGAGAAAGCCAGCCTCTTTTCAAGGTCTGGGCAAAGAGAGCAGATTGTGTGCCTCCTGAAGGAAGCCCTTCACATATCTTCATCAGGATGTGGTCCATGGAAGGACCCTCTACTTCTGCTAATCATGGTAGCCCTGGAGGAGTGAGGCAGAAACTAGCAGATGAGCTTCTGCATCTGGTAGGTTGGGTGTCCTGCCAGTCCTTTCAGTGCCTCAGCAGATGGTAACAGGAAGATAAACTTCCCTACCATTTTGGACTTTCTCCTTGCCCAGAACCAAACATCTGACCTCTACAAACTAATAGAACATGACCTTCAAGAAAAACTATGGCTTCTCCAGTGGGATTCAGGAACTAGAGGAGAGAAACCCAGATGGTTAGGACAGACGACTCATTTGCTGATAGAAGAGACGGAGAGATGAAGATGAAAATAATGAGCATTCTCAAAGATGTGTCATTGAAACACCACAAAGATCTTCTGGACCTACGTTCATGATGTCTGCACTGAAATAGCTATTAGATGAATGAGGGAAAAATGGCATAATTCTTGATAGCAACTGAATTAGAGAGCTGCAGGATTAAGTAAAAGGAAATACAACATGCCGCAAAGATGGAAACACATGAGTGAAAACGTAGGTGACTTAAAGCACAGATCCAGGAAATGGAACATGCAAATAATAAGCCATCCAGAAGAAAAAAAGGAAAGGGTGGAAAAGTGGTTACTATATCCAAAATGAAGGAACATTTCACTGAGCTGAAGGAAGAAGTTAGTTTCCTGATTACAAGAGCTGAGTCTAAGTAAGAATTAAGACAAAACAAAACAAATCCAAACAAAAACATGTAACTCAACATATCCTCATTAAATTCATGACTATTCAGTGTACTAGACACTGTGGAGTTTCACCCAGATACCCCCTTCAGGACTGGGGCGCCCTAACTCCCCACCCACTGCTGTCCATATCCAATACTGGTTGATGCAACGTACAAAGGAATGGTTCTCTTGTCCCAATATGAAAACTCAAACTCAGCTCCCATAAGATCAGCTGAGGCCTCTGTTAAGGCTGCGCGCAGCTACTCAGTTATTCCCTTTGCCCAATCCTGCCTCTTTATTCCTTATAGTCATTGTTCTCAAGAGCACTCCTCTGTAAAATTCCTCCTGCCCACAAATCCCCATCTCAGAATGTTTCCCAGGGAACCTGACCTATGACACTTTATACTAAACAAAGCAAAACAAAACGAAACAAAAATCCAAAAACAGAAACGAAACAAAATTCTCCCTTAAAAAAACCCCTAAACTAATGACATTTTCTAATAGAGCAATCTGATTAGTTGAAAATAAAGGAGAGCTGGGTGTGGCAGCTCATGCCTGTAATCCCAGCACTTAGGGAGGAAGAGCTGGGAAGATAGCTTGAGCCCAGGAGTCTGAGACCTGCCTGGACAACATAATGAGTCCCCGTTCTCCACAAAAGAAAAAAAAAAAAGCCAAAAAAATTAAAGGAGAATTGGACTAGTGTTATGCTTGTCTGCCATATGGAAAGCTGAAAGATGATAAAAATTAAGTGTATAGAGAAAAGCCAACTGAAAGCTAGAGATGGTGAAATAAAATCTATTGTGAGAAAAGGTCTGAAATCAAAGAAGCGTATAATTAAGAAAATATTGTTTATTTGGTTCCAAAGAAAGTTATTTTGGAAACAGGTAAGGACTCTGTTTATTACCCCTATAGCCTTTCTGATTAAAACACTGCAGAAAATTATCTACCCGAATGACAACTGAAAACAATGGAGATCTCAAGACCGAAAGGATCGGAAACAATGGATCATGATAATGATGTAATTGAGATGTTGTAAAATATTGGTGAGTATGGATTATTGGAACAGAAAGAATGAGATGTTGGGAAAAACTCTGGATTTAAGAGGTGTGGCTGTGTGTGATGGTAGGGGATAGGGAAATTAATATCACAGTGGGAGGAAATAATTATTTAATAATGATATGCTAATAGGGGAGTCAACATTAACTTCAGTAGTTATGGAAGGAAGGTGATGTTTAGCACATTTGACAAACAAAAATACCTTGCAAATTACCAGGAGGAATAAAAAAAAAGAAGAGAAACTTAACGAGGTCAGCAAAAAAATATAAAAACAGGTAAAAAAGAAACAATAGCAAAATGTAAAAAAATTGAAATTAAATATAAGATGGAGGAATTAAGTAGATCAGTTATTACAAGAAATGTAAGTGGATATAATTCCTTTTCAAATGTCAGACTAGGTTAAAAAACAAAACCCAGCTTAATGCCCCATACAAGAGTTATACCTATGACAAAGTGAAATACTGTAAATTAAGGGTTGGGCAAAGACATCGACAACTGCAAAGAATAACAAAACAACAAACCCCAAGGTATGAAAGTTTGGATTCATGAAACACTTCAAAGAAATATACTATGTAATGATAAAAGGCATAACCTATTAAGGAAATATGATGAACACAAAATATCAAATAACACAGGAGACAAACACATAAGGTAAAACTGCACTCCAGCCTGGACAACAGAGTGAGACTCTGTCTCAAAAAAAAAAAAAAAAAGAATACAATTGTAGGGGGTATATTTAATAAAGCATTTTCAGTATCTGGTAGATTAAGAAAACAACAGGCCAGGTGTGGTGGCTCATACCTGTAATCCCAGCACTTTGGGAGCCCAAGGCAGGAGGATCAATGGGTCAGGAGTTTGAGACCAGCCTGGCCAATATGGTGAAACTCCATCTCTACTAAAAATACAAAAATTAGCCGGGTGTGGTTGCAGGCACCCGTAGTCCCAGCTACTAGGGAGGCTGAGGCAGGAGAATTGCTTGAACTCGGGAGGCGTGGAGGTTGCAGTGAGCCGAGATCATGCCACTGCATTCCAGCCTGGGTGACAGAGTAAGACCCCCTCTCAAAAAAAAAAAAAAACCAAACAGTAAACAAAGATATAGTGGATTTCAATAAGATAGTCAATAACATGGAACACACAAACACACACACACAGATCTATGCAAATGTGTGTGTGTGTGTGTGTGTGTGTGTGTGTGTGTGTGTATCAAGGTACTCTACAGGAATTTTTATCTTTATCTGTGTCCATAAAGCATTTGTAAAAGTTAATAGGTAACTGACCACACAAAAAAACTAAATGAAATTTAAAAAGTAGAGGTTTTATAGGCTACATTTCTGATCATAATGCAGTAAAACTAGACATGAGCATAAAAAGTTGACAAAAAGTTCTTAAAATTAAAAACACTCTTTTAAATAATCCTTGGATCAAAGAAGATAACCAAATTAAAGTTATGAATTAGAGTAATAAAAGTATTTCCTACTATATAGGACATTCAAACAACTTTGTACTGAGGCAAAAATTATACCCTTAAATTGTGTTTTTTGTTAAAAAAAGATTGAAAATAAATTTTAAAATACTGAACTTAAATTCTAAAGTAACAATAAAATATGAATGAGGAAGGAGGGAATTAATAAAGATAAAAGCTAAAACTAACAAAATAGAAGACAAACATAAAAACGGATAAGTAAAATCAAAATTAGGCGCTTTAAAAATATTGATGAACTGGATACAATTCTGTCTATTATGACTGAAGAGAGAGAGGGAGAGAGAAAGAGGGAGAAAATGAAATGAATATACTATTATAAAGGAACTACAACCACAGATATGAAGAAGATAAGAAAATTTACTGGTGGATATTATGTACAACTCCACAGGAATAAATTTGGAAGCCTAGAGTAAAGGGATTTTTTTTAAGTAAAAATATAGACTCTGGAAATCAGTTATAGCATGAAGAGATAGGAAATACAAATAAATCAATTAGTAGTAGAAGAGTCTGGAAAGTGAAATACCTTGCATTAAAAAAGGCACCAGACCCAGATGGTTTTACAGATGACATTATAGTCTTTTAAAAAAATCATTTGCAGTATTATATAAACTTTATTTGACCACAACAAGGAATGACATTCAAATTGTTTTGTGAAGATAACTTGGAAAGACAGTACAGAATTTGAAGACCAATTTCAATAAAGAATTATGAAGAGATTTTAGCAAATTAAATTCCATCAGTGTATCAAAAAGTTATGACACCACTATCTATGACAATAGACTCTATCTATTGTCTATCTATGACAATAGATAGAGTCTATTACCAGAACTCAACAATGTGTCTCAGTTATTACAATTCTTTAGCAAATTATATAAAGGCTTCCAATTAGTTGTAATGGATGTGATGGTGGTCAATGAATCCTTAAATCCTGATTTCTGAATAACTTGTTGATTGCAGGAGTGGGGTAAGGGTAGAGAGTGGACATTAGTGGAAAAGAGTTATTTAGCTTTAGGCAAATGCATTAGTTATTTGTGCTTATTGATTTAATTTTTAGGATGCAAGTTGAAGAGAAGAGTGATGACTAAGCCATGGGCCTGTGATAAGTGCCTATCATGTTCCAAACCCTTGACTAGGGTGCTTTGCATACAGTGTCCTTTCATTTAACGATTTAATCAGGTCTGGGTTAATATGCTGAGCACACACTCATTTTAATAGAATGCCTTCCAGAAACATTCATTGAGGACCAGAAATCAACATATCATTTTAGAAGAAGTTAGGTAAAAAAGGGGCTTATGCATCGAATGTGATTATTGCAATTGGTTGCAGATAAACACGTTAAATACTTTGCTGACAGATTTCGTTCATAAGACACAAGATATAGCAATTTCAACTGATGTGCGAGTTCATAGATGTTCACGTTGCTTTACAAGTTCATTAGAATGGTTTTGCTGGCTGTAATCATAGAGGCATACATACGTCTGCTGCAAAGACATCAGAGCTCACCTAATTTTCCTAGGCTATCTTAATAGGGTGTCTGCTGGTTGTACCATCTCTGAATGGGGAATCTCTTAATCTCACAATGCAAGGGCAGAGGCTTTCTTTTCCATCTGGCATAGCTCTATCTGAAGACCTTGGGGATCTTAGGGAGGAGAGTGATTTCCAACAGAAGGGAGAAGACCTTTGGACATATTTTTGTCATGAAGCAGCCTCCCATCCTTCCTTGAGTATGTTTCCTGCTACATCTGTCTCTGGCATAGCCTGGGTTTCTCCTGTTTGCCTTGAGAAGGGAGATTCTTTGGTACATTTACAGGGCCTTGAAAGCCTGGTGCCTTCCTAGAAGGAAGGAAATAATCTTTCTTGTACTACAGAAAAGAACAGAGCACAGCTCTGGCTAAAGTATGTTGCTAAAGAAATTTAAACAGAGCAAACTACGGATACCTCAGATGCAAGATTTTGTTACTTAACAAGTCGGAGTAATAACTACTAAGTCAATGAATCTAAGTCTACCCTATAAACAAGGATTATGATATTTAAACAGGGCTTTGGCTCACGACAATTATGTCGGCAGCCAATTGTGATAGCTACCCTGTCTTTCTGCTTCATCACTTGAAGCGACAGTCTCCAGCTTTCCACTCCGCATCTATCATGAAGACACATTGATTTCCTTTCTGGAGAAACACATATTTCTTTTCTCCTGCTAAAAAGATAAATCTGACAGATTTTAATCAAATGTAGTTGTTCACAACTATAGAAATACATACAGTGCCACATATGAAAACAAAAATACAACACTCCCAAAGGAGAAGGAGTTCTATGGCCAAGTTTCTTTGTAGAAAAGACTTGCATTAATATACACACACACATGCACACACACACACACACACAGAAATAAAGTCTGAGAGTTGTGTATTTTAATATTTTTTAAGGTAGTGTATTTGCTTGTAGTGACATCAGCAAAGGTTGGTCTCAATTAAAATTTGCGCTAAAACTATGTTCTCTGTATTTTTGTTGAATTCTAAGATTCTGTAATGTTGGGCTTTGGTCTTTAAAATGAAGTCTTTCCCAAGATAAAACTTGGCTTTCAGAGGGAACACCGTTTGAGATACCATGTGGAAAAATGAAGAAGTACCATGTCTTGTATCCAACGGACTCTACTAACTGTATTTTTGTTTAGTATGTGGCTATGACGTGACCCAGTGTGTCATAGAGCACCTGCATTATTTCATGTAGTGATTCTGAGTAGCTTTTATTAGTAGTCTCTTCAATGTGTCTAAGGAGATTCAAGATGTTATATCTACGTAAGATTTTTTTTCTGAATTTAGGTAAACATTTAAATGGATTTTTTCTTAAGATGGTATTAAAAGTCTGTGGGAGAGGGACTGAAAATTATCAAGGTTTGATGCTTTGTACCACTCATTCATTGATTAGTTAGATGCCCCTCACTATGAGTTATGCATAAGCTGAGTTTTAATGACAATTTTCAAAATATCTGAGTTGTTTGCATGTTTTGTCTTTTCTTCTAAGTGAAGATATGGCTGATTGTGTTTTCATTAGAATGGAGAGCTTGGATGTCTTTTGTTCATACCTCGTGGCAATTTCCTGTCCAGGTATCTTGGTCTAGTACATCTTATTTCAGCTAATTCTCAGAGGACAAAATAAAAAATAATCTACATCATGAATGAAAGTGCAGAGATACAGTTTTAAGTGACCCTTAATCTAATCCTACCTTAAGTAGTCCATCATTTCAATAAAGTTTCAAAATTTTATTCTCATAATTTTGAATATTGTATTAAGATATATGATTCAAGAAGAATCATATATTGGGAAGAAAACTATTGAAAGTTGCTTTAATAATCCTACATAGTGATTCATAGTGTATATATGTATAGAATTTCTTTCGATGGGCAAAAATAGAGAACTATTTCTCTTTTAAAATGTGAACTTTAGGCTGGACACCGTGGCTCACGCCTGTAATCCCAACACATTGGGAGGCCGAGGCGGGCGGATCACCTGAGGTTGGGAGTTTGAGACCAGCCTGACCAACATGGAGAAACCCTGTCTCTACTAAAAATGCAAAATTAGCCGGGTGTGGTGGCGCATGCCTGTAATCCCAGCTACTCGGGAGGCTGAGGCAGGAGAATCACTTGAACCCGGGAAGCAGAGGTTGCGGTGAGCTGAGATAGTACCATTGCACTCCAGCCTGGGCAACAAGAGTGAAACTCCATTTCAAAAAAAAAAAAAAAATGTGAGCTTTAATAAATTCCCCTTTGGTGTGCTTCCATTGTCTTTTCTAAGTCCCTAAAAATTACAGACATTATTTTCCATATGATAATATACCCTAAGTGCCCTGCAGTGCATTATTGGGTTAATTTTGATGACTGCTTTGGTTTGAGAATGAACTGGCAACTCTGTTATCTGTCCTTGATGTGTCATTTACAGATATTTCACCCTGAAAAGCACAGGATGATAGGAGAAAGAGAAAAGATAAAAAGTGGCCAAATCAGAAGTTACCTTGTTAGAATAATTTTAGAAGAGGTTGGCATTTAACTTGTAAGAGGACTAAATTAACTTCTTAATGTAAAAATTAAGAAAAGGAAGCCAATAAAAGTGGGTGAACTTATTCATTTGAATATCATGGTGTCCTCATTAAGCCTCAGCCAATAAATCAGTGGTTAAAAATTTGTCCCAAATTCCATCTGGTACTTGTGTTATTTGAAAATTTAACCCAAAATGAAAGGCCATCCTGAGAAAGGAAATACGTGGTGTTTTCTTGAAAGAATATTTGCGATGCCCCAACCTACAGCTGCTAGAAGATATGAAGGCAAGCACAAAATACTACCTGGATCATGATTTATACATGCTGAACAGACAATAAACTCACTGCACTCCTTTGCCCCCACAGAAAGTGCTCACAGCTAGCTATAACTCCAGTGTGGTATTTCCAAGCAATATTTTCCAAAGTTACCAAGATTTTTCTTATTTACAAAAGAAGCAATTCATTTTGTAGGACATTTCAAACTGGCAAATGGCCAACAACAATTTTGACCAAAGCTGGGTGCAAAAGGTATTGCAAAACACAAAGCAAAAGAATATTAAGGAAAGATGGAAACAAAAAGGAAGATTATTCATCCTTCCATATGGCTTTTTAAAGCCATTTACAATTATGCACCGCTTATAGTAGTTTCTATAACATTTTCTCCATTGAGAAGGCAGAAGACTGAATATGTTTGTGAATGCATTACAAAAGAAAGAGAAAGGATTCGGAATGACAGTGGAACTTAGCTGTTTGTTTGAGAATCTGCAGTGTGATAATGACACTGTTAACCAGGAGAATGGAGAATGTGATATCATTTGCTTTTCCAGAAAGAGATTTCGAGAACTTAACCAAAAATTAAAGTTGCTAGTGATAGTATGAAAAGTAAACAATAACAGCCCTACCACAGTTATGCATCTGATTGAAACAGGTACAGTATATCTGAGGTCCTAGAACCAGCATTTTGTTCATCTGTCTGCTACCCATGGAAATGTACTTCAAAAGAATGGAGAAAGCGTGGACTCTCTCAAGATGTATTTAGATAACTTTATACAATATGCACATTAGACCATGTGCCATGCCACCAATTCATGTCTTGGGCCTCCCATGGCTAAACTGTCAGGAGATTTATAGCTAATTAGGGGCTAAAAAAGATTCTGGGAGATTTCATAGTCCATTTCTTATTTGCTGAGGAAAGACTTTCTTACACAATTCCAGCTACATTAAAAGAGACTTTATTTGTCAAATTATTATTATTATTATTTGGATAGGGTTTCACCCTGTCACCCAGGCTGGCGTGCAACTATGTGATAGTAGCTCACTGCAGTCTTATACTCCCAGGCTCGAGAGCTCCTCACACCTCAACCTCCTGAGTAGCTGGGACTACAGGTGCATGCCACCACACTTGACTAATTAAAAAAATTATCTTTTGTAGAGACGGAATGTCAGTATGTTGCCCAGGCTTGTCTTGAACTTCTGGACTCAAGCATCCTTCTGCCTTGGCCTCCCAAAGTGCTGGGATTACAGGTATGAGCCACTGTACCCATCCCAAATTATCTACAGATATTTACTATCAATCCCACTCCTCTAGTATCATCATCACTTGACAAGTCCGGATCATCTGTTTTAAAGAAAATGGGCTGGGCACGGTGGCTCACACCTGTAATCCCAGCACTTTGGGAGGCCTAGGTGGATGGATCACGAGGTCAGGAGTTCAAGACCAGCCTGGCCAAGATGGTAAAACCCCATCTCTACTAAAAATATAAAAATTAGCTGGGCATGGTGGCGGGCACCTGTAATCTCAGCTACTCAGGAGGCTGAGGCAGAGAATTGCTTGAACCCAGGGGGGAGAGGTTGCGGTGAGCCGAGATCATGCCACTACACTCCCGGCTGGATGACAGAGCTGGATTTCCATATCAAAAAAAAAAAAAAGAAGATGAAAATTTCTTAACCTCCCTTTTCCAGCTGATGTGCGATGTCAGACAAGTCATTAACACTCTTTTTTTTTTTTTTTTTCCAGACAAGGTCTCACTCTGTCTCTCAGCCTGGAGTGCAGCGGTGAGATCATAGCACCCTGCAGCCCTACCCACCTGGGCACAAATGATCCTCCCACCTCAGCCTCCCAAGTAGCTGGGAGCACAGGTGTCCCGGCTAATTTTTAATTTTTTTGTAGAGACAGGGTCTCACAATTGTTGCCCAGGCTAGTCTCCTAGGCTCAAGTGATCCCCCCACCTCAGCCTCCCAAAGTGCTGGGATTATAGGAGTGAGCCACTGTGTCTGGTCATGAACACTGTAAACCTTAGCTTTCCCACATGGAACATGGAAATGACAATGCCCACCTCACAGAGGTGACATG